>NW_011332701.1:3132908-3817307 GCF_000001405.40 Homo sapiens | reverse complement strand
GCTACTCAGGAGGCTGAGTTGAGGAGATCACTTGAGCCCAAGAGTTCGAGGTTATGGTGAGCTATGATCACACTGCTGACTCCAGCCTAGGCAACACTAAGACCCTGACTCTAAAAAAATAAAAGTAAATAAATCACTCTGATCATACCTAATGAACCTTAAAAGCAAGAAGCAAGATCCACAAGGATCACAGTGAAATGGCCTCATTGCCTGATCCAAAGTTCTTGATCTCACAGCCAAGGAAGTCAAGGACACGGCCACACCAAGGGTGAGGTTAGAGCAGAAGCAGAAGTTTATTAGGCAAAAGAAAGATAACAGCTCTCTGCAGCAGAGAGGGATCCCCAAAAGCGTTGCCATTCAGCAGTGAAATGCAAGGGTTTTTATAAGCTAGCTAGTGGGGAGGTGAGGTGTTATCTTACCTACATAGGGTGTGAAAAACCCCAGGTGTGCCATCTGCGTAGAGCATGAATCTCTGGCATCCCCCACCCCACCCTTTTATTATACAGGCAGGTCTTTTGCCTGAGCTACTCCACGTTGCTTTCCTACTGTGTATGTGCTTCAAAGGGGGAGGTGGAGCCTCCATGGTGGACACACCTGGCCCCAGGTACCCCTTTCTGTCTGTGCAGCTGCAAGCATCCCCCCGTGCAAGCTCCAGCTTCCTTATCTGTTTGCAGCCCGGTCTTCCAGGCTGCTTTCTATTAGAAGAGGAGTGATTTCCTGGGCTGCTTTTTGTTAGAAGGGAAGTTCTGCCAAGGACTCTCTGCCCTAACTATCTGCCTAGCTGGTCTCTTTTTACCTCCTCTCTCAAAAGTATTTCCAAGAAATGTAACTTCATTCTACAACAAAGCTCAATAATATTTATAGAAATATAAACTTGTCCAGCACCAAATAATGTAAAAGTCTTGCTGTCTGGCACTCAATCAGAAGTTATCAGGAATGCAAAGTAGCAGGAACATAGGACCCATAATGAGGAGAAACTGTTCAATCAAAGTCAAACCAGAACTGCTAGAGATGTTAAAATTATCAGACAAGGGCACTAAAAGTTATTATAACTGTACTCTATAGAATAGAATAAGGTACATACTGACATGCTGTTCAGATGTTTAAGTAAAGTTATGGAAGATACTTTTTAAAGCCTGAGTTGAACTTCCAGAGATGAAGACTACATCTGAGATGAAAAAGTAACTCAGTGGAATTAACAGCACATTGCTTAATACAAAAAAAAGAGAAAGGTTAGTGAACATGAAGACATAGCAATGGAAAATATCCAAAATGAAACACAGAAAAAAATAGAAGTAAAGAAATATTAAAGGCATCAGTGAAAGCCAGGTGCAGTGGTGCATGCCCGCAATCCCAGCTACTTGGGAGGTTGAAGCAGAATTATTGCTTGAGCCCAGGAGTTTGAGGCTAGCCTGGGCTACATAATGAGACCCTCATCTCTAAAAAAGAAAAAATAATTAAAAATTAAAGCATCTGTGAGCTGTGGAAAAATGTAAGCAGCCTAAAATAAGTGTAATTGGAATCCTTGAAGGAGAGGCATGAACAATAGGAAAAAATGATTCAAGGAAACAGTACCTATAAGAAAATGTATAAGTTAAACACCTCTATTAGAAAAGAAGCAGGGCCTCAAATCAGTTACCTTAATTTTTATCTTGAAAACTAGAAAAAAAAAGAGCAAATTAAACCCAGACAGAAGAAATGAAATAATAAAGACCAGAACAAAAAACAGTGAAATAGTAAATGGAAAAATAGTAGAGAAAGTCAGTGAAACCAAAAGTGGGTTCTTTGAGATCAATAAAATTGATAAACCCATAGCCACATAATCAGAGGAAAAAGAAGATACAAATTAACAATATCAAGAATGAAAGAGATGACCTCAGTACAGATTCTCAAGATATTAAAAGGATTATAAAGGAATATTATAAACAATTCTATGCCAATAAATGCAGCAAGTTAAATGAAATTCACAAATTATTTGAAAGGTACAAAATACCAAAGCCTATGCAAGAAAAAAAAAAAATGATTTGAATAGGTCTATATTTATTAAAGAAATCTAAGTTGTAGTTGAAAACTTTCTCACAAAGATAACTGCAAGCATCTATAGCTTCATTGGTAAATTCTACCACACATATAAAGAAAAAATTATACCAGCTCTTCCAGGAAATTGAAAAGGGGTTATACTTCCCAACTCATTCATTCTTTGCGCCAGCATTACCCTAATACAAAACCAAGAAAGACTACAGACAAATATTCCTCATGAAGAAAAGTGTGAAAACACTGAAAAAGATTTTAGCAAATCGAATTTGGCAGCATATAAAAAGGATACTACCTCATGACCAAGTGGGTTTTATCCCAAGAATGCAAAACTAGTTTAACATTCAAAAATCAGTCAACATAATTTTCCATATTAACATACTGAGAAACAGAAGGTATACAATCATCTCAGTAAATGCAGAAAGAGCTTTTGGTAAAATCCACATTCGTCCTTGATTTTTAGAAAACACTCAGAAAACTAGGAATAGAAGAAAACTTCCTCAATCTTATATAAAGTATTTACAAAAAAGCCTACAGCTAACCTGACACCTAGTGATGAAAGAAAGCTTTTCCCCAAAGATCAAGAGGGAGATAAGAATGCGCCCTTTCACTACTTCTATCCAACATTTTCCTGGACATTCTGGCCAGTGCAGTCAAACAATAAATTATAATTAAAAAGCACCCAGATTGGAAAAGAAGAAGCAAACTATCTTTATTCACAGGTGACATGATGACATATGTAGAATATCTAATGGAATTTAAAAGCATTTTTTGGAACTAGTAAGTGAAGTTAGCAGTGTTGTAAGATACAAAACCAATATAGAGAAATCAATTGCATTTTTACAATTGCAATGAATAATTGCATTATTTTTTAAAATAAATTTTAAAAATACTTTATTCAGTAGCATCCAAAAATATAAAATATGAATAAATTTACAACTGAAACTTCAAAACATTGCTTAAAGAGATGAAAAACCTAAATAAAGGGTTAAATGTACCATATCCATGGGTCAAAAGACTCAATATTGTTGAGATGTTGGTTCTCCCTAGATTGCTTTAAATTCAGTATAATCTCAATAACAATCCAAGCCAGCTTTTTATGTAGAAATTAACAAGTTGACTTTAAAATTCATACATAAATCCCAGGACAGAGAATAAACAAAACAAACTTTGAAAAATTGGAATAAAGTTAGAAAGCATATTTGTTCTCACATTGCTATGAAGAAATACCCAAGACTGGGTAATTTATAAAGGAAAGAGGCTTAGTTGACTCACAGTTCCACATTACTGGGGAGGCCTCAGGAAACTTACAGTCATGGTGGAAGACAAAGGAGAAGCAGGCACCTTCTTCACAGGGCAGCAGGATGGAGTGAGTGCAAGCAGGGGAGAGGCCAGACACTTATAAAACCTTCACATCTCGTGAGACTCACTCATTATTCACAAGAACAGGATGGGGGAAACTGCCCCCATGATCCAATGACCTCCACCCACTCATGCCCTTGACACGTGGGGATTATGGGGATTTCAATTCAAAGTGAGATTTGGGTGGGGACATAGAGCCAAACTATATCAGAAGTCTGACAATACCTGATATTAAAACTCATAAGAGTACAGTAATCAAAACTGTGATGTTGATCAAATGTTCAACATGAAGACTATCATTAATAATATTGCATAGTGTACTAGAAAATTTGCTTTCAAGGCACACACACATACACACACACATACACACACATATGCACAAAGGGGTAACCGTGAAATGATGAATAAGCTAATGTGCTTGACTATAATAACCATTTCACTATGTATAAGTGTATCAGAACATCATATCATATACCTTAATATATACAATAAAGTAGTTTTTTTAATGTAGAGAATTAGATCAATGAAACAAATTGGAAAGTTAAGAAATAGTTCACATATGTGGACAACTGGTCTTCAATAAGCATACAAAAGTAATTCAGTGCAAAAAATAATCTTTTCAACAAATTGTGGGATAATTGGATTTTCATATGCAAAAGAAATGAACTTTGGTTTACATCTCACTCATATGCAAAAATTACCTTAAAATGGATGGTATCCCTAAATATAAAACCTAAAGCTAAAAAAGTCTTCTAGAAAAAAACACAGGAGAAAATCTTTTTATTTTATTTTTATTATTTTTTTTTATTTCCGTAGGTTATTGGGGTACAGGTGGTGTTTGGTTACATGAGTAAGTTCTTTAGTGGGGATTTGTGAGATTTTGGTGCACCCATCACCCGAGCAGTATACACTGAACCCTATTTGTAGTCTTTTATCCCTGAGTCCTCAAAGTCCATTGTGTCATTCTTCTGCCTTTGCATCCTCATAGCTTAGCTGCCACTTATAAGTCAGAACATACGATGTTTGGTTTTCCATTCCTGAGTTACTTCACTTAGAATAATAGTCTCCAGTCTCATCCAGGTCGCTCAAATGCCATTAATTCATGAGAAAATCTTTTTAACCTTGTCTTAGGAAAAGATTTTCTAGACATGATACCCCATGAACAATCCATAAAAGAAAAATTAATAAATTGGACTTCATTAAAAACTTAAACTGCTTTTTGAGGATAGTGTTAAGAGAATGAAAAGATAAACTGCAAGTTGGAAGAAAATACTGCAAATCATATATCTGGTAAAGTACTTGTTTCTAGAATATGTAAAGAGTTCTCATGACTCAATTATTTTTGTAAAAACTATCCAATTAAAAATAAGCAAAAGCTTTGAACAGACTTCACCAAAGAAGATACATGGATAGCAAATAAGCAGGTGAAAAGATGCTCAACATCATTAATCCTTAGGGAAATGTAACTTAAAGCCAGAATGAGATAGCACTACACACCTATGAGAATGACTAAAACCAACAATACTGAGCATACCAAATCTCAGCAAGGATGTGGAAAAACTGGTAAATTTGTACGCTGCTGGTTTTGAATGGAAAGTGGTGCAGCCACTTTAGAAAACAATTCAGCAAGTTCTTCAAAATTAGACATGTACCTAGTGTACAATCCAGCAAATTTTACTCCTATTTATTTACTTAAGAAAACCGAAAGCCTTTGCCCATAGCAAAGCTTGTACACAGATGTTTTTGGCATTCTTAGTGAGGGCTAAAAAACTGGAAGCAACCTAAATACCCATCACAGGTAAACGGGTAAACAAATGGTGGTAGATACATACACTGGAATGCTACTCGGCTCTCAATCCAAAGGAGTGAATTATTGATAACGTGCAACAACAGAGATGACTCTCAAAATAATTACATGAAGTGAAAGAAGTGAGACAAAAAAAAACTACATATTGTGCAATTCCACTTATGTAAAGTCTAGGAAATGCATAGTGATCTATAGCGATGGAATGCAGGTCAGTGATTGCCTCAGACAGGGCTGAGGGCAGCAGTGAGCAGTGGGGATTACAAAGCAGCTGAGGAATCTTTTTTTTTTTTAGACAGAGGCTGGAGTGCGGTGGCGCGAGCTCGTCTCACTGCAAGCTCTGCCTCCCGGGTTCACGCCATTCTCCTGCCTCAGCCTCCCGAGTAGCTGCGACTACAGGCACCCGCCACCATGGCTGGCTAATTTTTTGTATTTTTAGTAGAGATGGGGTTTCACCGTGTTAGCCGGGATGGTCTCGATCTCCTGACCTCATGATTTGCCTACCTCGGCCTCCCAAAGCGCTGGGATTATAGGCGTGAGCGACCGCACCTGGCCTGAGGAATCTTTTGAGAGTGGTATATATGTATGGTATCTTGCAGTGATAACAGACCTCAGAGGTATTGCAGATTCAGTTCCAGACCACTGCAATAAATATAGCAATAAAGCAAGTCACATGAATTTTTTGGTTTTCTAGTGCATATAGAAATTATGTTGGCTAAGCACAGTGGCTCACACCTGTAGTCCCAGCACTTTGAGAGCCAAGGAGGACGGATAGCTTGAGCCCAGAGTTCCAGACCAGCTTGGGCAGCATGGTGAGACCTCGTCTCTATTGAAAAAAAAAAAAACAAAAACCTACAAAAATCAGCCTGGTTTGGTGGTGCATGCCTGTCGTCCCAGCTACTGGGGAGGCTGAGGTGGGAGGATTGCTTGAGTCGAGGAGACAGAGGTTGCAGTGAGTGGAAATCACGCCACTCTACTCCAGTCTGGGTGACAGAGCAAGACCCTGTCTCAAAAAAAAAAAAAAAAAAAGTTATCTTTATACTATTCTGTAGTCTACTAAGTGTTCAATAGCATTATATCTAAAAAATGTACATAACTTAATTTGAAAAAATACTTTATTGCCAAAAATGCTAACAATCATCTGAGCCTTCAGTGAGTCATAATCTTTTTGCTGGTGGAGGGTCTTGCCTCAATGTTTATGGCTGCTAACTGATCAGGGTGGTGATTGCTGAAGGTTGGGGTGGCTGTGACAATTTCTTAAAATAAGACAATCGTGAAGTTTGATGCATTTAATTGACTCTTCCTCTCATGAAAGATTTCTCTGTAGCATGTGTGATGCTATTTGATAGCATTTTACCCACAGTGGAACTTCTTTCAAAATTGAAGTCAGTCCTCTGAAACCTTGCTGCTGCTTTATCAAATGCATTTTGTAATTTCTAAATCCTTTTTGTCATTTCAGCAGTGTTCACAGCATCTTTACCAGGAGCAGATTCCATCTCAAGAAACCACTTTCCTTGCTCATCCATAAGAAGCAACTCCCCAACTTGAGATTGTAGCAATTTAGTCACATCTTCAGACTCCACTTCTAATTCCAGTTCTCTTCCACCACATCTGCAGTTAATTCTTCCACTGAAGTCTTGGACCCCACAAAGTCATCCATGAGAGTTGGAATCCATTTCTTACAAACTCCTGTTAATGTTGATAATTTGACCACCTCCCATGAATCACAGATGTTCTTATTGACTTCTAGAGTTGTGAATCCTTTCCAGAAGGTTTTCAATGTACTTTGCCCAGATCTATCAGAGGAATCACTATCTATGGCAGTTATAGCCTTATAAAATGTATTTCTTAAGTAATAAGAGTTGCAAGTCAAAATTGCTCCTTGATCCGTGGAGTACAGAATGGATGTTGTATTAGCAGACGTGAAAACATTGATCTTGTACATCTTCATCAGAGCTCTTGGGTAACTAGGTGCATTGTCAAATGAGCAGTAATATTTTGAAAGAAATCTTTCTTTCTGAGCAGCATGTCTCAGCAATGAGCTTAAAATATTCAGTAAACCAAGGTATCAACAGATGTGCTGTGCCCAGGCTTCTTTGTTCCTATAGAGCACAGGAAGAGTAGATTTAGTGTCATTCTTAAGGGCACTAGAACTTTCAGAATGATAAATGAGCATTGGTTTCAACTTAAAGTCACCAGCTACAATTGTCCCTGTCTGTAGAAGCTTTGAAGCCAGGCAGAGACTTATTCTCATCTAGCCTAGATAACATCTTCTTCCAATAGAGGGCTGTGTTGTCTACATTGAACATCTGTTGTATAGTGTAGCCACCTTAATCAGCGATGTTAGCTAGATCTTCTAAGATCTAGAGATCTTGCTGCAGCTTCTCCATCAGCACTTGCCACTTCCCCAGTGCAATAACATGAAACTTTTATGTTATTGAAGATGGCTTTTTTCCTTAAACCTCATGAACCAGCCTCTGCTAGCTTCTAACTTTTCTTCTGTAGCTTCCTCACCTCTCTTAGCCTCCGTAGAATTGAAGAGAGTTAGGGTCTTGCTCTGGATTAGGCTTTGGCTTAAGGGAATATTGTAACTGGTTTGATCTATCCAGACCACAGACCACTGAAACTTTCTCCGTATCGGCAATAAGACTGTTTCACTTTCTTATCATTTGTGTATTCACTGGAGTAGCACTACTAATTTCTTTCAATAATTATTCCTTTGCATTCAAAAGTTAGTTAACTGTTTAGTGTAAGAGGCCTAGCTTTTGGCCCATCTTAGCTTTTAAAATGCCTTCCTCACTAAGCTTAACCATTCCTAGCTTTTGATTTAAAGTGAAACATGAAATTCTTTTTTTTTTCCATTTGAACAACTTGACATTTTAGGGTTGTTAATAGCCTAACTTTAATATGTTGTGTCTCAGGGAATAGGGAGGCCTGAGGAGAGGGAGACAGGAGAATCACTGGTCAGTGGAGCAGTCAGAACACACACAACGTTTATTAAGTTCATCGGTATGTGTGGGTGTGGTTCGTGGTGCCCCAGAACCAGAACTGTTGTAATTACAACAGTAACATCAAAGATCACTGAGCACAGATCACTATAACAGATATAATCCTAATGGAAAAGTTTGAAATACTGTGAGAATTCCCAAAATGTGACACAGAGATGCACAGTGAGTGCATGCTGTTTGAAAAATGATGCCAATAAACTTGCTCAGCACAGGGTTGCCACAAACCTTTAATTTGTAAAAAGAAAATGCAGTATCTTCAAAGGGCAATACAGTAAAGCACAGTAAAATGAGGTGTGTCTGTATGGACACGTGTCAGCTTCTCAAATTATAAACTTAAATATGTGCATTTTATTTGGTGTCAATTGTATAAAGCGATTAAATTTTTAAAAGGACTGATGCAGACAGCACCTGGCGTCTGGGATAAGGTGTATCATTTTCCTCTTTATGGCAGGAACTGCCACGCCCCCTGTTTTCATGCTGCCGGAGACCAGCTGGCAAGTGGGGGGCAGTGGCTCTCCTTGCCAATCCTGGGCATGCAGGTGACAGTGCAGGGAGAGTGCCCTTCCCACATGGCCCCCGTTTGTAGCCACAGCTGTCCCTACAAAAACTGGGCAGCCTGAAGTGAATTAACAAGACAGTTTTCAGATCTTCACTTGCTTGTGGGTTTCACATGTCACATTTAACCTCCAGTTACATCGACTTTTTCAAACCCCACTTAGGCATCTTAGAATTTTATCATTTGCATTCTTTTATGTTGAATAAGAGAGTTGTAGTACATGCCCCACTGTCTGCTTTCTAAAACATCCAGGTTGGAGTTAGCGCCTTCATACACCCTCCCTGGAAGCACCAGGTGCCATCCTCAGTGCAGCGGCAAGGCAGTGTCGGGGCTCTCTGCCCCCAGGTCTCTCCCCGCCTGGTTCCATTGGCTGCTGGGAAGGATGCTTGGATGGGAGGTCTTTGTGTTTTCAGGCAGGAAATATTATTTGCTCCGCTAGCCCTAGGTCTTACTAATTTACTGTGCAATCTTCAACAAGTTTCTTGATCTTCTTGCTCTGTTTTCTCATCTGTAAAATTGAGGGCAGTGAGCAAGGTGACCTGTAGGTCCCAGGAGCACCAAGGTAGTGCCGTATTTAGTACCAGGTTTTCCTAAGAGGAAATGGGGGCTACTTGGGGTCAAAACAAAGGAGAGTCTTTCTAGATAGGGAAGGACTAGCAGTGGGTCAAAACTTGCCAAGAAGGACTATGAATGGAGCTTTGCTTGGGGTTTAAAAGCTTCAGTCACAGACTTGGAGGGGCTCAAACCCCTTGCTTTAGAAGGCAGAAACCAAGAACCACTAAGGACCTAGGACTTGCTGATGGTGTCTTTGGAGTTTAAGGTGGAACTGAAGTTAGAGCTGATTTCCTTCCTGTCACATCCAGTAAGACTGGGAATGGTTGGGTGCCAGAGGCAGGTTCCAGAAGGTGGGAAGAGTCCTGTCTGCGTCCCCAGGGTCCCAACCTTGAGGAAAGCTTGCTGTCCTTCTGTCCTGCTTCACACTCCCTTTGGTTAAAGGTTTCAGTCAGAGCCCGATAGAAACCTTCAGGAAAAAAGGGCCCCAGACTGAGGCGAGGACACTGGGGAAGCCTTGGGCGGTTTCTGTGTGGGGCAGCCCCTGCTCTGTGAAGCACAGGGGAACGGGACTCCATCGCTGTCATCGGCACTCATGCCCTGGTGCAGACCTGCAGGAACATTGCCTGCTGTATACAGGGCAGATGGGCACTGTGCCGGGAGAAGCCTGTAGGAAGGGAGGCCTTGAGGGATAAGGAGGGAACTCCGGCCATGAGCATGCACAGAGCTCCGTGAAGGAAGGCCTTGACAGACAGAGGCATGGTGGGTGGAGACGGGTGGAGAACATCCCGGCAGAACACAGAGCACGTGCTGTGGCTTGCTGGCAGGGACATGTATGCTGTGTAAAGGCAGGGAGTAGGTCCAGGTGCCCTGGGAAGAGTGTGTGTAGAGAAACGTCGTGGAAGAGGAGACACCCAACGCGAGGTCATGGCTGGTTTGCTTGCTGTGTTTAAACTGCCATAGACTGGCTTTTGTCAGCAGTGGCAGAGAGAGGGGGTTGCATTTTTCTCTTTTTAGTTTGCTTTTGAGGTCTCCCTCTCTCTGTAGAGTGGCTGTGAAGTCCAGCCCTGCCCTGACGGGGCTCCAGGGGAGGTGGTTGTGCATGTTTATGATGTGCCTTCACGGGGTACTTCTTTATCCTGGTGGATGGCAGAATCCCTGTGTCTGACCTGTGCCCAGGTCTCTCCTGGGAGACTTGTTTACCCTCTTAGACACCCTTGAGTCTCTTGTCTGTGTCTGGTGTATTTATTTATTTAGCCTACCAAGATAGCCACTCTTTAGGACAGTTCTGAATTTGGAAAGAAGTTAGGTTCAGGTGTGTCGGTCGAGTGAGACACAGAGGAGGCCACTCAACAAAACCTATGAAATACCAGAAGCAGTGAGTTCCTCGCAGGTCCGGAGAGAAGAGGGCAGCACGCTGGACTAGGGGAGCCGTCAGGACCTGTGTGCTCGCTAGCGGGTGGGGAGCAAGATAGATGGAGTGTGGGCTCTGAGGGCTGAAGCCTTTATGGGGTCCAGGCCATCACCCCAGCAGGTTCCCCACAAGGAGTTGTAATTCGTTGGGTTAGAGCAGGTAGGCACAAGTTACAGGAGGCCATGCTGTGAGTGAAGGGTGGTCATGGCAGCATATCTGAGCAGTCCATGCTGGGTGTGAGGGTCTGCAGGGTGGGTCAAGTAGGTTGCATCTAGCTGTCCCTTAGGGACTTGGTCACCAGGAGGCAGCTATATAAGGCACATCTCTGGATCGACCATTTTGAGGGCCTGGGAAGAGGTGGAGACCTGGAAACTTTCAAGGATGACTAAGCCCTGCTTCTGGTATGAGAAAGTCCAACATACATTCAAAATAGGTACCAAGAAAGCATAACATTATAAGAATTCACTGCAGAGGATCATCTGAAAGGTCTAAGGTGAGAAATGAATATCTAGTGTAGAAGTTGGAGAGGCATCCATAGGAATGATCTCTAATGAACTGGATCTCCCTCCAAGATAGAGATCAAAATTGGTTTAAAACAAATACAGGGGGGTGGAGCCAAGATGGCCAAATACGAACAGCTCTGGTCTACAGCTTCCAGCGTGAGCAACACAGAAGACGGGTGATTTCTGCATTTCCATCTGAGGTACCAGGCTCATCTCACTAGGGAGTGCCACACAGTGGGTGCAGGACAGTGGGTGCAGCGCACTGTGCGTGGGCCGAAGCAGGGCAAGGCATTGCCTCACTCGGGAAGCTCAAGGGGTCAGGGAATTCCCTTTCCTAGTCAAAGAAAGGGGTGACAGACGGCACCTGGAAAATCGGTTCACTCCAACCTGAATACTGTGCTTTTCCAACGGGCTTAAAAAACGGCACACCAGGAGATTATATCCCGCATCTGGCTCGGAGGGTCCTACGCCCACGGAGTCTCCCTGATTGCTAGCACAGCAGTCTGAGATCAAACTGCAAGGTGGCAGTGAGGCTGGGGGAGGGGCGCCTGCCATTGCCCAGGCTTGATTAGGCAAACAAAGCAGCCGGGAAGCTCGAACTGGGTGGAGCCCACCACAGCTCAAGGAGGCCTGCCTGCCTCTGTAGGCTCCACCTCTGGGGGCAGGGCACAGACAAACAAAAAGACAGCAGTAACCTCTGCAAACTTAAATGTCCCTGTCTGACAGCTTTGAAGAGAGTAGTGGTTCTCCCAGCACACAGCTGGAGATCTGAGAACGGGCAGACTGCCTCCTCAAGTGGGTCCTTGACCCCCGAGCAGCCTAACTGGGAGGCACCCCCAAGTGGGGGCAGACTGACACCTCACACGGCCAGGTACTCCTCTGAGACAAAACTTCCAGAGGAAAGATCAGGCAGCAGCATCTGTGGTTCACCAAGATCTGCTGTTCTACAGCCACCGCTGTTCTACAGGCACCGCTGTTCTGCAGCCACCGCTGCTGATACTGAGGCAAACAGAGTCTGGAGTGGACCTCTAGCAAACTCCAACAGACCTGCAGCTGAGGGTCCTGTCTGTTAGAAGGAAAACTAACAAACAGAAAGGACATCCACACCAAAAACCCTTCTGTACGTCACCATCATCAAAGACCAAAAGTAGATAAAGCCACAAAGATGGGGAAAAAACAGAGCAGAAAAACTGGAAACACTAAAAAGCAGAGCACCTCTCCTCCTCCAAAGGAACGCACCTTCTCACCAGCAACGGAACAAAGCTGGACGGAGAATGACTTTGACGAGCTGAGAGAAGAAGGCTTCAGACGATCAAACTACTCTGAGATACAGGAGGAAATTCAAACCAATGGCAAAGAAGTTAAAAACTTTGAAAAAAAACTAGATGAATGGATAACTAGAATAATCAACGCAGAGAAGTCCTTAAAGGAGCTGATGGAGCTGAAAGCCAAGGCTCAAGAATTACGTGAAGAATGCAGAAGCCTCAGGAGCCGATGCAATCAACTGGAAGAAAGGGTATCAGTGATGGAAGATGAAATGAATGAAATGAAGCGAGAAGGGAAGATTAGAGAAAAAAGAATAAAAAGAAATGAACAAAGCCTCCAAGAAATATGGGACTATGTGAAAAGACCAAATTTACGTCTGATTGGTGTACCTGAAAGTGATGGGGAGAATGGAACCAAGTTGGAAAACACTCTGCAGGATATTTTCCAGGAGAACTTCCCCAATCTAGCAAGGCAGGCAAACATTCAGATTCAGGAAATACAGAGAACGCCACAAAGATACTCCTCGAGAAGAGCAGCTCCAAGACACATAATTATCAGATTCACCAAAGTTGAAATGCAGGAAAAAATGTTAAGCGCAGACAGAGAGAAAGGTCGGGTAACCCACAAAGGGAAACCCATCAGACTAACAGCTGATCTCACGGCAGAAACTCTACAAGCCAGAAGAGAGTTGGGGCCAATATTCAACATTCTTAAAGAAAAGAATTTTCAACCCAGAATTTCATATCCAGCCAAACTAAGCTTCATAAGTGAAGGAGAAATAAAATACTTTACAGACAAGCAAATGCTGAGAGATTTTGTCACCACCAGGTCTGCCCTAAAAGAGCTCTTAAAGGAAGAACTTAACATGGAAAGGAACAACTGGTACCAGCCACTGCAAAAACATGCCAAAATGTAAAGACCATCAAGGCTAGGAAGAAAACTGCATCAACTAACGATCAAAATAACCAGCTAACATCATAATGACAGGACCAAATACACACATAACAATATTAACTTTAAATGTCAGTGGGCTAAATGCTCCAATTAAAAGACACAGACTGGCAAATTGGATAAAGAGTCAAGACCCATCAGTGTGCTGTATTCAGGAAACCCATCTCATGTGCAGAGACACACATAGGCTCAAAATAAAGGGATGGAGGAAGATCTACCAAGCAAATGGAAAACAAAAAAAGGCAGGGGTTGCAATCCTAGTCTCTGATAAAACAGACTTTAAACCAGCAAAGATCAAAAGAGACAAAGAAGGCCATTACATAATGGTAAAGGGATCAATTCAACAAGAAGAGCTAACTATCCTAAATATATATGCACCCAATACAGGAGCACCAAGATTCATAAAGCAAGTCCTGAGTGACCTACAAAGAGACTTAGACTCCCACACATTAATAATGGGAGACTTTAACACCCCACTGTCAATGTTAGACAGATCAACGACACAGAAAGTTAACAAGGATACCCAGGAAATGAACTCAGCTCTGCAGCAGGCAGACCTAATAGACATCTACAGAACTCTCCACCCCAAATCAACAGAATATACATTTTTTTCAGCACCACACCTATTCCAAAATTGACCACATAGTTGGAAGTAAAGCACTCCTCAGCAAATGTAAAAGAACAGAAATTATAACAAACTGTCTCTCAGACCACAGTGCAATCAAACTAGAACTCAGGACTAAGAAACTCACTGAAAACCACTCAACTACATGGAAACTGAACAACCTGCTCCTGAATGACTACTGGGTACATCACGAAATGAAGGCAGAAATAAAGATGTTCTTTGAAACCAACGAGAACAAAGACACAACATACCAGAATCTCTGGGACACATTCAAAGCGGTGTGTGGAGGGAAATTTATAGCACTAAATGCCCACAAGAGAAAGCAGGAAAGATCCAAAATCGACACCCTAACGTCACAGTTAAAAGAACTAGAAAAGCAAGAGCAAACACATTCAAAAGCTAGCAGAAGGCAAGAAATAACTAAAATCAGAGCAGAACTGAAGGAAATAGAGACACAAAAAACCCTTCAAAAAATTAATGAATCCAGGAGCTGGTTTTTTGAAAGGATCAACAAAATTGATAGACTGCTAGCAAGACTAATAAAGAAGAAAGAGAGAAGAATCAAATAGACACAATAAAAAATGATAAAGGGGATATCACCACTGATCCCACAGAAATACAAACTACCATCAGAGAATACTACAAACACTTCTACACAAATAAACTAGAAAATCTAGAAGAAATGGATAAATTCCTGGACACATACACCCTCCCAAGACTAAACCAGGAAGAAGTTGAATCTCTGAATAGACCAATAACGAGCTCTGAAATTTTAGCAATAATCAATAGCTTACCAACCAAAAACGTCCAGGACCAGATGGATTCACAGCCGAATTCTACCAGAGGTAAAAGGAGGAGCTGGTACCATTCCTTCTGAAACTATTCCAATCAATAGAAAAAGAGGGAATCCTCCCTAACTCATTTTATGAGGCCAGCATCATCCTGATACCAAAGCCTGGCAGAGACACACACAAAAAAGAGAATTTTAGCTGAATATCCTTGATGAACATTGATGCAAAAATCCTCAATAAAATACTGGCAGACCGAATCCAGCAGCACCTCAAAAAGCTTATCCACCATGATCAAGTGGGCTTCATCCCTGGGATGCAAGGCTGGTTAAATGTACACAAATCAATAGATGTAATCCAGCATATAAACAGAACCAATGACAAAAACCACATGATTATCTCAATGGATGCAGAAAAGGCCTTTGACAAAATTCAACAACCCTTGATGCTAAAAACTCTCAATAAATTAGGTATTGATTGGACATATCTCAAAATATTAAGAGCTATCTATGACAAACCCACAGCCAATATCATACTGAATGGGCAAAAACTGGAAGCATTCCCTTTGAAAACTGGCATAAGACAGGGATGCCCTCTCTCACCACTCCGATTCAACATAGTGTTGGAAGTTCTGGCCAGGGCAATTAGGCAGGAGAAGGAAATAAAGGGTATTCAATTAGGAAAAGAGGAAGTCAAATTGTCCCTGTTTGCAGATGACATGATTGTATATCTAGAAAACCCCATTGTCTCAGCCCAAAATCTCCTTAAGCTGATAAGCAACTTCAACAAAGTCTCAGGATACAAAATCAATGTGTAAAAATCACAAGCATTCTTATGCACCAATAACAGACAAACAGAGAGCCAAATCATGAGTGAACTCCCATTCACAATTGCTTCAAAGAGAATAAATACTTAGGAATCCAACTTACAAGGGATGTGAAGGACCTCTTCAAGGAGAACTACAAACCACTGCTCAATGAAATTAAAGAGGATACAAACAAATGGAAGAACATTCCATGCTCATGGGTAGGAAGAATCAATATCGTGAAAATGGCCATACTGCCCAAGGTAATTTATAGATTCAATGCCATCCCCATCAAGCTACCAATGACTTTCTTCACAGAATTGGAAAAAACTACTTTAAAGTTGATATGGAACCAAAAAAGAGCCCGCATTGCCAAGTCAATCCTAAGCCAAAAGAACAAAGCTGGAGGCATCACCCTACCTGACTTCAAACTATACTACAAGGCTACAGTAACCAAAACAGCATGGTACTGGTACCAAAACAGAGATATAGATCAATGGAACAGAAGAGAGCCCTCAGAAATAATGCCACATATCTACAACCATCTGATCTTCGACAAACCTGACAGAAACAAGCAATGGGGAAAGGATTCCCTATTTAATAAATGGTGCTGGGAAAACTGGCTGGCCATATGTAGAAAGCTGAAACTGGATCCCTTCTTTACACCCTTTACAAAAATTAATTCAAGATAGACTAAAGACTTAAACATTAGACCTAAAACCATAAAAACCCTAGAAGAAAACCTAGGCAATACCATTCAGGACATAGGCACGGGCAAGGACTTCATGTCTAAAACACCAAAAGCAATGGCAACAAAAGCCAACATTGACAAATGGGATCTAATTAAGCTAAAGAGCTTCTGCACAGCAAAAGAAACTACCATCAGAGTGAACAGGCAGCCTACAAAATGGGAGAAAATTTTTGCAACCTACTCATCTGACAAAGGGCTAGTATCCAGAATCTACAATGAACTCAAACAAATTTAAAAGAAAAAAAACAAACAACCCCATCAACAAGTGGGTGAAGGATATGAACAGACACTTCTCAAAAGAAGACATTTATGCAGCCAAAAAACACATGAAAAAATGCTCATCATCACTGACCATCAGAGAAATGCAAATCGAAACCACAATGAGATACCATCTCACACCACTTAGAATGGCGATCATTAAAAAGTCAGGAAACAACAGGTGCTGGAGAGGATGTGGAAAAGTAGGAACACTTTTACACTGTTGGTGGGAGTGTAAACTAGTTCAACCATTGTGGAAGTCAGTGTGGCGATTCCTCAGGGATCTAGAACTAGAAATATCATTTGACCCAGCCATCCCATTACTGGGTACATACCCAAAGGATTATAAATCATGCTGCTATAAAGACACATGCACACGTATGTTTATTGCAGCACTATTCACAATAGCAAAGACTTGGAACCAACCCAAATGTCCAACAACCATAGACTGGATTAAGAAAATGTGGTACATATACACCATGGAATACTATGCAGCCATAAAAAATGGTGAGTTCATGTCCTTTGTAGGGACATGGATGAAACTGGAAACCATCATTCTCAGCAAACTATCTCAAGGACAAAAAACCAAACACTGCATGTTCTCACTCATAGGTGGGAATTGAACAATGAGAACACATGGACACAGGAAGGGGAACATCACACTCCGGGGACTGTTGTGGGGTGGGGGGAGGGGGGAGGGATAGCATTAGGAGATATACCTAATGCTAAATGACGAGTTAATGGGTGCAGCACACCAGCATGGCACATGCATACATGTGTAACAAACCTGCACATTGTGCACATGTACCCTAAAACTTAAAAGTATAATAATAATAATAAAAGAAGTTGCCATAGCCACCCTAACCTTCAGCAACTACCAGCCTGATCAATCAGATGCCATCAACGTGGAGGAGAGACCCCCCATTAGCAAGATTACAACTTGCTGAGGGCTCAGATGATTGTTAGCACTTTTTTTTTTTAACAATAAAGTAATCTTTAAGGTGTAAAAAAGAAACCATAAAAACAAAAAAACAAAACAAAAAAAAAACAAATATAGGCCGGGTGCAGTGGCTCACACCTGTAATTCCAGCACTTTGGGAGGCCAAGGCAGGAGAATCACTTGAGGCGAGGAGTTGGAGCCCAGCCTGGGCAATATAGTACAACCCTGTCTTTACTAAAAATACAAAAATTAACCAGGTATGGTGGCACACACCTGTAGTCCTGGCAACTGAGGAGGCTGAGGCAGGAGAATCATTTGAACCCAGGAGGTCAAGGCTGCAGTGAGCTATGATTGCACCACTGCAATCCAACTTGGGCAACACAGTGAGACCCTGCCTCAAAAAAAATTATATTCTGATTTTCTGAGTCCATGAACACATTGTCCAAATGGATTTTTCTAGCTCCTCCAAGTTACAGATAGTTCCATGCACACACAGAACCCACCACTCTCAAATATTTTCCCCACTAGTATACTATTAAATTTTTCAAACATGCAAAAGATGAAAGAATTGCTCAATGAACACCATGTACCCACCACCTAGATTCTACAATTAACATTTTACCCTACTTTCTTTGTCACATATATGTACCTATCCATCTACCCATTCTTCCATGAATCCATCAATTCATCTAATTTTTTGTATATTTCAAGGTAAGTTGTAGATACGTAGCTTACATTTCACCTTAAATGTTTCCGCCTGGCTATTATTAACTGGAGTGCAATATGTTTTTGGTTCTTTATGGTAAAATCTATGTGCAATGAAATGCACAAGCCTTAGGTATGCCATTAATAGGTATTGACGAATAGACACACCTTGTGTCTGAAACTGTAATAAAAAAATCAAACACTACCTTCCTTTCAAAAAGTTTCCTCACTTCTTTTCTTGGTCAAAACCCCTCCCCACCTCAGCCCACCCCTCAGCAACCATTGTTCTCAATTTTTTTTTGCATTCCTAGATTGATTTTGCTTGTTCCATAACCTCGTATAAATGAAAGTGTACAGTGTGCAAGGTTTGTGTCTGGTTTTTCCACCAAGCACATTTCTGAAATTCATCTATGTTGAGTATATTAGCAGTTCATTTCTTTTGAAGAAAGAATGAAGTGTGCTAAGTAGTGTTTCATTGTGTGGCTATACCACAGTTTGTTTTTTTATCCATCACTATTTAATGGGTATCTGGGTGGTTTCTGGCTTTGGCTACTATCAGTAAAGCTACTACAGACATTTCTGTAGAAGTCTTTTTATGGAGATGTGGCTTTGCTTTTCTTGGGTAAACACCTATGAGTGAACTCTCTGGATCCCAGGTAGATGTAGCTAGGTCATAGGCAGATGTATGTTGAGTATTACAGAAACTGCTAGACCTTTTCAATTGTGTTCATATTGTTTTATACTCCCACTGTAACAACATACGAGAGTCCTGCTTGCTCCATCATCTTTGATGTTTAGTGTTGTCAGTCTTTTTAACTTTAGCCATTCTGGTGCATTTGTATGTCATTCCATTGCAGTTCTTTTTTTTTTTTTTTAAATCAGGAATGTTTAGTCGAAGTCTGATATTGTGGTGTACTAGTCATCTATTGCCGCATACAAAAATCATCCCAAAATTTAGCAGCCTAAGATAACCATCATATATTTCTTACACCATTTCTGAGGCTCATAAATCCAAGCGTGGTGTAACTGGCTCAGGGTCCTTCTCGAGGCTACAGTCTAGCTGGGGCTGCAGGACCTTCTTCCATCCCCACTCGCAGGGCTGCTGGTGGCCTCAATTCTTCACTGGCGGTCAGCAGGAGACCTCAGAGCCTCACCACAGCCTCTTCCCTGGCTGCCTGGGCAACCTTGTAAAGCATCAGTTGACTTCCCTCAGAGTGAGTGATGAGGGAGAGATAAAGCGACAGCTTATGGTGGAAGCCACAGTGTGTCATGGAGTAATCTCGGAAGTGACATCCCATCACATAGGCTATAATCCATCGGTCATACAGACTAACCCTAGTACAAAGTGGAGGGGGCCACACAGAGGGATCCTTGGGGGCTATCTTGGAGGGTGGCCACCCCGTGGGGAGAAGGTGGAAGCAGCCACCTCAGGGAGGCAGATTGTAATCAGGACCCATAGGAGCAGCATGGAGCCCATGTGTTTCTGTGCAGTTTGCTGAAGCCAGTCAGAACATCCTGAGTCTGACTTATCACCCTTCTCTGGCCTGCTGGGGTTCCTGAACCAAGTAGTTTAACTTGCCAAGCCTTAGTTTCTGCAGTTATAAAATGGTGGTATGAATGAATGAAACAAGGTATCCGCAACACTGAAATGGAACATAATAGGGCCTGAACAGAGGACAGTTATGAATATTTCCATACAAAATGCAATTTTATGCCCTTCATCAATGGTCATTTTCTCTCATTTTACTTTTGAGGACTAGATTTGCCAAAGTCCCTCTGGGGCCAACCCAGTACACCACTGAGAAGCCCTTTGAAAAAGCCAGCTTTATCATCGTTTTGTTTTTATTTCTTGATATTTGGAAAGTTTTCTTCCTTCTGTTTCTATGTGTCCTCTGCCTAACTAGTCATGGTGACTCCTTGGATAGTATTCTCCATGGTTTCTTGTGAAATATTAATGCTTACCTTGCAATCTTGCAGCTTTTAGCATGAATTATTTTGCTGATTATAATCAGGCCTCTAGGATAAGTACCACTGATTTTAATTTAATGTTAAATTTGTACTGAGTGAATCATAATGGTCAGACTAATCTAAATGGTGCAGGTATATAAAACTACATGCCCATGTGCTCAGTTCCTGCTTGTTGATGTTTTGTTATAAAGTAACAGCTTTTTAACATCAAATGTATTCCAAGTAGCCACTTTACAGTGACACTGCAAAACCTACTACAAAGCAAAGCCAATAAGACAAAGTCAAAATATTTCAAAGTTTCTTATTGAAGTATTGCATACCTCTAGAAATTACAACATAACTGTACAACTTAATGAATTCTCAGAAAATGTAGCATCAGTGCAAATATCATTGAAATCAAATCGGTGGGGCAGTTCCAAGTTGGCCGAATAGGAACAGCTCCAGTCTACAGCTCCCAGCGTGAGCGATGCAGAAGACAGGTGATTTCTGCATTTCCAACTGAGGTACCGGGTTCATCTCACTGGGGCTTGTCAGACAGTGGGTGCAGGACAGTGGGTGCAGCGCACCGAGCATGAGCCGAAGCATGGTGAGGCATCACCTCACCCGGGAAGTGCAAGGGGTCAGGGAATTCCCTTTCCTAGACAAGCAAAGCTGTCACAGATGGCACCTGGAAAATCAGGTCACTCCCACCCTAATACTGCGCTTTTCCAATGGTCTTAGCAAATGGAACACCAGGAGATTATATCCCACGCCTGGCTCGGAGGGTCCCACGCCCACGGAGCCTCGCTCATTGCTAGCACAGCAGTCTGAGATCAAACTGCAAGGCGGCAGTGAGGCTGGGGGAGGGGCGCCCGCCATTGCTCAGGCTTGAGTAGGTAAACAAAGCGGCCAGGAAGCTCAAACTGGGTGGAGCCCACTGCAGCTCAACGAGGCCTGCCTGCCTCTGTAGACTCCACCTCTGGGGACAGGGCATAGCTGAACAAAAGGCAGCACAAACCTCTGCAGACTTAAATGTCCCAGTCTGACAGCTTTGAAGAGAGTAGTGGTTCTCCCAGCACGGAGTTTGAGATCTGAGAACAGACAGACTGCTTTCTCAAGTGGGTCCCTGACCTCTGAGTAGCCTAACTGGAAGGCACCCCCGAAGTAGGGGCAGACTGACACCTCACACGGCTGGGTACCCCTCTGAGACGAAACTTCCAGAGGAAAGATCAGGCAGCAACATTCGCTGTTCAGCAATATTCGCTGTTCTGCAGCCTCTGCTGCTGATACCCAGGCAAACAGGTTCTGGAGTGGACCTCCAGCAAACTCCAACAGACCTGCAGCTGAGGGTCCTGACTATTAGAAGGAAAACTAACAAACAGAAAGGACATCCACACCAAAACCCCATCTGTACGTCACCATCATCAAAGACCAGAGGTAGATAAAACCACAAAGATGGGGAAAAAACAGAGCAGAAAAACTGAAAATTCTAAAAATCAGAGTGCCTCTCCTCCTCCAAAGGAACGAAGCTCCTCACCAGCAATGGAACAAAGCTGGACGGAGAATGACTTTGACGAGTTGAGAGAAGAAGGCTTCAGACGATCAAACTTTTCTGAGCTAAAGGAGGAAGTTAGAACCCATCACAAAGAAGTTAAAAACCTTGAAAAAAGATTAGACGAATGGCTAGCTAGAATAACCAATGCAGAGAAGTCCTTAAATGACCTGATGGAGCTGAAAACCATGGCATGAGAACTACGCGACGAATGCACAAGCTTCAGTAGCCAATTCCATCAACTGGAAGAAAGGGTATCAGTGATTGAAGATCAAATGAATGATATGAAGCAAGAAGAGAAGTTTAGAGAAAAAAGAATAAAAAGAAACAAACAAAGCCTCCAAGAAATATGGGACTATGTGAAAAGACCAAATCCACGTCTGATTGGTGTACCTGAAAGTGAGGGGGCGAATGGAACCAAGTTGGAAAACACTCTGCAGGATATTATCCAGGAGAACTTCCCCAACCTAGCAAGGCAGGCCAACATTCACATTCAGGAAATACAGAGAACACCACAAAGATACTCCTTGAGAAGAGCAACTCCAAGACACATAATTGTCAGATTCACCAAAGTTGAAATGAAGGAAAAAATGTTAAGGGCAACCAGAAAGAAAAGTCGGGTTACCTACAAAGGGAAGCCCATCAGACTAACAGCTGATCTCTCGGCAGAAACTCCACAAGCCAGAAGAGAGTGGGGGCCAATATTCAACATTGTTAAAGAAAAGAATTTTCAACCCAGAATTTCATATCCAGCCAAACTAAGCTTCATAAGTGAAGGAGAAATAAATCCTTTACAGACAAGCCAATGCTGAGAGATTTTGCCACCACCAGACCTGCCCTACAAGAGCTCCTGAAGGAAGCACTAAATGTGGAAAGGAACAACTGGTACAGCCACTGCAAAAACATGCCAAATTGAAAAGACCATCGATGCTAGGAAGAAACTGCATCAACTAACGAGCAAAATAACCAGCTAACATCATAATGGCAGTATCAGATTCACACATAACAATATTAACCTTAAATGTAAATGGGCTAAATGCTCCAATTAAAAGACACGGACTGGCAAATAGGATAAAGAGTCAAGAGACATCAGTGTGCTGTATTCAGGAAATCCATCTCACATGCAGAGACACAAATAGGCTCAAAATAAAGGGATGGAGGAAGATCTACCAAGCAAATGGAAAACAAAAAAAAAGGTAGGGGTTGCAATCCTAGTCTCTGATAAAACAGACTTTAAACCAACAAAGATCAAAAGAGACAAGGCCATTACATAATGGTAAAGGGATCAATTCAGCAAGAAAAGCTAACTATCCTAAATATATATGCACCCAATACAGGAGCACCCAGATTCATAAAGCAAGTCCTTAGAGACCTACAAAGAGACTTAGACTCCCACACAATAATAATGGGAGACTTTAACACCCCACTGTCAACGATAGACAGATCAACGAAACAGAAAGTTAACTAGGATATCCAGGAATTGAACTCAGCTCTGCAGCAGGCAGACCTAGTAGACATCTACAGAACTTTCCACCCCAAATCGACAGAATATACATTCTTCTCAGCACCACGTCACACTTATTCCAAAATTGACCACGTAATTGGAAGTAAAACACTCCTCAGCAAATGTAAAAAAACAGAAATTATAGCAAACTGTTTCTCAGACCACAGTGCAATCAAACTAGTACTCAGGACTAAGAAACTCTCTCAAAACCGCTCAACTACATGGAAACTGAACAACCTGCTCCTGAATGACTACTGGGTACATCACGAAATGAAGGCAGAAATAAAGATGTTCTTTGAAACCAACGAGAACAAAGACACAACATACCAGAATCTCTGGGACACATTCAAAGCGGTGTGTGGAGGGAAATTTATAGCACTAAATGCCCACAAGAGAAAGCAGGAAAGATCCAAAATCGACACCCTAACGTCACAGTTAAAAGAACTAGAAAAGCAAGAGCAAACACATTCAAAAGCTAGCAGAAGGCAAGAAATAACTAAAATCAGAGCAGAACTGAAGGAAATAGAGACACAAAAAACCCTTCAAAAAATTAATGAATCCAGGAGCTGGTTTTTTGAAAGGATCAACAAAATTGATAGACTGCTAGCAAGACTAATAAAGAAGAAAGAGAGAAGAATCAAATAGACACAATAAAAAATGATAAAGGGGATATCACCACCGATCCCACAGAAATACAAACTACCATCAGAGAATACTATAAACACCTCTACACAAATAAACTAGAAAATCTAGAAGAAATGGATAAATTCCTGGACACATACACCCTCCCAAGACTAAACCAGGAAGAAGTTGAATCTCTGAATAGACCAATAACAGTCTCTGAAATTGAGGCAATAATGAATAGCCTACCAACCAAAAAAAGTCCAGGACCAGACAGATTCACAGCCGAATTCTACCAGAGGTAAAAGGAGGAGCTGGTACCATTCCTTCTGAAACTATTCCAATCAATAGAAAAAGAGGGAATCCTTCCTAACTCATTTTATGAGGCCAGCATCATCCTGATACCAAAGCCTGGCAGAGACACACACAAAAAAGAGAATTTTAGACTAATATCCCTGATGAACATCGATGCAAAAATCCTCAATAAAATACTGGCAGACCGAATCCAGCAGCACCTCAAAAAGCTTGTCCACCATGATCAAGTGGGCTTCATCCCTGGGATGCAAGGCTGGTTCAACATACACAAATCAATAAATGTAATCCAGCATATAAACAGAACCAAAGACAAAAACCATGTGATTATCTCAATAGATGCAGAAAAGGCCTTTGACAAAATTCAACAACCCTTGATGCTAAAAACTCTCAATAAATTAGGTATTGATGGGACATATCTCGAAATAATAAGAGCTATCTATTACAGACCCACAGCCAATATCATACTGAATGGGCAAAAACTGGAAGCATTCCCTTTGAAAACTGGCACAGACAGGGATGCCCTCTCTCACCATTCCTATTCAACATAGTGTTGGAAGTTCTGGCCAGGGCAGTCAGGCAGGAGAAAGAAATAAAGGGTATTCAATTAGGAAAAGAGGAAGTCAAATTGTCCCTGTTTGCAGATGACATGATTGTATATCTAGAAAACCCCATTGTCTCAGCCCAAAATCTCCTTAAGCTGATAAGCAACTTCAGCAAAGTCTCAGGATACAAAATCAATGTGTAAAAATCACAAGCATTCTTATGCACCAATAACAGACAGAGAGCCAAATCATGAGTGAACTCCCATTCACAATTGCTTCAAAGAGAATAAAATACCTAGGAATCCAACTTACAAGGGATGTGAAGGACCTCTTCAGGGAGAACTACAAACCACTCAATGAAATAAAAGAGGATACAAACAAATGGAAGAACATTCCATGCTCATGGATAGGAAGAATCAATATCGTCAAATGGCCATACTGCCCAAGGTAATTTATAGATTCAATGCCATCCCCATCAAGCTACCAGTGACTTTCTTCACAGAATTGGAAAAAACTACTTTAAAGTTGATATGGAACCAAAAAAGAGCCCGCATTGCCAAGTCAATCCTAAGCCAAAAGAACAAAGCTGGAGGCATCACCCTACCTGACTTCAAACCATACTACAAGGTTGCAGTAACCAAAACAGCATGGTACTGGTACCAAAACAGAGATATAGATCAATGGAGCAGAACAGAGCCCTCAGAAATAATACCACACATCTACAACCATCTGATCTTTGACAAGCCTGACAAAAACAAGAAATGGGGAAAGGATTCCCTATTTAACAAATGGTGCTGGGAAAACTGGCTAGCCATATGTAGAAAGCTGAAACTGGATCTCTTCCTTACACCTTATACAAAAATTAATTCAAGATGGATTAAAGACTTAAACATTAGACCTAAAACCATAAAAACCCTAGAAGAAAACCTAGGCAATACCATTCAGGACATAGGCATGGGCAAGGACTCATCTCTAAAACACCAAAAGCAATGGCAACAAAAGCCAACATTGACAAATGGGATCTAATTAAACTAAAGGGCTTCTGCACAGCAAAAGAAACTACCATCAGAGTGAACAGGCAACATACAGATTGGGAGAAAATTTTTGCAATTTACTTATCTGACAAAGGGCTAATATCCAGAATCTACAAAGAACTCGAACAAATTTAAAAGAAAAAAACAACCCCATCAACAAGTGGGCAAAGGATATGAACAGACGCTTCTCAAAAGAAGACATTTATGCAGCCAACAGACACATGAAAAAATGCTCATCATCATTGGCCATCAGAGAAATGCAAATCAAAACCACAACGAGATACCATCTCACACCAGTTAGAATGGCAATCATTAAAAAGTCAGGAAACAACAGATGCTGGAGAGGATGTGGAGAAATAGGAACACTTTTACATTGTTGGTTGGACTGTAAACTAGTTCAACCATTGTGGAAGACAGTGTGGCGATTCCTCAGGTATTTAGAACTGGAAATACCATTTGACCTAGCCATCCCATTACTGGGTATATACCCAAAGGATTATAAATCATGCTGCTATAAAGACACATGCACATGTATGTTTATTGAGGCACTATTCACAATAGCAAAGACTTGGAACCAACCCAAATGTCCATCAATGATAGACTGGATTAAGAAAATGTGGCACATATACACCATGGAATACTATGCAGCCATAAAAAATGATGAGTTCATGTCCTTTGTAGGGACATGGATGAAACTGGAAACCATCATTCTCAGCAAACTATCACAAGAACAAAAAACCAAACACCGCATGTTCTCACTCATAGGTGGGAATTGAACAATGAGAACACTTGGACACAGGAAGGGGAACATCACACACCAGGGCCTGTTTTGGGGTGGGCGGAGGGGGCAGGGATAGCATTAGGAGATATGCGTAATGTGAATGACGAATTAATGGGTGCAGCACACCAACATGGCACATGTATACATATGTAACAAACCTGCATGTTGTGCACATGTACCCTAGAACTTAAAGTATAATAAAAAAATTAAAAAATAATAAAATAAAAATAAAAAAGGAAATCAAATCAAACTGTGACTATCAGCAGCCAGAAATCTCTTTCCTTCCCTCTTCCTATCACTGCACCTTCTTTCTCCCCAGAGGTAACTAGAACTACAGTCATGACTTCTAACACCTTAGGTTAGTCTTTCCTGTGCTTAAGCTTTGTATACATGGAATCATGCAGTATATATTCCTGTGTATCTGCCTTCTTTTGCACATAGACACATAGATATAAATGTATATAAGTCTTGCCAGAGTTATCAGTTATCTTTTTTTCTTTTTTTTTTGACATGGAGTCTCACTCTGTCACCAGGGGAGTGCAGTGGCACAGTCTGGGCTCACTGCAACCTCTGTCTCCCGGGTTCAAGCAATTCTTCTGCCTCAGCCTCCCAAGTAGCTGGGACTACAGGCACCTGCCACCACGGCCAGCTAATTTTTGTATTTTTAGTAGAGACGGGGTTTCACCATGTTGGTCAGGATGGTCTCAATCTCTTGACCTCGTGATCCATCCACCTCGGCCTCCCAAAGTGCTGGGATTACAGGCGTGAGCCACTGCACCCGGCCAAGTTATCGATTATTCTAAGTCTTTCCAAAGAACCATTTTTTGGCTTCATCGATTCTCTTTATCATTTGTCGTCTGTTCCATTAAAATCTGATGTTATCCTCATAAATGTTTGATATATTTGGTTGTAGATCTACCCTCTCAGCATTTGTGAGTTCTTTTCTTGGTCTTGTTGTTTCTCCTTTTTTCCTTCTTTATTTGTTGGTTAAATTTGCTATTTCTTAAAACTGTTTGAGATCGGTACTCAGATCAGGGGTTGGCAAACTTCTTTCCATGGCAGGACAGATAGTAAGTACTTTGGGCTTTGCAAGCTACACATGCTTCCTGTCACATATTCTTTCTTTTAAACTTAAAATGTAAAAGCTGGTTGGGCACGGTGGCTCATGCCTGTAATCCCAGCACTTTGGGAGGCCGAGGTGGGCAGATCACCTGAGGTCAGGAGTTCAAGACCAGCCTGGCCAACAAGGTGAAACCCCGTCTCTACTGAAAATACAAAAATTAGCCAGGCACAGTGGTGGTTGTCTGTAATCCCAGTACTCGGGAGGCTGAGGCAGGAGAATCGCTTGAGCCTGGGAGGTGGAGGTTTCAGTGAGCCAAGATTGCGCCACTGCACTCCAGCTTGGAGACAGAGCAAGACTCTGTCTCAAATAAATGAATAAAAGTAAAATGTAAAAGCTATTCTTAGTTTATGCATTGTACAAAAACAGGGGCAGAGTGGAATTGGCCCATGGGTCATAATTTGCAAACCCCCAACTTAGATTGTTGAGGCCCAGCCTCTTCTTTTCACATATATATATAAATGGTTATACATTTCCAGTTAATTCCTCAGCATGTAAGGATTTTCCACTTCTCTTTCTGTTATTGATTTCTGTCAAGCGCACACACCAGACAAGGCAAGAGCAAGGTCTGCCTGATTCAACCAGTAAGGATGCGACAGGCCAGTTTTAGATGCAGACGGTTTATTACTTACATAGACAGCAAAGGAGAGAGTAGCCAAGGTGCCAGCTCCCAGGTCCTTGTTTCACATGCCAGAAAGCATGACACTGAAACAAAAGGGATGGAGTGCTGCATGAGTTGTGCAAGACCCCATTGCTGGGGAGCCTGTTCTGCGCTGCAGCTAAGAGGTTTCACCGCTTTATTACAGTTTTATTTTCATTCATGTCTACCATCCTGAGGGGGTGGGAGAAGAAAGGCCCATACCTCATCAGAACAGTGAGGCCAGGTGGAGCTGTCTGATGACTGCCTTGCAGGGGAGAGAGAAGGTGAGGGAGAGATGTCCTCAGAGCAGTGCCTGACAGACCTCCCATCTGCCCCTGTGCCAGAAGGATCCCAAGGCATTCTGCCAAGACTCAGACCGCGGTTGAAGCCTGTGCCTGTGGGGTCTCTGTTGGTACCTGGAAGGTCACCTGGGCACGGTGGCACAGCCAGTCCCCTACAATTCCCTGTCCTCTTCCAGTTGGTCAGAGAAGAGAGTCTGAATGATTTCAGCCTTTTGAAATTTGGGACTTGCTTTATGGCCTAGCATATGATCAATTTTGGTAAACGTTCCATGTTCACAAAGAAACAAAAAGTGGATTTTGTGATTCTTGGTGCAGTGATCTGTATATGTTAATTGGATCGTATTTTTCATGTGATTTAAATCCATACTGATTATTTTTGTCTGCTTGTTCTATCAGCTACTGACAGCACTTTGTTAAAACCTCCAACTATGATCGTGGACTTGTATATTTCTCTTTATTTTCTGTCGATTTTTCCTTTATATAATTTGAAGTTAAGAATAGACTTGTCATAGCTTCCTGTAGGACTGATATTTTATTATAAACTTTTTTCTGTCATTACTAAAGTTTTATTTTCATTAACGTCAACTTGTCTGACATTGGTTTTTCTACATTAGCTCTTTTGATTAGTGTTTGCATGATATATTTTTAAAATCATTCTACTTTCAACCTTTGTGACAGTTTGTGATTCAGATGTAAGCAATGTAAAATTAAGGTTTTTTAAATCCAGTCTGATCATCTGTTTTTTACTTGAAGCATTTTAGTTTACCTACATTGGATGTGATAACTGATCTAGTTGGTTATAGATCTAACATCTCATTATTTGCTTTTGTTTGCCCTGTCATTTCCTTTTTCATCTTTCCTGCATAATTTTGTATAAATCAAAGTATTTATTAATGTTCTATTCTATTAGCTTCTTCCCGGTACATTCCTTTACTATTCTTTTGGTAGTTACGATAGAGGTTACGATATACATCCTTGACTATCGAGTTTCCCTTAAAATAGTACTTGTACCATACTTTGGACAATTCAAGGAACTTAGTACTTCTGAACACCATTTAGCCCCTTCTGCCTTGTATATTAATATTGTCCCATAATTTGATTCTCTTTCAAATTCCGTAGGGCAACGTTATTTTCTATAGGGTCAATACCCACTTGGCTATAATGATTTTCCGTTGTTCTTTATTTTTTCCTGTAGCTCTGAGCTTCAATCTGAGATTATTTCCTTCTACCTAAAGAACACCTTTTAGTATTTTCTATAGTGTGGTCCCCTGGTGATAAGTGTCTGAAATTTTTTTTTATTTTGCATCTGCTTTTAAAGAATAATTTTACAAGATATAGGACTGTAGACTGGCATTTATGTATGTATTTACTTATTTTTGAACTCTGAAGATATTCCATTTTCTTCTGGCCTTTATTATTTCCATTTAAAAGTCAAGGTAGTCTTTTTTCTTATACTGTTTCTAAAATATTTTCCTTTATCATAGGTTTTCAGCAGTTTTATTATAACATGCAGACTTGCATTTTTCTTATATTTATGCTCCTTGGGGTTCATACCACTTCTGGATCTGTGGCTTGATATCTTTCACTAATTTTAGAAAATTCTCAGTCATTGTCTTTTTTTTTCTATTTTTCCATAGGTTATTGGGGTGCAGGTCGTGTTCGGTTACATGAGTAAGTTCTTTAGTGGTGATCTGTGAGATTTTGGTGCACCCATCACCTGAGCAGTAATACACTGCACCCTATTTGTAGTCTTTTTTCCCTTGCCCTCCTCCCATTCTTCCCCCAAGTCCACAAGTCCATTGTATCATTCCTATGCCTTTGTGTCCTCTTAGCTTAGCTCCTACATATCAGTGAGAACATATGATGTTTGGTTTTTCATTCCTGAGTTACTTCACTTAGAGTAATAGTCTCCAATCTTATCCAGGTTGCTGCGAATGCCTTTGATTCATTCCCTTTTATGGCTGAGTAATATTCCATTGTGTATACATATATATATACACCACAGTTTCTTTATCTACTCATTGATTGATGGACATTTGGGTTGGTTCCACGATTTTGCAGTTGTGAATTGTGCAGCCACAAACATGCATGTACAAGTGTCTTTTTCATATAATAACTTCTTTTCCTCTAGGTGGATACCCAGTAGTGAGATTGCTAGATCAAATGGTAGTTCTAGTTCTTTAAGGAATCTCCATACTGTTTTCCATAGTGGTTGTACTAGTTTACATTCCCACCAGCAGTAGAAGTGTTCCCTGATCACTGCATCCATGCCTCAATCTACTGTTTTTTGATTTTTTTATTATGGCCATTCTTACAGGAGTAAGGTGGTATCACATTGTGGTTTTGATTTCCATTTCCCTGATCATTAATGATGTAGAGCATTTTTTCATATGTTTGTTGGCCATTTGTATATCTTCTTTTGAGAATTGTCTGTTCATGTCCTTAGCCCACTTTTTGACGGGATTGTTTGTTTTTTTCTTGCTGATTTGTTTGAGTTTGGGTTCTAGATTCTGGATATTAGTCCTTTCTCAAATGTATAGATTGTGAAGATTTTCTCCCACTCTGGAGGTTGTCTGTTTACTCTGCTGGCTGTTCCTTTTACCATGCAAAAGCTCTTTAGTTTAATTAAGTTCCAGCTATTTATCTTTGTTTTTATTGCATTTGCTTTTGGGTTCTTGCTCATGAAATCCTTGCCTAAGCCAATGTCTAGAAGGGGTTTTCCAATGTTATCTTCTAGAATTTTTATAGTTTCAGGTCTTATATATAAGTCATTAATCCCTCTTGAGTTGATTTTTGTAAAAGGTGAGAGATGAGGATCCTGTTTCATTCTCCTACATGTGGCTAGCCAGTTATCGCAGCACCATTTGTTGAAAAGGGTGTCCTTTCCCCACTTTATGTTTTTGTTTGCTTTGTCAAAGATCAGTTGGCTGTAAGTATTTGGGCTTATTGCTGGGTACTCTATTCTGTTCCATTGGTCTATGTGCCTACTTTTGTACCAGTACCATGCTGTTTTGGTGACTATGGCCTTAAAGTATAGTTTGAAATCAGGTAGTGTGATGCCTCCAGATTTGTTCTTTTTGCTTAGTCTTACTTTGGCTATGCAGGCTCTTTTTTGGTTCCATATGAATTTTAGAATTGTTTTTTCTAATTCTGTGAAGAATGACGATGGTATTTTGATGGGAATTGTGTTGAATTTGTAGATTGCTTTTGGCAGTATGGTCATTTTCTCAATATTGAGTCTACCTATCCATGAGCATGGGACGTGTTTCCATTTGTTTGTGTCATCTATGATTTATTTCACCAGGGTTTTGTAGTTTTCTTTGTAGAGGTCTTTCTCCTCCTCAGTTAGGTATATTCCTAGGTATTTTATTTTTTTGCAGCTATTGTAAAAGGGGTTGAGTTCTTGATTTGATTATCCGCTTGGTCACTCTTGGTATATAGAAGAGTTACCAATTTGTGTACATTAATCTTGTATCCAGAAACTGGTGAATTCTTTTAGCAGTTCTAGGAGCTTTCTGGAGGAGTCTTCAGGGTTTTCAAGGTAAACAATCATATTGTTAGCCAACATTGACAGTTTGACTTCCTCATCACCGATTTGGATGCCTTTTATTTCTTTCTCTTGTCTGATTGCCCTGGCTAGGACTTCCAGTACTATGTTGAAGAAGAGTAGTGAGAGTGGGCATCCTTGTCTTGTTCCAGTTCTCAGAGGGAATGCTTTCAACTTTTCCCATTCAGTATTATGTTGGCTGTGGGTTTGTCATAGATGGCTTTTATTACATTGAGGTATGTCTCTTGTTGCTGATTTTGCCAAGAGTTTTAATCTTAAAGGATGCTGGATTTGTCAAATGCTTTTTCTGCATCTATTGAAATGATCACATGATTTTTGTTTTTAATTCTGTTTATGTGGTGTATCACATTTATCAACTTGCATATGTTAAATCGTTTCTGCATTCCTGGTATGAAACCCACTTGATCATGGTGGATTATCTTTTTGATATGTTGTTGGATTTGGTTAGCTAGTATTTTGTTAAGGATTTTAGCATCTTTGTTCAGCAAGGATATCGGTCTATAGTTTTTCTTTTTTGGTTATGTCCTTCCCTGGTTTTGGTATTAGGGTGATGCTGGCTTCATAGAATGCATCAGGGAGGGTCCCTTCTTTCTCTATCTTGTGGAATAGTGTCAAAAGAATTGGTACCAATTCTTTGTCTGGTAGAATTCTGCTGTGAATCCGTCTGGTCCTGGACTTTTTTTTGTTGGTAATTTTTAAATTACCATTTCAATCTCCCTGCTTGTTATTGGTCTGTTCAGGGTATCTAATTCTTCCTGATTTAAGCTGAGGGTTGTATTTTTCCAGGAATTTATCCATCTCTTCTATGTTTTCTAGTATGTGAGTAAAGATGTTCATAGTAGCCTTGAATGATCATTTGTATTTCTGTGGTGTCAGTTGTAATATCTCCCATTTCATTTCTTAATGAGGTTATTTGGATTTTCTCTCTTCTTTTCTTGGTTAATCTTACTAATGGTCTGTCAATTTTATTTATCTTTTCAAAGAACCAGCTTTTTGTTTCATTTATCTTTTGTATTTGTTTGTTTGTTTGTTTCAGCTTCATTTAGTTCTGCTCTGATCTTGGTTATTTCCTTTATTCTGCTGGGTTTGGCTTTGGTTTGTTCTTGTTTCTCTAGTTCCTTGAGGTGTGACCTGAGAATGTCAGTTTGTGCTCTTTCAGTCTTTTTGATGTAGGCGTGTAGGGCTATGAAGTTTCCTCTTAGCACCTCCTTTGCTATATCCCAGAGATTTTGATAGGTTGTGTCGTTATTGTCATTCAGCTTGAAGAATTTTTTAATTTCCATCTTGATTTCATTTTTGACCCAATGATCATTCAGGAATAGGTTACTTAATTTCCATGTGTTTGCATGGTTTTGAAGGTTCCTTTTGGAGTTGATTTCCAGTTTGATTCCAGGGTGGTCTGACAGAGTGCTTAATATAATTTCATTTTTCTGGCCGGGCATGGTGGCTCACGCCTGTAATCCCAGCACTTTGGGAGTCCGAGGCAGGCAGATCACGAGGTCAGGAGATCGAGACCATCCTGGCTAACACGGTGAAACCCCGCCTCTACTAAAAATCCAAAAATACAAAAAATTAGCCAGGCGTGGTGGCGGGCGCCTGTAGTCCCAGCTACTTGGGAGGCTGAGGCAGGAGAATGGCGTGAACCTGGGAGGCGGAGCTTGCAGTGAGCCAAGGTTGCGCCATTGCATTCCAGCCTGGGCAACAGAGTGAGACTCCGTCTCAAAAAAAAAAAAAAAAAAAAAAATATATATATATATATATATATATAATTTCATTTTTCTTAAATTTATTGAGGCTTGTTTTGTGGCCTATCATATGGTCTATCTTGGAGAAAGTCCCATGTGCTGTTGAATAGAATGTGTATTCTACAGTTCTTGGATGAAATGTTCTGTATATATCTGTTAAGTCCATTTGTTCTAAGGTATAGTTTAAATCCATTGTTTCTTTGTTGACTTTTCTGTCTTGATGACCTGTCTAGCGCTGTCAGTGGAGTATTAAAGTTCCCCACTCTTATTGTGTTGCCATCTATCTCATTTCTTAGATCTATTAGTACCTGTTGTATAGATTTGGGAGCTCCGGTGTTAGGTGCATATATGGTTAGGATTGTGATGTTTTCCAGGACAAGGCTTTTTAGCATTATATAATACCCCTCCTCCATGTCTCTTTTAACTGCTGTTGCTTTAAAGTTTGTTTTGTCTGATATAAGAACAGCTACTTCTGCTTTTGTTTTATCACATTAGCAGAGCTGATTTTCTGGTTCCTTCTCATTTGGTAGGCTCTGTCAGAGGGAAGGTCTAGAGCTGAAGGCTGTTCAGATTCTTTTGTCCCACAGGGTGTTCCCTTGATGTAGTATTCTCCCCCTTTCCTGTGAGCTGAGCTGCAGTGATTGCTATCTCTCTTCTGGGTCTAGCCATCCAGCAAGTCTGCCCGGCTCTGGGCTGGTACTGGGGGTTGTCTGCACAAAGTCCTGTGATGTGAAGCATCTATGGGTCTCTCAGCGATGGATGCCAGCACCTGTTCCAGTGGAGGTGGCAGGGGGGTGAAATGGACTCTGTGAGCGTTCTTAGCTTTGGTGGTTTAATGTTCTGTTTTTGTGCCGGTTGGCCTCCTGACGGGAGGTAGCGCTTTCGAGAGAGCATCAGCTGTGCTAGTATGGAGAGGGACCAGCAGTGGGTGGGACCCTAGAACTCCCAAGAGTATATGCCCTTTGTCCTCAGCTACCAGAGGAGGTAGGGAAGGACCATCAATGGGGGGCAGGGCTAGGCGTGTCTGAGCTCAGACTCTCCGTTGGGTCTTGCTGTGCTGCGGCTGCTGTAGGGAATGGGGGTGAGGTTCCCAGGTCAATGGAGTTGTGTTCCTGGGAGGATTATGGCTGCCTCTGCTGAGTCATGCAGGCTGTCAGGGAAGTGGGGCAATTCGGTAGTCACAGGCCTCACCCAGCTCCCACACAATCTGAAGGGCCAGTCTCACTTCCACCGTGTGCCTGCTAACGGCACCAAGTTTGTTTCCTGGCAGTGGGCAAGCAAAGCTGAGAACTTACCCCAGGCTATCCACCTCCCAGATGCAAAAGAAAAGGGCTTTAGTTCCTCCCCATCCTGTGGAGGCTACACGTCAGATTCGCGCCTTCCCCTGAGTTCTGGCCAGGAGGCTCTTGCCCAGTTCAAATTGTTAAAAAGTTCAGCTTGAGACTTCCTTTTCCTTTGCCTCTGACTGCCCCCCGATCCCTGTGGTGACAGGCAAGAATGGCCTGCTTGGGGACCCAGTGAGCTCCCAGGGCCTTTCCCGCTGCCTCCTCTACCCCTGTATTTCGCTCAGCTCTCTAAATTGACTCTGCTCCAGGTAAGGTCAGAAACTTCTCCCACAAACTAGACCTTCAGTTTCCCCAGTGAGAGTGTGTGTTTGGGGGCAGAGGATTTCCCTTTCCTGCTTCTGCAGTTTGGGCACTCCCAGTATTTGGGGCATCTACCAGGTCCTGCAGGAGCAGTCTGCTTCTTTCAGAGGGTCTATAGATTCCTGGTTTATTCCTGCAGTCATTCTGGATCTAAAATTCATGATGCGAGCCTCCGCACGCTGCTCTGTTCTTCCAAGTTGGAGCTACAGTCTAGTCCTGCCTCATGTCCACCATTATCTTTTAAAATATTGCTTCTATCCCATCCTGTATATTCTTCCTTTCTGGAACTCAGCTACAGCTGGTCACTGACTTATGATAGTTCAACTTACGATTTTTCAACTTTATAATAGGCACTTACAGTATTTTTGATTTAGGATGGGTTTGTTGGGACATAACTCCATGGCAAGTTGAGGAGCTTCTGTGCACATGTGTCAAAAAGCCCCTTTCCCATGCTTATGTGTATGGTCTTGTGCTTTTAGCTCTCATTCCACACCTCCACCTCCCACTGTGTGTCTGTGTGTCTGCATGTCTGTAAGTCTGCTTCAAACAATATTTTCTTCTGAACTTATCTTTCACTTTATTTATTCTCTTTTCTTGATTGCCCAGTCAGCTCTTAACCATATGCACCGAGTTCTTATTTTTAGTTCATCTATTTTTCAGTTCTAGACTGGACTTATTTTTATGTTTCTCAATTCAATTCCCTGCCAAAATTCTTTTTTTTTCTTCTTTGAGATGGAGTCTCAGTCTCCAGGCTGGAGTGCAGTGCCACAATCTCAGCTCACTGCAACCTCCGTCTCCCGGGTTCAAGCGATTCTCCTGCCTCAGCCTCCCAAGTAGCTGGGACTACAGGCATGTGCCACCATGCGCAGCTAATTTTTGTATTTTTAGTAGAGACGGGGTTTCACCATGTTGGCCAGGATGGTCTCGATCTCCTGACCTCATGATCCGCCTGCCTCAGCCTCCCAAGGTGCTGGGATTACAGGCATGAGCCACTGCACCCAGCCCAAAATTCTTTAACATCTACCATATTAAATATAATTATTTTAGACTACAGTCATGCATCACTTAATGATGAGATACATTCTAAGAAATGCATTGTTAGGCAACTTCCCCATTGTGCAAACATCACAGAGTTCATTTACACAAACCTAGATGGTGCAGCCTACTACACACCTAGGCTATATGGTATAGCCTACTGTTCCTAGGCTACAAACCTGTACAGCATGTTACTGCACTCAGTACCGTAGGTAATTGTAACACAATACTAAGTATTTGTGCATGTAATCCTATATAAATATAGAAAAGGTAATACATTGCACTAGAACATTATGTCACCTTCAACATCACTAGGCAATAGGAATTTTTCAGCTCCATTTTAATCTTAAGGGACCACTGGTAATTTTAATTGGGTCTTGGATATTATATATTAAGATTTTGAGATATAATTTTAGGCTATGGGTGATTTTATTTTTTTTCCTGAGAAAGTGAAGTTTGCTTATTTTAGGCAACTGGGGTGAGGACATTAGTAATCCAAGGCCACTTTAAGCCAATCAGGTATTTAAGTAATTTGAAGCTGGCCTTGATTCCCTACTATGGCTAGTTTGTTTTTAGTTTACTCTCACTCTTGGGGTATAGCCCTTCAAGTTCCCAGCCAAAAGCCTGGGGTGTTGGCCAAGGTTTGTTCTTCATTGAGGGCCCTGAGTACTAGTTTCTATCTGCCCAGATCCATAAGACTTGTTAAAAGCTCTCTTCAGCTCCTCAGCCTCTCAGCCACTGCTTTTGTCACTGGCAATATTCCCAATGGGGAAAGTAACTCCAAATGCTAGTTTATCTCTCTTGTCTCTAATCCTCTCCTAGTTCTCAGCTTAACATTCCTCACTGCCTTTATACTCTCTGATGTCATCAAACAGATCTCTTTCTTATATTTTGCCATGTTTCCTAGTTATTCCAGTGTCAGTATTGTTGTAAAACAACCTACTCCACCATTTCCAGAAGCGAAACTCCCCAGGGCAGTTTGAATTTGTTTACTGTGCTATCACTGATAAACACTTACTTCATTGCTGGAATAAGCGGACAGTAGTAGTTTTGTGTATGAAAATTTTTATGAAAGAATTCTAAACTGATTTATATGATATATAATGTCAGCATTATATAACTAATCTTGAAATAAAATGTTATTACTTAACTCACACATGAAAAAAAGTGTTTGTAAATATTACCCATTTAATGCCTAGAGGGTATCTGGTTTTGCCAATTGAATAAAGGGCTGCTGACTTCCAAAACAGAAGTCGTGCGTTAGACAGTTAATGTGACAGATGTTGACATCAGCTTTGTAGTGTTACAGTTTACACAGATGAATTTGGTGCAGGATGTGTAATTCCATTACTGTCTGACTTAGTACATATTTGCAGTATAGGGATTTTTTTCAACGTCATGAACACAGATGATCTGCTATTGTTTACATTTTACTAGTCATACTAAAAAATCCAGTTAACTTTGTTATTCATCCATTTCTGACTAATTTATTTTAAACAACTCCAAAAGCCACCAATACTAAGAAGTGACTCCCATGTTGGGAATGTAACATTTTTCAAGCTACTAACTCTGTGCACGGTCACGTGTGTGTTCATAACGGAGGCCTCTGAAACCTACCTCAGTTCTGCACCACTTCGTCTCTCCCTCCCCTGAGGCTAAAGCATACCTGCCAGAGCTTTGCACATGAAGATGGTAAAATAGTTAAACAAAGTTTCACAACAACCCTGCATATCTAGCAAGAGTTGTTTATGTGAAATATAGGTTATTCTGCATTTACACTGAGCTAAAAATTGCAAGCAAAGAGCAACTATGATGGGGATGTGAGGCCACATGCAGATCACTGGATCCAAACCAGAGACATTGGTTGAAGGTCATCTAGCTGTTTAATTTTGGTTGTGGTAAATTAGGTTTGTTTTTAATAATGTTCTTCTAAAATGGAAACTGGACTCCAAGAGTATACAGAAAGGCCTGTTGATGTTGGCATTTGTGGTTTCCCCACAGGCTCCAGCAGAAATGGTTCACTGGTTAGAATGGGAGCTCTGTCCTTTGTCACTCCCTGTCCACGGGCACAGTGGCACAGTCTCCCCGGTGGCTGGAGAGAGGGCGTGGAAAGAGCAGAGTCTGCTCAGGAGTAGAGAGGCCAGCTTTTGCATGCAGCACTGTAGCGATGTCACAGGAATGCAGTCACTGGAGTTGCTTACGTAACCAACAGTCTGTGTGGCCTGAGGCATAGATTAAGCCATTTAAGAAAATGAGTCTGAAAAAATAACTGATTGTTCTCTGCTTTAATCGATTTGTTCCATGATTGCAGGCTACATTGGAAAGTGAGCACGGAGGCGCCCCCTAATGGCTTTGCCCAATAGGAAGCCCCTCACAGCCAGGGAAGTTTCCATGCTGTTAGTTGGAGCCACTCCTTGCCCTACCCAGTTAGGATGCAGGCCCAGAGGCCACCAAGGAGAATCAGCCGTCCACCCACCCCAGAGGGCCCAGGGTGATGTTTCAGAGGAGAGAACTCAGGTGCCAAATGCCTGTGGTCCCATGTGACCAGATGCGTGGCCACTGTCCCCAGCACACCCCTGTGTGTCCAGAGTGGCCCCCACATTCCTTTGATGCAGGGTCCTTGATGTCTGTGGCTGCGATAGAGGGAGCCAGAATGATGGAGAGCCTCAGGCTGTGCACACATAACCCAACACACACCTGCCACACACATGCCACATAACATATTTACCACCCATTCCCCCTGCACACCCACACGCACCGATTCTACACAGCACAGAGAGAGTAAGTTCTAACTCCCACCCAAAATGCAAATTATCTCATCAAAAGCAAACTAAAATCAAATACAAAAGCAAAGAAACAAACAGCTGTGGAAGGCCCTACTTTCTCCTGGCCTGGCCATGCGTCCTAGCCACACTGCACCCAGAGCAGAGCCTTTGTTCCGCCCTGTGCCTCCCGGGCTGCTCTGCTCGTCGTGCCTCTTGCTTGTAGAAGCTTCTGGCTCCCTGGTGGCTCAGTTAGACCCGGAGTCTCATGCAGGACCTCCTTTCCAGTCCAATAGCCAGTCTGGACTCCAGGGCACAGAGGTGAGGGGCACAGCTTTGCCACAAGCCCTGAGCACACTTGCCCATCTTGTTGAGCTTCTCACCCCACCCTGCCCTGGAAGTCCTCCCCTGGGCTCCTGAGTGGGAGCCACAGGTTGTCCTCTGACCCACTTCTCTGGCCACATGCATGAGCCAGTTACTAACTTAATGCACTTTATGTAAAGGCACTGCTCTAGCAGCTATTTGCAAGTATTTTTGTGAAGCAGCTGAATATAGTTTTCTTTCTTTTTTTGTTATACTTTAAGCTCTGGGGTACATGTGCAGAATGTGCAGAATGTGCAGTTGTGTTACACAGGTATACACGTGCCATGGTGGTTTGCTGCACCCATCAACCCGTCATCTACATTAGGTATTTCTCCTAATGCTATCCCTCCCTTGGCCCCCCACCCCTCAACAGGCCCCGATGTGTGATGTTCCCCTCTGTGTGTCCATGTGTTCTCATTGTTCAACTCCCACTTATGAGTGAGAAAATGCGGTGTTTGGTTTTCTGTTCTTGTGTTAGTTTGCTGATAATGATGGTTTCCGGCTTCATCCATGTCCCTGCAAAGGACATGAACTCATCCTTTTGTATGGCTGCATAGTATTCCATGATGTATATGTGCCACATTTTCTTTATCCAGTCTATCATTGGTGGACATTTGGGCTGGTTCCAAGTCTTTGCTATTGTGAATAGTGCCACAATAAACATATGTGTCCATGTGTCTTTATAGTAGAATGATTTATAATCCTTTGGGTATATACCCAGTAATGGGATTGCTGGGTCAAATGGTATTTCTAGTTATAGATCCTTGAGGAATCGCCACACTGTCTTCCACAATGGTTGAACTAATTTACACTCCCACCAACAGTGTAAAAGTATTCCTGTTTCTCCACATCCTCTCCAGCATCTGTTGTTTCCTGATTTTTTAATGATCGCCATTCTAACTGGTGTGAGATGGTATCTCATTGTGGTTTTGATTTGCATTTCTCTAATGAGCAGTGATGATGAGCTTTTTTTCATATGTCTGTTGGCCACATAAATGTCTTCTTTTGAGAAGTGTCTGTTCATATAATTTGCCCACTTTTTGGTGGGGTTGTTTGTTTTTTCTTGTAAATTTGTATAAGTTCTTTGTAGATTCTAGATATTAGCCCATTGTTAGATGGAAAGATTACAAAAATGTTCTCCCATTCTGTAGGTTGCCTGTTCACTCTAATGATAGTTTCTTTTGCTGTGCAGAAGCTGTTTAGTTTAATTAGATCCCATTTGTCAATTTTGGCTTTTGTTGCCATTACTTTTGGTGTTTTAGACCTGAAGTCTTTGCCCGTGCCTATGTCCTGAATGGTATTCCCTAGGTTTTCTTCTAGGATTTTTATGGTTTTAGGTCTTACGTTTAAGTCTTTAATTCATCTTGAGTTAATTTTTGTGTAAGGTGTAAGGAAGGGGTCCAGTTTCAGTTTTCTGCATATGGCTAGCCAGTTTTCCCAACACTATTTATTAAATAGGGAATCCTTTCCCCATTGCTTGTTTATGTCTGGTTTGTCAAAGATCAGATGGTTGTAGAAGTGTGGTGTTAACTTCTGAGGTTTCTGTTCTCTTCCATTGGTCTATATATCTGTTTTGGTACCAGTGCCATGCTGTTTTGGTTATTGTAGCCTTGTAGTACAGTTTGAAGTCAGGTAGCGTGATGCCCCCAGCTTTGTTCTTTTTGTTTAGGATTGTCTTGGCTATGTGGGCTCTTTTTTGGTTCCATATGAAGTTTAAAGTAGTTTTTTCCAATTCTGTGAAGAAAGTCAGTGGTAGCTTGATAGGGATAGCATTGAATCTATAAATTACTTTGGGCAGTATGGCCATTTTCATGATATTGTTTCTTCCTATCCATGAGCATGGAATGTTTTTCCATTTATTTGTGTCCTCTCTTATTACCTTGAGCAGTGGTTTGTACTTCTCCTTGAAGAGGTCCTTCACATCCCTTGTAAGTTGTGTTACTAGATATTTTATTCCCTTAGTAGCAATTGTGAATGGGAGTTCACTCATGATTTGGCTATTATTGGTGTATAGGAATGCTTGTGATTTTTGCACATTGATTTTGTATCCCGAGATTTCGCTGAAGTTACTTATCAGCTTAAGGAGATTTAGGGCTGAAATGGTGGGGTTTTCTAAATATACAATCATGTTATCTACAAACAGAGACAATTTGACTTCCTCTTTTCCTATTTGAATACCCTTTATTTCTTTCTCTTGCCTGATTACCCTGGCTAGAACTTCCAATACTATGTTGAATAGGAATGGTGAAGAGGGCATCCTTGTCTTGTGCTGGTTTTCAAAGGGAATGCTTCCAGTTTTTGCCCATTCAGTATGATGTTAGCTCTGGGTTTGTCATAAATAGCTCTTAATATTTTGAGATATGTTCCATTGATACCTAGTTTATTGAGAGTTTTTACCATGAAGGGGTGTTGAATTTTGTCGAAGGCCTTTTCTGCATCCATTGAGATAATCATGTGGTTTTTGTCATTGGTTCTGTTTATGTGATGCATTACATTTCTTGATTTGCGTATGTTGAACCAGCCTTGCATCCCAGGGATGAAGCCCACTTGATCATGGTGGATAAGCTTTTTGATGTGCTGCTGGATTCGGTTTGCCAGTATTTTATTGAGGATTTTTTCATTGATGTTCATCAGAGATATTGCCCTGAAATTTTCTTTTTTTGTTGTGTCTTTGCCAGGTTTTGGTATCAGGATGATGCTGGCCTCATAAAATGAGTTAGAGAGGACTCTCTCTTTTTCTATTGATTGGAATAGTTTCAGAAGGAATGGTACCAGCTCCTCTTTGTACCTTTGGTAGAATTCGGCTGTGAATCTATCTGTTCCTGGACTTTTTTTGGTTGGTAGGCTATTAATTACTGCCTCAATTTCAGAACTTGTTATTGGTCTATTCAGGGATTTGACTTCTTCCTGGCTTAGACTTGGGAGGGTGTATATGTCCAGGAATTTATCCGTTTCTTCTAGATTTTCTACTTTATTTGCATAGGAGTGTTTATAGTATTCTCTGGTAGTTTGTATTTCTGTGGGATCAGTGGTGATATCCCCTTTATCATTTTCCATTGTGTGTATTTGAGTCTTCTCTCTTTTCTTCTTTATTAGTCTGGCTAGCGGTCTATTTTGTTGATCTTTTCAAAAAACTAGCTCCTGGATTCATTGATTTTTTTTAAAGGGTTTTTTGTGTCTCTATCTCCTTCAGTTCTGCTCTGATCTTAGTTTTTTCTTGTCTTCTGCTAGCTTTTGAATTTGTTTGCTCTTACTTCTCTAGTTCTTTTAATTGTGATGTTAGGGTGTCGATTTTAGATCTTTCCTGCTTTCTCTTGTGGGCATTTAGTGCTATAAATTTCCCTCTACACACTGCATTAAATGTGTCCCAGAGATTCTGGTACGTTGCGTCTGTTCTCATTGGTTTCAAAGGACATCTTTATGTCTGCCTTCATTTCATTATTTACCCAGGAGTCATTCAGGAGCAGGTTGTTCAGTTTCCATGTTGTTGTGCAGTTTTGGGTGAGTTTCTTAATCCTGAGTTCTAATTTGATTGCACTGTAGTATGAGAGACTGTTTGTTATGATTTCCATTGTTTTGCATTTGCTGAGGAGTGTTTTACTTCCAATTATGTGGTCAGTTTTAGAAAAAGTGCGATGTGGTGCCGAGAAGAATGTATATTCTGTCGATTTGGGGTGGAGAGTTCTGTATGTGTCTATTAGGTCTGCTTGGTCCGGAGCTGAGTTCAAGTCCTGAATGTCCTTGTTAATTTTCTGTCTCAGTGATCTGTCTAATATTGGCAGTGGGTTGTTAAGGTCTCCCACTGTTATTGTGTGGGAGTCTGAGTCTCTTTGTAGGTCTCTAAGAACTTGCTTTGTGAATCTGAGTGCTCCTGTATTAGGTGCATATATATTTAGGATAGTTAGCTCTTCTTGTTGCCTTGATCACTTTACCACTATGTAATGCCCTTCTTTGTCTCTTTTGATCTTTGTTGGTTTAAAGTCTGTTTTATCAGAGACTAGGATTGCAACCCCTGCTTTTTTTTGCTTTCCATTTGTTGATAAATATTCCTCCATCCCTTTATTTTGAGTCTGTGTGTGTCTTTGCATGTGAGATGGGTCTTCTGAATACAGCACACTGATGGGTCTTGACTCTTTATCCAATTTGCCAGCCTGTGTCTTTTAATTAGGGCATTTAGCCCATTTACATTTAAAGTTCATATTGTTATGTGTGAATTTGATCCTGTCATTATGATGCTAGCTGGTTATTTTGCTCGTTGGTTGCTGCAGTTTCTTCATAGTGTTGATGGTCTTTACAATTTGGTATGTTTTTGCAGTGGCTGGTACCGGCTGTTCCTTTCCATGTTTAGTGCTTCCTTCAGGAGCTCTTGTAAGGCAGGCCTGGTGGTCACAAAATCTCTCAGCATTTGCCTGTCTGTAAAGGATTTTATTTCTCCTTCACTTATGAAGCTTAGTTGGGCTGGATATGAAATTCTGGGTTGTGTTGAGTAGGGTTTCTGCAGAAAGATCCACTGTTAGTCTGATGGGCTTCCCTTTGTGGGTAACCTGGCCTTTCTCTCTGGCTGCCCTTAACAGTTTTTCCTGCATTTCAACCTTGGTGAATCTGACGATTATGTATCTTGGGATTATGTGTCTTGGGGATGCTCTTCTCGAGGAGTATCTTTGTGGTGTTCTCTGTATTTCCTGAATTTGAATGTTGGCCTGCCTTGCTAGGTTGGGGAAGTTCTCCTAGATAATATCCTGAAGAGTGTTTTCCATCTTGGTTCCATTCTCCCCATCACTTTCAGGTATATCAGTCAAATGTAGATTTGGTCTTTTCACATAACCCCATATTTCTTGGAGGCTTTGTTCATTCCTTTTCATTCTTTTTTCTCTAATCCTGTCTTCTTGCTTTATTTCATTAATTTGATCTTCAATCTCTGATATCCTTTCTTCCGCTTGATCGACTCGGCTATTGATATTTGTGTATGCTTCACGAAGTTCTTGTGCTGTGTTTTTCAACTCCATCAGGTCATTTATGTTCTTCTCTAAACCAGTTATTCTAGTTAGCAATTCGTCTAACCTTTTTTCAAGGTTCTTAGCTTCCTTGCATTGGGTTAGAATATGTTCCTTTAGCTCAGAGGGGTTTGTTATTACCCACTTTCTGAAGCCTACCTCTGTCAATTTGCCAAACTCATTCTCTGTCCAGTTTTGTTCCCTTGCTGGCGAGGAGTTGTGATCCTTTGGAGGAGAAGAGGCGTTCTGGTTTTTGGAATTTTCAGCCTTTTTGCGCTGGTTTCTCCCCATCTTCATGGATTTATCTACCTTTGGTCTTTGATGTTGGTGACCTTTGGATGGGATCTCTGAGTGAATGTGCTATTCCTTTCTGTTTGTTAGTTTTCCTTCTGACAGTCAGGCCCCTCTGCTGCAGGCCTGCTGGAGTTTGCTGGAGGTCCACTCCAGACCCTGTTTGCCTGGGTATTACCAGCAGAGGCTGCAGAATAGCAAAGATTGCTGCCTGTTCTTTCCTTTGGAAGCTTCCTCCCAGAGGGGCATCCACCAGATGCCAGCCAGAGCTCTCCTGTATGAGGTGTCTGTTGGCCCCTCCTGGGAGGTGTCTCCCAGTCAGGATACACAGGGGTCAGGGACCCACTTGAAGAGGCAGTCTGACCCTTAGCAGAACTCAAACGCTGTGCTGGGAGGTCCACTGCTCTCTTCAGAGCCGTCAGGCAGGGATATTTAAGTCTGCTGAAGCTGCGCCCACAGCCACCCCTTCCCCCAGGTGCTCTGTCCCAGGGAGATGGGAGTTTTATCTATAAGTCCCTGACTGGGGCTGCTGCCTTTTTTTTTAGAGATGCCCTGCCCAGAGAGGAGGAGTCCAGAGGCAGTCTGGCCACGGCGGCCTTGCTGAGCTGTGATGGGCTCCACCCAGTTCGAACTTCCCTGCGGCTTTGTTTACACTGTGAGGGTAAAACCACCTACTCAAGCCTCAGCAATGGCAGACGCCCCTCCCCCTACCAAGCTCAAGTGCCCCAGGTCGACCTCAGACTGCTGTGCTAGCAGCGAGAATTTCAAGCCAGTGCATCTTAGTTTGCTGGGCTCCATGGGGGTGGGACCCACTGAGCCAGACCACTTGGCTTCCTGACTTCAGCCCCATCTCCAGGAGAGTGAACTGTTCTGTCTCTCTGGTGTTCCAGGCACCACTGGGGTATGGAAAAAAAAACCTCCTGCAACTAGTTTGGTGTCTGCCTGAACGGCTGCCCAGTTTTGTGCTTGAAACCCAGGGCCCTGGTGACATAGGCACTGGAAGGAATCTCCTGGTCTGCAGGTTGCAAAGACCATGGGAAAAGTGCAGTATCTGGGCCGGAGTGTGCATAGTTCCTCAGGCTCAGTCCCTCACGGCTTCCCTTGGGTAGGGGAGAGAATTCCCCGACCCCTTGTACTTCCTGGGTGAGGCGACGCCCTGCCCTGCTTCGGCTCGCCCTCTGTGGGCTGCACCCACTGTCCAACCAGTCCCAATGAGATGAACCTGTACCTCAGTTGGAAATGCAGAAATCACCTGCCTTCTGCGTCGATCTCACTGGGAACTGCACACTGGAGTTGTTCTTATTCAACCATCTTGCCATCAATCTGAATATAGTTTTCAACTGAAATCTTAGGGCGTGCCCACATGTCAAATAGGTGGAACTTCGCTGGCTGACTGCGAGCGGAGAGCCAGAGCCTCCCCTAACCTAGGGGCAACATCACCACCACAGAACTCCCAGGCTCTCCCGGACCAGGCTCCCTTGGCCATCATATAAACCTCCAGGGCCACTCAGCCCATCTCAGCCCTGGCCACAGGGGACTGGAAACACGCTGCTCTTCCTGTCTGAAAACTCGAAAGTTCCCACTGCTTTTACTCACACCCACAGCCGGTCATCAGAAATCCTGCTGGCTCCCCTCAGAAGCCCAGCAGCCCCTCTATGGGGGTCCACAGCCCAGGCTCTATGCCCCTTGCCTTGCCCACTGCTTCTACTTTTCAGACAGCAGCCAGAGCCAAATATAAAATAGAAGTCATTCAGTTTCTCCAAAAACAAGAAGGGCTGGGCAGGGTGGGGTACTGCTGGAAGCTGATTGGGGTTGTACTGAATCTCTGAGGACCTAGGGGAGGACAGTCCTCCAGAAGAGAGCTGGAGGGCTTGCAGGCCCTGACTTCCAGCTAAAGTGATTGGGTAATATGAGCATACACAGAGACCGTGTATCCCAGAACAGGATGGAGTCCAGAGAGAGGCCTGCACCAAGGGCAAGGGGAAGAAAGGAAAGTCTTTTCAACAAAGGTGCTGAAACAACTGTAAAATGGTATGTTAAAAAAAAAAAAAGGAGGGCCTTGACGCTCTGCCTCCTACCATGCATACGAATTACTTCAAGGCAGGTTAGGCCTAAATGTAAAAACAAAACCTAAAAAGCTTCTAGAAGAAGGCATGGAGGGAAAATCTTCATGAACTTGGAGTTGGCAAACATGTTTTAGAGAGGCCAAAAAAGGGCTATGGAAAGGAAGACAAATGATGAATTGAATTTCACCAAAACAAAAAATTTTGGTTCATCAAAAGACACTTAAAATAAATAGGCTGGGTACAGTGGCTCACACCTATAATCCCAGCACTTTCAGAGGCCAAGGCCGGCAGATTACTTGAGCTTAGGAATTCCAGACCAGCCTGGGCAACATGGCAAAACTCTGTCTCTACAAAAAAAAGAAAAAAAACTAGCCAGGTATGATAGCATGCACCTGTGGTCCCAGCTACTTGGGAGGCTGAGGCAGGAGGATTACTTGAGCCCGGGAAGCAGAGGTTTCAGTGAGCTAAGATCATGCCACTGCACTCCAGCCTGGGTAATAGAGTAAAACCATGTCTTAATAAATAAAATAAAATAAATAGGTAAGCCACAAACTGGGAAATAATATTCATAAAACATGTATCTGATAGAGCACTTGTATCTAGAATGAATAAATTACAACCACAAATTAATTATAAAAATACAAACAATAGAAAAGTGAGCAAAAGACTTAAAAACAGAAAAGAAGAAGATACATGAATTACCAGTAAGCACATGAGGAAATTTTCATATTAGTCATCAGGCAAATAGAAATTAGAACCACAATGAGATATCACTGCACACCCACCAAAACAAAAAAAAATTAAGAATGCTGACAATACGAAGTATTAGAATGATGTGGAAAAATAGAACTTTCCAATGTTACAAAGGCAAAATAATAAAACCACTTTGGGAAACAGTTTGGTGGTTTCTTACAAAATTAAAAATACATTTAAGCCCTTAACCCAGCAATTCTACTCTTGGATATTAACTAAAGAAAAATGAAAACATATGTCCACAAAAAGACTTACTGGAATGTTCGTAGCAGCTTTACTTATAATCACACAAACCTAGAAGTAACGCACATATCCCTCAGCGAGTGAATAGGTGAATTCACTGCAGCGCATCCGCACAGTAGATAGTACTCAATGGTTAAAAGCAGTGAACTACTGATGCATGCTGCAACACAGATGAAACTAGAGACCTTATTCTGAGCACACCAGGAGAGACACGGAAGACACTTACTGCATGATTCCATTTATATGGAGCTCAAGAGCACAGGGGCCATGTAGAAGACAAGATTCTACAGATGTCCCTCAAGATTCCTGTTCCCTGACATTCAGCCAAACACTGCTCTGGTTACCACTGCGAAGGGACTTTGCAGATGGAATTCAGGTCGCTAATCAGGTGACTTTAAAATAGATTATCCTGGATTATCTAGGTGGGCCCAAGGTAATATCAAGGGCTTTTAGAAGCAAAAGAGGAAGACACAGGGCCCTGAGAGAAGAGGAAGAAGAGGTCACCGAGACTTGAAGTATAAAGGGGACTCCATCAGTCATTGCTGGCTTGGGGATGGAGAAAGGGGCCACAAGCCAAGGAACATAGGTGGTGTCTGGACACTGACAGTGACCTCCAGCTGACAGCCTGCAAGGAAACAGGGACTCAGTGCTACAGCCAGCCACCTGGAACAGGGTCCTGGCACACCTGAAGGAGGCTGGAAGCCAATTCTCTTTCAAGCCTCCAGGAGGGACCACGGCTCTGCTGACACCTCTTCAGCCTTGTAAGACTCAGAGCAGAGAAGCCAGCTGAGCCTACTGGACATCCAGCCTACAAAACTGTGAGATAGTAAATTTGCACTGTTTTAAGCTACTATGTGTGTGATACTTTGTAGGAAATGATGCCAGAGGGATTGGCTGGGAGGGGCATGGGGCCATCTGATGTGATGAACTTGATGTAGCCGTGATCTACTTGATCATGCTAGTGGTTACAGTGATGTGCACACTTGAAGAAGTTCACCCAGCTGGGCACAGCTCTGGGCATTCATTCTACCATGTACAAATTATCCAGACATAAAAGAGAATAAAACCCTGTCATTTGCAGCAACGTGTGTGGAACTGGAGGTAATTGTGTAAGTGAAACAAGCCAAGCACAGAAAGATACATTTTAAAACTTTTAATTAAATGAAAGACTGTGAGAACATTTCTGCAGCTAAGAATCTGCCAATGGTCTGGTCTCTTCCAAGGTAAAATCTTGCGTCCTTACCATGGCCCCATGCTGCACACTCCAGGCACAGGCTTCCCTGTCCAACTCATCGATAGACTCTACAGCCACACAGGCCCAGGGCACAGTTTGACCGTGATGTTCTAATGACCAAGAATGCTGCCCTCCAAATAGCCACATCACTCCCTTCCTCATTTCTTCAGATGTCTGTCCTGAAGTCATCTTATTAGGGAACTGTTTGGTGCCTGAGTATTAAAACAGCACACAGTAGGTGCCCCCTGAATCTCTGATGAATGCTTGAACATGGTTCCTGGGTGGACACAGTCCCCCTGATGCATGCAGGTCACTGAGGGATGCAGTCTCCTGGGAAGACAAGTGCTCCTGGGTGGACAGGGCCTCCCAGCCCTCAGGCTCACACAGCACAGTGGGTTCTGCACCTGCACCCATCCCTGTCACCACCCTCATCTGCTTCTCCTGGGTACCCAGCCTTCTGCACCAGGCAACCTGGGAAGAGCGGGGCAGGCACTGCTCACCCAAATTCTGATCCCTCCATGAGTGGGGGCTCATTATTTTGTAGACATAGAGATCCAGCAGGATTTCATTGAATCTGAACAAGCAGGAAATTTCCTAGGACAAGCAGCCTTTTTCTGTCATTTGTGTAGGCTGGTTGGCCACCCACGCCAGCTCTCTAACTGTGCTCTGGGCTTGATGACCTGGCCAGGGTGTGAGGCCTGGACCCTGGTGGCTTGCAGCAGACTCCACTGCTAACCCTGGCATACACAGACACTGTGGGAAGGAAGCGAGTGGACTTCCTGGTAAAATAAGATGGAAAGAGCTAGAAGGCTTTCTTTAGAAGTGACAAATTAAGCTCCTCCTGGAAGCCAGATTGGAAAACACTCAAGAGACATGAAGTGATTTATTTCTCATGTCTTTGGGATTTAGTTTTATTTCAGTTTTAAAAAGGTGCCTCGGGAATTTTTAACTGAAACGATTTAACTGAAAGGAATGGATTTCTTTCTTAAGTACCGTGCAGATCTCAGAACCAGGGTGCAGAGTGCCTGGTAAATCCCACATGAGAAGGCTGCTGTCACTCTCAGCAAGCATACTTTAATTTTTAGGACTGAATTCATTTTGACAGTTGGCTTCACTGTCTTTGATATTTTTATGAAAATCAGTATTTCAATTCCTTTTTAAGAACCATTTTAAGGTTAAAGGCCAGGAGACCTTACTTTGGTGAATGAAGTTAACGGTGTTGCTGATTTCAGTAAGTAGCTTTTTAGGCTGTCTAGAAAGATGATTGGGCTCAGTGAGAAGATTGACTTGCAAGTTAACTCTGGCTTTCTGCAGCATGACGTTTTATTCCAACAGGTTCCCACCTGCACTGAGGCAATAGTAGAAACACTGTTGCTTACACATCGGGGGAATGGCAGAGAGTGGGGCTGAGTAGAAATGAATATAGCCACTGAATTCATTTATTTCTCTTTAAAATCAACTTATATGTTTTTTAAAAATTCATCTGACACTTTGAAATGAAATTATATATTTTCTAAAAGTCCCCCCCGCTGGACTATCATTTTGGTCCTCTCTGGTCCCGCCCTACAGCCCAGCCCCGCTGACCTCCTGTTGTATACATGAGCCAGAGGTGGCCTCCATGTCCTGGCCCCTAGGCTGGTGGACCCATTCACTGCAGACCCATTTGCTGAAAGTCTGCCCGCCCCAAATTCAAGTTTTTACATATCCAGTTGTTTTAAACATAGGCCAATTATAAGCAGAGTTTTCGCCACGGAGAGCCTGCCAGCTTTGCATCCAGCATGAAACCTCCCCAGCATCCACTGCCCACTGGTAAGATAGAGCCTTGTGTCTATAAAGCCCCGAGATGCTGCTGCCCTCAGAGCTCTGACCCCGAGACCCCACTTCTGAGTGACATCACCTGGGCACGTGTCTCAGTCTAGGCTCTCTGGTGAAACAGAACCAATAGGAGATGTAGGTCCTGTGTGCAGTCATGTGCCACATAATGACTTTGAAGTCAATGATCGACTGCATATTCCATGGTGGTCCCATAAGGTTACAGTGGAGCTGAAAAATTCCTATCACCGAATGACATTGTAGCTGTCATGTATTTGCAGGGATGCTGCAAATAAATCTACTGTGCTGCCATTTGTATAAAAGTCTAGCACATACAACTATGTACAGTACATAATACTTGATAACAAATGACTATGTAATGGGTTTATGTATTTACTATGCTATACTTTTTATCATCATTTTAGAGTGCATGCCTTCTATATATATATATATACATATATATATACACGTGTATATATACATATATATATATATATATATATATATATATTTTTTTTTTTTTTTTTTTTTTTTTTTGAGACAGAGCCTTGCTCTGTCACCCAGGCTGGAGCGCAGGGGCACGATCTCGGCTCACTGCAAGCGCCGCCTCCTGGGTTCACGCCATTCTCCTGCCTCAGCCTTGCAAGTAGCTGGGACTACAGGCGCTCATCACCAAGCATGGCTAATTTTTTGTATTTTTAGTAGAGATGGGGTTTCACCATGTTAGCCAGGATGTTCTCGATCTCCTGACCTCGTGATCTGCCCGCCTCAGCCTCCCAAAATGCTGGGATTACAGGCGTGAGCCACCGCGCGGCCCTACTTATATATTTTTTTAAAGTTAATGTAAAATGGCCTCAGGCAGGTCCTTCAGGAAGTGTTCCAGAAGAAGACATTGTTATAAGAGATGGCAGCTCCATGCATGTCACTGCCCCTGAAGACCTACCAGTGGGACAGGATGTGGAGGTGGAGACACTGATACGGATGATCCTGACCCTGTGTGGGCCTAGGCTAAGAAAAAATGTTTAATTTTTTTTTTAAAAAAAGATTATAGAATAAGGATATAAAGAAAGAAAATATTTTTGTGCTGTTGTACATATGTTTGTATTTTAGTCTAAGTGTTAGTAACACTTTGTAATACAGGAGTCAAAAAGTTTTAAAAATTTATAAAATAAAGTAAGCTAAGTTTAATGTATTGTTGAGAAAGAAAAAATTAAATTAGTATAGCCTACTTGTACAGTGTTTCTGAAGTCTACAGTAGTGTACAGTAATGTCCTGGCCTTCACATTCACTCACCTCTCACTCACTGACTCATCCAGGGTAACTCCCAGTCCTGTAAGCTCCATTCATGGTAAGTGCCCTGTGCAGGTGTACCATTTTTTATTTTTTATACCATATTTTTACTGTACTTTTTTATTTTTAGACATGTTTAGATGCACAAATACTTACCATTATGTTACAGTTGCCTACAGTATTCAGTACAGTTATATGCTGTGCAGGTTTGTAGCCTAGGAGCAGTAGGCTGTACACAGAGCCTAGGTGTGTAGTAGTCTATGCCATCTAGGTTTGTGTAAGTGCCTTGGTGATGTTCGTTCGCACAATGATGAAATCGCCTAGTGATGCATTTCTCAGTAGGTATTTCCATTGTTAAGTGGCACATGAATGTGCAGTATGCACACATATCCATACATGTTTGTGTGTGAGTGTGCATGTACATGTATATTATAGAGAGAGTGGGGGAGAGAGACAGACCTATTATAAGGAATTGACCCATGAGGTTATGGAAGCTGAGAAGTCTCACGACCTGCAGTCAGCATGCTGGAGAACTGGGAGAGCTGGGGGTGTAAGTTCCAGCTGAGTCCAAGGCCAGCTCGATGACAGTCAGGCAGAGAGAGTGAGTTTCCTCTTATTTAGCCTTTTGTTCTACTCAGCCCTTCCGTGGATTAGATGAGGCCCATCCATGTTGGGGAGGGCAATGTGCGTTGCCCAGTTTACAAATCAAAATTAAATGTTCATCTCATCCAGAAATACCCTCACAGATACACCTCGAGTAATGTCTGAGCAAATGTCTTGTCTAGGTAAGCTCCTGCTCTGAGGATGTGCCCCTTCCCCATGTATCCGCTGCAGACCACTCCAAGCTCTCCCAGTTAAGCTTGTGCATGCCGCTGCCTGCTTGTGGTCTCATCTCTTTTCCTTGTTAAGCCACCAAATCTCTCAAACTCCCAACACCTCTATGCAGATGGTGGTTTTGCAAGCCTCTGAGCCTTTCTATGTTCTATGCCCCATATTGCCCTCCCTCTTCCTCTCCCGGGAAGCTTCCACTCCTCGCTCACAAATAGCAGGATGTGTCAGCCCTTGTGCAGACCCCCTGGCTCCTCTGCAATACCTCTCAGTCATCCCAGTCCATGACAGTTGTTCCCATGTCTGTCTTACCTCTTACTCTGTTAGCCTCTTAAGAAGCACATACGCATCTTTATTCATATCCATGCTATCAGCACCCAAGGATGCCTGCACGTACAGGGAGCCTCGTGGGGGTATGCTCAGTGAATCCATGGCCACAAGCCAGCCAGCCTTCCCTAAGGCACAGCATGGAGCACTTCCTTTTCTGTAGCTATAGGCTGTTCAGTTTAGCTATTTCTTCAGCTGCCATGAAAACGCTTTTACCATATATTTGCATCATTGTTTAGATTAATTGTATTCTGAGTACAGAGAACCCAAGCATCTGGAAATACTTAAGAATTCACTTTGTTTATAAGATATGGAGTGTGTGAAGCCCAAAAGTAGAATTTATCAGGCTGTAAGTACATATTCTTTTATCTATTCATACAACAATAAGATAATTTCGTCTGTGGAATAAGTCAACAATGAATTAATGCCTGCTATGTATGTATGTGTGTGTGTAAGGTATTTCCATCACGTGATGAATGATGATATATGTGTGTTTAATTTATTATTGTATATGTGTATATACACATACACCAAATTACACTATGCACATACTATATACATACACACATATACAATAATAAACACACACATATATAGTCATTCATCACTGAATGACAGAAATACCTTATGAGACATGTGATTGGTAATTTCATCATTGCACAAATATTAAAGTTCACTTCCATGAAGTAGATGGCATAGCCTACTACATACCTAGGCTCTAGGCTATAACCTATTGATCGTAAGCTACAAAACTATAGGCAATTGTAACACAGTGGTGAGTATTTGTATATCTAAACATAGAAAAGGTATGTGTTGCACTATGAAGTTACAAAAGCTGTGATGTCACTAGGTAATAGGAATTTTTCAGCTCCACTATACTCTTGTGAGAATACCATTGTATGTGGTCTGTCATTGACGGAATTGTCATATAGCACATGATGGTGTGTGTATGTATGTGTGTGTATAATTATAACTTGCTCTTCTTTCACTCAGTTGATATATATATAACCAAATTGAAAGGTTTTTTTCCCAAAATTATTATCCTTTTATCATAAGAATATACTAATTATATTTTACATTACCATGAGATTGATAGTTTCAATACTAATCTTACAGAGTAACACAAAATAGTTATCATTCAGTACTAAAACTGAATGATTTACTTTTCTACATTATTTAGCCAGTTGTTTGAAATAGTTGAGTACACAATTTAGTTTAGCTTTTGGATGTCTGCATATTCATTAAAAATAACCAAAAGGAGCCAGTTAGTTACCCAAACAATCACATCCGCCAGGCATTTAGGTAAACTGAGGCCCTGAGGATATTAGTATAAATTCATTGAAAAAATGCAAACAAAATGAGAAAATACAGGTGGGCATGGTAGCTCACACCTGTAATCCCAGCATTTTGGGAGGCCGAGGTAGGCAGATCCCTTGAGCCCAGGAGTTGGAGACTAGCCTAGGCAACATGGCAAAACCCCGTCTCTACAGAAAAAAAAAAAAAAAAAACAAGCCCAGGACAGTGGACACCTGTAGTCCCAGCTACTCGGGAGGCTAAGGTGGGAGGATTGCTTGAACCTGGGAGGCAGAGGTTGCAGTGAGCCAAGATCATGTCACTACACGCCAGCCTGTGTGACAGAGTAAGACCCTGTCTCAAAAAAAAAAAAAACCCAGAAAAACAAAATGAGAAAATAAAAGTCACTCCTGATCCTACTCTTTAAAGAGAATCCCAAGGCTATTTTGATATCTCTTCTTTCAGTTCTCCATACACATATCCATATACACACGTGTGTGTAGATGTAATATGCGTGTATGTATATGTATACATACACAGGATTTGTAGCATACATCTTTTTCAAATGTTTGAGGTAGAAGCAACTAGCTGTTTCCAAAACCCATCTTTCCTTCTGCCTAAGCAGGCTACGAGGCCTCATGTCCCAGTCTCCCTTGCACTTCAATGTGGCCATGTCACCCACCCCACAGTGGAACAACAGAAAGTGTGCCATGTGCCCTTCTAGGCTGGCCCATCATAGGCTGCCTGAGGAGGTGAAGTTTGAGGAGAGTCTGCAGTGAAGCCAAGAGGAAGAGGCCCTCCTCCCCTCTGAGTAGCAATCCCTGCCCTCCAGGCTGCCATAGTCCCTGGAAAAGCAGTCTCGGCTGTGAGGGACTTCCCCTGTCCCTGCTGGTTGAGTGGGCTGCTGCCGCCCAGGCAGCCTTGGAAGCCACGTGTGGAAGATGGTACCTGGATCCCTGGATGAGTGTGTGGAGCGGAACCATCAGAGGCCTGGACTCCACCCTGGACTGCTGTGTGCAGAAAGGAATAGGCCTTTTGTGTTTAAGCTCCTGATGGGAGGCAGGAGGCTCTACTGATTGCCACAGTTTAACCTACCCTGATTCATTATTTCTGTTAAATATTGAGGTGGTACAAAATTAATTTATCAGAATTCATTATGAAAATACCCAGCTTAGAAAGGGTGAGGGGCATGGAATTTGTCATTAACTTTGAAATCCCTTTGTGTTTCTTGCTAACCCATCATGTTGCCTCCCCCTGGGAAACGACCACTCACCTGAAGTTTGTGTTTACCTTTCCCTTGCTTTCCCTTAGCGTGTTGCCATGCATGTCTGCACCTGTAGTCAATATGTTGCTTAGTATTGCAAGCTTTGGCCTTCAAATAAATGGAGCCAGACTGCATGAATATTTAGGAACTTTCTCCTTTCCTACAACAAGATATTCCTGAGACTCCTCTGTATTGTTGTATGGAATTAAATTGCTTTTTCATTGCCACATAGCATTCCATTGTTTGAATAAACCAAATGTATTTGTTCATTCTACTTTTGATGAACATTTGACTTGTTTCTCTTTTGTGCTGTTATGAACAGGGCTGCTGTATGCATCTTTAGTGGCTCTATGTGCATATGGCAGATGTACGGGCATTTCTGTAGGGATTATACCAACAAGTGGGATTGCTGGATGCCAGGACACAGGGTATTTTAGATAAAAAGGTCAGGGAGAGCCTTTCTGATGAGGTGATAGCTCAGGAGAGACCACAATGAAGTGAGGGAGAAAGAGTGCAGATATTTTGAGAATGCATAATCCAAGCAGAAGGAACAGTGAGCGTTAGGGCCCTATGGCAGAAAGCCCTGGCCCAGGTCAGAGTGGCTGGAGCCCAAAGAGGGACAGCAGGCGAAGTCACTTGGTGCCCGGGGCCAGATTGCCAAGGGCCTGGAGGCCATGGGGAAGACTCCGAAGTTATTTGGAAAGTGATTGAAAGTCCCTGGGGTTTCAAAGGAGAGGAACATGATAAGATTTACATTTTCTTTTTTTTTTTTTTTGAAATGGAGTCTCAGTCTGTTTCCCAGGCTGGAGTGCAGTGGCACAATCTCAGCTCACTGCAACCTCTCCCCCTGGGTTCAAGCAATTCTCCTGCCTCAGCCTCCCGAGTAGCTGGGATTACAGACGCCTGCCACCACACCTGGCTAATTTTTGTATTTTTTTTTTAGTAGAGACGGGGTTTCACCATCTTGGCCAGGCTGGTCTTGAACTCCTGACCTCGTGATCCACCTGCCTCAGCCTCCCAGAGTGCTGGGATTACAGGCGTGAGCCACCGCGCCCGGCCAAGATTTACATTTTCAAAGGGCCACTCTGGCTGTCCTGTGGAGAACAGGTGACAGGGCACACTGGGGTGGAAGTAAGGAGAGGAACCAGAAGCCTCTGGCAATAATCCAAGCAAGAGATGCAGCCAACCTAGGGTGGCAATGGTAGAGATTTTGATTATGATTAGATCAAGAATGCATATTTTAAGGTGAAGCTGCAAGGACTTGCTGATGTCGGGTGTGAGGGTAAGAACAGAGTCAAGCATGATGCATGGATCTTTGGCTTAGGCTGTGTTAGGCTTGGGATGCTCTTAGATAGCCGAGCAGAGGTGTTGAGTCAGGAGCTGGATGTGTGAGTCAAGAGTTAGCCTGAGGACAAAACTCCAGGAGTCATCAGTATTTAGATGGCACTCACAGCGAGCAGCCCTGGCGGGCAATGTGGGTGGAGAAGAGCAGTGGTCCTGGGGCTGGAGCCCTTCAGCAAGCAGAGGCCAGGAGGAGGAGGAGGACCCAGCAGGGGAGACCCAGCTGAGCAGTAGTGGAGAGGGGGCAAGCCAAGGGAATGTGGCATCCCAGATGCCAAGAAGAACATGGCTAAGGGAGTGGCTAGCTCTCAGTGTTCCTGGGGTTGGCAAAGTGCAGGCCATCAGTGCTAGGGACATGGGTGGTGTAAGGGGAGTGGTGGGAGTCGGGGAATGAGAGGAAAATGAGGAGAGTGGGCCAATCGTGTTGTTTTTAACTTTCAGACTCTTCAGACTTACACTGCCCCTTAGAGATGAATCTCAACCATCTCTCCTTAACATTGCCAAAACTGGGACTCAAAGAGGAGGCAGAAGTTGCCCAAAGTCACAAGGCAAGCTCACAGCAGGGCTGTGGCCAAAATCTGGCCCCTGACACTCCCCGCTCTTCTGACTCCCACCCCTGAGTGAATGCCTGTGGTACCCACAGCCCTGGGGGGCTGCTGTGCAGAAAACCCTACCCTCAGTCCTTCTAGGACTTGCTATCTAACACACCATAGCCATGTTGTAAATTGATAGGTATGTGAGCTATTCACACTGTATGTATGGAATTTAGACTTTCATTTAAATTCAGGGTAAATTCATTTAAAGAAATTGACTATAAAAGCTGAGGCTAAGCCTCCCACCCACCACATCTGCGCTGTCTGCAGAGTCTTTATGTTCTGCCTGCATTTCCCTTCTTTGGTCATTCTATCCTGGAGGAAAGAAACCAGATAAATGGATTCACTCCTAGAGTAATAGGAAGGGTTAATAGTAATCGTAACTGGCAGGAGCCTTTCTCCATGGGGTGAACCAGCGTAGCCTCACCTTCAGAATTCCTGCTGAGGGACCATCCTGACCCTACCTGCCTTTCTTCTATTTTAATGTATACATTTATATTCACATGCATATGTCATTTTGCATGAATGGTATCATAACATATATATCATTTGTTTCTAGAAAAAGTCTTCTTTGTTGCTTGGCTCATCCCAATCCCTCCTTCCTCTCTCTATTGATGTCATTACAACTCCCGGAAACCCATGTGAGCAAGCTAGTATGTGTTCTTCCATATTTTTCTCCAAGCTCAAATAGTGGTCTGTAGACACCTATGTACATATACATCTTTATGTATACACATATATGTATACACATATGAATACAGCCGGGGCTCTTTCTGGAGCACATAAGAATCTGGAGGTTGCAAGTGAGAAGGATTTTCAGACCACCACTTAGAGGCTTGCACCCCAGCTGGAAGGGTAGAGGAGTGAAGGGCAGGGAAGCCGCAGATAGAAACACATAACTCAAAGGTCAAGCTCTCAACCCTGGGGATGCCGGGTGGGGACGCACTGTGCTGTCACAGCCTACTGCCCCAGAGCACCGAAGCAGCTCACCTGTAGGTATTCTCCTGGGTGCAGCATGACTCACAGGCAGAGCCACTGTCACCATCTGGGCTGCTGAGGATGAGATTCCCCAGAGCTGGGCCAGAAGCTGTCTGTTTCTGCTCGCAGCTAACCTCAGTATTCGAAGACTTCTCCTGCTGCCTTCCACGCCTCGCATGAATGTTTGTCATTTGAGAACCTAGAGCTTGTCTGGAAAGCAGTTCTGGGAAGTGCCATTCCAGGCTGTTCCCAAATTACGCAGAGGAGAATGAAGGGAGGGGAAAGGTTGAGCACAGGCTCTCCAGCACCATCCACCCCTTTTGTCAAATCCTCACCCATCCATATCCTTTGGCCCATATCTAACCAGCAAGCAACAGCAGTAACATCGTGCCCTGCTAATTTTACTCTTCTTCATTCCACTGGAAATGTGCATGCATCTCACCAACAAAGGGAGGCGCAATGTCCTCCAAGTCACCAAACCCATCTTGAGTTTTGTTCATTTGCCATCTAGCTCACTCACAACCCATTTGTGATAAACTATACCTTAAAGACTGAATTAAGAGTTTAATTTCTCCTCATCAATAGGTCTTATGGCATATGACAAGGAAGCAAGAGGGCACATAGGATTTCTATACTCCACTAGATAAATCACCAAACCGGAGAGAAATAGGCAGGCCATCATGATCTTGAACACTGCACCTTGCAGACTCCAGCTGACGTGTCTGTGACCCTTTTCCACTGCATCTATTGGGCACCCCTTGTCTGCAGCAAGCACCCAGACTTTCATATCCAAAGAGCTCAGCATTAGTTGCTGCTGGTGACATGTTCCTATGTACTTTCTTCAGATTTCTACTGGCAACAATCTTGCGATTCTTTGGATGTGTATGGTATATCCTCCCAGGCTGTCTTCGTAGTTAAGAATCTGATTCCAAAACAAGCTGGGTTTTAAGGTGACGTAGGCATCCCCCTGTAACTTGTCTGCTCAGGCAAGGTCATTAGCAGGTCTTCAGACAAGGAGAAGCTTCTCTCAGTCAAGTGAGCAGAGGCTGCTTTGTTGAGCCCAGGGCGGGTCAGTTGATGTTGATGTTGGATTTCAAGGCCCTCTGGTTTGTCAAAAACCACTTAAGTGTTCTCAGGATCCCATCCAGCTCCAAAGCCCCAGTCTTGTGATCACTGCCATACTATGTTCTTAGGAGGTCTAGCAAGGCTTTCAATTAAACTTGTGTAATTCATCAGTGTGCAGTGTCAGAAAGGTCTGGCTCTTTGGATCAATGCCTCCATGGCTATAAGAGCTAAGAGGTTCCTTAAAGGAACTGGGAGCTGTGACTCCACAGCTATACCTGGAGCTGAGAATTAAAGCTTCCCTTGTGTTCCTGTTGCTCTCTAGATAAGTCATGAAGGGTCAGCCCACCCTGCTGTCTTTGTGCTCTTTCTTTTCATCAGAGTTGTCAATCTATACCAGCTGTTGATTTGCCTGCACTGACAGAGACCTCATCTCATCTCTGTGCTCTGTTTTCCTGGAACCATTTCCAGTATGAAATTCTGTATCCATCAACATTTGCTTAAGGAGACAGAAGCTGTTCTAGGTATTCCAAGTAGGAAGGGGAACTAGAGGTTTACACAACCAGTGCAACTGCATGAAATCAGAGAAGCGTTGCTAACTACGGGAGGTTCAGCAGGGTTCCCTGGAGGTCATGGACACCTCATGAGTCCCAGGGAGCATCACACAGTCCATTTTCACACTGCTGATAAAGACATATCTGAGACTGGGTAATTTATAAAGAAAAAGAAGTTTAATGGACTCACAGTTCCACATGGCTGGGGAGGCCTCACAATCATGGTGGAAGGCAAAAGTCATGTCTTACATGGTGGCAGGCAAGAGAGAGAATGAGAACCAAGCAGAAGGGGCTTCCCCTGATAAAACCACCAAATCTCATGAGACTTATTCACTACCATGAGAACAGTATGGGGGAAACCACCCCCATGATTCAATTGTCTCCCACTGGCTCCTTCCTACAACGTACGGGAATTATGGGAGCTACAATTCAAGATGAGATTTGGGTGGGGACACAGCCAAACCATATCAGCATCTCTGCCACTACCCTTCTCAGTGGCCTGGATTTACAAAGCAGGTGCTTCACAGGAGCTTCCCTGGCAGCTGCAGCAAATCTCATGTCTGCCTCTGCCATGCATCTGTGCAACTGCATCCATAGAAAAGTGGCCTGGCTTCATCTTCCACCTTGCATGAATGCCTCTTGCTAGAGACTATCACTAGACTGCACCAGAAAGAGAGTTCTGGGAAAAGTCCTGCAAGCTTCTCTCCTGCAGTGCTGCAGGGATGGAGAAAGGCAGTGGTGGTGCAGAACTGACACTGACCTTGGACAGTAAGGCACAACATGGACCAGGCAAGGACGCTGTTGCTTTATTTTGCCAAACTGGGTTGCATTGAACACACTTTCCAGCATACTGCTTTTCTCACTCAACAATCCTTCACTGAAATCCCTCAAATCATATGTACATGCAACTTCCTTCTTTTTAATGCTGATTAATACTCCAGATGTGGCTTTCAGTAATTCAGCCAGCCAAGTAGATCATGAACACTTCCTTTTCCCTCCCTTCTCCCTCCAGTTGGTCACCAAGCACTGCAGATTCTGCCCTCATTACCTCTCCAACCCTCCACTTCTTCATCCTCATCATCCCTCATTGACATTGCTGTGGTATTGATATGGTTTTGCTATGTTCCCACCCAAATCTCACCTTGAATTGTAATAATTCCCATGGGTCAAGGGCAGGGCCAGGTGGAGATAATTGAATCATGAGGGCAGTTTTCCCCATACTGTTCTTGTGGTAGTGAATAAGTCTCATGAGATCTGATGGTTATATAAATGAGAGTTCCCCTACACGAGCTCTCTTGCCTGCTGCCATGTAAGACTTGACTTTGCTCCTCATTCACCTTCCACCATGATTGTGAGGCCTCCCCAGCATGTGTAACTGTGAGCCAATTAAATCTGTTTCCTCTACAAATTACCCAGTCTCTGGTATGTCTTTATTAGCAGGATGAGAACAGACTAATAAATTGGTAGTGGTAGAATGGGGTGGTGCTGTAAAGATACCTGAGAATGTGGAAGCAACTTTGGAACTGGGTAACAGGCAGAGGTTAGAACAGTTTGGAGGGCTTAGAAGAAGACAGGAAAATGTGGGAAAGTTTGGAACTTCCTAGAGACTTGCTGAATGGCTTTGACCAAAATGCTGATAATTATATGGACCATAAAGTTCAGGCTGAGGTGGTCTCAGATAGAGATGAAGAACTTGTTGCTAACTGGAGCGAAGGTGACTCTTGCTATGTTTTAGCAGAGACTGGTAGCTTTTTGCCCGTGCACTAGAGATTTGTGGAAGTTTGAACTTGAGAGAGATGATTTAGGGCATCTGGCAGACGAAATTTCTGAGTAGCAAAGCATTCAAGAGGTGACTTGGGTGCTCTTAAAAGCATGTTGTTTTGTGTATTCACAAAGATATGGTTTGGAATAGGAGCTTATGTTGAAAAGGGAAGCAGAGCATAACAGTTTGGAAAATTTGCAGTCTGATAATGCAGTAGAAAAGAAAAACCCATTATCTGGGGGGAAACTCAAGCCAGCTGCAGAAATTTCCGTAAGTAATGAGGCATCACATTTTAATTGCCAGGACAATGGGGAAAATGTCTCCAGGCATGTCAGTGGTCTTCACAGCAGCCTCTCCCATCACAGGAGGCCTGGAGGCCTAAGAGGAAAAAATGGTTTCATGGGCCAGGCCCAGGGCCTTGCTGCTTTGTGCAGTCTCAAATCCCAGCCATGGCTAAAAAGGGCCCATGTAGAGCTCAGGCCACTGCTTCAGAGGGTGCAAGTCCCAAGCCTTGGCAGCTTCCACATGGTGTTAAGCCTGCAGGTGCACAGAAGTCAAGAAGTGAGGTTTGGGAACCTCCACCTAGATTTCAGAGGATGTATGGAAATGCATGGGTGTCCATGCAAAAGTTTACTGCAGGAGCAGAACCCTCATGGAGAACCTCTGCTAGTGCAGTGTGGAAGGGAAATGTGGGATGGGAGCCCCTACACAGAGTCCCTACTGGGGCACTGCCCAGTGGAGCTGTGAGAAGAGGGCCACCATCCTCCAGACCCCAAAATGATAGATCCACCAACAGCTTGCACTGTGCACCTGGAAAAGCTGTAGACACTCAATGCCAGCCTGTGAAAGCAACTAGGAGGAGGGCTGTACCCTGCAAAGCCACAGGGTGGAGCTGCCCAAGACCATGGGAACCCACCTCTTGCATCAGCATAACCTGGAAGTGGCATGGAGTCAAAGGAGATCATTTTGGAGCTTTAAGATTTGACTGCCCTGCTGGATTTTGAACTTGCATGGGGCCTGTAGCCCCTTCCTTTTGGCCAAGTGTTTACCCATTGCATGTACCCCCATTGTATCTCGGAAGTAACCAACTTGCTATTGATTTTACAGGCTCGTAGGTGGAAGGGACTTGCCTTGCCTCGAGACTTTGGACTGTGGAGTTTTGAGTTAATGCTAAAATGAGTTAAGACTTTGGGGGACTGTTGGGAAGGGATGATAATTTTTGAAATGTGAGGACATGAAATTTGGGAGGGGCCGGGGGTGGAATTATATGGTTTGGCTGTGTCCTCACCCAAATCTCACCTTGAATTGTAATAATCCCCATGTGTCAAGGGCAGGGTCAGGTAGAGATAGTTGAATCATGGGGACAGTTTCCCCCATACTGTTCTCATGGTAGTAAATAAGTCTCACAAGATCTGATGGTTATATAAATGTGAGTTCTCCTGCACAAGCTCTTGCCTGCCACCATGTAAGACATGACTTTACTCCTCATTCACCTTCCACCATGATTGTCAGGCCTCCCCAGCCATGTGTAACTGTGAGTCAATTAAACCTCTTTCCTTTATAAATTAGACAGCCTTTGGTATGTCTTTACTAGCAGCATGAGAACAGACTAATACAGGTGTCCACCTAGCATTCATTTTGCACCAGTATTGCGCAAATGCAAATGCAGTCTCTGCTATGCAACCAGAGTAATTTTTCTTAAATGCAAATACTTTATTTTCTAAATTAAAAATCTCATCAAGTTTCACCCCTATTGAAAATGCCTCAGTGACTCATCTTTGCCTTTGAGGTCAAATCTAAACCCCACTGTACAATTCCTGCAGGGCATCTCTCTCCTGGCATCTCATCCTCCCTGCCGCCCTGCTACCATCATCCTAACCAGACCTCTCCTCCTGCTGCCCTCCACTTCATCCACACTTAATGACCTCAGTACCTTGAATGTACTTGCCCATTCTACTTTCAGGTTTATCCAGACGCAACTTTCTGTCCAGTAACACCCCTCTCCCTGCTCACCCTGCTGGATTCTTTGCCAAGACAACTTTTACTCTTCTTTTTGATCTCAGACTAAAATGACACTTCTCCCAGGGAGCCCCTTGGATCCCAAATTATAGTGGTTCTTTCCTAGATATCCTGGTGGAATCTGTACTTCTACATAGCACATAGTTTTCACTGCCATTGTTTGTTCTCTGTATTTTTCCCTACATTATTTAGGAATGCGTTGGGCTCCAAGTAATGGAAAACACAAAACAGTGGATTGTGTGGTACAGATATGCACACGTGCACTCGCACACATAATATATATAGTGTGTATGAGTGCACATATATACTATCTAGAGAGAGTATATATGTATTGAAACTGTGGATTAGGGGAGCTATTGTATGTGTGTGCATGTGTATACATGTGCATATATACATATATACATACACACATGCACATACATACAATAGCCCCCCTTATCCACGGTTTCACTTTTAAAGGTTTCAGTTTTACCTGTGGTCAATCACGATCTGAAAATACTAAATGGAAAATTCCAGAAATCATAAGTTTTAAATCATGCACCATTCTGAGTAGCATGATGAAATCTCACTCTGATGTGAATCATCCCTTTGTCCAGTGGGTCCAGGCTGAACATGTCACCCACCCGTTCATCACTAAGTGGCCATCTCGGTTATCAGATCAGCTATTCTGGCATCACAGTGCCTGTGTTCAAGTAACCCTTCTTTTACTTAATAGTGGCCCCAAAGTACAAGAACAGTGATACTGGCAATTTGGATAAGACAAAGAGAAGCCATAGTGTGCTTCCTTTAAGTGAAAAGGTGAAAGTTCCTGACTTAAAGAAAAAGATATTTTTTATTACAGTATTTGTTACAATATACTGCACCTGCACTGTGGGCCTGCTGCTTTTTCTGCCCAATCCCCTTACAAACTTCCTGCCTCATGTTTTTTCCTCAGATTTTTCCAGGACCTGACCTTCTTCAGATACAAACCTCTTGTATGTGATATGAGTTGCAAACATTTTCCCAAATCGACAACTGTCTTTTAACATTTTGTGCATATTTGATTCTCTTTGGGGCTTTTTCATTGTTAACGAAAAGAGTCAAACTCTGAAATATTTGGAGAGACATTTGGAGCCAAATATGAGTGACCATGGCCCATGACACAGGTCTCGGAGATCCTAATAACATGTGCCCAAGGTGGTTGGGGCACAGCTTGGTTTTACACATTTTAGGGAGACATGAGACATCAGTCAAATACATTTAAGATGTACACTGGGGCCAGGCACAGTGGCCCATGGCTGTAATCCCAGTGCTTTGGGAGGCCAAGGCAGCAGATCACCTGAGGTCAGGAGTTTGAGACCAGCCTGACCAACATGGGGAAACCCCACCTCTACTAAAAATACAAAAAGTAGCTGGGCGTAGTGGCAGGCGCCTGTAGTCCCAGCTACTTGGGAGGCTGAAGCAGGAGAATTGCTTGAACCTGGGAGGCAGAGATTGCAGTGAGCTGAAATTGCACCACGGCACTCCAGCCTGGGTGACAAAGTGAGACTCTGTCTCAAAAAAAAAAAAAGGACATTGGTTTGGTCTGGAAATGTGAAACAGTGCAAAGTGGGGGCTTCCAGATTATAGGTAGATTTAAAATTTTTCTAATTGGCAGTTGGTTGAAAGAGTTATTAATAGAAAGGAATGTCTGGTTTGTGATAAAGAGGTTGTTGAGACCAAAGTTTTATTATGCAGATGAAGCCTTCAGGTAGCAGGCTTCAGAGAGAATAGATTTTAAATGTTTCTTATCAGACTTAAGTCCAATTAGATGTTAAATGCTGGATGTTAAATGTGGATGTTAAATGCTGGTCAGCTTTTAAATGCTGGATATTAAATGTGGATATTTAAATGTTAAATGCTGGATGTTAAATGCTGGTCAGCTTTTCCTGCATTCCAAAAAAGAGGAGGGCATAATGAGGCCTGTCTGACTCCTACTTCCCACCTTGGCCTGAACCAGTCTTTCAGGTTAAATTTTAGGGTACCCTGGCCAAGGAGGGAGCCTATTTAGATGGTTGTCGGGGGGCCTTCAAATTTTATTTTTGGTTTACACTATTATGTTCCATTGTTGAGTCTGATCAGAGACTAGTCATTGAGGCAGTAGAGTTCATGCCAGTGTCTCAGAGTGCTCCTTCCTTCTCTTTGTACTTACTTTTCAGAGTTTCTCTGGTTATTCTTGCTTATTTTTTGATGTGAATTTAAAATCAGCTTGTCCGATTCCAAGGAAGGAAAACAAAACCTGCTTCTGTGTTGTTTTTTTTTTTTTTTACTGGAATCAAATCAAATGTATAAGTTAGAGGAATAAATTACAACATTAAGTCTCCTAAACTAGGAACATAGTATTGTTGATGGAAAAACCAAATTCTGTAAAATATATATATATTTTTTGAGACGGAGTCTTGCTCTGTCGCCCTTCTGAGCCAGTACGAATGACCATGACCCAGGGAACAGTCTTAAGAGATCCTGAGAACAAGCGCCCAAGGTGATCAGGTTACAGTTTTGTTTTATACATTTTAGGGAGACAGAAGTTACAAGCAAAGACATGGATCAATACATGTAAGGTATACATTGGTTCAGCTTAAAAAGGTGGGACGTCTCAAAGATGCTTAGAAAGGCAAGGAGTGGGGATGGTCACAGGTCATAGGTGGATTCAGAGAGATTTTCTAATTGGCAATTTGTTGAAAGAGTTCAGCTTTGCCTAAAGATTTGAAGTCAGTAGAAAGAAATGCTTGAGTTAAGATAAGGGGATTGTGGAAGCCGAGGCTCTTGTTTTGTAGAGGAAGTCTCCAGCTAGCAGCCTTCAGAGAGAATACATCGCAAATGTTTCAGACCTTACAACGTGTCAGACTCTTAGTTAATCTTTCCTGAATCCAGGAAAGTGCTAGCTGCGTTAATGGAGAGTCTCTACAGATGCAAATTTCCCCCACAAAGATAGCTTTGCAGAGCCATTTAAAAATATTTCAAAGAAATATATTTTGGAGTAAAATATATTTGATTTCCTTTAGAGTCTGCTATCTGTCATGTGATGCTTACCAGAGTCAGGTTGGAATTTGGTATCTCATTGCTACACAGTCTGTTTGGTGATCTCTATTTTATGATCTCTATTTTAATGTTAATGCTGGTCTGTTGTGTCTAAACTCCAAAAGAAAGGCGGTATTACAAGGTGTGTCTGACCTCCCTTCCAGCCATGTCCAGGAATTCAGTTTTTCAGGCATCTCTGAGGTCCTCTTGGCCCAGAGAGGGTTCATTTGGTTAGTTGGTGGGGATTAGGATTTTATTTTCAGTTTACGATATACACAGTTTAACTTTTATGCCCTTCAGGAATATTCTAAGTTTTCCACATTTATGTTGTTGTTGACAAAAAGATTCAAGCTCTGTAAGACATTTGAAGATATTTATTCTGAGCCAAATATGAGTGACCAATGGTCCATGACATAGCCCTCAGGAGATCCTGAGTGCATGTACCCAAGGTGGTCAGGGCACAGTGGGGTTTTATACACTTTAGGGAGACATGAGACATCAATCAATATGTGTAAGACGTACATTTGTTTTGTCTGGGAAGGTGGGACAACTTGACCTGGGGGCTTCCAGGTCATAGGTAGATAAGAGATAAAAGTTTGCATTCTTTTATGTCTTTGATCAGCCTTTCACTGAATACACAATTTACATGTGAGAGGCAGGTAGAGGAATAATCACTTATGCCTTAGTCTGACTCAGTAAATCTGAATTTTTACATAAACAATAGGGCAGAGGAAGCAACCAGATATGCATTTGTCTCAGGTGAGCAGAGAGATGACTTAGAGTTCTGTCTGTCCTTTGTCCCACACCTGTGGGATAAGCTATCAATTTACATTGCCAGGGTAAAATGCCACAGAACTGTTTTAGGGCTCTGAGTCCCTAAAGAAAGATCTTGAGGCCCATAAGGAATTTCCTGGTGAGCAAATTGTGAGGGAGGTATGTAGTGTTTTTTATCTTTTTAGCTATCTTATTTAGGAATAAAATGGGAGGCAGGTTTGCCTGACACCCTTTGGCTTAGTGATTTTGGGGTCTTGAGATTTATTTTTCTTTCACATTGTGTACATTTCTTTTAAATATATCCCTCAGTACTTTATCATTTTAGTTGCAATTGTGTATGGAATATTCTTCCATTATGTCTTCTAACATGTTTTTCTTCACAGATTAAGGCTATTTATTTATGTGTGTTCATTTCACATCCCGTGTATTCAGCACTAATGCCCTTCACGGACTATGTCCAGCTCTCTGCCTCCCGCTTGTGGGCACATGGGAGGATGTAGTTCCTGGGCCCCGTGTTTGGAGGGAGCCTGTGGCTAGTTCTTGCCATGGATTGTAACAGAGGTGAGATATCACCTCTGGACCAGAGTATTTGATTTTTGATGGGAGATGCTCCTGGCTTTTTATCCTTCTTCCACAGTCATAGGCTTATAGTGGCTGCTCTATAAGCCTGAATCCTGGAATGACAAGCTATGTCACAGAGTTCAGTCAACCCATGGTGGATGTGTGGAACAAGCAAAAAGTAAACCTGTGTTGTTATGACCTCTAGGATTTGGAGGCTGTTTGTTACCATGTTATAGTCACTCCTGCTGTTTATGGTACGCTCTAGGTAATTGTGGTGTCAGTGTAGTGTGTTTCATGGTAGTTTCCACTTTATAAAGTTTCTGCCTTTTAATTTCCTATGCAGATATTCATACCTCTTATATCTTCTGTTTTCATATGTACTTTGGATTTGTTTTAATCAGGTATGCAGATATGGAAATTATTGTTATAAAGGAAGAAGTTTGTTACTCACAATTCCCTGGAAGCAGGGTGTACAACATACCACACAGGGCTACATGGGGAAGCCCTGTTTCTGTATTTCTGTTTTAGGTTGGCTACTTGACTTATTTTTCATTTTTATCATTCCTACTGTGCTATCTGTAGTCTGTTTTCTCTTTTCTCCCTTATAATTTAACTTCATTTCTAAAACAGTTTGACTCCTTTTCCCCCCTGAGTTTAATCAGTTTCTGTTTCACAGTCAGGAGGCAGAGTGAGTAGGAGGAAAACCAGAGCAAGAGCCTTTGTTGCAGTTTCCATGGGAAGGATTGGGCAGGGCACGGCAAGCAGGCTAAGCTGGTTGAGGGTTGGCTAGTCTGAGTAATTCCAGCAGGCCCAAAGTGGAGGGGCTGTCCTGAGTTATCTGGTACCTGGCCCTGGGCTGATTAGAGGAGGGGAATATTGGCCTGCAGTGTAGGAAAGGCTGTGGTTGAGGGGTCTGGGCTTTGGATTAATGGGTTTATATATGAAAGGCAGGCTTGCAGAAAAGTAGTTTGTCATCTCTAGGAATTTGCTAGCCCAAGGAGATGCAGCTTCTCCCAGGTCACAAAGGCCCCAAGATGTCAAAGCGTCATAAAATACAAAGAATAAAAAACATGATTAATATACTTCATTGCCAATTGAACAGTTTTGCCTTATAAAGTGGTTTTCCTCATATTACTTAATGCTTTTTGGCCTGAATTCTACCTTGTTTGATACAAGATCATAATCTCAGTTTTGTTGTTACTGTTGTTTTGTCTTTGTCTTGTGTACCTGATAAACTATTATCTATCTGTTTTAGTTGTGACCTTTATAAATCACTTTGCTCTAGGTGTGTCTCTTATATACAGCAAATGATTCATCTTTCTTTTTAGAGATAATGTAAAAATCCTTTTCTTTAAATAGTTGCATTAAGCCTACTTAAATTTATTGCTCTCACAGATACGGTTGGTTTTAGTTCTGTCATAGTTTCTATTTTTCTGTGTAAATATTTTAAATGTCTTTCACTATGTTATCTTAGCTTTTTATTTTAGAATATTTTTTCTGATATTTTAAAAAACTATGTTAATGGTTACTTTTTTAACCACTAGTATAACAATACAATTATGTTTATAACTAGTGGTTATATAAGTTTGCCTTTATGTAATATCCTATATCCCTTTTTCTTTAGACAATATCAGTTTATTCCCTATATGCCTCAATAAAACAAGCTTCTATCTTCTTCCTTCATTCTCCCCTCTCTCTTCTACCATCTAATTTAACCAATAGTATATCTTTTGTCTGTTCTTATTGTTTGCCCTTCTACTATTAAATATGCTTACATATACATATTTGACCTGTCAACTGTAGTTTTGTTTTTTTTGTTGTTGTTATGTTTGAGACGGAGTCTTGCTCTGTCGCCCAGGCTGGCATGCAGTGGTGCAATCTCAGCTCACTGCAACCTCCACCTCCCAGGTTCAAGCAATGCTTGTACCTCAGCCTTCTGAGCAGCTGGGACTACAGGCGTGTCCCACCATGTCCAGGTAATTTTTGTATTTTTGGTAGAGACAGGGTTTCGCCATGTTGGCCAGGCTAGTCTCAAACTCCTGACCTCAAGTGATCTGCCTACTTTGGCCTCCCAAAGTACTGGGATTACAGGTGTGAAACACTGCACCTGGCCTGATCTGTCAACTGTAAACATTATCTTTGCAGTCTCATGTATAACAGCTGAGGCATTGCAAATTTATTCTGCTTTCTAAATTCTACCATTTTTGTTGATTGTGTCATTTTCATTTTGACAGAATATTGATATTCTTCTTCATCACTTGTATCTCTACCTTTGCTTTTCCTTAGATGTGCAGTTAAATAAACTTACTGCTGCCTGACTGCTCCTTTGCCAGACTCTTATTCATCTCTTGATTGGCTGGAGTTCATCCTCTATTAATTTTCTCAAAAAGTGTCCATTTGAGAAATGTTTTCTGAACGATTCATGTTTAAAATGGTTTGTCTACAGCCTTTATACAGAAAAGAGTAGACTGGATGGGCATAAAGCTTTCTTAGCTCATATTGCTTTCTTTCCTTCAGTATCTTGTAGATGTGGCCCTATTGTCTTTTGGCATTGACTGTTGCTGCCAAGAAGTATGTTGCTAACCTGATTTTCTTTCTTTTTTGCTTACATATTTAAAAAATTCTCTTTATCTTTAAAAGAGGATAATTTTAAAATATGTTGGTATTGGCTATACTAGAACAGTTTCCTTATATACAGTGTGCCCTTTAAATGTGTAAAATCAAATATTTCAAAAAGTTTGCTTTTTTAATTAAAGTCTTTAAATTCTTTTTTTTTCCTTTCCATTATTTCAGGTTTTTTATTTGGGGCTCAAATTATGAGTATGTTGGATTTTTTTACCTATACTCGGTATCTAACATTTTTCTTTAACCCTGTGTTTCTTTATTTCTGTTTTGTCTACTTTACTTTTCATTTTTATCATTCTTACTATGCTATCTGCAGTCTGTTTTCTCTTTTCTCCCTTATAATTTAACTTCATTCCTAAAACAGTTTGACTCCTTTTTCCCCTGAGTTTAGTCAGTTTCTGTTTCACCTCCTCCTGTGAGTTCATGTATATCTGATTTATAGTTTTTCTTCAGAGCTGTGATACTTTTGTACTAAATTAAAGCAGCTCATCCCTCTCTGAGTGCCAAAATACATATGTTAAGTTTAACTTGAAATCCACTGCCTCTTAAGACAATGAAAAAAAATCAAATGATTTAGGAGTTTAAGGCATAAACATTTTCAGCAGTAAACTGTACTAGAGGTTGTAGTTCTTACCATGAAATCTGTGTCTACTAGTAATCCAATAACTTGCTTTTTGGTGATAATCAGAAATTGAGGCATCCTGGAAGAAAAACTTCACAGGAAGCTTCCTCAGTCTTTGAATTATTTTGGTTAAGGTCTTCTTCCATACAGCTATACTGTCTTGCTGCTTGGAGGAACTATTCCTGGAAGAAGAAACAGAGTAAGCAAATACAGAAAGATAGGACAACAGGAATACAGTTTGAAGATCTGCAGGAGAAAATGAATATTTTCAGCTGTGTGTATTGCTATCCAAAATAAATTAGAATTCTGAACATATAGAATTAGATAAGGAGACTAGAAATTGGATAGTCAGCTAATATCTCCCATAGTCAAATATTTGGCTTTAAAACTTAGGATGTAAGTTGTAACTAGAATTAAGCTTATTCTCATAGAGATGGAATTAATCTTCAAAGGAGGGTATAAATTAAGAGAAAAGAAGAGCAAGAAGAAAAATTAGGGGAATCCATGTGTTTTAAGGGCAGGAAGAGGCAAAGGAAACAGTGAAGGGACCATAGAGTGTCCCAGGGTGCAGAAGAGGAAGTGTGAAAATATCCATGTTAGAATTAGGCTTCTACTGCCCTCCCATGGACTTTATGGCCTCAGTGTGTTTGGGAGATGGCATTAGTAACAGTTGAATGAGAAACTCACGGAGTATAGATAAGTCCGTGTATTTGAATCTCAGCTCCGTTGCTTACTAGCTGGCTTTTAACTCTGAGTGCTGGAAGTTAAACATAAAACAGAAACCTATAATTAATGAGAATAATGGTAACTACCATGTATTAGTGCTTTCCATAAAGGAAGAACTTTACAAACACTATCTCCTTTTCTCATTTAACCCTCATAAGAATTCTCATTAGATGGATTGTGTTATCCTAATTGTACAGGAAGGAATGCAAGGCCTTGGGTGATGAAATGATATATTCACCATCAGAGAATTAGTTAGAAGGTGGAACCAGGGCTCAAAACCAGGCCCTAGAACCTGTGTTCTTGACTGTTCTTCTGGGTTGCATTCCTTCATCAGGGACATGTAGCCTGTGGCTGCCCCAGTCTTCCAGCCTCAGGTTTCACCATGGGCCTCTGCGCCTTTCCTTCTCATCCTTACTTGATGTGACATCTGTTGGGGTTCCCAGTAACTTAAAATGGAAAAGATGAGAAGAGAGCTTATTTTTATTTGCTCCTTAAAATTAAGGCTAAGTTTTTAATTCTTTGATTTCTTTTTAAAATTTTTTAATTTTTAATTGTTATGGATACATAATAGTTGTATGTATTGATATATACATACATCAATATGTATATTGATGGGGCAGATGTGATATTTTGATACCAGCCTACAATGTATAATGATCAAATCTGGCTAATTGGGATATCCATCACCTCAAACATGCATCATTTCTTTTGTGTTGGGAACATTCCAAATCTACATTTCTAGTTATTTTGAAATATACATTAAGTTATTGTTAACTATAGTTGCCCAATCGTGCTATAGGATGATGCCTAACTGAATCGGGTGTAGTGTGTGATACTCCTTCCTGCCGTTACAAGCCCACTGACTCTCAGAGTCGGGAATCAGAGTGCCCACGCTGCCTCCAACTCCCCAGTGTAGCTGTGCCTAGTGCTGCGAAGTGCCAGTCCAGCACCCCGTGTCGGGGTGGGAGCCCTGCTGAGTGCGTACCCACGCTGGGCACACCTGCCCAGCCTGGCATCACACCTGGTGCAGGGCCTGAGCTCAGAAGCCTATCTCCCACCAAAGCTCACTAACAAGAGAATCCCTCCCAAGCTTCTGCTTCGCTCATATTAAGCTTAAAATAAAAAGTAAAACTCTGAGCAAAAGCCCAAAGAAACTTTGAGAATTATTTCAATTCATTTTTCTTTAATTGATGCTTTGTTCCCCTCAGAGAGTAAGCTCTACAACTTGATTTTCAAAGGGGGATGTGATGATCAGGGATGCAGTGTTTAGATGTGTGTGTGTGTGTGTGTGTGTGTGTGTGTGTGTGTGTGTGTGTATGAACCTAAAGGCTCTGAGACTGTATATAGTCACATATTTTAGATGGACGTCACTTATGGGTGTGAAATTCTGCTTTTAGAGTCATGCAGAGGGCCATTTTTCCCCTTTGAAAAACAAGAACTACTGGTAAAAATTCATTAGTTTATGTCCTAATGGGAAACCCTTCTTGTCACAGTTCTTCTCTATGATGAGACCGTTATTCATGCGTTCGTATTGTCACCTCTTGTCATTTCTTGTCCACAGGCAAAAACTGGGACCTGACAGCCGCTCTGAGCGACTATGAGCAGCTCCGCCAGGTGCACACAGCCAATCTGCCACATGTGTTCAATGAAGGGCGGGGTCCCAAGCAGCCAGAGCGAGAGCCACAGCCCGGGCACAAGGTGGAGCGACCCTGCCTGCAGAGGCAGGACGACATTGCCCAAGGTACCGCTGAGGGACTGAGCCTAGGCACAGCCGCCCAGGCCAGTGCACCGCAGCTTGCAGGCGGGTTGCGTGGTACAAAGAATGGTGGGGTCATCACCTCCCGGATGCAGACATATTGGCCTCTCAGTGCCTTCTTTCTCACACTATGCCGAAATGTCCTTTGTTGCTTCTATCCATGGTTCCAACCTCTACCTCAGAAAAGCAGAAAAATGAGTCTGATTTCCTAGGACCCCAAAAGCCCAATAAGTGAGTAAAAGCCAGCATTCCTCCTGGAGTCTTGGTTTTTTCAGACCAAACATCTCTAGTTCTTTCACATATTTCCAAAGTAACACAGTCTCCAAGTCTGTTCAGCATCACATTTCTTGTCCCATGCGCTCCATCTTCTCTATCCTTTTTCTTCATTATGAAAGTAAGATATGCTTATTATAACAAAGGAAACAATACAGAGATATATGAGGAAAACTTAAGAGCATTCGCCTCCACACCTCCCAGATCTCACCAGTGTAATGACGGCTGATAACATTCTGGTGGTCTCCTCCTGCTCCTCTTGCTATATTGTTCAAAATCAAACACATCAGAGTCAAATGCACAGCACACTGCAAAGTGCTTGTTTCACTGAGCAGGAGATGATGAACATAATCTCTCAATAGCTACATTTTATTCTATAATGTGTTAATTTTTAGATCACTGCTGTATTCATGGTGATTCTGTTTTTGCTTGGGTTTTTGTCGTTGTTATTATTTGTTAATTGCCACTGAAAGCAATGCTGAAAGAAACATCTTTATACCTCTAATCTTACATACTGGTGCTTTTGTTTCTATGGGTTTGCATTCCCAGAATGGATTTGCTGTGCCAACACATGTGTGTTTCTAGCTTAATAATTTTAGGGCTTCTTTCCTAATATATTGCTACTCACCATGTGTGAAACCGGGTGTTTCCCTTCAATCTTGCCAGCACTGGAAATTACAATGTATGGTGTGCTGGGCCATTCTTTCACTGCTGTAAAGAAATACCTAAGGTTGGGTAATTTATTTTAAAAAGAGGATTTCTTGGCTCGTGGTTCTGCAGGCTTTACAGGAAGTATGGTGCTGGCATCTGCTCAGCTTCTGGGGAGGCCTCAGGAAGCTTACAATCATGCAGAAGGCAAAGGGGGAACAGGCACTTCACATGGCCAGGGTAGGAGCAGGAGAGAGTGAGTTGGAAGGCAGAGGTGCTGCATACTTTTAAATGATCAGATCTCATGTGAACTCAGAATGAGAGCTCACTTATCACCAAGGGGTTGGCCCGAGCCATTCATGAGGGATCTGCCCCCGTGATCCAAACACCTCCCACTAGGCCTTACCTCCAAGATGGCGGATTGCATTTCAATATGAGATTTGGGTGGTGACAAATATCCAAACTATATCAATCCACTCCTGGGCCCTCCCAAATCTCATGTCCTTCTCATTGCAAAATACAATCATGCCTTCCCAACAGTCCCTCAAAGTCTTGACTTGTTCCAGCATTAACTCAAAAGTCCAAACTCTTGTCTGAGTCAAGGCAAGTCCCTTCCACCTGTGAGCCTGTAAAATCAAAAACAAGTTATTCACTCCCAAGATACAATCGGGTAAACATTCCCATTCCAAAAGGGAGACATTGGCCAAAAGAAAGGGGCTCCAGGCCTCACACAAGTTCAAAACCCAGCAGGACAATCATTAAACCTTAAAGTTCCAAAATAATCTCCTTTGACTCCATGTCTCACATCCAGGGCACACCAGTGCAAGAGGTGGACTCCCAAGACCTTGGGCAGCTCTGCCCCTGTGGCTTTCCAGAGTTCAGCCCCCATGGCTGCTCTCTGCTTTCAGCTTTTCCAGGTGCAGGGTGCAAGCCACTGGTAGATCTACCATTCTGGAGTCTGGAAGGTGGTGGCCCCCTTCTCACGGCTTTACTAGGCAGTGCCCCCATGAGGACTCTGTGTGGGGCCTCCAACCTCACATTTCCCCTTGGCACTGCCCTAGTAGACGTTGTGTGTGAGGGCTATGCCCCTGCTGCAGGCTTCTGCCTGGACACCCAGGCTTTTCCATACATCCTCTGAAATCTAGGCAGAGGTTGCCAAACCTCATTCACTCTTGCATTCTACATGTCTACAGGTTTAACACCATGTGAAAGTCACCAAGGCTTATGGCTTGCACCCTCTGAAGCAGCAGCCTGAACTGTATCTGGGACCTTTTGAGCCAAGGCTGGAGCTGGAGCAGCCAGGATGTGGGGAGCAGTGTCCCAAGGCTACACAAGGTAGCGGGGCCCTGGGCCTGGCCCATGAAACCATTCTTTCCAACTAGGCCTGTAGGCCTTTGATGGGAGGGGCTGCTGTGAAGGTCTCTGAAATGCCTTCAAGGCTTTTTCTCCATTGTCTTAGGTAATAGCACTCATTTAGCTTCCTTTTCGTCATGCAAATATCTCTAGCAAGTAGTTGCTCCTCAGGCTGCTTGAATTCTTCTGAAAAAGCTTTTTCTTTCTTTGCCACATGGCTAGGCTGCAAATTTTTCAAACTTTTACATTCTGCTTCCCTTTTACATTCTGCTTCCCTTAAATATAAGTTCCAACTCCTATCTTTGCTGCAGCATCTGAATGCAGACTGTTAGAAGCAGCCATGCCACCTCTTGAATACTTTGCTGCTTATAAATTTCTTCTACCACATACCCTAAATCATCAAGTTCAGACTTCCACAGATCCCTAGGGTATGAACAGAATGCAGCTGAGCTCTTTGCTAAGGCAAAACACGTGACCATTTGCTCCAGTCCCCAATAATTTCTTCATATCCATCTAAGACCTCCTCAGCCTTGACTCTGTTGTCCATTTCATTATCCGTATTTTGGTCATAACCATTTAACCAGTCCCTAAGAAGTTCCAAACTTTCCCTCACTTGCTGTCTTCTTCTGAATCCTCCAGACTTCCAACTTCTGCCCATTACCCAGTTCCAAAGTTGCTTTCACATTTTCAGGTACCCCCTTGGTACTGATTTTCTGTGTTAGCCCTTTCTTGCATTGCTATGAAGAAATATCTGAGGCTGGGTAATTTATAAAGAAAAGAGGTTTACTTGGCTCATGGTTCTGCAGGCTTTATAGGAAGCATGGTGCCGGCATCTGCTCAGCTTCTGGGGAGGCCTCAGGAAGCTTAAAATCATGGCAGGCCTCAGGAAGCTTAAAATCCCAAAGAGGGAACAGGCACTTTACATGGCCAGAGCTGGAGCAAGAGAGAGAGAGTGGTGGGTGGGAGGTGCCACACACTTTTAAATGACCAGATTGCGTGTGAACTGAGCAAGAGCTCACTTATCACCAAGGGGATAGTCCAAGACATTCATGAGGGATCTGCTTCTAATCCACACACCTCCCACCAGACCCCCCCTCCAAGATTGGGGATCACATTTCAACTTGAGATTTGGAGACAAATATTCAAACTACATCAAATGTGTTTATGTTGTTTTTCTACTCTGAAGAGTGGAAAATGGTGTCTTGTCTCATCTTGTCATTTGCTTCTTAGGCCATTGGATTTCCCCTTTGTAACGTGGCTGTTCGCATACTTTGTCCATTTTTCTATTGATTGGTTTGTCTTTTCTTATCAATTTGTTGCTCTCTTTGTAATAAAGACTAAAACATATATTTCCTCTATATGTATATGTGTTTTTCCCACATATCACTTGCCTTATGACTTTCTTTTCAGAATATTTTCCCATACACAATGTTTACATTATCTTGTTCTCATGGCTGATGAGCTTTCTCTCTCACTTTGGAAGGTTTCTTGGACTACAGAATTACTGAAATATATTCTTTTTTTTTTTTTTTTCTTTTGAGATGGAGTCTCACTCTGTCGCCCAGGCTGGAGTGCAGTGGCGCAATCTCGGCTCACTGCAAGCTCTGCCTCATGGGTTCACACCATTCTCCTGCTTCAGCCTCCCGAGTAACTGGGACACAGGCACCCGCCACCACGCCTAGCTAATTTTTTGTATTTTTAGTAGAGACAAGGTTTCACCGTGTTAGCCAGGATGGTCTCGATCTCCTGACCTTGTGATCCACCTACCTCGGCCTCCCAAAGTGCTGGGATTACAGGCGTGAGCCACCGTGCCCGGCCTGAAATATATTCTTATATTTAATTTAAATTTTGTTCTTTGAGTCTTTTCATCAATTTGAAATTTTTGTAAATAGCAAAGAATCTGGTTTTGCTTTCTCCTGGATTGAGAGAGAGTTATTCAAGTACATTTTCCCACTGAACTAAATGCCAGCTTTGCCTTATATTAAATTCTCAACATACCTGGACCTATTTCCATACCTTGTTCTGCCCACCCCTGTGGCTGCCCCCCTGTTACACTTGACTCAGTGGTTTCACAGGGTCTCACCCTCACCTTCTATTGCTATGCTTTTCCTTTTTTTGTGTGTGCTGTTTTTGAATATTTATTTTGCCATCTAAACCTTAAAATTATAATTCTGAGTGGAATTGGAATGGATTTTTATTTAATTTTAAAAATAATTTGCATTTATAATATTGTTCTTCTATCCAAGAACATTATGTATGCCTCTCCACATATTCAGATTCTGTTCAGATTTTAAGCATGGAAAAAAGAAACTCATTTTTTACTTATTTATCTTTTATCCAGTGAACTACATAAATTCTCTTATTAGTCATTTGCTTAATGACTAAGAGAATCACTTGGATATCTAAGTATACAATAGTATCATCTGAAATAATTGTAAGTTCTTCTTCATATTTATACAATTAATTCAGTTTTTTATTTTATTGAATTAGGTAGACTCTCCTGAACTGTTGCAAATGAATGCTGTCTTTGTTTCTATTAGCTCAGCCTATTATTCAAGCTATATTGAATCTATATCTTGGATTATTCTCAACTGTTTATTCTGTTGTTTAGAAAAGCCATAATTGAGTTAGAAATTTTAATACATATTATCTGTGTCTTCTCTGAGTTTCATCCTTTCTGCTGTATTTGTTTTGATGCTATCTTGTTAGGTATATGTATATTCATAATTTTTTAGATTATCTTCCTCGTGTGTTTTTTGACCAATATATAGGCTGTCTCTTTGTCAAGCCATTTGATATAATGGTTTTTATCTTGAAATCTGCTTTTGTTGATATTAAACAGCTACCCTGGCTTTCTGTTGGTTCATATTTGCCAGAAATATCATTTTTTCTGCTGATATAATTTCAACTTTTCCATATCCTTTCATGTTAAATGTGATTCTTGTAGACAATTTATTATTAGGTTTCATTTTATTATCCAATCCAAGAATCTCTGTCTTTTGAGTGGTTAATTCAATCCATTCTTCTGTCCTATCTTCTCTATCTAGTTAAATTTTTCTACTGGTTTGCAAGTTACACATTCTACTTTTACTCACATTGCAATTACTGCTATTCTATTAAAATCATTATTTTGGTTTTCTTCCTATTATTTTTAAAAACTTAACAACTATATTTTCCCCTGCAAAATACATGTATTAATATGATTTTATGTTGTTCTGTCCTGCCTCTACTTGCTCTCAATCTTATTTAGATACTTTTTGTTGCCTTTGCTTATTTAGATAACAATTAACTCCTTTATTTATTCACATGTATTCTTTTCTCTTTTGCTAAAAAAAAAAAACCTTCCTCAAAGACTACTTCCAAAAACAGTTTTTGCATGGTGAATCTCCTAAGGCCTTGAGTGCCTAAAAAGATTTACATGGTATACTTAAATTTTCATTTAGTAGATTAAAAACTCTAGATTGAAATTATTTTCTTTGAACACCTTCCAACCCTTCCTCCATCATGTTCTTGCACCTTGTTCTCATGTCTTCTAAGAGATTCACTTGACCTGATGTTTTCACATCCCTATTTATTCTGCACATGAATGCATTATTAGTCCCATTAACATTTTTTTTAATCCCAAGTTAATTCTTTGTCTTTATTATTGTTATTATTATTTTGCATTCTGATATTCTATTTATCTCTTTGCATGTATTTACTAGGCTCATTTTTTAATCTAGTCCTCCTGGCCAGTACTTTGTTGCCTTTCTTTAACAGTTTCCCTGAAGCTCCTGGGGCACGCAGTTATCATCCATCTTCACTGTGCTGGAGCACAGGCTCTGGTGGATGCTCCTCCAGATGAGAGTCGGGGAAGGGTACTCAAGCTGGAGAGCCTTAGATGTTGTCATTTGGGCTCTAGAAGTTCCCTGCCTGTTCCCCTCTGCATAGCTGGATTGTCTACTGAGGGCTGCTCCCAGCTCCTCTCTTCTAGAAAGTCCTTGTTTCCTGTAGGGACTGCCCTGCTCTGGTGTAACCGCCAAGCTCCCCAGTGTGTTAGGGAAAGGAGGGAAGCAGTGCTTATGGTGACTGGTGCCCCACCCAGCTGTGCTCCAGCACCACCTGACATTCTCCAGCTGGCACAGGGCTGGGGCTAGGGGATGATAGGGAAGGCAGGCCATGCTGGAGCCATGCTGGGGAGAGGAAAGGCAGGACCAAGACGCCCTACCCCAGGCCCTCTCTGTCGGCCTCACCCATTCCCACCTCCTGCCCCTGAGGATTTCTAGGTGTGTGTGAGGACAGGACACTGAGGCTATGCACTGTCTTGCCCCTCTTGCTGATTATTCTTAAATTCGGTTTCATTTCTGCCATTAGACCTGACTCCAGAGGAACCACCCCTTCCAGTCCTTGGCTCGGTCTTGTGCTCAGGGCCTTCCTTGACTACACCACACGGTTAAGGCTGCTGGTATCTTTCAGGCAGCAGCAATCCAGACAGATGGCCACATGGCAGTCCTGCTCTTTTGAGCTGGCAGCAAACAAACCAACCCATTATCTTATCCTCCTGGTACAGGGGCTAGAAGGACCCTTCTCTCTGCTACCAGAGAGATTGGCAGAATCAGGGCCTAGTAAGTGTAGCTGTTACATACTGTGATCTGACTTTTCTTAGATATCATTTAAGAAAAAAAAAATAGGACTCTATCCCAGCATAATCCTATTAATTGAGCCTTGCGAGCAATCATATCGATTCCTATTGAATTACAGAGTTTCTGAATTAAATTTATGTCTCCTTTAGTTGAGTTCTTCCTGAAACCATAGTGTGCCAAAATGGAAAATGGAACATTTCATATTCTAAATCAGGGCCCAGAAAAAGACCTGTGAGCCCAATCTGGGCTGTTTTTTAAGTAAAGTTTTATTGGAACACCCCCACGCTCACTCATGTATGTACTGTCTTCGACGGCTTTAGTGCTGCAAAGACAGAGGTGAGTAGTTGAGACTGCATGGCCCACAAAGCCTAAAATATTTCTGTCTCACCCTTTAGGAAAAGTTTTGTCCACCTGTTTTAAAATATACCCAGGATCGGTTTTAATCAGGTGTCATAAGACACGCAGACACAGAAATGACTGTCATGAAGGTGGAAGTTGTTTTTTTTTTTTAACTCACAGTTCCTTGGAAACAGGAGGCCCAGCACAGCATGCAGGGCCACACGGGGAGGCGCCGGTCATCTGGAGATAGGAGTGAGGGGAAGCATGGGCCAAAGCCTTTGAGGTGGTTTCTATGGGAAGGCAGGGCAGGGGGAGCAGCCCCCTACCCCAGCTAGTGTGCATAACGGCAGCCAGCTCAGAGGCACCAGGTACCAGGTACCAGGGCCTGTCTCCGGCTGCCTGGTCCCTGGCCTGAAGTGCTTAGGGCAAAGGAACGTTGCCTCCTGGAGAGTAAGAGCCAGCTGGAGAGGGTAGTCAGGAGTGTAGATTCTGGATTGGCTGCTCCGCATAGGAGAGGTGTGCTGCGGGGCAAGGCCTTTGCCATCTCTTAACATTGGCTCACCTGGGAGGGGCAGCCTCTCCCCAGTCAGGGAGGTCCCAGGTGCCAGAGCCACAAAAACAAAGAAAATAAGAAAACGCAGGGCCAGATGCAGTGACTCATTCCTGTAATCCTCGCTGAGCCCAAGTGTTCAAGACCAGACAGGGCAACATGGCAAGACCCCATCTCTGTAAAAATTAAAAATAAAAGGAAAATAAATGAAAAAAGAATATATAGTTAATACATCTCCCCTTTGTCAGTGGCAGGGAAATTCTGTACATTCTTGTACTATGTTTTGTTTTGTTTTCTAATCTTTCTGTATTTTTCTGAGACATAACTTTGATCATGGTAATTCCTGTAAAACATTTTATTTATACATCCAAAAGTAGAATCACTGAGTTCACGTTTAAAGAATCAGTGTGTGAATGTGTGTGTGTGTGTGTGACTCTGTGTGTGTGTGAGAGAGATGATATGTGTGCATTCCTGGGGTGTCACAGGAAATGTTAGAATTAGGAGCATATATTTCTCATTTTATATGATCTTCAACGCAATCTATTAATATTTTTAGTTCAAAAATACTTTTTTCCCTCAAACTCCAAATATTTCATGTTTAGAACTGCAGAACCACATCATGTTGTCCTAGGAATCACCGTGTTTCCAAGGCCATCGAAGTGTCTCATGTGGGTGCTGATTGATGGGCCCGGGAGGAGCATGGGTGCCCCTGGACAACAGGTGCCCACTGTTGAGAGCAGCCTTGAGATTGTCTGTCCCACCGATTGCAGGTGCACATAGCACCTCGATTCTCTAATGCCTGATGTCCCTCTCCATCAGATTCCGAAAAATGGGGCAGTTCCTTCTTTCCCAGATACAAAAATGGTAGTTTGTGGCAAGATGAGTGGCCTCAGCATGGCTTGCACGAGGCAGAAAGACACAAGCCTCCACTGCTCCTGCACTCAAGGACCTGAACCAGCGTGGGAAGCAATGGGCCGTCCCCCACCACCCAAGCTGGGCCCATGTGCTCCCTCCCTCTTCTTTCTAATGTCCTGTGTGGTTTAACTTCTCTTTTTACCTTTCTGCAAAATACAAAGAACTTAATCCTGTTGGTCTCTGAATGAAATTGAAGGTGAATCTAAACCACCCATTGCGAAATGTAGTCTGTCTCTGTGACTCTGTATTCATTTTAATGGGAAAAATACATGAACCTTCTGGAAATTAGCTTCGGATTTAAAACTAACTTGCCATAGGATCAAAAGCTTATGCTTTTTAGTCTGTTGTAACAAAACTCCATGAATGCCATTTCTGTCCAGTGCTCTTGCAAGTGGGGAAGGAAAATGCTGCTGTTCCGGGTGAAAGCTGGGGCTGGGTTTTCCGTGTGACCGTGGTGTGCTGGTCAGTGTGGACCTCAGAGGGGCATTGCAGGAGCACAGACCTCACCAGTGGGCAGGCTGAACTGGAGGACAGTGGGATTCCTTGGGACCTCAGGGAATAGCCTCAGGAATTTGCCACAGGGCTTAGACAATGCTTATTTATACTTAATTTAGGCAACACAGGCAGCAGGCTTTTGAATAAAACACCAGAGACCATGCTTTCCTGAGAAAAATGAAAGATCTACTGCCCTGCTAAAAAGACTTCTCCTTACTGAAAACACTATGAGAAAAGATAACCTATTCTTAACATATATTTAAGCATTCTTGTTTTATGTTCAATGTTAGTCATTAGAACACAGGGCTTATAAAAACAAGCGTGCTTTTGCAGCATCAAGAAGATACATCTACTTTCTAGGTAATCGACTTCCTAACATGGTAACATATTGTACCTTAGAGAAATCCTACACTGCGTTTCTCATTCCCTGGCTGAAAAGCCCAAGAAGAATAAAGCCAGAGGAGAGCATTATTTTTGAGAGTGCTGTGGCAAAAGAATATCCAGACAGAAGAGAAACACATGGACTGACTTAATATTGTGTGTCCTGGGAGGGCCATGTAGGAGGCATTTATCAGCGTAACTTTAGTAAAACAACCTGTCTTAAAACCTGAGCTGCTGTGGATGCCTGAATGATTGTTTCTTTGCATTAAGTGCATAAATGCATCGAGACAAAGAGCGGTCTCCCTTGTACCATTTAGTCCTGGGAGAGGACAACTCAGTGGAATTGAGGTAGATGTAACTTCAGACCCAAGAGCAAGCCTGGTGCTCTTTGACAGTGCTGATGTGCAGTTGTACTGTGGGCTTGCAGCTCCCCACTTACTAAGTGGTTTCATGACTCTTGTGAATAAGTGCCACATACCAGGTGGTGGTGATTAATCCAGCAGCAGGAAGGCCTGCAGGATAGAAAAGGCTTGTAGGATATAAGGGCTGTTGCAGAGAGAATATGGGTGTGCATGTGTATGTGTGTGCACACATGTATGTGTACGTGTGTATGCATATAGTCTGTGCATGTATGTACATGTATGTGCGCTGTGTGTCCTGTGTATTTGTGTGTGCAAATACATCTATATGTGTACACGTATATAGTATGTGTATAGTCTGTAGTGTATGTGCGTGGGCATGTATATATGTGTGTAGTATATGTGCCAACTGTTTCTATGTGTGTGTCTGCATGCATGTATGTGTATGCTATGTAGTGTGTGCACATGTATGTATACAAGTGGATGTGCAGTGTATATGTGTCTAGTGTGTGCATGCATATGATCCTGTGTATGCTTTCGTATTCATGTGTGAGCATTTATGTGTGTGCATGTGTGTGTATGCGTATGTGTGCAGTATGTGTATGCACATGTATATCTCTGCTTATAAGTGTGTGTGCACATGTATATGTATGTGCGCATGTGCCATGTAGTATATATGTGTGAACATGTATGGTGTGTTCATATGTGTGCACATATGTATTTTTGTGTGTTGTGTGGTATGTGCATGTGTGTGGTCTGTGTGCATGAATGTGTACCTGTGTGTGTGTATTGTGTGTGCATAGTATGTGTGTTTATGTACATAGAGCCACACCTACACCCACTCAGCCCTTGGGGCTATCTTTCCTTCTCCCCCTGCAGAAAAGCGGCTTTCCCGGGGGATTTCCCACGCCAGCTCAGCCATCGTCTCCCTGGCCCGGTCCCACGTGGCAAGTGAATGCAACAACGAGCAGTTCCCCCTGGAGATGCCAATCTACACATTCCAGTTGCCAGACCTGAGCGTGTACAGCGAGGATTTCAGGAGCTTCATCGAGCGGGACTTGATCGAGCAGGCAACAATGGTGGCTTTGGAGCAGGCAGGTGAGTTGCCCCTGCCAGCAGGCCCACCCTCTTTAGGCTTGGTGAATGGTGAGCTGGCCTAACCTACTCTATGAGCAAGAGAAGGGCACATGTTCTCAGACTCTGGGCAGTTTTCAGTTAGGATTCTAGATGCTGCACCGCACCTCCTGCTCTACGGGCCGACAGTGTTCTAGCCAGCATGGGCTGGATGGAGGGGCCGATAACTAGGTGGTGCTGAAATCTCTCGAGTTTTCCCCTTGCTCCTAAATCCCAGTCCTCCTTTAAGGAGAACTCTATGCTTCTTTGCCTTGCTTCTCTCTTTCCCCAGACAACTCCTCCGTGGGTGTTGAATGAAAGATAGGAAAGACCATGGGCTTTAGAGAAAACGGGAGACCCGCCACTTCCTGTGGACTTGGGCAAGTCAGGTGATCTCTCTCAGCCTCAGTTTCTCCATCTGCAAAGATGAGGAGACTGCTGACCCGGCAACGCTTTGGGGTACTAAGTGACATGTGCTTTCCATAGCTGTCCATTCCCTGCCTGCGCAGCCTCTTCCAGCTTCCAGGTTAAGGAAGCACAAAACCTGACCTCAGTCTCCTTCCTTCTCCTTAGTGTTTCCTCACCACCCTAACATCCCAATGAAGAAAGCGTTCAAGAAGCAAGACAAACTCTCTTCTTTGGAATGTTTAAGGAGAAAATAATGAGTCCAAAACAAATGTCTAAAACAGATTTAGGTTCTTCCTGAGACAAAGCAATGCCAGTTTCACTCATAATCATTCACATTATAAACATTGCAAAATCACATATCTGGGGGTTTCTCAGGCACGCATGTGGAAGATGTTATGGCTGTCTCCTCAGGCCCACCACGCCCCTCCCAGTGGGAGCCCCGCCTGCCTGCACGGGCTGACAGTGCACATGGAGCATGTCCTCAGCCAGTGGGAAGCCCTGCTCCTGCTGGGGTGGGGAAGCATCGCCTTCCAGTGCTGACCCAGCCTTCAGCCAGCTCTTCATGTCCACTGTGGAGTGGAGCCTCCACTTCCAAGGCTTGGTCCGTGGAGACGTCCCCAGATGTGTCATCCCAGGAGTTTAGGGCTGCAGCCAGCAATGCACTGTTAGGGAGTAGAGCTTTTCTCGGTGCTCGGCGAAGACCCAATAAAATTACCAAGCACTTTCTAGAGTTCCAGAAGAAGACAGGAGAGAAGTACCTGTAGGTTGGTATGATTCTGATATTGGTGGATGGACCAATCAGGACCCTGGTAGGAAAGAAAAGGCAGCACAAAACTGTGAGATAAAGGACTCCATAAAGGGACTGCTTTCCAAGGAGTGGGCAGGATTTAAGGACACTAGTGAAGGATACTACCGTTCCTGGGACTACCCTCAGGCCTGGCAAAAAGACAAGGGATGAGAGTGGCTGATGGAGATAGCCACGGGCAGTAGGTGTGGCATCCGGGAGAGAGAAGATGCTGGGGAAATAAATACTCTGACCACACTCTTCCTCCACCATCCAGGTTCTGACCAGTGCCTCTTAATGGCAGAAGGGCAGATTGCGGGGAGCTCACTGATGTGGTCCACGCAGGTCACCCTCTGCATACAGAGCAGCATGGAGAAGGATAGACGGTAGATCTGTGGGGCCAATGGGAAACATCCAGAAAGTCAATGTGCCGGGAAGTTTTACCAGACCTGGCTTCTGTGTACACGTGTACACCTGCTTTCATGCCATTGCTTGTCATTGTTTGCCCAGGGCTGTCGTCATCCACCACTTTCAAGAGGGAAGGCACAAGATGCGTTTAGACAAAGGACGAGATGTGCCTAGTGGGGCTTATTTGTGTTGGGCAGGCTTGCAGTCAGGTCGTAGCCACAGGACTCATAGAAGCCTCACCAATGGCATGCTTGACATTAGAACAGGCTCTACATTCCCAACAGCTGGATCTCATGTTGTGACTGTGGAGAAATTCTCATCTCAGCTGCTTCGCAGCCATCAAGAGCAATCCAATGACTGGCACCCACAGCCTTGCTCTGTCTTACCTCAGCAAGACTCAACAAACATAAAACAATTCAGCTAGATTAGCAATAATCTAAACCACTCACTGTGGGGGCTGGCTATTTTAAAGACGCTTCTATATGACTAATTCAGATAAGATATTTTCAATAGAAAAAGCTCACTATTCATAGAGAAGCGGAAATTAGTATTTGTTAAGAAAGAAACAAGTTTCATGGGTTACTCTCTGTTGAATGCTACGGCGGTGTAGACCTTTATACAGCTCAGCACTGACGATTGCTAATAGCTTGGGTGATCATAGCAGCTGCCTGAGTGCTGTGTTTCGTGTGAAGCACAGTCTCATGCAAGGTTGTAGGTAGACCCCACCATGTTACCTTCTCCTTGAGCCCTACCATGCTTAGCAAAAGCCTTCACTTCTTTTGAACGTCTTTTCTGTTATTTTTTTCCATATTTTGCATTTTAATTTTTATCACTTATATTTTACCTTCCAGACTAGCATTTTAAGATGGGACTCTGGCTTCATCCAGTCTTGAAAAATACCTTTTAAAAACCCAAACTTAGTGAGTTAAGATGTTAAATTATGAATAGCTCATTGTTTATGTTGGGCACCACGAAGAGAACCAACTGGAAGCAGAGATCAGTGAAGGCAGGAAGCTCAGGCTCCCACCCAGTGGTGGAGAAGCCATCTGGTCTACACTCGCAGGAGGCCTTGAGGAAGTGGGTCTCACTCTTCAGGGAGTGGTCAAAGGTGCTTGTGGTGCAATTCGCGCCTGAAGATCAGGGATCTGCCTGGGACAGGAGTCCTAGTAGCCAACATGTCTTCCTCGTCCCTCACGCTGAAAAATAATAAAAGTGGCCAAACGCGATGGCTCACGCCTATAATCCTAGCACTTTGGGAGGCCAAGGCAGGAGAATCACTTGAGCTCAGAAGTCCGAGACCAGCTTGAGCAACATAGTAAGACCCCATCTCTACAAATAATAAACAAATTAGCCAAGCATGGTGGTGCACGCCTGTGGTCCCAGCTACTCAGGAGGCTGAGGTGGGAGAATTGCTTGAGTCCGGGCAGTCAGGGCTGCAGTGAGCCATGATCACACCACTGCACTCCAGCCTGGGTAACAAAACCCTGTCTCAAAAAAAAAAAAAAGAAAAAGAACAGAGGTACGCAGACAACTGTGTGTGTGCTCCCTCAGAGGAGTGAAGCAGTCTCTGGGCTGGGTGATAGCATGAACCTGACCCCTGCCCACCATCCATCTGACTCCTCCGAACTCCTTTCCTCTGCTCTCAAGCGAGGTCTTAGACTAGGTCATTTCTCAGTGCCCTGCTATGCTCAGACTCACGTGAAGACCCTCAGCCGGCCAGTGCTAAAGGGTCTCCCACAGCCCATCTGGGTGAGGAGTTTGGTCACTGGAAAGCACTGGCAGCTCCTGTACCTTCCACCCCACAGCCAGGCTCTGCTCCCGTGGCCCCCACTGTCACAGTCCACTTTTCCATCATGAAGTGGCCATCCAAGAAAGCTGCTCAGTATTGCTGGGTACAAAGGGTAAATGCCTCTTCCTAATAGCTTAGTGCTTAGAATCTTTATGAATAAACTATTTATATGCAATATTATTTTACTGAATACATGAGAGATTGAAATACAGATGTCAAAAAATTATTTAGTAAAAAAAAAATCCATTTGTTTAAGGGACAGTTCTAGCTGTGCTTGGCAGGAAACATTATTTCTGTCATAAGACTTTGGGTGGAGGACTTCCTTTTCCCTTGGACAGAACATGAACCCAGGGCTCAGGTGGTTCTGAAAACTGGCAAACAGTGGCCTTCACTCAGTTAACATTGCCCACCATCCAGCTGTCCATCCTGGGGCCTGATTCCACTCTCCTGGGGCCCTGCGTGGTATCTGCCTGGCCTCCCGAGCCACATAGGCAGCCCCGTCTATTTTTGAGGCCTCTGTGTCAAGTGGGGTGCCAGTCTGAACTCCCATAAAACCCACAGATCTGGGAGACTGGTCTTCCCCAAGTCTTCAAACCCTGGAAAACACAACCCACTCCCACCTCATGACAGTCTCAGGGCAACAGAAGGGCCGGATCATCTGGGCCTAAAACCAGCTGACCTCCTGAGAGGAAGGGAAACACCTTTCGTTCTTTAATGACTAGCCTGCCATTGAGAAGGCAAGAAACCACTCCTTTTGCCATCAGCTGATCCTGCTGCATTTACACAGGAGATGGCTCGGAGACCGGGGTCTCTGGGTTGGGAAGTATCATCTGCTGCCTGTGGCAGCAGCTAACCACCATGTGGGTGAGATGGTGTGGTTCTTCAGTGTGTCTGGGGGCAGAGGGCAGAGGCATTTTTGTGTAATGCAGGAGTCACTGCATACATGGGAGATGGAAACGCATGTTGAAAAATCTCTAGGCACACCTTTGAGTTGTGCTCCAGGGGAGGATAATTGGATTGAGGGGAATCTGCCAGAGAATGGTAAGTTACAGAGGAGGCTTGTGGGCTTCTGAGTCAGCCCGACCCTGGCTTGAGGCCCGGATTGGCAGGGGGAGCTTGGCCACGTCACTTGGCCGGCTGGAGCCTCACTTCCTTCCCTCTGAAAGTCAGAGATGTGTAACGGCGGCCAAATGGAGACAGATTGACCCAGTGTCAGCCTGTGTTGAATGCCCACGAAATGCCCCATCCAGGTCTGGGGCTACCTCCACACTCCAGGCAGATGAAACCCCTGCCCTCAGGGAGGTGAAATTCCAGTGGAAGAAAGCCGATGAACAAGGGGAGCATGAAAATGAAGTGGGGCCTCAGAGGCTACTCTGGGGAGGTTAGGAAGGAGAGGGAATCCCGGGATGCCGCTGGAGGGCAGGGAGGGAGGCAGCAACAGACACCTGCGGGCCTGGCTTTCCTGGCAGAGGGAGTCTAACATCAAAGTCTTGGCATATTTAAGGAAGCCAGTGTCACCTGAGCTGGTGGAGCGAGGGTGAGAGGATTTGGAAAGGAGGGCAGGAGAATGGGAGCCGGGCGCTAGGGAGCCTCGTCCTTTAGGCTTCACTGAAGGTAGATAAGCAGCCCCTGGAGGGTTTTGAGCCGGGGGCTGACGCGTCTTGATTCACATCTGACAGATTCTGGCTGCTGGAGAATGGACTATGGGGTGGTAAGAGAAGAAGCTGGAAGAGCAGGGAGAGGCAGTTGCTCCAGACCAGGGCAGAGAGAGACGGCTGGCAGGGTCGTGGGGGTGGTAGTGCAGGTGAGGGGCAGTAGAGAGACACGGCTATGGGGTACGTTTTGAAGGCAGACCTACAGGCCTTGATGATGGAGGGCTGGGGCTCTGGCAGGCAGGGAAGAGTCCAGCATGGCCCTAAGAATGTTACCCTGAATATGGGGGTAGATAATGTTGCCTGAGGAGATGCAGACCCCTGGAGGAAGGGCAAGAAGAAGAGGCCAGCACTGTCAGGCAAAGCCCGAGACTGTAGTGAGACTTGTAAAGTTGCTGCCCAGATGAACATGAGGGTCTGGAGTCAGAGAGAGCCCTGCGTTGGGGATGCAGATGTGGAGTTAGTGCCCTAAAGTGAAACCCGTGGGATCCCGGAGTGAGCTCCTCGTAGGACCCTCCCACCATGCCCCCAACCTGGCTCCATGCAGTGGTGAGCATGAGTTGGACACACTTGTCTGGAGCATGGACAGAAAACAAGCTTTCCAAAGACTCAGGCTGGGGCCCTACAGTATTGAGGGCTGAGGAACAGAAGAAGGAGCCAGCAGAAGAGACTGGGAATGTGCGGGCCTGGGAATCAGGGCGAACCAGCGGTGGATAGTGACCCTGACGCCCAGGGTGGAAGGTGTTTCAAGAAGGGAGCAATCAGTGGTGCCAAATATGCCAGTAAGTCAGTGTGCACTAGAAACTGACCGCTGGGTTTGACTGTGAGGGCAAGGTTCTCGGGAAGCCATGCTGCACTGTGCTTGATACAGAGAAAGGTCAGGAAGTGGCTTCCATTCCCCTTCTCCTTATAGCTCTCACCATCGGCTGCTGTGAGTCATCTCTTTCCTCCAGCTACTTTTACACTCCCTTGCCTTCCATCTCGTGAGGCTTCCATTGGCCTCCTAGCTACCTGGGACCATTCCTTGCTTCCAAAGGCAGCTCCTCCCATGGCCAGTTGCCAAGTTTGCCTTCCCATCCTTGCTGTGCTTTGGAGCTTCCTCCACCCATCAGTCAGGCAGAGTCGCGGCTGCGACTCTGGGCAAGCCTGGAAATACCACGTTCCTTTGTGGGCCAGGTGCAGCGTTGGGCAACCCTGGGCATAGGGCCTGGGCCAGAGTGTGGGAGAGACAGAGGCCAGGGTTCACATCTCCTCAGCGTAGTGGTCACAGTGTGGTTCCTGTGCAGCCCCCTGAGGGGGCGTCAGGCTCTCCTCTGTGACGTCGTGATGAAGCAGCCCACCTTGTGGGGCTGTTGTGAAGATGAACTGAGGTCGTGTGTGCACAGGGCTGGATGCATACTCAGCATCAAGTAAATGGCCTCCTCTACTAATTTTTTATTTTCATAGAGTGGTATTTCCTATTTTTCTTTCTTCACACTTTTTGCTATAAAGAATTTAAATTGTGACCAAATACTAAGTTATCTTCTCCAGCATTACAATTATTCATTAGTAAACATTGAGCACCTGTGGTGTCTCAAATCCTATTGTCATAGCCCATTTGCATTGCTTTAAAGGGATACCTGAGACCAGGTAATTTATAAAGAAAAGAGGCTTATTTGGCTCACAGTTCTGCAGGCTGTACAAGAAGCATGGGGCCAGCATCTGCTTCTGGTGAAGGCTTCAGGAAGCTTCCAGTCCTGGCAGAAGGGGAAGGGGAAGCAGATGTATCATATGATGTGAAGGGGAGCAAGAGAGGAGGTGCCAGACTCTTTTTAACAATCATCTCATGGGAACCAATAGAACAAGAACTCACTCATTACTGCGAGGATGGCACCCTGCCATTCATGACGAATCCACCCCCATGACCCAAACACCTCCCACCAGGCCCCCCTCAACATTGGGGATCACATTTCAACATAGATTTGGAGGGGACAAACATCTCAAACTATATCAACTACCAGGATTATTGGGGACAACCAAGATGAGGAACACAAGGCCCCTGCCCCAGAGGAGCAAAGGACATGAAGGCAATACCGCAGTCCCATGGCAGGAGCTCTCACAGAAGCACGTGCAAAGCACAGTGATGCCCAGAGAGGGGACATCCGAGGGCCCAGGTGGGGAGGGAGCACTCCAGTGATATTAAAAGGAGTTACAGTGTCACATTTAGGGCAAGAATCCCCTCATCTTTCTGATAGAGAATTGTCACGTTTTGTTTTCTTTCATCAAAATGTCGTGGGGTGATGAGCAAAAAGACATCTTATTTTAAAGTGTGTGGTAACCACCTGCTCCAAAGCTGAAGTTAATTGGTCCCATTATCACGGATGAATCAGAGGACTATTGCTCAGAAAAGTCAGAATAAGTGACTAATAGCTCCCCACGTGTGAAACCACCTGCCTCTCTCAATGGTGTTCACCTGTGATTTTCTTATTTGCAGAACCTCAAGTTTTCAAGCTATTCACAATGCCAGTGCCCGTGTCTTGTTCCTGTTCTGTGGTTATGTCATGGGGAGTTGGGAATGACCACTCTGTCAAAGCCAGGAATAGAAACATGAAACCATGAAACTTTGCATGTTCCCAATCGCACTCCTTGTATGGAGCACACCTTTATCTCGGGCACCACATTCTAGGTTCTGCTGGATGTTAGAATAGCACTGGGCCATGATGGGGTCTCCGGAGGCTGGAAAGTGCTGGCATTTACCATGGCTGGGCCATCTTTTCAGGGCGGTCACGTCTGATGTACAGCCCTAGGAGTGCTCTCAACTGAGTAAGAGTCTTAACTTCTAGAAGCTGGCTTACATCAAACCACTAAGCCTTGCCCTCCATCCACACAGCTGCTCTAGCAGGCTGCATCCTGCCTACCTGCCCTCTCCCAGGTGTGCACAGTCTCAACAGCCTGGGCCACACTGTTATCTGCACAGGTTACAGGAGCTGTCTGCTTGCCCTTGAGCATTCAGGTGTTTCTCTGTGCATAGCTCCCGTTAGCAGCATGCACTTCAGGGACACGAGTAAACCTCCCAGACACCTGCTGAACACTCCCGGGATACGCCTCCCAGGATACACATGTGAAATGAATGGACAGAATTCCTATTTAAATATCCTTGGGCTAAAGGACGCTGTATGCATTTCTATTTCTGCCTAACAAATTACCACACATTTGGCAGCTTAAAACAGCACAAGTGTATCATCCCACAGCTTCCGGGGGCCAGCCGTCTGCTGTGCTTTAGCTGGGTCTGAGACTCTGCTCATAGTCTCTCAAGGCTGAAATTAAGGTGTCCCCTGGCTGTGTGCTCATCTAGGGGCAGATCCATAAGTTCCCTGCGGTTGGCAGAATTTAGTTCCTTGCAGCTGAATGACTGAGGTTCCATTTTCTTGCTAACTGTTGGTGCCTAGAGAGTACCCAAGAGACTCAGGAGTGATGCAGGTTCACTGTGCGCTGCTTCCTTGCCAAGTCTCATGCATGTGTACAGGTTGCACAAAGCAGGTGTCTTACAGACAGGCAGTGAGGGACAATAGCAGCCTAGGGTTCAGGGTAAGACAGTCACACAAGAGTTAGGACAGTGCCCAGGGTGCATGCTGTCTTGTGCTGCAGCTGAGGGACCCCAGAAAGCAGCCTGCTGTGGGTTTGATACCTGGGGGATACAGTCATTATTGGGCTAAAACATTGAAATACATCCTGTTCTCGGAGGGACCAGAACAGAGTCCAGACTGGTCCAGCTAGTTTCCCGTGATCTCAGGATACTGCATTCCCAGCACATTCTTTTTTTTTTTTTTTTCCTGGAGACAGGGTCTCCCTCTGTTGCCCAGGCTGGAGTGCAGTGGCACGATCTCGGCTCAGTGCAACCTCCACCTTCTGGGTTCAAGCGATTCTCCTGCCTCAGCCTCCCAAGTAGCCAGAACTACAGGTGCCCACCACCAAACCCAGCTAATTTTTGTATTTTAGTAGAGTATTTTGTATGTAGTAGCATGTTGCCTACAGTAATGCTTGAGAACTACAGGAAAGGGGAAAGAACGGGGTCAGTCCAAAGCCATCCAGGACCCCACACCACATCCTTGCCGTCTAGCTCTCTTCTTATGGCATGGCAGTGAAGTTGTTTACTGCTTTGGGTTGTTTACTGTTTGGCATGGCAGTTGTTTACTGCTTCAAGACCAGCCAGAGAATCTCTCCTCTCTCCCCCTTTCCCTCTTCCCTCTTCCGTATTCCCTTTATATTCTACCATCTGCCCTTTCTCTGTAAATCTCTCTGACTTTCCTTTTCTCTGACCACTAAACCCTCTTTTGGTCCTCAGATTAGGTCAGGCCAACCCAGGATAATCTCCCTTTTGATCAACTCAGAGTCAGTGAATAGTAAAGTAATTACATCTGCAAAATCCCCTCACTTTACCCCATATTATAACCTAATCACAGGAGTGACATCCCGTCGGAGTCACAGGTTCCACCTACACCCAAGGGAAAGGGATGACACAGGAGTACACCCCAGGAGGTGGGAATCTGAGGACCACTTTAGAATTCTGCCTGCCACAGATACAGTGTCATTACTTGCAGTATGATAATTCTTCTATGCTAAAAGATCCAGAATGAGAGATTAAATCATACTGAATATGTTGTGGTCAGGGGAATTTTTTTGATTTCCTGATGTGCCACTTTTAACCATTTCACTTGGATTGGTATGTTACAGCACACTGTGCCTAGAGGCAGGCATGCATTTGGACTGAATTCTACTTTTTTTTTTTTTTTTTTTTTTGAGACAAGGCCTCGCTCTGTCTCCCAGGCTGGAGTGCAGTGGCACGATGTCAGCTCACTCCAGCCTGTGTCTCCCGGGTTCAAGCGATTCTCCTGCCTTAGCCTCCCAAGTAGCTGGAATTATAGGCATGCACCACCATACCTGGCTAATTTTTATATTTTTGGTAGAGATGGGGTTTTGCCATGTTGGTCAGTCTGGTCTTGAACCCCTGGCCTCAAGTGATCCACCCACCTCAGCCTCCCAAAGTGCTGGGATTATAGGCATGAGCCACTGTGTCCAGCCAGAATTCTACTCTTGATGGCTTCAAATTTCAAACAGCTTGTCTCTGAGCCCTCCAAAGATATCATACCCTTTGATTGGGCTCTTTTGACAATCAGAACCATGGATGTGGTCATCTGGGATAGGATGGGGTGGGCACTATGGCAACTATGCTTTTGATAATAGCAGCCTTCACGTATTGGGGATCTCCTATGTGCTAGGTGTATTATACGCCATTTTAATTATGTCCAGATCTCACATCGGCTGCATGCAATTGCCAAGATGCTCTTCATTTTACAGAACAGGCAGAAGAGACTTGGGGAAGCCGAAGGGTTTGCCCATGGCTGCCTGGCTGTGAAATGTCCTCATCCTGCCCATGCCACGAGACCTCCTCAGTTCAGCTCAGAGCGTTGGGAACTGTCATCCTTTCCCTCAGGATACTTTCTGCCACGTGACCCATTCCAAATATGAATTGCATGATTTATTGGATTTTCTTAAAAGAATAAATCACCAATACCAGAGAAAATCTCCAAAGGAACACTCTTTGAGAGGCCAAGTAGAAAGCCAGCAGCCGAGTTACACAATTCTAGAGGGACACGTTGCTGAGGGCACCGCGCAGGAACATCTGACAGAGGCAAAGTGAAGGGGGGTGGCCCAGGGCGCCCACAGATGATGGGGGTGGCCCGGGAGGCCCACAAATCACGGCAGTCCCCAAGCTTTACATTTAACACTCCTCACACAGAGTGACTGATCCCCAAGTCCTGTCAGGAAGAAAATCAAATGAAGTTATCAAATTTTTAGGAGTATAGTACGTACAGAAGAACAGTTCACAAGCCCAGGAGACTTCAGACCAAGCGTGGCAAGAAGCCTACCTTGCGGCAGTTCCAGCACAGCTGAGAAAGCGTAAAGGAGGAAGCATTTTGACCATTTTTGTGACTGACTGTTACACATTAACCTTCTTTTTAGGGCAAACAGAGTTAGTTTAAGCTGATTTGTCTACAGCTGGTTCACTGAATCATGTGGACTAGCCAATGTTTTGTGTTTTGTTTATGATTAGAGCTAATATCTCGGGGAAATCAGGATGACTTAAGTTTTGGCTACATGGTTATAGGTGGTTGGCCTTGGGGTGTGTCTGAACTGGGGCCTCTATTTTTCTTTAACAGTCCTGTAAAATGCAGGGATACATAATGTTACTGATGAGCTATTACCCACCAAGACTGAAGTTTGGAAGCAAGTCATGTGATGAATCTGCTGTAACAGAGCTCGTAAGATCAAAAAATATTCATTAAGTCACTATTGCATTGTCATTATGTTCTCACTTTTATTTTTGTGAGGAAGAAATAGAAATCTGTTTGTTAATCTAGGTATTGGAAATGAAAAGCATGTGTTCAGGTGGGAGTTAAGGAAGGGTTAGAAAATAGAACCTTTAGATGTCTTAAGAAGTGGTAAAATAAAACTGGCAGTGTATCAGATCCATGAGAAGCCAGCCTGTTCAACAATTCTGGGTAAAAATAAGAAACATGTGATGTTAAAGCATATATTAATGACAATATGTAGTCACAGTTTTATGTTGTAGCCTTGTTTATAGACTCAGTCAGCATCTAAGGTACCCCTTAAATATTTCAGACATACTCTTTTGCATTTTATGGAAAAAATAAAATGAGGTGAAAATATTTGCAAATTGGGGTTTTCTGAAGACATTCCATCCAGCAGATTCACCACCTGAATCCTTTCTTTGCCTTCAAAATGTCATCTCAGGTTCAAGCAGCTTCCAGCTGTCTTTTCTCTTAGAGTCATCTCTGGAGCTAGACCCATTACCCTTTCATTGTTTTAATTCCTTATTGAAATGTACATGTGGGAAAGTGTGCAAATCATAAGTGTAGAACAGATCACATCCTATAACAAGGACTCAGACAAGAAACTCACATCAAGAAAAGTGACTTCTTATAGCATAGGTTTATTTTGCCTCTTTTTGAGCTTTATATAAATGGAATCATGAATGGGTTAAGTTCTGGATTCTTCTGCTTATCATTAAGCTTATGCAATTCATTCATAGAGTTGTGTAATTACCATATAGCTTATTTATTCTCATTGGTGTATTGCACTGCAATGTATATACATGTATTACAAATAACTTCTCCATTATGTTATTGATGGATTTTTTGGTGTCTTAGCTCAGGCTAACATAACAAAATACCATAGACCAAGTGATTTAAATGACAGAAATTTATTTTCTCACAGTTCTAGAGGCTAGAAGTCCCAGATCAAGGTGCTGGCCAATTCAGTTCCTGGTGAGGATTCTCTTTCTATCTTGTAAACGGCTGCCTTCTCACTGTATTCTCACATGGTCTTTCTTCAGTGCATGCCTTGGGGTGGGGGACAGTTTGAGAGTTGAAGCTCTCTAGAGTCTTTTATACAAACACTAATTCTGGGAGATCAGGGCCCCACCCTTATAACCTCATTTAATGAATTTAAATTACTTCCTTGAAGTCTTCGTCTTCATATATAGCCACACTGGTGATTAAGATTTCAATATGTGAATTTGGAGGGGACACATTCAGTCCATAACAAGCTGTTGCAACTTTGTCATTATTATAATAAAAGTGGGGTGCTATGAACATTCTTGTACAGGTTTCTGGTAAGCCATGAACACATTTCTAAAGATATATACAGTCATCCCTCAGTATCCATAGGGAATTTGTTCCAGGACCCTCCAGATACTGAAATTCTCAGATGTTCGAGTTCCTTGTAGAAAATGGTGTGCTATTTGCATATAACCTACTCACATTTTCCCATATATTTTAAATCATCTCTAGATTACCTGTAATACCTAACACAATGCCTACATCATTTCATCCATGTGGATTTGACATACTATTTGGCACACAGCAAATTCAAGATTTACTCTTTGGAACTTTATGGAATTTTTTTTTCTGGATTATTTCTATCAGCAGTTGGTTGAATTCGCAGATTCAGAACCCACAGATAACAGAGGGTCAATTGTACTTAGGAGTGATATTGCTGGATCATAGGATTTACATATGTTCAGCATTATAACAGTTGTCCAAATAGTTTTCCAGAGTGGATGTACCAGTTGCTCTTCCTCTGTTGAGAGTTCTGGTTGCTCCATGTTTTTTGTCTTTTTGTTTTAGTTACTGTGTTGGAAGTGTAGGAGTATCCACACAGTGGTTTTAATTTTTATTTTCTGATGACTAGTAAAATTAGGTACTTTTCATGTTATTGGCCATTTGCATATCCTCTTTTGTTGGGTGCCTTTTCAGGTTTTTTACCCATTTTTAAGATTGCCTTTTTGATTGACTTGTGGGAATTATTTATACATTCTAGATATGGGACCTTTGTCAGGTGTGTATTGCCAATATCTTCACCCACCCTACTGGTTCCCTTTTCACTCACTGACTGATACACTTTGATGAACAGAAGATCATGACTAAAATAGTTCAACTTACCTTTTTTTTCCCCTTACTTGAGAGCCTCTATTTCAGCTTAAGAAACCTTTGCCTACCCCAAGGTCCTGAAAATATTCTCCTGCCTTTCATACTTAAATCTATAATCCACCTAAAAGTGATTTTCATAAATGATGTGCTATGTAATGAAAGTCCATTTTCCCATATATTCATCAACCTGACATGGTACCATTTATTGAAATCATCTTTTCTTTATTATGCTGCAGTGTAACCTTGAGATACAGCAGGTGACTGTGTAGGTGTGGGTCTGATTCTGGGTCTGTTCTGTTCCATCAACAATTTTGATGTTATTCTTCTTTATCATTAAGTTTAAATCATTTTAAATACTTATTATAATTTTTCCTTTGACTCATAAATTACTTAGAAATATGTTGCTTAATCACTGTGGGGATATTTCTAGGAGTTTTTTTTTCTAGCTTAATTCTTCTGTGGTCAAAGAATGTATAATGAATGAATTCAGACATTTTAAATTTGTTGAGACTTGCTTTATGACCCAGCATATAATTAAGCTTAATAAATATTCTATGTGCACTTGAAAAAAATTTGAATTCTGTCCTTCTTAGGTATAGTACTTTTTATATATGTTAATTATATCAAGTTTGTTAATTTTGTCGCTCAGATCTTTTCTATTCTTCACTAAGTTTTTGTCCACTTATTCTACCAGCTATTGAACAGGGTGTGTTAAGATCTCCTACTATGATTGTGTTTCTCTGTTTCTTCCTTAGTTATCTTTTGCTTTATATATTTTGAAACTGTGTTAGTGGATGCATAGACACTTAGAATTATTACACCATCCTGGTGTAATAACAAAACTAAAGTTTTGTTAGATGCAGCCCTGATGGCAGTGAAGTCTCAGGTTTTCATTTGTCTGAAAATGGCATTATTTTACTTTCATATTTAACAGCTAGTTGTAGGCTTTACAGACCATGTAAGTTCTCTATCACATATTCATTCTCTCTTTCTCTTTCCCTTCCCTCTATACCTCTTATAGACCAAAGTTTACTGACTCCTGATCTATATTATTTTCTCCCTCTACTTTGGATTTAATCACTGTTCCTTTGTAACTTTTTAACATGGATGATTAATTCATTAATTCCTAGCCTTTCTTTTTAACTCTTGCAAGTATTTAAGGTTATTAATTTTTTTCTCCATACTATTTTAGCTATATCCCCAAAATTTTGGAATGTAATATTTTTGTTATTACATGGTTTCAAAATATTTTCTGATTTTCATTTTGGTTTATTATTTGACCCATGAATTATTGTAAGTGCTTCTTTGTTTGCAAGTATGTAAAAACTACTAAATATTTTTAGTTATTTTTATTATAGATTTCTTACTTCCATTGTGGACAAAAAGCATTGTCTGTATGATTTGAAATCTCTTGAGAACTTTGCTTCACGATTCAGAATATGATCAGTTTTTTTAAAATCATTCCATGTGTGCTTGAAAATAATGTTTAGTCTTCTGTTTTGGCTGCATTGTATTTGTCCATTTGGTCATTTATTATGTTTTTCACATCTTCTGTACATTTATTGGTTTATTTTTTACTTTTTCTCTCAATTACCGATAGAGATGTGTTAAAATCTTTCATCATGATTGAGTACTTGTCTATATCTCCTTTTATTCCTATGGATTTTTAATCCTGCATAAATATAATGCTATGTTATTGAATACAGCAATTAAACTGATTTCTTCCTCATGAATTGAGCAGTTGAACAGTGTAGAGGGTGCTTATTAAATTCTACTAATGCTTTTTGCCTTTTGATTTATTTTATCTGCTATTGATTCAGCTATGTTAGCTTTCCGTAAGTTAAAACATTCCTGATGTACCATTTGCCACCTTTCATACCTTTACCTATAGCACTTTTGTATTCCTCTGTTTTAGATTTATCTCTTGCAAGCTGCATGTAGTTAATTTATTCATAAAATCAGTTTCACAGCCTTTGTCTTTTAACAGGTGCATTTATTTTTAATGCAATTGCCATTTTCCCCCATTCAATGTGGTGTTTATTCTCTCCTTACACATCTTCTTTTAAATCAATTAAATATTGTTTAATCATGTCTTTTTAAAAATTCTACAAGTTTTGAAGTTATACCCTCTCTTTCCATTATTAAGAGTTTACCCCTAAAATATGCGTATGAATCACATCTCAAATTAATTAACATCTTAACCTACTTTACACCCAGGCAAGACAGGGACTTTGGAGTAGTTTAGTTTTATTCATCCTTATTCTCTCCTGTTTTGTAAGTTGTTGTCATTTATTTTAGTTGTATACTTTTAATCTCATCAGACATTAGTGTTTTATATAGTCAACATTCATTTTGATTTACCCATATGCTTACCTTTTTTGTTTCTCCTCATTTCTTCTTGCATGTCAGATCTTCCTTCTGTTTGAAGTTCATCCTTTACAGTTTCTTTAGGTGAGTGCTAATTTTACTCTCTCAGTTTTTGTTAGTCTTAAAATGTCTTTGTTTTGCCCTCATTTTTTGAAAACACTTTTCATGGGTCTAGTATTATAGATTGCCAGTTATTTTCATTCAGCACATTGAAGATTTTTTTTTTTTTGGCTTCTTCTTTCCATTGTTCCTTTGAAGAGGTAGGCTGTCAGTCTATCACTCCTTTGAAGATAATCTGGTTTTTTTCTTTCTCTAGGTGCTTTAACATCTTTTCTCCCTGTCTTTTATATTGTGCAGTTTCACTAGGATATGTTAAGGAAGACATTAATTTTATTGTTCTTAGAATGTCTTAGACTTTTAAAATCTGTGAGTTTATTTTTACATATTTTGGAAAATCCTCAGTCAGTATTCAATATTGCCTGATTCATGCCTTTCTGAATTTTGATTGGACAATGTTAGATCTTTTCAGTCTATTCTTATGTCTCATAAACTCTCTTGCATCTTTTCTCTTTCCCTCTTTGTTGCTTCTTACTTATCTTCAAATGTATTAACTTTTTCCTTCAACAGTGTCCAACCTGATATTAAACTGATTCTTACTTTTTTACTTTAATTTTTATATCTTTCATTTTAAGTTCTATATGTGTTTTCCAAATCTGCCTCTTATTCTTTGGTCATATTTTGTTTAATTCTTTTGTGTATTTTAAACATTTTTAACATGCTTGTTTACAGTCTCTAATCATTTTTAACCTCAAGTTTATAGGTATCTATAAACTGCTGATTTTGTGTGTATGACTCTTACTCACAGTGGCTTGTTTTCTGTTGTGTTTGTAGTTTTGGGTTGTGAGCAGGATGTTATATGTGGGACTCTTGTGTGGCCTGTGTTGAGAGTGTACTCCTCTTAGAGAGATTGTTTTTGTTTGTTTGTTTGTACCAGTTTCCCAAGAGGAATTACCTTTGGTACTTAGAACCAATTTTAGGTTAATTTCTTGGCTTACTGGTTCCAAGCCACAAATCAATTTAGGTCAAGTCTTCATGACAGTCAACATTTCCGGGGAAGTTTTTATTTTCCTCTGCTAAGCCTAGGCTAAAAGAGACAAATTTTCTTCCCAACTGCCTTTGCCAGAGCAAAATTATTTCTAATCTTTGCATTCAGGATATAGTTTTTGAGGATCCTAACTCTATATGGAAGGAAAAGGCCATCCCCAGTCCCAATTCCCCACATTTCAGGGTCTCCAGCCTTTTTTCGAGTTCTTATGAAGTGATTAAACAGTTAAATGTCTTCACTCGTTGGCAGTTGCTGGTTTGGTGCATACTAATTTCCATCCCATATTTATTTCCGGTTGTTGGAGATTTACTACACTTTCTTTCAAGCTTGGATATACATTTGAAAGGATTATTGAAAATAAGTATTTTTATTTTCTGACCTCTTTTCCTCTTTAAATCTGTGCCCTCCTGCTCATCTTAGGGAGAGGGATTTCTCTTTTCAAACGACCAGAGACAAAGCCTTCAGCCCCTACTTTATCTGCAGTGCTACACGCATTCACACAAGATCTTATTTTAAATTATTTTTTGCTAAGTATTACAGAGAAATCAGGAATAAATAAGCATAGAGTAACTAACAAAAGTAAAAATCAATGAGGGTTTGTAGGGATATAAGAAATCTTTTCATTGGTTTTTAAAAGTTGCTTTCTTTGGTTCATTAGGCTTAACACCTAAAGGCCAGGTCTTTCCTTACATTCCTCACATGGTTCCTTTTCCCGAAGATCTACTCAACTTTTTTCTTTAAATCTTTTTTATCCTAATACTACAATCTAACCAATGAATGTAGGCAAAAAAAAATTTAACATGCTGTATTTAGATGTCTACCCAATTCAAGAGTGTAATTTGCATTTCTGAGAACCTCTGGACAGTGCTTCTCAAGCAATCTGTGTTGAAGGACAACTCTTTTCTTTAGATTTCCAATTCACTGTCTCCCTATGCTTCTATAAAATTTAATAAAAATATTACAGCAAAGCGCATTGCTATAAAAGCTCCTAAACACTTCCTCCCATTTTCTGTACTTGCCTCATTGTGCACCAGCTGACCTCCCTTTAAGCAGCACCAGGCACTCTGTGTGCAAAAGCTTCCCTTTATTTGCAGTTCATAGTCTTTCTTGCATGAATGTCAGAGCAGTTGTGCTTACTCTAAAAAGGACTTTGGTGTATAAAGGTACCTTTTAAGCCAAAGCATTTTGGTTCACTCATTCATTCATTCATTAGTATATGCATAAATATACTCCTTTATTTAACTCAGGATTTTGGACCTGTATATGCATAATACATATATGGGGCTTTCTATATGCCACGCCCTATCTTAAGTACTTTCCCAATATTAAATAATATAATGTTCATAAAAACTCTGTTAGATCAGGACTATTATTATCTCCATTTTTAAGAATTGAACACTGAAACAGAGTGGTTAAGTAAGTTGCCCAACACCACACTGCTAAGAAATAGTGGAACTGAGATTTGAACCCAGGAAGTCTAACTCCAGCTTCTGTGCCTAACCAGTCTACTGGCTGCCTCTCTGATGACTACCTTAGACACTCTAGTCCAGATTCTGCAAGGGTAGGTGTTCCAAAGCCCACTATTTCATCCTCATTTTCAACTTGAATCAGTTGGTCTTTATTGCACAGACCTCTGAATTGAAAAGGGAAATCAGGTCTTTCACCTCCTTTGTGGGAAGAGTGATGATTCGTTAGCGTGTCTGCCATGGAAAGTGTGGTGATTTTTCAATGCTGCTTGCTATGGTGTAGAGGGGATTGACAGAAGACACTTCAGAGAAGTCACCTATTAGCTTCAGGGCTCTGTGCCTTCAAAAAAATTGAAAATTATAACCAAACTAAAAATTTCAACTCAATCTATTGAAACAGCGGAAAAATTTAGTCAAACTAGCATTAGTTTGCATTAGTTAGATTCGCCCAAAATATTTTTAACTGAATTCAACCCATTTTTAAAACTTAATCGAGACAAATGAGTTAATTTACATAGAAATTGTCTTTGGCACCAGAACAGAATGTCTCCATTGTAAGACTATAGAGTAAACCCACATGCCATTTCCTTCGTCTTGAACATCTTCACATCTACAGGAAAATTGGAAGATGAGTATTTATATATCTTGCACCAAAAATCACCAGTTTTCGGGACTTTGTCACATTTGCTTTATTTCTCTTTATGTGTATGGAAGTACATACACTTTTTCTGAATCATTTGAATGTGTATTGTGGATACTTCACTTCTTCTGAAAATAAAGACATTCTCCTATATGACTTAACAGCATTAGAAAATTAGCACTAACTTAGTAATGTCAACTAGTAGAGCCCATACTCAGATTTTCCCAATTGGCCCCAAAGTCATTTTTGTAATTTATTTTCATTCCAAAAAACCCAACTTTATGCGTTACATTTGGTTGTTATGGCTCTTTATGCACTTTTTGAAAAACATTCTCTCTTCTTTTGTTTTTCATGAAAATGGATATTTTAAGATTCCCAGCCAGTTCACGTACAATGGTCATATCTCATTGTTGAATGCTCCAGTGGGGTTAATTCCTCACCCTTCTCCCAAGTGTAGACCTCGGGGTCATATGACCCTGGGTTACTCTCCTTATATCTGTAATAAAGGCTGGAACAAGCAGAGGCCCTGCTGATCTGCACAGTCTGTAGGGATAGGAAGGGGAAAGTCCTGCTATGCCTAGACACTGGCAGTGAGCCAGGTTGGGGAGAGAGAAAGCTCAAGGGAAAGGAATTGGGGTGTGGGGAGGAAGGAATATGGGAGGAATGGGATAACATGGATTTGAGGCACTTGCTCATTATATGGACCCATTGGATAGCCACTCCCCACCTAGGAATAACAAGTCAGAAGTCTTAAAGAAGAATCCTCAGTCTCTACTGCAGGGGAGAGGCCAAGCCAGCGCCTCCCCAGAACCGGTGGCAGAGGAATAAACATTGTGTACAGCACACATTCGTCAGCATTTAATAGTATCATTTATCTGAAGATTTGAATATATAATGTATTTTTAAATACTGTCTTCATGTGATATAATGAAAAAAATTGCCAAATTCATGTTGGTGTTACAGCGAGGGAGGAAGGAATGAGAGTGAAATGGGGGAGGCAAATAGAGGGAACTTCAGCTTGATCTTTACTCGTTTTTCTTTTCTTTTATGTTGAAAGGAACCTGCTGGTGCAAATATGGCAGAGGGGTGACATTCATTTGGTTTTGGGTGATGGGTGTGTTTCTTTTGGCACTTTACAAAATTTGAGCTCCAGTTTTGCTCGTTACTCAGTAATACGGCTTTTGAAATCATATAGGTCAGAGAAGTTAAAATTGGCTTGCCACAAACTCAACCATAACAAACAAAATTAGACTGGCCTTTTTTGTGATCTGATTTTGTCCTGGATGTGTGAGGGCTCCTGTTAAGGTTCAGCGGATCGTGGGCAAGTTTACTTACTCCCTGTGAGCCTCAGTTTCCTTCTCTGTAAAATGGGAATAACATCCCCTGACACAGAGCTGGTTGATTTATTGAAGGTCCTGCAGTGTGCAGGAGAACACACTAACCCAGCCAGCAGGAGCTTAAACTGTGAGGTCATCATTATCCCACACAACTCAGAGTCTGAAAACAGGGATGTTCATGGCAGGGCTGGCAGCTGCACAGTGTTATGGAGGACCCAGGCACACACAGCACCCTGCTCTTCTCTCCCCAGCGGGTCAGTGCTAGCTCCAGCTGGGGATGCAGTGTAGCTGTGGCCGCATCAGGCCACACATCCTCACACTGCATCATTCAGGGCAGCAAGAGAGAGCCCCTGATTGTGGCCCTTGTGAAGGAGGAGCAAGCCCCAGCAGGTCTCCTGTTACATCTTGTGAGCCAGGCGACAGCAGTCCATGGCAAGGGGAGTGGAATTGCACAGATCGTCTTGGACGTATGAACATTTGCACGTTGCCCCATTGGGCAGGCAAGGAGGCTTGCCTGAAAAGCCCCAGACACAAGCAGGGCGATGTCAGCAAGGATGGGAGGGAAACGCTGTGGGGCGGGCAAGACAACGAGGTCTGCCGCAGAAATGCAGACCACCTGCCTCATTAGCATATTCCCTGTCCCTCCTCTCCCTGATTGTCTACTCATGTTCCCTATACTCCCTGATGGTTGCCCAGAGCACTAGCAGCTGAGATCAATGCAGAGGATGAACAAGGCTGCCCACTTTGGTGTCAAATGTGTCGGATTTCCAGGTGTTACAGCCATTTTGTTGAGTTTTATGCCTTTGTAAGCAAAGATCCTGCCATTTTATTTTACTCTGTGGCAACCCAGTTTTACTGTATCCCAGCCTGGTTGTTATAAACACTTTTTAAAAGTCAAGTGAGACAGGTTGCTATTTCACAGCCTAGAGACAAAGAAGTGACTAAGTAACTGCGTGTTTTTTCCAATGACGTCCACAACGGTCCATCCAGTGGTAGTGTCAGTTAAAGCCCTTACTTGCATTTCTCATTTAGCTTTAATAAGGTGACTTGTAGGTGGTAAGAATATACCAATTTGTTAGTGTAAGCATTAACATCTTCATATAATAAATAGATGTTCGTCTACTTAACTTTGTAGTGTTAATTTTAATACATGCTTTTATTTAGAATTAAGGGCGCAGTTATTTTTTATCAGTAATGCCACTTATTACAATGGAATCACTGAATCTTAACCAAAAAGCGCTGAAGAGTGGATAAGGATTCAGTTTAAACAAAGAACCAAGAAGTTTTTTTATATTAAACTTTGTTAATATGGCAACACATTAGGCAATAACTGTCTGACTCTAAAATAAATATACTCCTGAGGGCCTTAATTTTCAAGCTTACTCGCAGTCTTTATCCTTCATATTTCATTATTTCTATTCTGATAGAAACAACACCTTTTATTAAAATTAGATTTTTTTATTTGTACAAATTTATGGGGTATATCTGAAATTTCGTTACATGTATATAATGTGTAGTGATTGAGTCAGAGTGTTCATCACCCGAGTACAATACATTTTTGTTAAGTAGAATCACCCTATTCTGCTATCCAACATTGAATGTATTCCATCTTACTGTATGTGTGTACCCTTTAACCCACTTCTCTTCATCGTCCCTCACCACTCACCCTTCCCAGTCTCTGGTATCTGTCTTTGCACTCTCTACCTCTATGTGATCACATTTCTAACTCCCACATATAATTCAGAACATACAATATTTGTGTTTTTGTGCATGATTTATTTCACTTAGGATAATGACCTCCAGTTTCATCCATGTTGCTGCAAATGAATGACATCATTCTTGTTAATAGCTGAATAGTATTCTCCTGTGTATTTACACGTTTTCTTTAGCCATTGACAGATGGAATGTAGAAATGTAAAACATGTTCTGCTTCTTCAGTTGTTCAAATCCTATTAATATTTCTCTCTTTTTTAAAGAATTTTTGATTAAAATGCTTTTATAATTTCTTGGAAATATCTATTATAAACATTCTCATTTGATTGAAGTTCCCAAAGTGTTGAAGGCCCTAGGGAGGTGCATGTTATATTTCATCCTCCAAATAAAAACATATATATGTCACTAGAAGTTTCACATAACATTAGAAGCTTGATACAACCACTCATAAGCTTGAAGCAATTTTTAAACAATTTTAGTATTATCCAAGAAGTGACATGTAAGATGACATTTGTGTCACCTGCCTAACATGTAAATGAGCCAGGCTATTTATCCTTTCCATAGACACATTCTTTTGAAAAGCAGCCATGAGTGCAGATGCACCTGTCATCAGGTAGGATAGAGTCTCCTGTAGCCATCAGCCTGGAGATTACCTTTGCCTCGCTTCTGTGCTATTCACCCATTTCCCTCCTGTTTCCTGTATTTCTCTGGTTTTGGTTTCCACCCTCATTTTGTGGAGTACATCCTCCTGAAGCTTCCTGAGAAAGAGTGAATGAAGATGTCTTGACATGAGTTCACTAGAAAACAGAACCCGGCCAGGCGCGGTGGCTCACACCTGTAATCCCAGCACTTTGGGAGACTGAGGTGGGCGGATCACGAGGTCAGGAGATTGAGACCATCCTGGCTAACACGGTGAAACCCCGTCTCTACTAAAAAAAAATACAAAAAATTAGCCAGGCGTGGTGGTGGGCACCTGTAGTCCCAGCTACTCGGGAGGCTGAAGCAGGAGAATGGCATGAACCCAGGAGGTGGAGGTTGCAGTGAGCCAAGATCGCGCCACTGCACTCCAGCGTGGGTGACAGAGCGAGACTCTGTCTCAAAAAAAAAAAACAAAAAAACAAAAACAGAACCCAAGGTAACTCCCAATGGCTATTTATTTCAGAGACACAGTCCCAGATGTGTTAGCAACTAGTTTTATTGAGAAATAAGGCTGCTCTGAATTTCTTATATGAGTCTTATGTTTTCATTTCTCTTGGGTAAATAAATATCCACGAGTGGAATTGCTGGGTCATATGGTAAAGGTAGGTAATAGTCCATTTCACACTGCCATAAAGATACTACCTCAGACTGGGTAATTTATAAACAAAAGGGGTTTAATTGACTCACAGTTCAGCATGACTGGGGAGGCTTCAGGAAACTTACAATCATGGCAGAAGGGGAAGGGGAAGTAGGCACCTTCTTCCCAAGGTGGCAGGAGAGAGACAGCACAGGGAAAACTGCCACTTTTAAAACCATCAGATCTCATGAGAACTCACTCACTATCATGAGAACAGCATGGGGGAAACCGCCTCCATGATCTAATCACCTACCACCAGGTCCTTCCCTTGACACCTGGGCATTACAATTCAAGATGAGATTTGGGTGAGGACACAGAGCCAAACCGATATCAGAGTATGTTGAACTGTATTAGAAATTGCCAAAAGTTTTTCTAAAATAATTGTGCCTTTTTACAATCCCAACAGCAAAGTATGAAAACTCCAGTTGCTCCATGGCCCCTTAGACATCTGTGCTAGTATGCAAAATACAATTGACTCTTGAACAGCACAGGTTTGAACTGCACAGGTCCACTTCCACTTATATGTGGATTTTTTTCAACCAAGTGAGGATCAAAATTACAGTATTCACAGGATGCAAAATCCATGTATATGGAGGGCCAACTTCTTAGACATACAGGTTCCACAGAGCCAACTATCAGACTTCAGTATACACAGATTTGGGTGTATGTCGGCGGGGTCCCAGAACCAATCCTGTGCAGATACTTGGGGATGACTGTACCATTGATTTGTGTATATTGATCTTGTATCCTGTGACCTTAAAAAATTGCTTATTAGTTATGGTTTTTTGTAGCTTCCTTATGATTTTCTGTGTGAACTATCATGTTCTCTGCTAAGAAGAATAGTGTTATCTCTTCCTTTCTGATTTGCGAATACAGATTTTATTTCTTTCTCTTGACTTATTTCACTGGCTAGGACTTCTCATACTATGTTGAATAGCAGTGGAGAGAGGGCGCATCTTTGTCTTTTTCCTAGTCTTAGAGGTAAAGCATTCAGTCTTTCACCATTAGGTATGATGTTAGCTGTATGTTTGTGTAGATTTTTTAAATCAAGTTATGGAGATCCCCCTATTCCTAGTTTTATGGGAATTTTTAATTATGAGTATTGAATTTTGTCAAATGCTTTTTCTGTATTCATGATATGATTATGTGATTTTTCTTCTGTAGCCCATTAATATGGTGAATTATATTGATTGATTTTCAAATATTGAGCCATCCTTGCATCCCTTGGTCATGGTATATAGTTCTTTGTATATGTTACTGTGTTCTGCTTGTTTGTATTTTCTTATGAATTTTGCATCATATTCATGAGAGATGTTACTCTGCACTTTTCTCTCTTTGTACTTTTTTTGATTTTGGTATCAGGGTAATGTTGGCTATTTTCTGGAGGAGCTTGTGTAATATTGGTTGTTGTTAGGTATACCTCTTGGTATAACCTTTTTGGGAATTGTTCTAGTTATTACATTATATACACATACTTTATCAAAGTCTATTGGTGTTGACATTTTACTACTATTGGTGAAGCATATAAACCTTACCTGCCTTTTTGCTTCTTTATTCTCTACCATTTATAATAAAATTGTTTTAAATATTTATTCAACATACATTGAAACATATAAACAGATAGGCAATGTCATAATTTTTGCTTTAACCATCAGACATAATTTAGAAAACTCAAGAGAAGAAGGAAAGTCTTATTATGTTTGCCCATATTTTTGTTCTTTCCATGTTCTTCCTTCTTTATATGCCAAAATGCCTTCTTTTATCGTTTCCTTTCTGCCTAGAGAACTTCCTTTAGCCATTTCTTTAAGGTAGGCTTGCTAGGAACAAAATCTCCTTGCTTATTACTGAAGAATATTTTTGCTAGCTTTAAAATTCTGGGCTGACAGTTATTTTCTTTCAGCACTTAAAAAATATTATCTTGGCTGGGCGTGGTGGCTCATGCCTGTAATTCCAGCACTTTGAGAGGCCAACGCAGGCAGATCACTTGAGGTCAGGAGTTCGAGACTAGCCTGGCCAACATGGTAAAACTCTATCTCTACTAAAAATACCAAAAATTAGCCAAGTTTGGTGGTGCATGTCTGTGTCCCAGCTACTTAGGAGGTTGAGGCAGGAAAATCACTTGAACCTAAGAGGCAGAGGTTGCAGTGAGCTGAAATTGCACCACTGCACTCCAGCCTGGGTGACAGAGCAAGACTCTGTCTCAAAAAAAAAAAAAAAAAAATTTATCCTGCTTCCTTCTGGCCTACACGGTAGCCAATGAGAAATGCACTGTCTTTAGAATTGTTTTTCCCATATAAGTAAGGCGTTGTTTCTCCTTGGCAGCTTTTAAGGTTTCTTTGTCTTTAGTTTTTAGAAGTTTGACTATGATGTATTTTGGCATGAGTTTCTATGGGTTTTTTTTCTGTTTAGGGTTTGCTCAGCTTCTTGAATCTGTATGTTTGTTTGTTCATTTGCAAAAATTGGGAACCTTTTAGTGATTTAGTGATTATTTCTTTGAACACTTTTTTTTTTTTTTTTTTTTTGATACGGAGTCTCGCTCTTTCACCCAGGCCTAAGTGCAGTGGCGCGATTTCGGCTCCCTACAAGCTCCACCTCCCAGGTTCACGCCATTCTCCTGCCTCAGCCCCCCGAGTAGCTGGGACTACAGGCGCCCGCCACCACGCCCAGCTAATTTTTTGTATTTTTGGTAGAGACGGGGTTTCACCTTTCACCGTGTTAGCCAGAATGGTCTCAATCTCCTGACCTCGTGATCCGCCCGCCTCAGCCTCCCAAAGTGCTGGGATTACAGGCGTGAGCCACCGCGCCTGGCCTCTTCGAATACTTTTTTAGCTCTACCTTATTTCGCCTCTTCTACGGACTCCAGACTTTTGTCGCAGTCCCACATGTTCCTGAGTTGTGTTCTGTATATGTGTTTTTTTTTTTAAGTTTAATTTTTCTCTGTTGTTCAAATTGGGTGATTTCTATGTTATACCTTTACATTACACTGATTCTTTTTCTCTTCTCTCCAATCTGCTTTTCAGCACATCCATTGAGTTTTTAAAATCAGAGTTGTATTTTTCAGTCCCTATTATATCTGCCCATATTTTTGTTCTTTATTTGGCTCTGTTTTGTATCTTCTATTGTTTTGGTAAGACTTTCTATTTCTTTACTACATTTTCTAATTTTTCATTTGTCTTAGGTATGTTTGTAATTGCTTGTTGAAGTATTCTTAGGATGACTACTTTTAAATCCCAGTCAGATAACTCTAACATCTGTCATCTCAGTTTTCATATCTTTTCTTGTTCTGTTTGAAATCTTCCTGGTTCTTGGTATAAGTGATTTTTTTTGTTTGTTTAAAAGGGTATATATTTGGTATTAAGTTATAGGACTCTGGGTCTTACTTAAATCTTGTGTTTTAGCGGACCTCCTGACACCACTCTGGTAGGTTCAGGGGGCCATTGCCTGACAACTGCCAGAGGGTAATTGAAGTACAGGTTCCCCCTCTGCCCCTGTTGATACCTGGGGAATGGGCTTGGTACTTCTTGGCAGGGGTACTTCCTAGCTGAGAGGAGGCAGAGATTCTCATTACAGCCAGATGAGTGTGAAAGTTCAGGCTCCCTGTGTGTCCTCTGAAGATAGAGGGCAAGGTGCTTATTACCACCCAGTGGGGTTGAGGTCTTGGCTTTGTACTCAGCCTTCTCTGACACTCCCCAGGTGATGGAGCAGGCAGTGATGAGCACCTTGTTACAGCCTGGTGAGGGTGGAAGTCTAGGCTTCTCACTAGAACTTTGCTGGCAGGGGTGGTGGTCGGGTTATAATTTTTTCTGTGATGTTTGGCTGGAATAGAAGAGGAAATGTCTAAGCAGCTACTGTTTTGCTAAGCTACCCCTTTCCTGGTATTCTGTCTAGAGAGAGCATGCTTTTTCTTTTCTATCTTTTTTTTTTTTTTTTTTTTTGTGGCCTACTCTCATTGGTTCGTTTTTACAGTATCTAATCTGGGATATGTGAGGCAAAAAGAAACTCCAGGGAACCCACCATTATGTCGTTCCTCAAGTCTCAAGATCCCTAGTTAGTCTGCCACTTCTTCTCCACTTTTCAGAGTCTTCTAATATGATTTTATACATAATTTCCAGGGCTTTTCGTTGTACTTAGTAAGAGAAATAGGAAAAAGTACATCTGATCTATCTTCCCTGAAGTGGAAGTCTCTAAATGTAAATATTCATGAAATTTAACATAACTACACCTATGTAACTATAATGGTTTTGATGAATCAAATGAAATATGAACTATACTTTCAAAGGTATGTGTGCCTCAAAAAAGCAAGACGGTGAAAGGAAAAAATAGCTTTCAGGAGGGAAAGCTGTGTTCAAGGAAATTACAAAGAAATGTTTTATCTTGTGTAAAATACGTTTCCAGATTCAAGGAGAGAAGGTGCTGGCCTTGAGTTTCTTAATGCTCATGCTAATTGATGGGAGGATTTGGCCACTTCTTGTCCTCAAAGGGAAAAGAAATCTATATTTTATTTGAGGAGAGAAGTAGCCATAATGTTCCCCCTTTCTATTGAAACCTGTGGAAAATCTGTCCCTGATGTTTATGCCTCCTTAGCAAACACCCCCAGTGGCCCCTTCCTTTTCTGGGATCCTGTTCTAAAGTGAGCTTCTTTTCCAGGTCGCCTGAACTGGTGGTCCACTGTGTGCACGAGCTGTAAACGGCTTCTTCCTCTGGCCACAACAGGGGATGGGAACTGCCTTTTACATGCTGCTTCACTGGGTAAGCTCCACAGCACAGACAGAGGGTGGCCAGGCTCCAGGCCTGCGTAAGGAAAGACATATGCTATTGAAGGAAACACTATTGAAGGAAAAGCATACACTAAATAGAGTCACCCATGTCACTGTCATGAGAAAGTCCCCAGGAGACAGAGCCAACAATCCTGGCCCTTCTTGTCAAGTAGCACTTGCTGGAGAGACAGAACACACATAAGAAAAGACCTGGCGTGATAGAAGGAGGCCTTGAGCATAGCTGCAGGGATGGGACTTAGAGACCGTCGCCTGGTACAAATAAAAAGGACTTCCTGGGAGGAGGTGGGATCTTTACTGAAACTTGAAGAACTTGAGAGACTAGAAGAGGGCATTGCAGGCAGGGAGACCCCGCAGATAAAGCATAAAGGCAGGAATGGACAGGGTGTTTGGAGGTAGGGGTGAACGAGGTAAAGCTGGAGTAGGAAGTTTTGGGAGCAGTGCATGAGGTTGGGTAAATGAGGGTCCACTATGTTGACAGCAGTCAACAGTTGGCATGGACTAATGGAAACAGACGTAGGTACTGCTCAGATAAATCACAGGGGAGTCAGCATAGTCAGAATATACCACAGAGAGATCAGCACACTTGTCCAATAGAGACGTGAGCTTCCCGATCACACAAAGCCACACAACACAGAAATATTTGGATAATTGAGGATCATCATCGACTTTCTGGAACCTCAGTTATCCCTTTAGGCCCAGCGTTATATGCACAAGGCTGAATCCATTTTGATAGGTGAGTCTGGGTTTGCACCAGGGACCATCAGGGCCGGTTGGTTCTTACCCGCCCTGGAGGATAGCGCCTCTCCAAAACCCACAACCCTCACACAGGAATGCAGTCCTTGTTTGTCAAACTTGCATCCCCAACAAACATGGCTTTAACTGGGTGCCATGACCTACATCAAGGGCCAGCCCCCAGACCTCTCTCTCTTTGGACCTGCGGTGAGGCCTATTCAGCAAGAGGTAGGTGAGATAAGACTGTAAAGGGCTTCAAGGGAAATACATCAGGGTCTTGAAGGGTTCCAGAGGAGGATGGAGAACAAGGGAAACATTCCCCAGGCTTGACCTGCAGTGAGGAAAGGCAAGGCAGCCACTTACCTGCTTCATCTCCATGTCATTGGAGCACATTCTGCTTGTTGGCATTGCAAAAGTACTCCACATTCACCATGGTGAGAAAATGAAAATCAGCGACCCCCACCCAGCGGCGGCCACTCTTAACAGTTTGGTATTGTCATCATCTTCCGGTCTTTTGTCTGTTCTTCAGGTGAAATGATGATCTTGCTGTGTTCACAGTCTTGAATCCAACATTTTCCCTTACAATCTGAGAATTTTCCCTGCTGTTATCCTTCAAACACATGATTTTAAGTAGTTGGGTCTTATTTTATCATAGTGGATAACATTAACTATTCCCCTGTTATTGAGCATATTTTGCCTTGTTCTTTCTAAAACCTGGAGAAAGAATCTAAAAGAATAAATCTCTCATCTGTGTCAAACAGCAGCCTCATTGTGAAGTCTGGGGCATGGAAATGTTTTTGTCCCTCAGCAACTGCAGCATGTAGAGTCATTGTCCCCATCAGCACAACAGCGGGGCAAGGCCACACCCCACAGCATTTTCCCTGTGAGCACAGTGGGCCTCCCAGGCCTGCCTGGGAAGAGAGAGCCTCCCTCAGGCTGGTCATTTCCATCTGCAAGAGAGCCTGGGCCATGACTGACCAGGGCTGTGAGACCCCCCTCCAAGAATCCCCTGTACAACAATAAGCCCAGAGCTCATAGCAATCTGTCCTCTTATCCCAGCACTTTGTTTCATTTTGTGCCCATATAGCTAAACTCCGCAGGACTGGGGCTACCCAAAGCTGCCACATGACATTCACCAGCAGTCCTTGTGGAACCCCTGTTGGCCTGGCCTGACGTTGAGCTAGGATTGTGGGGCACATATAGAAATGACAGTCATCTTGGAGTCAGGCCTGTAGGCAGATATATGCAGGACAAGGAGGCCATCTCTGCAAGAGAGACCTGCCCAAGGAGCTGTGGGAGAGTCCCAGGAGGCAGCTGAAAGAGGTCTGAGGATGAGCGAGGAGTGACAGTGGTCATTCCCCCTCCCCTGCCATCCTATAGAAAAAGGCGAAGCCTTGCTGGCTAGAAGCCTGTGGCAGGCCTGGGCTATTGCATATCCAAAGATGCCCAGCCAGTTGAGCCTTTGAAAACATCAGTTCACATTACTCTCCTTCTGTAGACTCTCCAGAGGCTCACAGTTCCCTCGAGAGCCCCCTTTTCACTCTCCCTCTCTCCTCGATCCCACTTTAGCCACCTTTCCCTCTTGCCTTTTCTCAAGTACTGCCCCCTCTGGGTCTGTCCCTGGCCTTTCCCTGTGCTGGGACAGCAACTTGGCTCCTTCCTCCACCCATTTGAGCCTTTGCTCCTATGTCTCCATTCACGCCACAGCAGATCTGCCTGCCTCACCTCTCCTCGTGGGGCTGCCACCCTCAACATCGTACACTCTGTGCCAGCCTCGTGGCTATCCTCACTTCCCACTTCCCCACAACATGTGCTCCATGAGATTTTAGGAACTTCATGTGTCCCGGCCACTGCCACATATATTCCCAGCACCTAGAATGAGTGAGTGGGTGCGTGGGTGGGTGGATGGCTGGATGGACGGATGGATGGATGGATTCCCCTGTGTTTTCCCTTGTAGCCAGAGCTGCCCTTCTCTTGAGCACTTCTCCCATGAGTTGGGGTTCTTGATCACATCTAAGCTGCCCAGAGCACATTCTCAGAGATGGCTGGTTTCTCTCTATATCCTCTCAGCACCTGGCACAGGGTGAGACCCTCTCACTAGGAAGCAGGCGCTCTCTCCTGGGCCAGGTGTGTGCAGTGGTGTCACTGGCGCTCTGCTTCTCAGGAAGCTGAGATGCCTCAGGGCTGGAGAGGAGGGAAATGGCAGACCCTGGAGAAGCCAGGATGCTAATGGCCTCCCTCACCTGGAGCCCTCCATAAGGACACTGGACAGCCTGTCCCTGTCCCCTAGTCAGTCCCCCACCCAAATGTAAGACTTGAATAATGACCATTAGGTCCTCAAAGCAAACCAGCAACATTGAGAATGGGTTGCCAAGGGCACCAGAGAGGAAAAGCACTTGATTTTCACCCACTATTGTTTTGCTAAGAACAGGATGTGCTGCTTCATTCACCTAGTTGCCTTAATGGGAAGCCTCAGGAAGAAGGCTGGAGGGGAATTAACAGAACCGCTGAGTAAGGAGGCTGTTCTGCGTGCAGACAGGAGGCTCTCCCAGTGGGTCGTGGTAGTTTGCATCACCTCTGGCTTGTCTTTTCTCATGTCCTTTCTCTCCTCTGTTCTCCCTGGCCTCCTGGCTCCAGGAATGTGGGGGTTTCACGACCGGGACCTGGTGTTACGGAAAGCTCTCTATACCATGATGAGGACGGGAGCTGAGAGGGAAGCCCTGAAGCGGAGGTGGAGGTGGCAGCAGACGCAGCAGAATAAGGAGGTTGGTATCCACTGGCATGGCCAGAGCCCGGGACCCAGGCCAGATGCAGCCTCGGGCCGTGGTCGAGTCCACAGCATGGCCTCCAGGCCCCAGACAGTCTTATGAGGGGAAGGCAGAAACAGCCCCTGGGATCAGGAAAGTCTCCTGCTTTTAAGCCCACAGAGGAGGAGCCTGTTAAAATAGCAGAGTCCCGGCAGACAGCAACTATGCGTCCACTTGTGCTTCCTTAAGGCATAATCATGAAAGCTGCCTACCTTCATTCCCAAAAGCATCCTGGCTTGGATGATGAATTATATATATGACTGCCTGCTGTCAGGTGCAGCCCATGGCCCCAGCCCCTGTGTGTGAGCTCAGTCCAAAGGGATTCCCGATTGTCCCCAACCATGGTAAACATGAGGACCTTGCTCTCCTAGAAGAATCTGAACGGCCAGCCCCAGTTAGGTGCAGGCACAGGTTAATGCTCGGTCATCCCCAGCCCCTGAGAATGACCCTTGTTGGTGGGCAGATTCCCAGCAGCTCTGGAATTAGAGCTTGGGGCTTCTGAAAATATATTGTGCATAGCAAAGGTGGCCAAGAGGGTGCAGTTGGTATAGTTGGTAGCTACCTACAGATGTGCCTGGCCTGGGTCCCGGTGAGGCTGGTCCAGATTGGGAGGGTGAGGAGAGGAGGGCAGCGCAGCTGTGGCCCACCCCCCTTCTGAGCCGGCTCCCCTCTGCCAGTCAGGGCTGGTGTACACAGAGGAGGAGTGGGAGCGGGAGTGGACGGAGCTGCTGAAGCTGGCCTCCAGCGAGCCGCGCACACACTTCAGCAAGAATGGCGGCACGGGCGGGGGGTAAGTGCTGCCCCTGCTCTCCCCAGAAGTCACCTCCAGCTCCAGGCCACCCAGGGCTACACACAGCATGGGGGGATGGCACGGGGGGGAATGTGGGACTCTTGTGCTGTGGAAGACAGAAAGATTCCAGCTTTCCAGCATTAGCTTCAAGACAAGGACGCACGGGAGGACCGTGGGTGATGGCTGGCCCCGCCAGGTGCTAGTGGAAGGGTATGCAGCCCCCACATGCACTATGCAGGCAGAGGTGAGCTCACATGAGCTGCCTCCAGGCCACTTTCCTTGAACTTTATTGTGCAGAACAGTTGGGGTGTGCGCCTTCAGGGCACAGCAGGCCTCTGGAGGTCACACGTGATGGTGAGCATTCCCACACATTGCCATCGCACGAACCTGGCTCTGAAGTTTGGGTTTTCTCCCCCAACTAATTAATTTGTGGCTTCAAGAAGTTGCCCTGAAAGCAGAAGCTCATTAAGCTAGCCTGGTGTTTCCCAGATGGGCTCCATGGATATTATATGTGTTCCCAGCAAAAAGACTTCACATCTGTGCATGTTTAGGAATAGCTTGTTCCTACAGAAACACCTTGGATGTTCTAGTATGGAATGAAGACCGTGGCCAGACCAGTGGGGCAGCCATAGAGCCTTGGCCGCGGCTTATTCTTCAGTTCATATTCTCTGGAACCTGAAAGCAAAGGTGTTGCTCCTAGAGAAGGTCTCAGCCAAACATGAGAAAGTGTGAGCAGTAACACCAGGGAGACCCATGGAAGGAGGATTGCATGCAGCTCCAGGCTGCCCTCAGGCTCATGGGCCCTGCAGCGGGCAACTGGGTCCTCACCCACCCACCAAGGCAGGGCCTAGTGCCTCATGGGCCAGCTCTCCCTGGAGGCCCCGGCTGGAAAAGAGGCTCCCACAGAGCTGCAGCTGCAGCAGTGGCGTCCAAGACCATGTTTGAAGATGAAATCATTAGAAACCCACATACGCTGGCACACCCTTCCTCCAGGGCTGTCTTGTCACTGTGTTTTAAGGCTATGTTATGTCCATACCAACAGTCTATCTTGGCAGGACATTTGAGGACAAGCATTCTGAAGACTCAGTCGACTGTGGAAAACTGCTCTCTTCCTCTGCACGCCTCCCGAGTCCTGCCTGTGATGGGTCTTAAGTGTTCCTCGACATCGTTTTCACAGTTGCCTCTCTCCCTCCTGCCACAGGGAGGACGCCTGATAGGTGCTGGCAGACTGGATCCAGGCCAGGTGTCTCTGCCAGGGACAGGGAGGAGTGGGGAAAGACAGCAGCAATGATGACTTTGATAGTGGGTGAAAATCAATCACAGGTGACCATCACATACACATCTCCTGAGTACCCCCATCCAGGAGGAGCTTCGCCCAAGGTCTCATGGCTAGTCAGCCCATCTGACTCCTAAGGCCACAGTCTGGTACCCTGCTGCCTGCTCCCTGGGGCCCGAGGGATTCAGATGCTAATGGGGACACAGGGGCCACTTGGTGTCTGTCCCTATCTCCCACAGAGTCTGAGTGATCAACCTTAATCTAACAAAAGGATTAGGTCCCTTTAGGAATATCCAAAATGGCCCAGACATTGTCCCATTTATGTAGGATAGCCTGGTCCCCTGCCCCTGGGAGCCATAGTTCTGGCTGCCACATCACAAAAGAGAAGGAAGAACCCGGGGAATGGCCAGAGAGGGGAAACTAAACAACCAAGGGTGGATGGGAGTGACCCCATCAGGAAAGAATGGAGAGATGAGGCAGGAAGGTATGGGTGGTGTTGGGGGAACGGAAGGAGGGAGGCGAGCACAGGTGGGGTGGGGTGGGGTCGGGGAGACCATAAGAGGGCCCTGTGCTAGGCACTCTCTCCCCTCCTTTCAAACTCTGCCTCACAAGCCTCCAGTACCCCTTCCACAGATTCAAAAACTGAGCCTCAATGGGATTAGGTAACTGTTCCAAGACCCCACAAAAATGATAAATGGAAGGAGCCAAAAAGTCAAAATTTGGTCTGATCATTAAGTCTCCTCTTTTGACCAGGCTCTACAGCCTAACAAAATCCCTCAAATACAGCAGTCTGTAGAAAGGACACAGCCACCTGGTCCCCACAGATGCCACTGATGCTCAGGTCAGAATCCTGTGCCAGTGATGCAGGAGGCATTTCTAGGGTTTCAGCAACAGGTGTTTCCAGTGGAGAAAGAAAAAGGGAAAAAAAAAAACAAAAAACTCAGAAGAGGACAGAACATATGCAATAGGAATCTACCAAACAGAGTTGCTTCTGTAGCCAGATGCCTCCTTGGGTTACCTGGAACCTTTGCATGGCCAGTCAAGGAGGGAGGCCTTTGGAACCAGGCATAAAACATTTTCCTGGGAATGGGGAGTTTTGGCTGAGTCCCATGGACTGGGGTAACGGACAGAGAGCGCCTCAGCAAGGCACCCGTGCAGCTGTGCAGGACTCGCCAACAGGGTGCTCCAGAGCTCACCTGCTCCAAGAATTCACTTGGGGTTCAGAGTCCACAAGAGAGGCCTTTGTGCACAAGCACAGTTGCTCTGCCTTTTGCCTGTGTCTTCTCTCCCCATGTTGAGCTGAGAGGTGTAGGGCATCATCTCTGGGGCTTGAGGGCTGCAGGGTTGAGTTTCTGACACCTGACTGAAGGGCCTGAAGGCAGAAACTGGCGAGCTCAGGGTTCACAGGGCTGTGGTGGGCTGTACAGGCCAGGACATGGGGCCGTAGGGGATGTAAGGCCAGGATGCTGCGAGCTGCCCGAGGTCCAGGCATGGATTCAGGGAGGAGGCCCCAAGCGGGCTGGCTTCAGGACTCATCTATGGTGGGGACCACACAGAAGACCAGCCCCTGAGGCCAGGGCTGAGGGTGGACACGAGTAGTCAGTGAGAGGAGCCACCACTGCAGCCCAGGGACCTAAGGACACAGCCCCTCAACTGGCAGAGAGCTCTGAAGACCCAAAAAAAGCACTTCCTCAGACAGCAGGTCAGCACTGGGACCTCCAGCGAGCCCAGCGGGCCCTGAAGGAAGACAGCAAGAAATACTTTGCCACCCTCCTGCCCCTCCTCCCTGCCTGTGCCGGCCCCACAGGGGACACAGACAGCAGCCAGAGAAGGGGAGGAGGCAAAAGGTGAAACAGAGAAGCCAGCTGGAAGCTAACCCAGTCTTTCAGGAGGCTCAAGCTTGGGGCTGATAGCCCCCTGCACAGGAAAGTAACCAGAAGAACCACACAAAATTTCCAGGGTGCCACCCGGGAATAGGAAAGAGCAAGTCAAGGGAGAGTTTGCAGGCATGATGGCGAGAAGAACTAAGGTGGCTTTATTCATCCCAGCCTGGGTTTCCCAGAACCTGTTCCCCACGGATGAGGGTAAAGGGTGCAGTGCGGGCCCTGCATCCTGCTCTGGGAGCCCCTGGTATGGAGACAGATGGGGCAGCCCCTGTACTATTGGTCCTTGACACAGATGATGGCCTGGAGTCATTTTAAACTTGTTACTTTCCCAGAAAGCAACTATGTCACGTATCTGAAGAGGTCAGCAGGGACCAGAGACCAGGTGTGGGTGTGAGCTAGACCTGCTTCCTCTCACTGTGCCTCCCAGGAGGACTCACAGTGGCCAGGCCCCGGCCACGTGGAAGAACCAGGCCTTCCCTAGGGCTTGGGGAGGGATTAGTGAGGTCAGATGGGAATGTGAACAGTGTCATCTACTGAGCCCATGTTATGTGTCAGGCAGGCCTATGAGCTGTCATTATCATCACCAATCACAGAGAAGGAGGCTGAGATTCAGAGAATTAGATAATGTATTAGGGTTCTCCAGAGAAACAGAACCAATAAAAGACATACATATAAAGAGATCTAATGTAGGTATTGGCTCACGTGATTATGGTGTCTGAGAATTCCCACGATCTGGCATGTGCCAGCTGGAGACCCAGGAAAGCCAGTGGTGTAACACGAAGGCCCAAGAGCTGGAGAACTGATGGTGTGGATCCAGTCTGAATCTGAAGGCCTGAGAACCAGGAGTGCTGAGGGCAGAAAGTCCATGTCCCAGCTCAAACAGGTTTGGTTATTCCGCCCTCCGCCACTGTTTTGTTCCCATGATGAATAGATCAGATGAGCCCCACCCATATTGGTGAAAGCCCTCTGCTTTCTGCTCTCCAGCAATTGAAATGCTAATCTCACCCAAAATGCCCTCACAGACACATGCAGAAATAACGTTTAACCAGCTATCTAACCATCACAGGTTAGCTTCCAATGTCCCACAGCCTGAAAGACACAAAGCCAGAACCTGAACTTAGAACTGACCAAAGAAACCTAAGCCCACACTCTTGACAAATGCAGACCAGGCATGAGGAGTAGGAATCAACAACTTATCTTGACTATGGTGAAAATAATCATTTTTGTTCTTTAAACTTTTAAAAGAACTACTTATTTGTTTTCTGTTTGATGAGAAGGGCTAAGTGGAAGCTGAGAGGCCAGTCCGACAGACAAAGAGGAGAAGAGAGCAGAGCAAGAGGGACCGTTTGGGGGACCCTCTGGCAGCCCCCGGGGGCATCTTCTGTCTAGGTCCTTACTTTTCTCACATGCTAACCTCTCTGCTTTCTCTTTGTAGTTGAGTTTCTGAAATTTCACTGACAATGTGTTTGCTGCATTTCTTTTTATTAGCTTTTTTCGGAAGTAGCTAGAATCCCAAGTGATTTCCTAGCACACAGTCTGAGAGTTGTCAATTTCAGTCAGTCTTTTGAGGAAAAGCAAGAGGCATTTTATTCCTGGGAGATGCCCACACCACAGCCTGGTGCTCCCGGGCCATGGGCTGGCCTTGTGAAGGAAAGGAGGCATTCTTATGTGTATTCCTGAAGGTGCCATGACTTCCACCAGCAGACCAAGCAGAAAGAGCATCTGCTAACGTAAGGTGTCCTCACTTTGCAGATGTGGGACCCGGCTCAAATTTTTAAAGACATTTCTAATTGAAAATAAGACCAAAGTTGACTATCTAGGGATGGTTCTCAAGTAGGAGCCTTCTCTGATCTTCCTGTCTAAAGAATCCACCTTTTATCACTCTACTGAGAGTTTTTTATTATTTTATTATTTATTTAAATATGTTTAGGGGATACAAGTGCAGGTTTCTTACATGCAAATATTGCATTGTGGTAAAGTCTGGGATTTTAGCGTACCCATTACCCAAGTAGTGAACATTGTAATTTTTCAGTCCTCACCCCCGCGAACCCTCCGGCCTGTCATAGCTTCCAGTGTCTGTTATTCCATTCTGCCTGTCCATATGTACGCGTTGTTTAGCCCCCAGCTATAAGTGAGAACATGCAGTATTTGACTTTCTGTTTCTGAGTTATATCACTGAGGATAATCGCTTCCATATCCATCCATGTTGCTGCAAAAGACAGGATTCCATTCTTTTTTATGGCTGAGTCATATTCCATGGTATATATATACATTTTCTTTATCTAATCCTACGTTGATGGACACTTAGGTGGTTTCTATCTTTTTGCCATTGTGAATAGTGTTAGAGTAAACATGCAGGTATCTTTTTGATAGAATGATTCATTTCCCTTTGGGTATATACCTAGTAGTGGGATTGCTGGATTGAGTGGTAGTTCTATTTTTAGTTCTTTGAGAAATCTCCACACTGTTTTCCATAAAGGTTGTATGAATTTACATTCCTACCAACAGCATGTGTTCCCTTTTCATTATATCCTCACCAACATCTATTTTTGTTTTTGTTACATTTGCTTTTGAAGACTTGGTCATAAATTATTTGCATAGGCCAATGTCCAAAAGAGTTTTACATAGGTTTCCTTGTAGAATGTTTATAGTTTCAGGTCTTACATTTAGGTCTTTAATCCATTTTGAGTTAATTTTTATATATGGTGAGAAGTGTGGGTCCAATCTCATTCTTCTGCATATCGCTATGCAATTTTCCCAACACTAAATAGTGAATGACGCAAAATGAATAGTGTCATTTCCCCAGTGTATATTTTTGTTGGTGTTGTTGAAGATCAGTTGGTTATAAGTATGTGGCTTCATTTATAGGTTATGTATTCTGTTCCATTGATCTATGTGTCTGTTTTTGTACCAATACCATACTGTTTTGTTTACTATAACCTTGTAGTACAATTTGAAATTAGATGATGTTATCCTTCAGCTTTGTTCTTTTTGCTTAGGATTCCGTTGGCTAGACAGGCTCCTTTTTAGTTCCATATGAAATTTATTGTTTTTTATAATCCTGTGAAAAATGACATTGGTAACTTGATAGGGATTGTATTGAATCTGTAGATTACTGTAGCAATATAGTCATTTTAATGATGTTGATTCTTGGAATCCATGAGCATGGGATGTTTTTCCATTCATTTGTGTCATTGACAATTTTTTTCTTCAGCATTTTGTAGTCCTCCTTATAGAGATCTTTCACATCCCTGGTTAAATATATTCCTCGATATTTTTGTAGCTAATTTAAATGGGATTGCCTTCTTGATTTAGTCCTCAGCTAGATTGTTACTGGTATATAGAAATGCTACTGCTTTCATTATGTTAATGTTGTATCCTGAAACTTTACTAAATTTGTGTATCAAATATAACAGGTTTTTGGTAGAGTCTTTATGGTTTTCTAATTATAAAATCATATCACTAGCAAACAGGGATGATCTGACTCCTTCTTTTCCAATTTGGATGCCTTTTGTTTTTTTCTCTTGCCTGACTGCGCTGTGGGTACTTCCAGTACTATGTTGAATAACAGTGGTAAAAGTGGGCATCCTCATCTTGTTCCAGTCCTTAGAGGAAAAGCTTTCAACTTTTCCCCATTAAGTATGCTGTTAGCTGTGGGTTTGTCATAGAAGACCTTTATTATGTTGAGGTATGTTCTTTCTATGCCTAGTTTGTTGAGGATTTTCATCATGAAGTGATGCTGAATTGTATTGAATGCAGAAATCCTTGACAAAATACTAGCAAATCAAATCTAACAGGACATCGAAAAGATAATACACCATAATCAGGTGGGATTTATCCCAGGAATGCAAGGATGATTCAACATACACAAATCAATGAATGTGATATATCACGTAAACAGAATTAAGAACAAAAACCATATGATCATCTTGATAGATGCAGAAAAATAACTGATAATTTCTTATTTGATCATGTGTTAGTATCTCTCCCTACCTAAACCTGCATTCATGGGCACACATGGGCAAGTGTGAGTGCGCGTGCGTGCACACACACACACACACACACACACAGCACAGTGCTAGACCTGTAGTGGATAATCAGTAACTATTTGTCACATGACTGACCTCAGCTTATTGATCCTAAGCAATAAGTCTTGTTCCTCAAGCCACACTGGCCACTGCTAGAAGGTCTTTCAGAGCCTAAGATCCATTCAGTCCCTTCGAAGCACTGGGAGGCCCCCGTCCTTCCATCTCAGCTTCCCAGGCCATAGCTCTTAGCAGAGTCCCTGCTAGCCTGTACTGTGCCTTTGGAGAGTCTTTTGTAAAAGGTGCCTGTCTGGGCAGGCACAGTCCTTGACCAGGGGCAAAGGCCCACAGCAGGACATAGGCTGGGTTCAGCCCCTTGAGCCTCCTCAGACTGGCTCTGCTGTGCAGGGCCCTACCTGAGAGAGGGGTTGAGGCACACCTCTCAGAAATGCTGCCCATGAGATCTGTGCATGAGGAGAACCTTGCACCTGTGAAAAGGAGTAAGGACCATCCCCACCTACTGTGCTGTGGGTGTCTCAGGATGCATCAGGAGGAGGAAAAGGCAGTGGTTGGACTAGTGAGTATAAACATGCTACCTAGAGGTGGGAGGATGTGTGCATACAGTTTATGCGCATTTACTCACATTCATACGTGTGTGCACACAGATGTGCACTTACTTTTTTTTTTTAATCAGATGGAGTCTCGCTCTGTCACCCAGGCTAGAATGCAGTGGTGCGATCTCGGCTCACTGCAACCTCCACCTCCTGGGTTCAAGCGATGATCCTGCCTCAGCCTCCCGAGTAGCTGGGACTACAGGCACAAGCCACCAATGCCTGGCTAATTTTTGTATTTTTAGTAGAGACAGGGTTTCACCATGTTGGCCAGGATGGTCTCGATCTCCTGACCTCATGATCCACCCGCCTCGGCCTCCCAAAGTGCTGGGATTACAGGTGTGAACCACCACACCTGGCCTTGCACTTACTTTTTTTATGGAAGGGTACACCAAAAACCAACACCTATGTCCCCATAGGTGAGGTGACTACAATTTATCATCCAAACTGGTTCATTTGGGGGAAGGAAAGTGGGCACTAACCACTTGGGATGTGTGAACAGGACTTTCCCAAGCAAAACAGGAGGTGTGGACACCCCATCTGGAGGAGGGGATATGGGGAGGGACCTGGGAGGCTTCATCCAGGCTCTCCGTCTGGGTGGCTGGGTGACTGCCCTTTAACAAGACCTGCCGGCCCCAGACTGGCTTCCTTATCTATGACACGCGCTCTTGCCGAGGATGGTCTCCAAGGATGGTGGCTACAGCTTAAGCCAGGGTGCCCCCAAACTGTTCCCTGGGGCCTGAGATACCATCTGGACCTTGCTCCATGACCTTTGCTTCTTGGTCCTGCCAGGAGGGACTCCTCAGCCTCTGCCCACCCCCATCTTTCTCAGGGTGTTTTCATTGGGTAGACGGTATATCCCTAACCCTGGAAATTCTCCCTCCTCAAGTACCCACTGGAGAAGCAGATGTAGGTGCCCTGGAGAACTCAGTGTGTGGGGCCCAAAGCATGTTAGGAAGTTCTCAGGACATGCACATCTTGGAGGATGAAGTCATTATATTGCATGTCAGTCTTCTTTGCAGTAAGCACTGATTTTTAAGCATTTTAGGAATTGTTATGTCTTTGCCCAGTGGCCAGATTCTCCCCACAATCCCAGATCTCGCATTTGCTCAGCAAACTCACAAGAAGAAGACATGAAGTCTCAGGGCTAAAAGTGGGAGTGAATTTTCAGAATTGGTTTTTCTGAAACTGATTTCTACCAATGGGCTCTGGTCACAGAGTGCAGGTCACAGTTCCAAACTCTCGTCCCAGATAAGATCTTGTTTGCCCTTCATTTTAGAGCCCCCAGCTAAATTGGAGTTCCAGTACCAGAGCAGCTAGAAAACCTGCAATAAGGAGAAATGAAAAGGGACCTGGACATAGGCGTTTACAGTGTGCCTTTCATGGGATACTTCTCTTACCTGGCAGGTGTCCTAATGCCTGGTTGCCTAACCCATGACCCATGTCCCTCACATGGGAAGCTTGTTTGTACTGGCAGATGGCTTTGTGGCTCCTGTCTGGCCTGTGTCTAGTTTTTTCTTACCTGACCATCGCTCTGTGGCTGGGACCAGCCTTGTGTTCTCCTTGGCGTCTGGTGAAAACATGGCCTGGGGTAGCCTCTGCTTCTTCCAAAGGAAGGTGCAAATTCAATCCACCGCCACAATGGGAAGCAAGTTCAAAGGTTTTTACTTATAGATCCTGGGCATGGAGGCCATCATGAGTTGGGAGGGCAGTGCTCCATCCCAGGGTCACATTGAGGCAGGGATTAAGATTCAGGCAGAGAGATCCAACTAGAAATATATATAGGGGAATAGGATGTGGGTCACTTTAAGTTCATGGGCAAATGTCTGAATGGTCCATTTAAAGGAAGTGGTGGGAAAGTGGAAAGCCCAGTCTGCTAGGCAGAGAGTCGCCTCTAAGTTCTTATCTCTGGCCACCAGCTTGGGTCTTTGGGTGTGGTGTTCTACTTCTAATGCCCAGGCAGCAACCTCTGCTGTTTTGTTTCTGTTATACCCTCTACACCCTCAGGTGCTCTCTGGCTGCCTTCAACACTGAGGCTCCTGGTATAGAACCAGGACCCTCCCTAAGTCTTGGACAAGGAGCCAGAAGCAAGTAGGGAACATCATTATGATTTTTAGGCTGCCCCCCGCTGGAGCTGGGATCCTCTCCGCCACCCCCTGGGTCACTGAGCAGGTTTCAGTTGCTCACATGGCTCCCATGCTCAACACCAAAACTGGAATGGAGAAAGGCTGCTCTGCTCCAGCTGTCCTCCATCACCTCTCAACTGGGCCCGCCATCCTATCATTGCTGCTGAAATAAAATGGCCCTGCCTTAAGTTAGCCATGAAAAGAATGCCATGCCAGTACAATGGTGCCTAATACTTAACCTTTGCACCGTTGTTACCTTGGAGGCCCTCTTGCATAGCTACTCAAATACCAGAGTGTTCTGCCAGGAGGCTCCATGCTGGGCATGGTCCAACTCCATGCCTTTGCCCTAGCACAGAACTTGAAGGACGGGTAGATGAATGGACAGACAAGTAGGTGCTTGGGCAGATAGATGGTTGAATGGAAGAATTGAAGGATGAGTACATGGATGGATGCGTGCGTAGGTGGGTGGGTGGATGGATGGATGGATGGATGGATAGAGGTACATGTGGGTGGATGGACAGGTGGATGGGTGGGTGGGTGGACAGGTGTATGGGTGGGTGGATGGCATGGATGGATGAATGGATGGACAGATGGATGGATGGATGGATAGATGGACATGTGGGTGGATGGACAGGTGGATGGGTGGTTGGGTGGACAGTTGTGTGGGTGGGTGGGTGGATGGCATGAATGGATGGACAGATGGATGCACAGACAGCAGATGGATGGATGGATGGATGGACAAGTGGATGGGTGGATCAATAGATGGATGGATGAAGAGAGAGAGGGAGGGAAGGAAGAGAGATGGGTGGGTGGGTGGGTAGATGGATAGATGGATGAATGGATGGATAGATAGATAGGAAGAAGGATGGATAGGTTGGTAGATGTTACATGAAGGCAGAGTTCTCTGAGGGCCTCTGCAGTGCCTTTCACAGCACCAGTGTATAGTAAGTGCTCAATGAATATTTATTGGTTTTTTGGTTGGAAATATGATGGCCCTGCTTTAAGTTTTGCATGAGAAGAATGCTGTGCCAGTACAAAGGTGCCTAATACTGAGCCTTCACGCTGTTGTTACCATGGGGGTCCTCCTGTGTAGCTGCTCAGATCCCAGAGTGTTCTGCCAGGAAGTGAAGATGGGACTCAGAACCCAGGCCTGAGAGGGCTACCATTCACCTTGCTCTGCCCGCTTCTCAGTATTAGTACCTGACTCAAGAGCAGCTCCTCTCTTTCCAGCACTGCCCCCTCCATTCCTTGAATTAGGGAAGGAACAGTGCTCCACATTTCTAGCTGGGGTATTTCTCTCTCCAAGTATGCAGGTTTTAACTCCATATTCTCTCCCCCTGTGCTGTTCATTATGTTGTTCAACCATTCACTCGCCGGCACTCAACGCATACTAGGTGACAGGGACAAACAAGCAACTTCCAAAAGCACTTGACCCCCCAGGCACTGCAGCTTGGCTTTCAGGTGTGGCTGGGCAGGCTAATCACCTGCAGTGTTTCAAAATGCACACCCAGGAGCACTGCATTTAGACCTGGCATAAAATATATGTGTGTGTATGTGTGAATATGTATTCATGTCAATACATATTTAAAACATTCCTCTTCTACTTCCCTTTCCTTCCTTGCTGAAAAAGTAAGTTCTAAAGCCATTAGGTGGGGCAAAGCAAGGTGGCATCTGGAGTGGGTGGGGGATGGGAGGACACCAGGGGCCAGAGCCAGATGTCAGCCACACAGGTGAAGAGGGCCACCTCACGGATGGGGAGCAGAGGTGGGAGATGGCTGACATATGGGAAGACTGATCAAATAAGGAAATGCTTTAGAATGAATACGAACAAGTTTTCTGAAAGTAAGTGAAGAAAGTTGCAAATAGAATTAACTTTATGGGGTTGGATTGGAATTGGAGGTATCAGTGAACTCAAGGTTTTCTATAAATATTGAGAGGGAGAGAAAGATGAAAATAAACATGGAGAGGGAGAGAAAGATGAAAATAAACATGCAAAAATATGTATCCATGTGTGAGTGTGAACTTGAACCATCTTTTTGCACCAGGAAGCAAGAAAGTGCTCTAAGAAATGATGGGAGCTGGGCACGGTGGCTCACACCTGTAATCCCAGCACTTTGGGAGGCTGAGACAGAAGGATGACTTGTGCCCAGAAGTTCGAGACCAGCCTTGGCAACATAGCGAGACCCCGTCTCTACAAAAATGAAAAAAGTTTTCTGGGCATAATGGTGGCCTGTGGTCCCAGCTACTTGGGAGGTCAGAATGGGAGGCTCACTTGACCCCAGGAGTTCGAGGCTGCGGTGAGCTATGATCTCACCACTGCACTCCGGCCTGGGCAACACAGTAAGACCCTGTCTCAAAAAAAAAAAAAAAAGAAAGAAAGAAAAGAAAAAAAGAAATGATGAGGATGTCAAAAGGACACAGATCCAGCTTTAGAGAAGCCACACTGACCACATCAAGGAGTATCTGAGCATCCACATAATCACACTAATGGATTATAACCCACTGAATAAAATGGAAAACCAGAAATCCATAGTGATACCAATAAACCTATAAAGATTTGGTGAGGAATGGAGTATTTGCATAGGTTCAAGTTCCTCTCCACAAAATGCTTGTTAATTTCAAATGAAAAATTAGTAGTCTGCAGGGGCAAGGCCTGGAAGATGACCTTAAGGAGTGGTCCAGGTCAACCTCACCAGTGATGGGACAACCTCACCAGTGATGGGACAATCTGCAGTTCACACAACCTGATAAGATGTCACAAGAAGGACTCAGCTTGACCCAATCCAATCTAACTGTGAGGAAATAGAGAAACCCTTATGAAGGACATTCTACAAAATACCCAACCTGTAATCTTCAAAAATGTCAAGGTCATGGAAGTCAAGGATATCCTGAGAAATGTTCCAGGTGAAGGAGACTAAGGAGACGCCACCGCTGAATGCAGCACCTGATCCTGAGCAGGAACCTTTGTTCTAAAAGGCATTATTGGGACAGCTGGCACACACACGTGGGGTCTGGTGATTGCATGTAACTGTGTGAATTCCTGATGTCGGTAGCCGTGTGGTGGTTGTGTCGGAGGATGTTCTGTTCATAGAAAATGAGCAAGAACTTTCCAGGGTGATGGGGTGCCAGGTTGGCTGTTTATTTTCAAATGGTTCAGGGAAACAAAAGCTCTTTTTACTGTATGTGCGCAACTATTTTGTGAGGTTTCGATTGCTGCCAATTTTTTGAACTGTTAAAATAAGGTTAATTGGGTTGGATGTGGTGGCTCATGCCTGTAATCCCAGCACTTTGGGAGGCCAAGGCTGGTGGATCACTTGAGGCCAGGAGTTCGAGACCAGCCTGGCCAACATGGTGAAAACCCGTCTCCACTACAAATACAAAAAAATTAGCTGGGCATGGTGGCAAATGCCTGTAATCCCAGCTACTTGGGAGGCTGAGGCTTGTAAAAAGTAAAATAGAGGTTCTTCTTTAAAGACTTTCCTCCCCATCTAGTTAAAAATAAATAGTAACTTCTTTTAGAAGCAAAATTTATTCAAAGACCTGTGCTAACATTCTTAAATATCTGCTAGCCATAATAAAAAAATCAACATACTTTATATTCTTAGCTCCCACAATTTAACCTAAATATTTGCCTTGCATACTTATACTAGTCCAAGCAAGCACTAAGTCATAGTCTGGTCCTCTTCCTTCTTTAAAAGCATTTTTACCTTTCTCAACATTCCACAAGTTACTTCCTCCTTCCTTTATTCTCCTCTGCATTTGCCTCTTTTAAAAAATTCTAAGTTACTAACCAATCAAAACAAATACAAAATGTAAAATCCCGTTCCAGCCAATAAAAACCAGACACATCAGTAAGGTGGACACGTCAGGTTATAAATGACCCTGTCTCCTTTATTCAATATACTCTCATAACAAAACTGCTGGCAAGTACACCCTTTCTACAGAAAATAAAAAATGGCCTCGCTAAAAAAAATTAAATTTATATTCAAGTAATATTGCTTTACGACACCAGGAAACAAACATTTCAAACAATTTTGGTGACCCGTATGGGGATACATTCTCTGCCGGGGGTGGTCTCCAGTCCCTCCTCATAAGGGAGCGTGCTCCTCTGCCACATTGCAGTGGCCTCAAGGATAAGAGCTCAAAACCCACCCGGTATGTGGAATAAACTCAGAGTCTCAGCAATGCAAAAAAAAAACAATTCCTCACATATCACGTGAACCAGAAAACTGTGCACAGATTGAGGAAAAAACACCAGGAAAAAACACCGGTAAAGTATTTCCTTAGTAATCAAGACTGAGGAAAAAGCTGCGGGGCAGTAAAGCATTCCTTAGTTAAAACATACCAAGGAGAGAGAAACTGCAGGGGCAGTAAAACATTCCTTAGGACTAGACACAAAAAGCCATGGGAGGTGGTAAAATATTTCTTAGCCAGGATGTCTTAAAGGTTAAAAAAAGGTAAAAAAAATCCCCACTGAGTGGGGGTTAAACCTCAAAAAGAGGTGAGAAATCCCCATGGGCGGGGGGGTTAAGCCTCAAGGTAAAAAATCCCCATTGTCGGGGGTTAAACCTCAAAAAGAGGTGAGAAATCCCCATGGGGGAGGAGTTGAACCTCACACAAACCTCCGATAGTAAAATATATATACATATATATGTATGTTACATATAGATATACATATATATGTATGTTACATATAGATATACATATATATGTATGTTACATATAGATATACATATATATGTATGTTACATATAGATATACATATATATGTATGTTACATATAGATATACATATATATGTATGTTACATATAGATATACATATATATGTATGTTACATATAGATATACATATATATGTATGTTACATATAGATATACATATATATGTATGTTACATATAGATATACATATGTTACATATAGATATACATATGTTACATATAGATATACATATGTTACATATAGATATACATATGTTACATATAGATATACATATGTTACATATAGATATACATATGTTACATATAGATATACATATGTTACATATAGATATACATATGTTACATATAGATATACATATGTTACATATAGATATACATATGTTACATATAGATATACATATGTTACATATAGATATACATATATATGTTACATATAGATATACATATATGTTACATATAGATATACATATATATGTTACATATAGATATACATATATATGTTACATATAGATATACATATATATGTATGTTACATATAGATATACATACATATATATATTCAAAACTCCCCTTTCCCCTCTTCTTGGGGGAAAAAAAAAAGACTAAGCTCCACTCCTGCCAGTCGCTCCTCTAGGGGAAGGGGAAAAAAAAAAGCAAAAACACCAAGCATGACGCCACACAGCCAGGCACACCAAAAATTAAGTCCCTCTCCCCACCCGAGCTCTGTGTGAAAAAGAGAGCGGGGACTGTCGCAGAAAGAAAAGCCAACAAGATGAAAGGACCTAACTCTTACGACTAACGACAGGTGTCTGCCAAGCCTGTGGGCCAGTGATGGCCCTGGGCCAGGACTGCAGCCGGCCGGGGGCCAAGACTACAGCCATGCAAATCCCACCCAGCCCAGAAAACTAAGTGTAGAAAAAATAAATAAATCAGGGAAAAAAAAAAAAAACAGGGGAAACAGACGGCAGCGCATACATGCAGGCGGGGCCCGTCCCTTGCCCAGCCTGCGCCGCAAGACCGGGAAAAAAAAAGGAAACAAAAAATGACAGAGAGGGAGAGAAAAATAAATGCAAATTAAAAAAAAAGGAAAATAAAGTGCAAATAAGAAAAAAAAATAGAAAAAAGTAAAAAAATAACTAGAAAAGACAAAAATCAAAGAAAGACATGGTAAAATTAGGAAAAGAAATAATGTAAAAGGCAGAACGTTAAAACATGTTAAAAATTGTCTATAAAAGTCATAAGAAGTTATAAAAAAAATTTATGCAAAAAATATTACGTAATTTAAAAGTAATTAGGCCTCCTAAATGTAAAACTATTTAAAAAACAGTTTATACAGTTTATATACAAAATATGTAAAAATATATACTTTTAATAAAATTACAAAAAGACATAAAAATATGAATTTTTACCTACATTAAAAGGTTAAAAAAATTTTGTTTTAAAACTTTAAACAAGGCTGGGCGTGGTGGCTCATGCCTATAATTTCAGCACTTTGGGAGGCCAAGGCAGGCGGTCACGAGGTCAGGAGATCAAGACCATCCTGGCTAACATGGTGAAACCCCATCTCTACTAAAAATACAAAAAAAATAGCCGGGCATGGAGGCAGGCACCTGTAGTCCCAGCTACTCGGGAGGCTGAGGCAAAAGAATGGCGTGAACCCAGGAGGCGGAATTTGCGGTGAGCTGAGATCGCACCACTGCACTCCAGCCTGGGCAACAGAGCAAGACTCCGTCTCAAAAAAAAAAAGTTTAAACAAATTTAAAAATATTAATTATAAAGAAAATTCTGTATGTAAACATATTAGCTAAAGAGGTATCCAATTTTTCTGTAAACTAAACATTAAAATAAAAGCACAATAAATTTTTCTTAAAGCACTAACCTGCTCTTTAAGAAAAATTATAAAAAGTTTTAAAAAGTCTATAAAAACCTTACCTTATAGTCAGACATTAAAAGTAAATAATGTCTTCAAAATTTTATTAAAATAAAGTTTAACATTAATAGCACATTAATGTTAAAAAACATAAAATCATACAAAAAGCATTATCAAATATAAAATAGTGCTTAACTTTCTCAAAGCCCGAGGGCGGCCGAATAAGTCACAAGGCCCCTCATCCCCAAGGCCACAACGCGCAGGGGCGGTGAAGGCCACAAAAAAGCCAAGACCTTAAGAGGGGGCAGGGCCACAATGTCCCCTAGGCAACGCTAAGCAGAAATGGAGCAGAAGACGTCACCATGGGGCCTCAAGCCCCAGAATACGCAACAAAAATTATATACGTAATTTATCTTCCACTTTCCCTTTCCTCAAAACTAAAAATCTTTTAACACAGGTACCAACCCTAAAATTTCTAGTACATCAGCACCAGCCTACAAACCACATTCTTGCCTGGCGCAGTGCCTCACGCCTGTAATCCCAGCACTTTGAGAGGCTGAGGCAGGCGGATCATGAGGTCAGGAGATCAAGACCATCCTGGCTAACACAGTGAAACCCCGTCTCTACTAAAAATACAAAAAGAAATTAGCCGAGCGTGGTGGCGGGCGCCTGTAGTCCCAGCTACTGGGGAGGCTGAGGCGGGAGAATGGTGTGAACCCAGGAGGCGGAGCTTGCAGTGAGCGGAGATCGCGCCACTGCACTCCAGCCTGGGTGACAGAGCAAGACTCCGTCTCAAAACAAAACAAAAACACATCCTTATCAAAAAATAAAAAACTCAAGCCAGCCTGGGAAGGACCCTATTTTATGCTGTTAACCACTAAGACCCCTGTCCACACAGCCAAGAAAAAAAGGACCCACTATACTCAAATCAAGAAAACATCTTAGGTTACTATACTAAAATCAAGCCCTACTAAGTTAAAATTTTAAAAAGCTTAATTTTCATATACTTTCTCTATTACTTCCTTTCCTTTCCTTATTCTGTTACTAGCTCCCTTGTTATTAATGTAACTAAATCTAACTCACCTCAAACCATTGCCTTTAATGCTTGCTCTATCATACCTTGTAAAAATATTAAAAAATCAATGACAGCTAGCCTTTTCACACAAATATTTATGTCCTGGCCCTCTAATTAACACAATTACCCCTAACACTTATCGTTATAATCACCTGCAGCCAAAACGCCAATTTTCTGCTCCTACTGAGAGGTGAAGCCAGCTGGACTTCCTGGGTTGAGTGGGGACTTGGAGAACTTTTCTGTCTTACAAGAGGATTGTAAAATGCACCAATCAGCACTCTGTAGCTAGGACTGTAAAACACACCAATCAGTGCTCTGTAAAACGCACCAATCAGCAGAATCCTAAAAGTAGCCAGTCACAGGGAAGATTGAAAAAAGGACATTCTGATAGGACAGAAATGGAACATGGGAGGGGCCAATAAGGGAATAAAAGCTTGCCACCCCCCCAGCCAGCAGCGGCAGCAACCTGCTCGGGTCCTGTTCCATGGTTTAGAACCTTTGTTCTTTCTCTCTCCACAATAAATCTTGCTGCTGCTCACTCTTTGGGTCCGTGCCACACTTAAGAGGTGTAACACGCGACTTCATTCTTGAAGTCAGTGAGACCACAAAGCCACTGGAAGGAACCAACTCCGGATACACTACAGCCTAACAACCTTATAATAAATGGAACGACGTCCTTTAAATTACTCAAGAGCAAAGTTAAACTTCCACACACACACAAAAAAAACATACAGATCTAAAACCCTTCATCTATTTCATTAAAAAACCTACCCAACCTTCTCAATATAACCCTGTCCTTCTGTCACCACCTCCACCTTAACTAACTCTAAACCTACCCTTAATCACTTCTATAATATAGAAATTTGACAGAAATTTTTAAAAACCCTAAATATTTTTAAAATACACATTATTCCCCCATCTTCCCCTTCTTCAGTAGCCTAAGTTCTAAATCCGACACCAGTTACTCCTGCATCTAATAAAAGTAGAATGCCTATTATAAAAATAAAAAATTAAAGACAGACCTTAGCCATCAAAACAATACATCAAAATACAAATGCCTAGCTAAAATATTCCATTCACACTTTAAAAACAATTATTACACTATTACATTTGTACACATGGTACTCCAGAGGCCCAAATTATCCCCTTTCCACTTAAATGGTCACCTCATCAACCAAATATAAACTATATAGTAGCTCTTTTTCAAAATCCCACTGCTTAAAATAATCCATCATGCCAAGCTCTCTCTGCTATTTCCTAAAATTTAACACTGTGCGGGTCAGCCCCTGAGGACAATCCAGCTTGCACCTTTTCTAAATGCCAAACTTACACTGTGCCTCTCATGGCAAGAAAAAAATTTAATATTCCTTAAAAGCATTTAAAAAATGCTTTTTCCAAAAGCTCGCCCATCAATCCATGCTTAGCCATCCCCAAGCAAATATATGGTAGTACTGTAAAGGACCTTTACTAAACGCTGTGCCAAATATTTGAAACAGTACTAATCCAGTTAGCTGTCCTTCACTCTAGCATTTCATCAATCTAAAAAAATAAAAACAAAACACCGCAGGCCAAAAAAAATTCCTTGTAAGTCCTTTAATCCTCAAGTTTATATAAATGCTATTAAAATCCTGTAAAAAAAATTTCAAATAAATTTAAAATACAAAATCAAATAGCTGCAAAATTTAAGTCCACGTTATTCTGGTAAGTATGAATTTAAAAAATGTAAACTAAACTGTATCTGTTACAATCAGCAACAATTCATAAATTACACTGAAAACGCCATCAAAAAAATAGCTAAGCAATTAGGACCTACCAGACAAATTGCCTTAAAAAAAGCTTTAAATATAATATCAGCAAAAAAAAAAGTCATAATTAAAACTCAATATTGTACCTTTATTCCTAATACTGCCCCTAACAAAACTATAACAAAAGCACTACAAAAATTAACAGCACTATCCAATAAACTTGCCAAAAATTCTAAAATAAATAACCCTTTTTCTAAAATAATAAAACATTAATTCGATAAGTAAAAAAAAAAATTGTGGCCAGGCATGGTGGCTCACGTCTGTAATCCCAGCACTTTGGGAGGCCGAGGCAGGTGGATCACGAGGTCAGGAGATCAAGACCATCCTGGCTAACACGTCTCTACTAAAAATACAAAAAATTAGCCGGGCGTGGTGGCGGGCGCCTGTAGTCCCAGCTACCAGGGAGGCTGAGGCAGGAGAATGGCGTGAACCCGGGAGGTGGAGCTTGCAGTGAGCCGAGATCATGCCACTGCACTCCAGCCTGGGCGACAGAGTGAGACTCCACCTCAAAAAAAAAAAAATTAACTTCAATTCTCACCTTGTTCGCTCTTATTAATATACTTATAAGCTATTATGTTATTCCCTGCCTTCAAAATTTTATACAAAAACTTATCTCTACCACTCTTACAAAGTTAACTCCTAACTCTCCTCCACCCTATTCGAAAAATTACTTCTCTTAAAGCTATTAAAACAGACAAATTAAAAAAAAATTATAAGAGGGAGAATTGTAAAAAGTAAAATAGAGTTTTCTCTTCAAAGCCTTTCCTCCCCATCTAATTAAAAATAAATAGTAACTTCTCTTAGAAGCAAAATTTATTCAAAGACCTGTGCTAAGATTCTTAAATATCTGCTAGCCATAATAAAAAAATCAGTATACTTTATATTCTTAGCTCCCACAATTTAGCCTAAATATTTGCCCTAGCATACTTATACTAGTCCAAGAAAGCAGTAAGTCACATCCTGTTCCTCTTCCTTATTTAAAAGTATTTTTACCTTTCTCAACATTCCTTCCTTTATTCTCCTCTGCGTTTGCCTCTTTTAAAAAATTCAAAGTTACTAACCAATCAAAACAAATACAAAATGTAAAATCCCATTCCACCCAATAAAAACTGGACACAGCAATAAGGTGGACATGTCAGGTTATAAATAACCTTATCTCCTTTATTCAATATACTCTCATAACAAAACTGCGAGCAAGTATACCCTTTCTACAAAAAATATAAAAATAGCCTTACTAAAAAAATTTATATTCAAGTGCTATTTCTTTACACCACCAGAAAACAAACATTTCAAGCAGGTTGCATTGAGCTGAGATAACGCCACTGCACTCCAGGCTGGGTAACAAAGCAAGACTCTGTCTCAAAAAAAAAAAAGGTAAATTGAGTCATAAGAAAAAGAAAAAACATGGGTAGTATGTAACCAAAATTCCACAGGTGATGGTAATGCATTCCCTAGGATTCACACCCTGCATTCTGGAAGTCCCAGGTGGCTGGGAACTGTGCCCATGAACCCATGAAGCTCTTTCCCCAGGCCATGCCAGGGGCCACATTTGCCAGCCCTGGCCCCACCTGCTGCCGTCGTCACAGACTCCCTCAGCTAATTCTGAGCATTCCTCAGACACTCAGGAACAAGTCTGAGAGCCACCTCTGGGGAGTCTTGGCTGGTGCTGTCATCTCAGCTGGCAGGCACTGCAGGTGCAGCCGAGGCTCCATAACGCTGTGAGCTCTGGCTGTCCTCTCAACGTGCACCTCCCTTTTGGGTGGCCTTGCTATGGGGGGACATCGAGGCTGCCACCTTCTGCCCGAACGTCTTAGGGTTTGAGTGGAAGCATTCTTGAGCCTGCGGTTTCCCTGATCCTCAGACGTGAGCCTGGGCATGGTCAGGGAGGGTCTGGGCCACCTGGGCTGCACATTCACATCGCATCCCCTCCAGCTCTGGATTGAAATCCAGACAGCCTTCTCACTGTTCTCCTCCATTGGGGTGAGTGTCTTCTAGAAGGCTCCTCAGATCTTGGTGGTAATGACCCCACCAGCCCATCAGATGTGCCCAGGGAACCCCTGGGTCCCTGAGAGAAATAAACAGGAGAGGAACCCCTCCATCCCTCTGGCCCCCACTGCTTCCTTGTGAAACACCCCCAGAAAGCCAATAGCCCTGCTACCACAGGCTCTGGTGGGCTGCCTCCGCCTGCAGAGAGACTCGCCTTCACAGCGGCCGGCACCCTTCACCTGCGGGCTCTTTCCAACTCATCTTCTGAGACCGCTCCCACGGTGGGGTAGGGGAGCTGGGACCTGTGCATTTGCCATCGGCGGATGGCATGAGAAGTGGCCCAGGATGGCGCAGCTGCCGGGGTCCATGAAGATAATATCCAGAGTGGGGAGGGCTCAGCCCCTGCATGAAGCAGTCCCCACTTTCTCCATCCTCCACCCTGTTTTAGTCAGTGACCAGCTGGCTCTGTTTTGTTTCACAGTGTGGACAACTCTGAGGACCCCGTGTACGAGAGCCTGGAAGAGTTCCACGTTTTTGTCCTAGCCCATATATTAAGAAGGCCCATCGTTGTTGTGGCAGATACAATGTTAAGAGACTCAGGTGGAGAAGGTAAGTTCCTCAAAGAGATGTGTTGTATTCATGACACAGAAAGCATAGCATCCCAGCTAGAAAGCAGATAGCACAGCACAAGGTCGAGCTCCCAGAGGCCACAAAGCATCACTCTGTGCAAAGATCTCCTCGACGTGTTTCTTTCTCCTCCCTGATGGCAGCAGAGATTGTTCTTGACTAGCTGCCCTGCCTATCAACGGCAGGTGGCCAGGAGAAATCTGGTCGTGTGAGGACCAGGACCAAGCCCAGAGGGGCTCCTGTCTCCTGTCGTGTGCCTAGGGCATAGCAGACAGCCCACACCCCTCCAACAGCCCTGGGCCATGTCCTGGAGGCACTCAGTCACTCAGGTGTGTTCCCACCCCTCCGCAGACCACATGTGTGTTAAAGACTAAAAAGAAAGGAAGACAGAATGCATAGAGTCATTTGGCAAAAGCTATGGTAGAATCAGAACTGGCAGAGAAAGAGGCAAGGGCAGTTTATGGCCTGCCCACCAAAAGCCACACTCTGTGCACAGCCCCTTCTAGAATGTTCCTCCATTCAGCCCTTGCTACAACCTCCCAGGGTGGACACCACCCTCCCCACTTTACAGAGATGAAACTGAAGCCCAGAGAGGCTAGGCAATGTCCCCAGCGGGGATCAGCCAAGGGCAGGGAGTGATCCAAAGCCTGTCCTCCCTCCAGCGTGCAGCTGCCCAGTTTGAATTTACACCTGCACCTTAACAAAAGTCATAGGTCTTCCAGGGAGCTCTACGAATCAGGATGTGGCTCTTCACGCTAAATCACAGCTGCCATAAAAAATCTGATGTGGCCACGATGGTTATGTAGCCAGGGAACTGGTAGGACACAGGTCCTGCCTGGCCCACCCCCTTCCCTGTGTGGCTCAGGGACGCGGGCCTGCTGAGGTCTGCAGGTCTCCGTGCAACACCAGGGCTTGCATCAGGGCACTGCTGCGTAAGCCCAGGACTGAGCTCCCAGCACCATCAGATCTCTGAGTTGCGGGGCAGAGGAAGGTCCACGCTTCCTACCATGCTACTCACAGCCCTCTTGCAGGTACCCCCACCCTGTCGCCTCTCAGTCTGACTCTCCTGTGAGCACAGTGATCAATTTAGACAAAGTGAGGATGGCGGAGGAACTCATAAGAGTTCATCAAAGACATCCCTGAAATTACCGTCCCTGAATTCTGCTCAAGGAGTGCAGCAATACACTCACTCTAGGGCCAAAAGTAAAGACGTTTCATGACCTCAAAGCAGATGCTGCTTTAGGACAGATATTTCCAGAAGTTATTCTATTTTGCTGAGGGTGTTAGGCTTTTCTGCCCTCTTTTTTTACAAGTAAGAAAATGAGTGAAATTGTGTCCCTGTCACTGAAGGACTTGATCCCTCTGATTCTCAGTTCCCATCTGACTTACATCTTGGTCCTGGAGCTCTCTGACTGGTTCCTTCAAATTCAATAGAAGAGGTTCTCAAAACATAGAGCAAATATACACCCTTGAGAAGCGCACATACTCTGTTGTATACAAATGCTTTACCAAACACTAGGAAAGGAAGAAGTACATCCAGAAAAAGGTGGGCTTCCAGGCTGCAACTGCTCTGACCAATCTCGGGTGACTGTCATCCCAGCCCTGGGGCTCCTGTACACCTGTGCAGGTCTCAGGGCAGCAGGAGTCCTGGGGCAGACAGATGACTCTGGAAACCCTCAGCCCCATCCCTCAGCACCGCCTCCATCCACCCCTCCTGTCCCTCCGCTTCTCCACGGAGTCCCCCCGGGGTAGTGAGGGACAGGGATGCAGGGGCCTCCCCTCCCAGCTCGAGCTGGCTGCTCCTCACACCCTCACCCTGGTTTGTGTCCACAGCGTTCGCACCCATCCCATTCGGAGGGATCTACCTGCCCTTGGAGGTCCCTCCCAACAGATGCCACTGCTCGCCTCTGGTTCTGGCCTATGATCAAGCCCATTTCTCTGCCCTCGTGTCCATGGAACAGAGAGACCAGCAAAGAGAACAAGGTATGCCTGTCTCCCAAGAGAGTGCACGCAGGAGCCTAGGGTGGGGGCAGAGCCATCAGAAGGGACCCCATTGCACGGGGAGGTGGATTGTGGAGACCCCCCCTTAGAAGCACACCTGTGCACACTCAGCAGTGACAGTTTTTGCATAAAGCTACCTTATGCATGTGTGAACGTTTTCATTGAAAATAACAATGTTAAAGACAACATTCTCTTTAAAATACTAAACAAAGGCAACCTACCCTTAAATAGCTTTTACTGTTTTCCCTTTCACATGTATACATATTTTATAGGAATGCAATTAGTCTTAGATATAAATTAAAGGGAAAAAAACTTCAAAAGCAAGTATTAATGAACTATGGCCCACCACCCATTTTATAAATAAAGTTTTATTGGAACAGAGCCACATTCATTCACAGATGCATCATCTGTGGCCGTTTTTGCACTACAGTGGTAGAGAGAGGAGCAGCCACAGACACCAAGGCCTGCAGCGCCTAAAATATTTACTTACTAATTAGCTATTTATGGGAAGAGTTTGCTCACCCCTGCTCCAGGGTAAGCTTTTAACTCAAAAGGTCAACATTTCCTTTCAAAGCATTGCAGCTGAGTTTCCTCTAAGCAGCCATTTCAGTGCTGCTGATGTTGGGCCAGCCCACAGGCTGTGCACTGCACAATTCCAGGGCACCAGTCAATGTCTTTACTGGGGAAATAGGGGGATTTTGTTTGGAACAATTGCTGTTTTCTCATGTTAGCTACTGATGGATGTGTGACCAGCTGAGTGGAGAGGAAACCCCTTCCTGTTGTCATTCTTGTTTGTAGTATAGGCAGAGACTCACTCCCCCAGGGGACAGACGGACAGGCAAGACCAACTATTTCAGAGTCCCTGCCATTAGGTATGGTCCCAGAGAATGGGAAGTGCCCTGTCCAGGGCCAACAGGGGGAAGGAAGCTCAGGGGTGTCTGCTTCTGACCTTTTCCACTGAGTGTGCAGCTCAGGAAGTAAATATAGCAACAAGATTGCACCCCTAGGACTCCCAAATGCTACTCCTTCCTGTAGACAGCTGGGAAGGAAAGGACACAGACAAATGAACAGAACCCAGCCTCCCCCAGCCCTCCGCCAGAGGCGGCACCAGCGTGTCACTTCCTGGCCTGGCAGTTGAGTCGGGAATGAGGCTGGGGCTGTGGAGCAGAAGCTGAAGGTGAGAAATGCACAGGGCATTTGAGACCCCTTCCCAAGAGCAGATGCAGAGCTCCCAGGAGCTGACATGCGTGGTGCAGCCGCAGAACCCAAGTCACAGGAAGAGAGACGACTGGAGGCTACAGCCGGCCGTGACAAGAATGTCACATCATGGTTCTTTATTATTTGCAGATGTGGCACTGGCCACAGAAGGAAAGATTTAATCAGTAAGGCCTCGGAGGTGCTCCGGTCTTTCCATTGTCTCCCCACTTTCAATCCGGAATGCGGAATGCCTGCACCTCCTTCCCGGGGATTTAGCTCTTCGTAGGGCTGACCCCGCCTCTTGGGAGACCAGAAGGGCCTTTTCAGGACCTGGGATCGGCCAGGGGCGGGGCCCTCTGTCCAGTCCCCAGGGAGATTCTGTGGTCAGAAGGTGATGGTCCCAAGGCCAGCGTCTCCCAGTTCCGAGCATGGGGTTCAGATACCCGACCCCCTCCTCGCAAAAGGCACCGAGTACTCTTCCAGGCCTTCCAGATACTGCTGCTTGGTGTTTTCAAGGCACATATGAAAGCATCCTCCCTTCAAAGGATGCCCATGGAGGGCGCTGTGGCTTGGGACCTTTCAGGAGGGCCTTGCAGAGTTGTGGGTGGTTTCACTTCTGATGACCTGGTTTCTAAAAACTGGGATCTGGTCCCAGTGCACCTCTCAGAGCCACTGTGGTGTGGGTCTTTGGCTCCCTCACAGTCAAAGCAGCCCACTGGGGTCCTCCTGGGGCGATGCAGGTCCCTGCCTCTAAGACCATCCTGTGGCCAGGCTGCACATTCACCCATAAGGTCCCCACCACCCACTGCAGGGCAGGTGCCATGGCCACGCTCTTTGTCACATGCACCCTTGTGCCCCCTTAGACCTTCACCTCTGCAGCCTTCCCTCTGTGCCTCAAAGGACACTGTGGGGACGGGACAGAGTCCCAGCTGTGCTCTCAAGTCACACGACATCTCAGCAGAGAGGGACGTGGAAATCACAGTGAGGCTGCAGCTTCCAGGATGAGCTGCAGACTCAGGCCTGCTGGAGTGAGCTGGCCAGACCGCAAAGTCGCAGGACCTGGTGGGAGGCAGGAGATGGGAGACTCCAGAATATCGAGCCCCAGGATGCCACCGGCCCCCACTGTGAAGCACAGGTGTCACCCTCTGCCATGGTACCCTGTCCGTCCTATAAACAGCACCCTGTGACAGAGGCTAATAGATACAATAATCACAGGCCCCAGGAAGAGCAGACACCGCATCCTTGTGCCTGCGGAACGATGCTTTGAGAGCCTGGAAATGAGATAAAAAATGTATTTCAGGCTGAGACAAGGCTCCCTTCTTCCCACCACCCACTTCCTCCTCCTCTGTTTACATGCCCCATCATGTCTCATCCACATGTGTCCAGCTCCTGGAGGCTTAAAAATCCATGAAGCATTCTTTAAACTTCTCATCGAGTGCCTCTCCCTCTAAGGGAAGCCCCCTCTTATAGGTGCTACTGCCGTGGCCCGGCTACTGCTGATGCCGCCACTGACCATCTTCAAGTTCAGGAATCCTCCCGTTTCCCAGGCTAGGCATGCAACATGGGGAGAGGGAAGGGCTTGAGGTGGAAGGTCAGGAGCTGGTGGGACTGGTCAGCTATGGGCAACCTCAGTGGCCCAGGCTTTGCAAATTTATCTTAGGACTTTTTAGATAAAATGTATGCATTCTTTCTTGGTAGCTTCCACACATGATGGTCACCTGCTTTCTCCTGGGGAGGACATTAGTCATTTGCTCCCTGACAACCTGAGCCTTGGGCCTTCAGCTTTTTGCAGGAAGCAGCCTCCTTGCAGCCACATCTTAAAATGGCCTGCAGGGGAGCTCTGTGAAACCCAGATCCGGGCATTCTCTCAGCACCCAGCTCAGGTCAGTTCCTACTGGCCACTGAGCAAATGTGTACATTATGAAAAATCAAATCAATTAACAGGAGAAGCAGAGGTGCCGCATAGTTCCTGGAAACATAGAACCTAGGAAAGAACTTTGGAATCATCCAGTGCAACAATCCCAACTCCCCTCCTTTTATAGCAAACATTGTCCAGTGTACTCTTCATTACCCTGAAATGAAATTCATGGATAATGTTACCTGTGTTGGAATAAAGTCCATTTAGTACCCCCACATCAGGAGAAATCAAAGGAAACCAATGTAATAAAATAATCTGCATTTCTGTAAATATTCTCACACAGCCATACTGCAAAACTCAATGAAGCAATCAGATCCTGGCACCCATATGTGGGGTGCCCAGTTACACAGAGAGGGGACACAGGTGTGCTGAGCATACCCTCAAATACCCCAGGAGGCTCTACAGTCCAAAATGGCAGCTAACTCTTGGTAAAGTCCCAAACAAGCCAAGCACAGCCTTGCCCATCTCCACAGCTCCTCTTCCCTTTGGGTGGATATAGAGCCGTGCAGAGCATACCCATGTGTACATGTTAGCTCTCGGCCTGGCCAGCAGGTTGCACTGGGAAGGGCTGGGTGCATACAGGTGCTGCCTAGGTCTGCACCCCACCTTCATGCTCATATATTTGCAGGTGCTTCCTGTGCTCAAGGGCTGTTCTAGGTCCTTTCCAGGAATACCTATTTAACCCTTCCCATTTCCTCTTCCCCACTTTACAGAGGGGGAAATTGAGAAAGGAGGAACCATCCCCAGGGAATAGTTGCAGCCAGTGAAGGGTTGGGAGGGTGGATGGCGAGGCTTCCACAAAGACTTGGCCCAAGAGAGTGGCATCTCCAAGAGAAGAGGCTCAGGAAGTGGTACCCCAAGTCAAAGCCTGCTTGGGATAAGATAGCGTCTCAGACCCAGGACTCAGGAACCTTCAGGGTCGAAGAGGGTAGGGAGGGGGTGCTTTGTTTCATGGAAGGTGTCAATGCCATCTGTGGCTATTCTTTTCTTAAAAATTAATATTTATTGGCCAGGCACAGTGGCTCACACCTGTAATCTCAGCACTTTGGGAGGCCGAGGTGGGTGGGTTGCCTGAGCTCAGGAGTTCAAGACCAGTCTGGGCAACATGGTGAAACCCCATCTCTACTAAAATATAAAAAATTATCTGGGCATGGCAGCATGTGCCTGTAATCCCAGCTACTCAGGAGGCTGTGACAGGAGAATCTCTTGAACCTGGGAGGTGGAGGTTGCAGTGAGCCAAGCTTGCGTCACTGCACTCCAACCTGGATGACAGAGTGAGACTTCATCTCAAAAAAAAAAAATTAACATATAAGTCAATTATTTAAATAGTTTTTCCCTCATATATACAAACAGCCTGTGAGCCTCTGAGGCATATCCAGGGGCCACACAGAGGTCAGGGCACCCTCAGTGTGTCCTCAGTGCCTTCCCCCAAGGGTCCCACTTAAGGAACCTAGAGAGCAGCACACAGGAGCCCTGAGGGAGTCCACTGGTTACAGATGGAGGGGGAGATGCTGGTGTGAACAGAGAGCTCTGAAACGGCTGCAGACTGCAAGGATCGAGGCTTACAGATGATCACACCAAGGTTGGCCATCCCTTTATTGGGAACAGAGACTCAACACATTCAAAATGTGATACTTGAAAAAAAAAAAGTTTTTGCAAAGAGCAGCTTACCAATTTGTCTCTTGCTGCTTAGAAACAACACAGCAAGTTTATAAGTGTCTGCTAGGGATCTTGGGAGCCAAACAGAGTACTTCTACCCACCGGGCCATGGAAGCAGCCTTCCATCTGTATTTGATGTATGGCTCGTGGTTAAATCAAATGCTCACCTATGCTCTACTATTCCCCAAGCCACACGGAATGTAACATTCCAGTTTTCAATATGTTTGACAATGAACCATGCTTTTTCTTGCAGGATTAATTTATAATAAACAGATCCAATCTCTTTTTAAATAGAAATGTATCTTTACATGTTACAAGTATCATTACATATTCTGCTCAACTTGATTTTAAAATTGTGTTAAAGAATCATTTATCGGCGGGGCGCGGTGGCTCATGCCTGTAATCCCAGCACATTGGGAGGCTGAGGCAGGCGGATCACGAGGTCAGGAGATCAAGACCATCCTGGCTAACATGGTGAAACCCCGTCTCTACTAAAAAATACAAAAAATTAACTGGGCATGGTGGCAGGTGCCTGTAGTCCCAGCTACGCAGGAGGCTGAGGCAGGAGAATGGCATGAACCAGGGAGGCAGAGCTTGCAGTGAGCCAAGATCGTGCCACTGCACTCCAGCCTGGGCGACAGAGCGAGACTCCATCTCAAAAAAAAAAAAAATCATTTATCAAATACCAATCAAATTGGTCTATTTGTGTACCTATCTGAATAAAATAATGGAGGAAGTATGTAATGCCTATTACAAGACATTACGGTAAGAATCAGCTTAGTTCATGGTGGCAAGAAAGTTTTTTTTTTTGAAACTTTTTTTTTTTTTTTTGAGATGGGGTTTCATTCTGTCACCCAGGCTGGAGTACAGTGCCATGATCTTGGCTCATTGCAACCTCCACCTCCCAGGCTCAACAGATCCTCCCATCTCAGCCTCCCGAGTAGGTGGGACTACAGGCACATGCCACAAGCCCAGCTAACTTTCTGTACTTTTGGTACAGACGGTGTTTCTCCATGTTGCCCAGGCTGGTCTCAAACTCCTGAGCTCAAGTGATCTGTCCACCTCAGCCTCCCAAAGTACTGGGATTACAGGTGTGAGCCACTACGCCCGGCCAGCAAGAAGGTTTTGGAAACCAGAAGTGCCCCCAAACTGAATTACGTTTGTAATTAGTCTCCCTTCTCTTGGCTACTTTCTAAGTTTGTCAGTTGCCACTGAAAGATAGGGTCAGAGTGGGAGTAAAAAGCACAGCTACGCCTACCCTTGTGGTGTGTGGCCAGTCTCACTGGGCCATATTTCTTTGCCACTCCTCTCAGGAGCCCCAGAGCACAGAACCCTGAAGAACCTTTGTCTGCAAAGGCCCCTGGCTAAGGGGTGAGAGGCCGAGGAGCTGGGGTTGGGGGCATCCAGACTTTTAGCTGAGACCTTTGTTTCTCAAGTCTGTCATCTTTGACACTGTTGACCTACAGATCACAAAGCACCATGAGGTGGCCAGGAGCTATGGAAGGGACTTCATGGCTATGGAGCTCTGTCTTCAGCTTATAGAGTGGGCAGGTGCCCAGAGAGCTGAGTAACGCTGATTAAAAGCACGAGGTGTGTTTATCCACAATACATCTGCTGATTGGTTCATGCCCTACCCCAATGACCATCAACTCAGGGACCCAAAGCACTGTTCCAAAGGGATGCCAGCCACAGTTAACTCCACGGAAAGAACTGGCTGAGGGTTTTTCAGTCATGCCTGAAGGCCTGGAGAGAAGAGAAAGCAAGAGTGCACCCAGATGCCAGCCTCCCCTCAGGAGCCCTGCCTGTCCCCTCCTGAGCTACAAATTAGGCACAGACACCTGGATCCCCCACCAGACCTCCCCAAGACGTCCATGCCCACAGGAAGCGCATACCAGCCACCATCGCCCCTGATTCCCAAATGAGGGCCCCAGCCATCTCTGTGTGATGTGCAGTTTCCTCCATCTGGCCACTCCAGGCTCCTGAGGACTCCACGCTCCCATGCATGGTACTGGAGTGAGAACATGTGCTCCAACAAAACCGCTTCTGAGAGGGGCTGGGAGGCAGCAGCACCAGCCACCTGTCCTACCTGCAGGACAGGAGCAGCCAGCACTCACTGCCCTGGATGTGGGGAGTGAGTTTTTGGTGGGCCAGGGTGACATCCTGGTTCTGCTCTCTGAGGAGACCCCAGTTGTCATTGTCCCACAGGGCCACATCTGATGTGTGCACAGAGTGCACCCTCTGGGGCTGAGAGCTTCACCACCCACTTTTGGCATGAGTTCAGGAGCCCAGAAATTGTGTTAGATGCTGAACGCTCTCTCAGCCTGAGAGTTTTTTCAGCAGTACAGTTTCCTTAATTCTGGTCAGCACTTTTTCCAGTTTTGTCTTAGTCAATTCAGGCTGCTGCCACAGAATACCATAGACTGGGTGGCTTATAAACAATAGAAATTTATTTCTGATAGTTCTGGAAGCTGGGAATACAAGATCCAGGAGCCAGCAGATTTGGAGTCTGGTAAGGGTGTCCTCCTCCTGGTCTACACACAGCCACTTTTTACTGTGTCCTCACGTGGCCAAGAGAGAGAAAGAAGAGCGCTCTCGTGCCTGTTGTTATAAAGGCACTAATCCCATTCTCAAGGACTCCATCCTCATGCCTTAATCACCTCCCAAAGACCACACTTCTAATACTCTTACATGGAGACTAAGCTTTAACAGTGAATGTTGGAGGAACACAAATATTCAGTCAATAGCAAGCTTAGTCTATAGACCAATGACCAATCCAAATATCTTATCTACATATAAACTTTAGGCCAGAGAATGTATGTCTGCCACCATTGGCCCTGATGCCCCAGCCTAGGGGCCCGATCCTCAGGGGCTGGCCTTGGCCTCACGTACAGGCTATCATTACTTCCCTCCTCCCTCTCTGCTTTGAGTTTAATTTGCTACCCCTTTTCTAGTTTCTTAAGGCAGAAATTTTGATTACTAATTTGAGACTGTTTTCTCATCTAATATGAGCATTTTAATGCTATAACTTTTCCCCTAAGTACTGCTGTAACAACTACACCATACAAATTTTGATGTGCTATATTTGCATTTTCATTCCGTTCAAACTATTCGTTAATTTCCCATGAGACTTCCTCTGACTTATGGATTATTTAGAAACAGGCTGTTTGAGTTTCAAGTTTTGGGGGATTGTTCAAATATTCGTTACTGGTTTATAGTTTCAGTTATGACATGAGCACAAACATCATGATTTCTGTTCTTTTTAATGCACTCAGACTGGCTAAGAATATGTTCTGTGTTGGTGAATATTCCATATGTATTTGAAAATAATATATACTCTGCTCTTGTTAGGTTCTAGAAATGTCAATTACCTCAAATTCTCTGAGAGTGCAGCTCAGTTCTTCTATATCCTTACTGGTTTCTGCCTACTTGCTCTGTCAGTTACTGAGCAAAAAGTAGCAAAGTCTGCAGCTGTAATACATTTGTTTATTTCTCTCATTTTTGTTAGTATTTGCTTCATGTACTTTGAAGCTATGTTGTTAGCATGCATACACATAGGATGATTATGGCTTCTTGGAAAATTGACCCCTTTAGCATTATGTAATGTTCCTCTTTTTCTTTGGTAACAGTCCATGTTGTGGAGCCTACTTTGACATAAATATGGCTACTCTAGCTCTCTTTCCATTAGTGAATATCTTTTAACCTCCATATGTCTTTATATTTAAAATGGGATTCTTTTTTTTTTTTTTCCTACAACCTCAACCTCTCAGGTTCAAGCAATTCTCCTGCCTCAGCCTCCCGAGTAGCTAGGATTACAGGCACACACTATCATGCCCAGCTAATTTTTGTATTTTTAGTAGAGACAGGGTTTCATCATGTTGGCCAGGCTGGTCTCGAACCCCTGACCTCAAGTGATCCACCCATCTCAGCCTCCCAAAGTGCTGGGCATGAGCCACAGTGCCTGGCCCTTACAATGAGATTCTTGTAGACAGCATATATGTGGGTTTTGCTTTTTCATCCAGTCTGACAATTTTATCTTTTAAAAGATACGTTTTGACCATTTTCATTTAATAGTATTAATGATATGTTTGGATTAAAATCCACCATCTTGCTACCTGTTTTCTATGTACTGTATGAGTTCTTTTTTCCTTTTGTTTCTCTTTTGCTATCTTATCTTGGGTAAATTGAGCTTTTTAATGGTTCCGTTTTATTTCCACTATGGACCTGTTATACCCCTATTTTTAATTGTTAGTGGTTTCCCTAGGGTTTGCAATAAACATCTTTAATTAATGAGATTTGTTTTTTTTTTTTTTTGAGACAGAGTCTCACTCTGTCACTCAGGCTGGAGTGCAGTGGCATGATCTTGCAGCCTCTCACTGCAGCCTCCGCCTCCTGGGTTCAAGCGATTCTCCTGCCTCTGCCTCCAGAGTAGCTGGATTACAGGCACACAGCACCATGCCCAGCTAATTTTTGTATTTTTAGTAGAGATGGGGTTTCACCATGTTGGCCAGGCTGATCTTGAACTCCTGACCTCAAGTGATCCAACCACCTTGGCCTCCCAAAGTGTTGGAATTACAGGTGTGAGCCACCACACCTGGTCTAATTAATGAGATTCTATTTTAAGTAATATTACTTGACTTCACATGTTGTATAAGGATATTACAACAGTGTATTACCAATCCCTCCCTCCCATTCTTTGCTATTATCAGACATTTTATTTTTACATCTGTTATAAATTCATAATGCACTGCTGCCCTTTGCTTTAGACAGTTATCTGTTAGAGCAATTAAAAAGAAGAAAAAAATGAATTTTCACATCCATTTATTCCATTTCCATCACTCTTAATTGTGTAAATACAAGTTTCTACTGGTACCATATTTCTTGCACTTTAACATCTCCTGTAGTTCAGGTCTGCTGGCAATGATTTGCTCACTTTTATTTGAAAAACTCTTTATGTCTTCTTCATGTTTCAGAGATATTTTGGCTGGGTATAGAATTCTAGATTAACAGTTTTTTTTTTTCTTTCAGCACTTTAAAAATGTCACTCCATTATCTTCTGGCTTACCTGTTTTACCATGAAAAGTCTGTTGTAATTTGTACCTTTGTTTTTCTCTGTATAATGTATCCTCTTTTTTCTCTGGCTGCCTTCAAGACTTTCTTTTTGTCTTTGGGTTTCAGAAGTGTTAAGAGGCTATTATAGGAATATTTGTGGTGGTGTTACTTTTTCTTCTTGATGTTCTCTTAGTTTCTTAGATCTGTGTTGATGGTTGTCATTAATTTTGAAAAATTCTTAGCCATTATTTCTTTAAAATTTTATTTTGCATTGTTCTTTCTCTCTTCTGGGATTTCATTTACACAGAACTTAAGGTGCTGATATTGTCACACAGCTCTTAGATGCTGTGTTCAGTTTCCCACCTCCTTTTTTTCTGTTTCAGTTTGTGTCATTTCTAGTAACCTATCTTGAGGTTTACAGATCAGATTCTTTGCTCAGCTATATCAAGTCAACTGACCAGCCCCTCAAAATCATTCTTCACCTCTATTATGGTGTTTTTCATTTCTAGCATTTTCATTTCTTTCTCATAGATTTGTTCTGTATGCTGAAATTAACCATCAAATCTTGCATGGTATCTGGCTTTTCTATTAGTCCTTAACTTATTAATCAGTTATTTTTAATTCCTTGTCTGATAGTTTCAACACCTGTGTCATATCTGAGTCTTGTTCTATAAACTGCTTTGTCTTTTATCAATGTGTTGGGTTTTTTTTTTTATCTTTCCTTTCGCCTCATAGGTTTTTTGTTGTCGTTGCTGAAAGCCAGGCATCTTGAGTAGGACAGTAAAGACTGCAGTAAATCACTTTTATTCCTGGAAAGAAGCATGCCTTTCCTTTTGCTAGGTTTTCAGAGTCTAGGTTTGGACCAGTCTAGTTATGATAGCCCAGGAAGGTCACCCCCATCCCCAGATCCAGGGATACAGTGCCTGCCTAAGACAGATGCTTAATCAGAGTAACAGAAGATGACCCTTAGTGCACCCAGTGTTTGTTGCCCTACACTCTGCAGTTTAAGCTTTTATTCCTTGGTAGAGGTAGGATGGAAATATCTATGGAGACACTCTCTTAGAACTCCTGCCAGTCTTTTTTGGGAGAACCAGGTAGGTCCTGTGGAGAGGAGCCTGCAGGTGCATGTGAATTTCCTTTATATCTTCAGCCCCCAGGGTTCCATATTATTTCACTAGCTGATACTGTTCCTTTACCAATTTAACCATTTTAGCTGAATGATTCTTACTGGGGTCCAGCTGAATTGGCCCTTCTTAAGCTCATGTCTGTCTCTCCTTGGAGGCACCTGTCTTTCCTTAGATATTGGATAAGTTGGTTTCCCTGTGACTTCAGCTGTCTGGTGGGTTAAAGATAAGTTGTGAATTTGCAGTTTGACTGGAATGTTTTCATGGTGGAACAATGCTCTTCCAGCTTTTCACATCGGAGACAAAAACCAGAAATCTTGATTTTTTTTTAGAAAATAAGTACTCAGAATATATTCAGGCTAGCATGAGATGATGCCTATATGTTTCCAGGCTAAAAGACATACAAGAGGCCTTTCAAAAACAAAAACAAAACACCTTTCCGGCCTTTTTAGGCTCATTTTGAAAAGCAGTTGCTGTTCTAGACATTTACCACCAGAGGGCAAGCCGCTGCATGGCTGCTCCTCACTGGTAAAGCCAGGTTTCCAATAGGGAAATGTCAGGGTGTACAGTTGAGAAGCAGAGGCATCCTGAGCAGCCGCTGCTCACGAGGAGGACCTGTTTTCATGGCCTCCTGGCCGGAACTGTCCCTGGGCTCTGCAGCCCCAGCCCTCACCACAGGCCGCAGTTGACCCTCTGCAGAAAAGCCTTCCTTTGAGCCCCTCGGTGTCTTCAGTTGTGAGCAGGCATGTCCGTAGAGCCTCTCAGTACCTGGCCCTTCACCCCAGCCAGATCTAGGCCGCAAGGCTGCTGGACCCTTCTAGGTGGACAGGCACTAGCCCCTTCAGGGGTATTCCCACCGTGCACTGGAGCCCTGGGCAGCCCAAGGAGTCCATTCCAGCCCTGCTGTTGAGGGGAGGAGTCCCCAGGAACCCCATGATAGGGAAGTGAGGGTGACTGTCTGGGGTGCCGTCTTAGCTTAGGTGGTTTATCTGAAACAAACAAACCAAAATCACAGTGACTTAACACAGTGGAAATCTAAAAGGAGTGTTCTCAATTGTCAGGCAGCTCTTCAGTGGAGATCTGCTGTCTTCTGCAGGCACCATGGAAGGGGAGTGGGGAGAGACACCCCCATGCCTGAGCACATCACCCAGCACTTCCCACATTGCTTCTGCCCACAGACCATGGATGCCACTAGGTGCCTGTTCCCCCTAAATCCTGGGGCCAGGGTGGCTAAGACATGGAGTGGTGGCTGGGCTGATGTTCTCCAACAGCAATTCTACCCTGGGAAGCGGGTGGACAGCCAGACCCAAAATGTCCAAGTTGCACCCACAGGAACTGCTTCTAACAGATTATTCTTGTTCTAGAACAATATTTCCTGAATTTGCTTGATTTTAAAAGCCACAGGAGATGCTTATTTAAAATGTTGCTTTTTGAGTCCCTTTCCTGGACACTTTGGTTTGGCCCATCCATTCATGGGGGCTTGGAACTCCCAGGAGCTGCACTGCTCTATTCTGGGAAACATTGTGGATGGGGAGAGCCTGTGCCACCCCCTGCCCCATGAGTAAGAAGCGAGGCTAACCCCTTCTCTGTTTGTGTAGTGACTCATAGAACTATGGGACAGGCTGCTGGGCACCACCCAAGGGAGACCTGTCCCTGAGCCAGCCCTGCAGCCCTCCCTGGGTGTGTCTGCCCTGCAGCTCAGATCTGGAAAGGGTGGCCACGTCAAGGCAGAACCCAGCAGGCTGCAGCAAAGCCAGGCCAAGCCACCCCTGACCTCTCAAATCAGAGCACTGCACTTTCCAATCCCAAGCCAGATTAATGAAAAGCCCGGAGCTGGTCATTGGTCAGCAAAGCTGCATTTCCCTTATTGGCAGCTTGGGGAAGCTGGAGAAGAAGAGGTGCGGGGGTGGAGAGGGGAATTATTTGCACCCACTTTTCCTCTTAAGCAACACTGGAGGGCAGCATTGAGTCAGTTTTTCCAATTTCTTACCAAATCAACTATTGGTGTTCAGTCTTCGATTTGATCTATTTCCTTGCCTTTTTGTTCTTGCCATGGCACCCTTGCCATGAACCATGGGCACCAGCAAAGAGGCAAAGCAGCTGGTCCAAGGTGGCTGTGCTTCTCTGCTGTGTGTGACTCCCAGGTGTGGGGCCTGCAGGGGAGCTAAGTGGAGCCCATGGAGGAGGCTGCTGCTTGTTGCGAGGAAAGACTTGGGGAGACCATCTCCCAGTTCCTCCTGCCCTTGTCCCTGACAATGCCCTTGGGAGGAGTCAACCGTGTCACTAGGCACTCCTCTCATCAGGTCCCCCAGCAGCTCAGAAGCTCCTAGAAGATCCCAAACCTGTAGATACCCCCTCCACCCTAGCCCTTCTGGAGTGAGCCAGGATTTCCCACGGGTGGTGAGTTTCACCACAGAAGTTTTGTGATGAGTCAATCCCTCTGAGAAATGACCAGCCAGTGGCTCATCACTGCAATCTCCACCTACATGTGACCTCCTCAAAAGGACCCCCTGACCCCATCCGAAAAAGGCTTCACCATCACTGCCTTCTGCCTGGTGTTTACCCTTCCAGGGCTCATCACCACCTGACATTATGAGATGTTTGTTAACCTGCTTATCTGTCCCCAGCACAGGTGAGCTTCCCACGGGCAGGGGCGGGTGGGTCCATGGGTCCCAGGCACTGATACAGACTTGTGGCACAAAATTACAAACCAGTAGAGGTCAGCAACACCCTTGCTCACCTGACTTGCACATTCGGCCCTTCTCTGGGACGAGACAGGAGAGCTGAGCCTCAGGCCCACCTGCAAGGTGGCCTCCCAAAGTGTGCCTAACCTGCCTAGATCCTTCCTAGAAATAGCAGAGGCAGCAATAGCTTTTTTCCCATTCTGCTGCCCAATGGAGTATCTGCCATTGGACAGACCCAAAGAGAGCCAGGGTCCAGGTGACGCTTCCAACTGCTCTCCACTGTCCGCAATAAATACGAAATTTTAAAAACTAGCAATAGTGGTTTTGGTCTTCATGCTCCTGCTGGCACAGATCTGTGTAGATGTCCACTCGGTGCATTTGTCACCCAGATACCTGGCTTGGGAATTTCCTTGCCATCCTGCCTGGGGACTGCCGGGGCTCCAAGCACGGCTCTGTCTCTTCTGTTCCAGCCGTGATCCCCCTGACGGATTCTGAGCACAAGCTGCTGCCTCTGCACTTTGCAGTGGACCCTGGCAAGGACTGGGAGTGGGGGAAAGACGACAACGATAACGCCCGGCTGGCCCAGTAAGATCCTACTCTGTCCCTTTCCCCAGCGCCCACAGGGAGGGCTATGGCTGGGGCATCCTGGGGAGGGAATGTACCACCCCTGCTCCTCCTGGGACAGCTGGCATGCAAGTGGACTGGGTGCTATAAGGGCCAGCTCAGACCATTTCAATAGGATATTCTTCTCTTGCCAGCCTTATCCTGTCGCTAGAAGCCAAGCTGAACCTTCTGCACAGCTACATGAACGTGACGTGGATCCGGATCCCCTCCGAGACACGGGTGAGCCTGGCTGTGCTGGGACCAGACCTGGCAGCAGGGTCCAGGCTGCTCAGCTCCAGTCTGACCAGGGTGCATCCTCCCAAATGCTCCCACACTCTTGCCTGCCCCTGCCCGGCCGCCCACCCCAGCCATACCCACAGCCCAGTAGCTCCTCCACCTCCTTTGACCTAGCCATCCCAGCTGCATGCAGCTGGGGCCACCCTGGCTATGGCTTGAAGTGGCTCTGGCTGGACCTAGTGGCTGTGTACACACATGTAGGCATGTGTGCATGCAAGCATGCGCTCTTGTAAAGGGATTTTTTGTCCCCCTATTTTCTGCAGAAGGAATCAACACGCCCACTCAGAAAACAAGCCACAGGCAAGTCACAACACAAAACTATCTGCTAAGATCAGAACACAATGTGCTGCCGCAGAGCGGAATTAATTACAAACCGTGTGGGTCCTCAAAAAAAGCCAGGGAACTGACAGCGCGATTCCTCGGCGCCCCCTTCCTCCCCTCCCAGAGGCAGCACACTGGTGGGTGGAGCTGGCAGGAAGGTGAGGAGAGGGGCCTACGCCCCATGAGGCTGCCTGCCTCCAGAGGGTCGGGGCTGCCCCTGCTTGCAAACGCTGAGGGATTCATTTTAAGCATCTGACTGATTGATGTTTTTTGAAATCTCAGTAGTGAACTGCCAGGGAAAAGGATTTGTAAAAAACAGCCTGCAAGTAATTGGTCCTCTCCAGACATTTACTTAAAGTGGGGTTCACAAAGAATTAGTAAAGGAGTGGCATGAGTCAAGGAGTCGGGCGGTGGCCAGCACTGCTCAGTGCTCTCAGACTCCAGCCTCTGCCTGTACGTCATCTCCCAGGGCTCCATGAGGCAGGGACTGATACCCCATTTTACTGATGGCATAAGTGACAGCCAGTCGGTGGCAGTTTGAGTCCTGCGTCTCAAAGGCCTGGAGCACTCCCGTAGTGCTGTGGCTGTTCTTCTTCAGCACCCACATGGGGAGTGATGGCAGTGGCTCGAGATGTAGAATCAGGAGGCTCTCGGGCTGAGAATAGCTCTGCCTGCAATTGCCAGGCCTCGGTGCCTTCATGTTAGATGCAGGGCTCTCAGCAGACAACTGTGGGAAGGGTCCTTCCAGCCAGGGACTCCTGAGCCCGCTCTCAGTGCGCTCCTGCTAGCACCAGGCGCACCTCCCTTCCTGGCCCAGCCCGAGTGTCCACCCTTTAGTGTCTCACGCACCAGTCTGAGACACTTCACACCTTCCTATCCCAGGTGGGAAGGGGAAAGGAATGTCAGAGTGGGAGGTGGTGAGGGTCAGTTCTGCCCACCTTTGCTTTGGGGTGACCTGGTCACAGGAGAGTCACCGACTCTTGAACTTGCTTGAAGGGTTTGAGGGGGGGACAAAAATTAAGTGGGAGAGCAATGGGCCTTCTCCCAGGCTCATCCCCTGGAAGCCAGGGACGCCTGTTCAGGTATGAGCACCAGTTCCTGCAGCACCCAGCGGCCAGCATGATGGGCCCTGCCTCTCGTCCAATGACACTCGGTCAGAATTCTCTCCTCACCCAGGGAGGTCCCTACAGAGTAGTAGTAGGTGCTGCCTGCCTCTCTGCTCTCCCACCTCTTTTCTCAGGGTCCCCCCACCCCAGATATGGTCGTGCCCCCCTCAGACTGGTTGACCTCATCAGTGGGTCTCATCCAAGAAGTGCTCCCCAGCGTCACCCCACCCCACCCAGGGGGACTTTTCTGGGAATGGGAACATCTTTTTTGCTGAGCGCAGGCCTATTTCAGAATCCTCCTCAATTTAGCATTCCATCTTGCCAAACTGAGTGAGAAAGGAACTCCTGAAGCGATTTGGCATCCCTGAATCAAGGGGGTGTTTGATCCAAGATCCGATGAATGAGGTTGAGTGCAAGGTTTCTGTCCCATGCCTGGCGTGAGGTGAGACATCTTTTCAGAGGAGGCACTTTTGTGCAGGCCCAGTGTCCTCCCCACCTGAAGGCCTCCATCCTTACAGAGGCCAGCCTGGGACCTGTGTCTGGTCAAGCAGGCGGCCTTGCCAGTGGGGGAAGGCCAGAGTCTGAACCTGACCGTTCTAAATTGTGACAAGGCTCTGGGGACCAAGACCAAGTAGGGTATCTGCACCCTGCTGCAATACCCTACTCAGGGTTCCAGGGTACCAAGTACCTGAGGTCCCCCAGAGAGAAAGAATGAGTACACCCCAGCTTCCCTGGCCAGAAGACACACGCAGTTAAGAGGTCCCTACATCCTTTTACTACCGCAGCAGATCAGAGCCCACTCCTATCTGCTCCTTCAGCACCGCCCATCCGGATGTCACAGTCACCAGAGCGACAGTGGGGACTGGGACAGTGAAGGTCCAGGGCCCTAGCCTCGGCAACACAGGGGCAAGGTGTGTCTTCCTCGCTGGCGCGTGGACAGCTCTTCTCTAACCACCTTCGATCCGGCCCTCCCTCTCCACACAGGCGCCCCTGGCACAGCCGGAGTCTCCCACGGCCTCGGCAGGGGAGGACGTGCAGTCCCTGGCCGACTCGCTGGACTCGGACCGCGATTCGGTGTGCAGCAATTCTAACAGCAATAACGGCAAGAACGGCAAGGACAAGGAGAAGGAGAAGCAGCGCAAGGAGAAGGACAAGACGCGCGCCGACTCCGTGGCCAACAAGCTGGGCAGCTTCAGCAAGACGCTGGGCATCAAGCTGAAGAAAAACATGGGCGGCCTCGGCGGCCTGGTGCACGGCAAGATGGGCCGCGCCAACTCCGCCAATGGCAAGAACGGGGACTCGGCCGAGCGGGGCAAGGAGAAGAAGGCCAAGTCGCGCAAGGGCAGCAAGGAGGAGTCTGGTGCGTCGGCCAGCACGTCGCCGTCGGAAAAGACCACGCCGTCGCCCACAGACAAGGCAGCGGGCGCGTCGCCGGCGGAGAAGGGCGGTGGGCCGCGGGGCGACGCCTGGAAGTACAGCACGGATGTGAAGCTGAGCCTCAACATCCTGCGCGCCGCCATGCAGGGGGAGCGCAAGTTCATCTTCGCCGGCCTGCTGCTCACCAGCCACCGGCACCAGTTCCACGAGGAGATGATCGGCTACTACCTGACGAGCGCGCAGGAGCGCTTCAGCGCCGAGCAGGAGCAGCGGCGCCGCGACGCCGCTACTGCGGCCGCCGCTGCCGCCGCCGCCGCCGCCACGGCCAAGCGGCCGCCGCGCAGACCGGAGACGGAGGGCGTGCCGGTCCCGGAGCGCGCCTCTCCGGGCCCACCCACGCAGCTGGTGCTCAAGCTCAAGGAGCGGCCGAGCCCCGGGCCCGCGGCAGGCGTGCGGCGCGGGCGGCGGCGGGCGACACGGCCTCCCCGGGGGGAGGGCGCGCGGCGTGCGGGCGCCAGCGGACCAGTCCCTGGACGCAGCCCCCCGGCGCCAGCGCGCCAGAGCGTCATCCACGTGCAGGCGTCGGGCGCGCGGGACGAGGCGTGCGCGCCGGCCGTGGGGGCGCTGCGGCCGTGCGCCACGTACCCGCAGCAGAACCGCTCGCTGTCGTCGCAGAGCTACAGCCCGGCGCGCGCCGCCGCCCTGCGCACCGTCAACACGGTCGAGTCGCTGGCGCGCGCGGTGCCCGGGGCCCTACCGGGCGCGGCGGGGACGGCGGGGGCGGCCGAGCACAAGTCGCAGACCTACACCAACGGCTTCGGCGCCCTGCGCGACGGCCTGGAGTTCGCCGACGCCGACGCGCCGACCGCGCGCTCGAACGGTGAGTGCGGCCGTGGCGGCCCGGGGCCGGTGCAGCGGCGCTGCCAGCGCGAGAACTGTGCGTTCTACGGGCGCGCCGAGACCGAGCACTACTGCTCCTACTGCTACCGCGAGGAGCTGCGGCGGCGGCGCGAGGCGCGCGGGGCCCGGCCCTGAGCGGCGCGGCGCGGCGCGGGCGGCGAGGTTCTACCTTCGAGGATTTCTTTTCCATTGTGTCGGTGTCTTTTTTACATGCCCTGGTCCACCGGAAGGCCGGCGCCTCCTCTGTCAGTGCCGTGTACGTGTTTGGTCAAACGTTCCTAATGGTGCCTGAACCTACACTGACGCCACTCAGGTAGTAGACGGATAGGAAACAAGTCATACTGTTGGAAGTGGGTGTGCTAGCCTAGCATCTGCCTCGTACCTGTGGAAACTCAATAGCCATTGCAAGAGTATTTTTGTTCCTCAGTAAGAGAAATAAAGAAATTCGCAGCCCTTTGTTTTAAGAAGGGAGTGTTTTACATGCTTTTTTTGCTTTTTTTTTTTCTCCTACCCTAGCGATGACCTCTTCCAGGTAGCGGTCCCTTGTGCGCGGTTGGTAGTACCCAGGGCTTAGAGCGAGCGCGCACCCGGGGCTGCGGTGGAGGCTCCTCTGTGAGCTCTACCTGCCTCCCATCCCGAGGCCTAGGAGAAGGCGGGTACCTGGCCGCCAGCTGACGCCCTGGTGGTCACTGTGGCCCTTTAGAAACACACAGCTCCATTTCATAAGCAAAACCTCCTCCCCCAGCCCCGGCTCAAGCACCATTCACACTGCCATCCAAGCCGCGGGCGGCCGTGGAAAGGGCACTGGACCACCCGTCTCGCGGGCGCCGTGAGGTACAGCGATGGCTCCCAGTGCCGGGCAGTTCAGGTGACAGGAGCTTTCCAAAGACACCTAGGGTCCAAAAAGCAGGGTTCCCATCTCACAATTTGGATTTGCTCATAGAGGAGCAGATAGGACAGGCTGCTCACATTTCTCCTTTGAAGGCACTTCCACAGTGGACTGTCGCTGGCGGGCCCCTGGGCGGTGACCATCGGTGCCCCGGGAGACAGCGAGGAATTGACCCTTTGGTCACTGTGTAAGCCCCCACTAGGCTGCTGCTCTTTCCAAAGGGAAGGGGCTGGGGGAACCAGGAAGGAAGCCCACCCCCACACCTGCATCTGTCTGGGTTCAGCCAGGTAAAGGGACTCACTGTGATCGTGGCCCCTCCACGGGGCAGGACGACCCTGCCTCCGTCTCGTGACACAATGAGGGAGCAGCCCGATCCCTGAGCGGTCTCTTTTTTGGTGCCTCCTACATTTCTTGAGGAAAAAAAAAATGTGTCCTTAGCTACCCTGTTTTGAGCAGCAATATGCAGCCTCTTCCTTCCAAGATTACCTCCGGAGAACACCGTTCTTGGCCAAGGACACTGAGGAGCTAAATCTGCCTCACTAAGGAACGAGCTTGTTTCCAAGAAATGAGGATAAGATGGGTAAAATCCTCACTAACAAAGAATACTATAAAACCTGTGAGAGCCTTAGAATAGCTTCTAATAATCCTAGGACAGGAGAAAGCGCCTGGCTTTGCTGTGAGTGTATCCTCAGAAAAAGCAGGAGGTCGACCATCTCTTCACTGGAGCCAGCTTCTCCTCTAGAAACGATGCTTTTTTCCCTAACTAAAGAGCAGCAAAAACAAAAAAAAAAGGGGGGCGAGGGGATTTTTTTTACTTGTTTGAGAAATTATAATAAAATAATTGAGTATCTCCTGTGAGTAATGCCTTTTTGTTTTTAATTATTCCACAGCAGGTGGAGTTTTCAGTAATTTGTTCAAGTTTTGCATAAGTGGTTCCTTAAATCAAAAATTATTTATTAAATAGGATCTTTAAGAAATTTTTTGAAAGTTTACTTTTCCTGCTGAACAATATTTTCAATGTGTGGTAATTACTGTACTAACATCCATGTCCCTAATATTACTGGGGTTTCTTTTATTACTCAGAAAACAAAAGTGGTTTTTTAAAAATCTCATGGAGAGGGTCTGTGGCAGCTTTCTGGACTGATTCTTCGTGTCACGCTGAGCAGCTGCTTTGGCATCCAAAGCTGTGGGATCACAGAAAGTGTTGCTTCAGGTGTGGATGCCAGCCACTCCTCATGCTCGTCACTCTTAAAAGATTGAGACACCCAACCTTAAAAATGCTCCAATAATCCATTCAGAAACCAAACTCATATGCACAAGATGTCAAGGAGGCATAAAGTCAATTCTTGCTTGTTTTTTTCATTTCTTAATGTAAAAACAGCCAACCAGAAATTTCTAAAACTGGCTATGCTAATTCAGATATTTTCTTTCTCACGCTATCTGCCAGGTTTGTCTAATTTAAAAAATAAAAAAATAAAACAGAATAAAAACCGTCCATTGTAATAGAGGAAAACCTTCCAAACCAGGCAGAGTACGTAATTATCAAAACACCAGGACCTATTCTACCCTTGCATTTCCAAGTTACCTCCACCCATCACCATCTGATGACAGATGTGCCCTAAATAAGAGCCTGAGATAAAGCCACTGGCTGCATCCTGCACCCCAGCTTCTCAATGTGGTAACGAGGCGCCAGACGCCTGTAGACACCTGCTCCAGGCTGATACATTACCACTCAGTCCACATGACTTAGGAATAGCCATTTCCTTTTGTGAGAGAGCTGGATCCATCCTTCCTCTAAACAGTATTAAAAATGCAAAAGGGAGAGAGCCGATGGTCATATTAAATGTGCTAGTCCCGTGCACCGATAGCATGCTCCTTGAGAAGAGGCGTGTAGACCTCGTCCCTGGCCAGAGACCAACTTCAGCAGGCTGGCCAGAAACTATTAAAAACTGTGTTGACTGCATGTGGGCCAAGGGCTTCCCTCGTGTTCCATGGCGTGAGGCCCCTTTGTGGAGCAGGGAGAAAGGGAAGAAGGTGAGTCCTACCGGGGTGCATGGCCCTGCTGCCCTAGCTGACCCTGCCTGAGAGCAGCCTTCCCCACCTGATCTGGCCACACTTCCCTTTCTAGGAAGGACAGGTGTCTCCAAGGGACTGCAGGTTTCCAGAGGATCCCAGATACTTCTAAACCCCTGCGAAGGTTATTTCAGAAATTTACTTTACATTTCCTGCACATTTGTTATCTGGGTAAATGATTTTTTTAATATATTGTTAAGGGAAGGTGTTTTTCAGTGTATTCTGTTGGTAGATTTTATGCTGTGTTACGTTGAAATTTTACAAGCCAAGTTTAAACTGTACTATAAAAATTATTTTTGTATTATTTTCAGAACATGCCACAGAGCAATATTTTGCACCCGTTATTGCCACAGGGTTGTCCCTTGGAAGGGTAACTGGAGGTGGGAAGGAGCTCCACTGTGGGCTCCGGGGGGTTAAACGCTTTTTGCTGCTTGTTCAAATACCTTCTGAAAGTGGGAATGTATCAGTGTCTTTTTTTATTGAAAGCTTGATTTCCTTTTTTCTGTTCATGGATTTTGGTACTGCACCTTTCCTCTTAAATGAATACTTTGTATTCACTAAATTACTGTGGACCTTTTCATACCTATTACCACCCAGTGGCATTTGAATCTATTTACAAATCGAATGTTTTCCCAAATGATTTAATTTACTACTTCTCGTAGCTTACTGTCAAGAATTGGGGGTGCTGAAGATAAAAGGACTCTCCATGCCCCCCAGGTGCACACCTCAGGGTGTGGACATCCTCCATGCAGAGCCCGCCCTGTCTCTGGGGAGGGGTCATGGGCCCATCACCCACCCCCCCCCCACTTAGTGTCCACAAACTTATTTTGCGAACTATTCTACTTTGCAAAAATAAACTTAAAATATACTTCCCATTGGTTAAGATAAAAGGGCTGTACTTATCAGTGGTGGGAAATTTGTACAAGAAAAAACAGACTTTTCCAAATCCATGTGTGTAAGTTCCATTCCATGTGAGTCTTTTATTTACGAAGAGACCTGGAGTAAAAGCTGAAGGCATCTACTGTATGTTTGGGGCTCCTTTCTTTATGGCCATGATTTTTTTTCTCCTCATCTTGGTGTGGACTTTAAAATTAAGTACCCCCAGTGTTCTGTCCTTTTTCTTTCCTCAGTGCTTCTAATAGATAAGAAGAAATGTGTTTCTGTGGCTGAGCAAGCCCTGCTGGGCCAGACAGACCTTACCAGCCCTGGCTTCATCCTCGCTGGGCTGCAGAGGCGGCCCCTGCTCTAGTTGAGTCCGGTTCTGCTGCCAGCTGAGGACAGACACACCGTATGAAGGGCCTAGAGGTGGCTGGCATGCCAGGGAGCAGGTGGCCCCTTCCAAAACGCCTTAAAGTGGTGGCTCTCTAGAGATCTGAGGCACCACCTTCCCATTTACTCCTGACTCTAAACTCTAGCTGGCCTGTTTTAGTGTGGCTGGCCGGGGCAGTGACCAGCGCTCAGCTTTGTTCTTGTTTAATTCAAGTCCACCCTGTTGCCCGTGTCCTCTCCACAGCTCTGGGTCTGTTGGCCCGGAGTGTATTTCTGCCAGTGCTGCCTCACTGACTCGGGAGTGGGTCCTGGGTAGTTCACGATAGAGAGGCCAGCACACGCCATGGGGAGAGCCCCCCACGCTCACCCCAGGAGGCCCTGCGGCACATCCAGGCTGGACCACTCTGCAAGCTTCTGTCACAAAAGACAGCTCCGGGCACTGTGCAAATTGGCCTGTTAGCAGTTATGCAGGTCCCTTCTTTGCCAAAAGATCTATTATTCCTCCCCACTGCACCCCCAGCAGAAAAGAGCGAGGGAGATGCCCTGCAGGGACCCCTTGGGAACAACAGTTATGTGCAGTCTGTGCAGTATGAAGAACTTGGCCCCACCAGGCTGAGCCGAAGACACACGTAGTTGCAGAGTAGCACTGAAGCCATCATCTCCAACCATGCTAGTAATGTTACTGTTTCTATTTATTTTGCCAAATGATTTGTTGAAAATTGCATTTTTGCTATTTTAATCTTGCCAAAAAAGGGGGCCTCACTAATCCTAATTATGTACATACAGAATGATGCACATTGCTTGCATCTTTTTATTCCTCCCAAAGAGCATATCAAGGATATATATATATACATAATTTGTTAGTTTAACATAAGGCGAAGAGTACCATTTGGTTTTAAGAGTAAATATAGGCTGAATTTATTCAAGACCAAAGCAACCTATTTAATGAGGACAAATGAGTGAAACCAGCTGTTTTAGAATTTATCTGCAGACACTGGAGTGCTCCTTTAAACGAAGAAACAGCCTCCCATGGCAGAGGAAAAGCCAGGTCCTTACAAAGGCCTCTCCCATCCCAGTACTTCTTCTGCCTGCTGCTCTGCCCTGGGACGTAGGCCTTCCTGCCGTTTCTAGTCACAGGCACCCTCCTGCCTCAGGGCCTTTGCACATGCCATTCCTTCTACCTGAACATTCTTCCCCAGAGAGCCACATGGTTCACCCCTCACTACCTGCCAGTCTTTGCTCCAATGTCACCTTTCAACGAGGCCTTCCCTGACTTATTTAAAAGGACAACACACCCCACCCTCCCTCCCTACCCACCTCTCTGCATCTTCTTCTTGTGCACCTATCACCATCTGAGTGCTGCAGATGTTAATCATTCATCCATTTATTTGATTCTCGCCTCCCCATCTCCCATAGACTGTAAGCTCCATGTGGGCAGGAACTTTTATATGTCTTGCTCATTGCTGTATCCTGGTGCCTACAACAGTGCCTGACACATATTAGGCACTGGATAAGTATTTATTGAAAAAAGGAAATTAAATCAGTAAATTGAAAACTATTAAGAGGCCAGAAAATGTCAATTTCAGCTTTCATCAAATCTAGGTTCTATTATTGTGAGAACTTTAGCTGACCCAGTGACCTGGCTCCTATGGGTACAAGATGGTTAGATACACCGGGCAGCAGCGGTGGCTTCTGTTCACAGACAAGTGAATGCCTGCCCTGCCGCTAGCCCCACCTCACAAATATGAGGCTCACTGTTCGCAGGGGAGCATTTTGGAACCAGCTGGGATGAAGACAGTTTTCTGCAGGTAGCTTTTGTAGCCAGATGCACAGTAGTGGGTTCCCATCACTCCATGAGGTCACTGTAGACCTGGACCATTCCAGAGAATCCTTTGTAATCAGTCTTTAGGTGTCTCCCAGTCCTTCCCAGTTCAACACGGGTGGCAGCAGATGGCCCAGCCCAGGGAAAGTCCACCTGACCATTAGAAGGACTCATCCTCCAGCCACCAAAGCAAGGCTGCAGAGGAAGAGGAGCTTGTCACAAACATTAACCGGCTCAGGGCTGGGTAACTGCATTGACAAATTTGGAAGCAGCAGGGCCAGAGAGCCAAGGCCCCCGGGTATCCCCATTGGCCACTGGTGGAGGTGCACTGGAAGGTCAGGGCCTTGACACCACAGAGCCAAGCAACACACACCTCCTTGGGCCCAGGCCCCAGCACAGTGGCCCTCCAGTGCTGGCAGGTGGCCTCACCCACAGCAGGGGAGGCGTGGGTCCTCCAATGACCTTCCTGCCCCTGCCAGATGATTTTCACAACTACCTAACTTTGGTGTTTACTTCTAGGTCCTTTGGCCAAATGCGTTTTCTTCTAAGAGTTGTTGGCAAAATACTGTTACAAGCTTCTTATGGGACTTTTGTCCTACTGTGGCCTGGTTAAAGGCTTTGTCCTCCTGTTTAATCCACTTCCGTGGTTTTGCTGTCATTTCTCTTGATGCCATATTTTCAGGTCCCTCGTGGGAGGGGGCATAAGGTCTCCATCGTGATGCCCTCTCTGCAGCTGTCCAGCCAGCAGTGAGTGGGCCCACACATGTGCATTCCTGTGCTTGAATTGCCAAATAAACAGTGTCCCTTTCATTGCTGCCCAAACAGACTGGAAGCCTGCTCCTGCCAGCACTCAGGGAGGGAGTGTGTGCTTCCCAAGAGCCTGCCCCCTTGGCCCATGCAAACTTTCTCCATGGCAGGTGTCCGTGAAGGTCTCCCAGGCCCTATGGGCTGTCCAGCTCTTTGCACACATTCTTCCCGCTTGCAGGAATGGAATCCAAACACCTGATACGGAATGATGACTTGGCAGTGGGGAGTGGGGCAGCTTGTCTCCACTAACTTAGGACCAAAACTAGGAAACTCACCATGAGCATGTGTTGGAGATCAGCTGTGGCCTCCAGCCCCTGTACACACAGAGGCAAGCCCCACCTCTGACAGAGCCAGTCACCGTTCAGTAGGAGCTTGTCTTCCCTGGGCCCCCAGGTGGGAAAGGCTGGGCTCTTAGTCCTACAAGTAAAGGCGCTGTTAGGAGCAAGGAGCAGGCTTAGCTGGGTCCACAGAGGGACTAAGCTCCTTAGTGACCTGTTACTGCCTCATCTACGGAGTTTGAACTCCATTCACCATCACCTTTGAGAATTTGGCCTTGTTTTAACTAAGGATTGTTGAAGTTAATTATAACAAGGGACCATCCTCACCCTGTGTTTGCTTTGTTCCATTAAACGTGCGTTTGGCCTAATGAAGTCAGTGAATGTTCCTCTTTTTTCTTTTTTGGTTTCTTTGACTGATTTTTGGATGATATATGTTGCTTTATTTCTCCCATTTTCTTTGATTACTGTGGACAAAGGAAAACACTGAGGCAAAAGTAGGTCGTCAATCACATTACTTTGACCCAGTTGTGCAGAACCCCTTTCTACCTGCAGGTGTTAATTCCAATTCAATGCAAATATCCTTTTCAATCCGGTCCATTCTTGGAGAAGAAACCCATTGTAAGAGCTGTCTTCTGTGGTTGGGATATTACTTTGTAAAGTATTAAAGCACTAAACCAGTTTTTGCAATATGTAGTAAATCTTGCTTTCATTTTGGAAAACTTCCAGTAATGACTACTGCACTTTTTATAGAAGAATTGTATTTAATTTCTTTCTTTTATGAAAGATTATTTCAAGTAAAAATAGCTCTGTAATCTGTGTGACATGGCTTCTCCATTACCTGACACAGAGAGAAGCTTTGATGCCTACTCAATAAAATTAACATGTTTGTAAAGTATTGGTTGGTCCAATTATTTGCCCACTGACTCCTGTGTTCTTGGTAAAATGCCATCTAAGAAAAGCTTTATTGCCAAGAGGAAGAGGACTATATCAGACATCCATCCATACCAGTTTTGTTTTGTTTAAGTGTTTTCCCAGCCAGATGAGATGTAAACCCAGTTGTCACCATTTCATTCTCTTTTTTTTTTTTTTTTTTTTTTATTTGAGACGGAGTCTAGCTCTCTGTCACCCAGGCAGTGGCGTGATCTTGGCTCAGTGCAACCTCTGCCTCCCAGGTTCAAGTGATATTCTCCTGCCTCAGCCTCCTGAGTAGCTGGGATTACAAGTGCACACCATCATGCCCAGCTAATCTTTTTTTTTTTTTTGTATTTTTAGTAGAGACAGGTTTTCACTACTCTGTTGTTGGCCAGGCTGGTCTCAAACTCCTGACCTCAAGTGATCCACCTGCCTCAGCCTCCCAAAATGCTGGGATTACAGGCGCGAGCCAGCACGCCTGGCCAAGTTTCATTCATATAAGAGGAAAATAGTTTCTCTCCTTTCTAAAATGACCATGACACATTCTATCTGGATGAAAGCTGTATTTAGTCTGTTTTCACACTCCGGATAAGGACATACCTGAGACTGGGTAATTTCTAAAAAAAAAAAGAGGTTTAATGGACTCACAGTTCCACGTGTTTGGGGAGGCCTCCCAATCATGGCAGAATGCAAAAGGCAAGTCTTACGTGGCAACAAGCAAGAGAGAATGACAGCCAAGTGAAAGGGGAAACCCCTTATAAAACCATCAGATCTCATGAGACTTACTACCACGAGAACAGTATGGGGGAAACCGCCTCCATGATTCAATTATCTCCCACCAGGTCCCTCCCACAACACATGGGAATTATGGGAGCTACAATTCAAGATGAGATTTGGGTGGGGGCGCAGCCAAACCATATCAAAAGCTGAATAGGGTTGTCCTTAACATGTCTTCACCAGAGGTTGCAACCATAAGCAAGAGAATGGCAGCTGGGAGCATAGAGGAGGAGGAGGAGGATTTTGCCGTGAATTTTTATCTGTGAGTGCTCTTCTATGGAGGAGAGGCGCTGCCTCTGTAAAAGAAAGAAGCCCCCTCAGGAAGCTGTGGGTGGGGTCCAGGCCACAGGCCTATCTAAAGAAGGTGTGATGCACCCAGGACTCAGTCCCAACCCACTGTGTGCCATGCACTGGGACAGTGATGGAGGAGGTAATGACAGGGTCTCACGCACTGAATAGGCATCATTGGGGGGTGGCACATTCTGTGCCTAGTGGAATTCAATCCATGCAGCAACCGTGTGAGATAGCAAAATCTCTGTGTTGTAGAGAAGAAAAGTAAGGTTTGGCGAGGTAAGTCGTAAAGCCAGGATTCCAGCTCAGGTGTGTCTGACATGAGGGTCTGTGCTCCCAGCATCAGAGTACATTGTCATCCTGAGGAATGGGCAAGGCCCCTGCCCAGGAGGAGCTCAGAGTCTGGGGGATGGTGACACCCAAGTCCATCTGGCTCCAGGTGGGGGGTGAGTTAGCACAGATGGGAGAAGGACAGGAAAGATACCTGGCAGGGCTGTGGGATTTGCTGGAGCCATGGCCACTACATACCCATGGAATCCTGTTAAGGCCAATGGGACCATCCGTTTCTGGCTCTAATGTTTTTCTACACGAGGAAACAGGAAACTGTTCTTAGTTTGTTCAGGACAAGCAGAGAATCCCGTATGAAAGACAAAATACTGCATTTGAAGCTTTGAAATGTGCTTAGAAGACTATATAGGATGATGGTAGGAACCCTGGATTGGGCTGGCCCCAGAATTGACCTTGAGGAAGGCATCTCACCCCTCCAGCCCCAGGTTTCTGTTCTGTAAAAAGCGACTCAAGGCTCTTGAAGTTTCCCCACCAAATCAAAAAATCTGTGTATTATTTAGAAAAACAGAAGTCACCTCAGTTATTTTGACAGAGAATTTAATATAGGGAACTAGTCAAGCAGGTATTGGAAGCCTAAAAAACACAAAAAGGAGACATACACGTCCCACGGAGAGAACATACAGGAAGCAGCTTCCTCACAGGGTCAGGGGCAAAGCAAAGAGAGCATGTTGTTAAAATCCACAGGCAGATAGGGCAGGGCTCCACCGCGTTGAGGTCAGACCTTTGAAAAGGGAGCTCTTCCCAGCTGGTGCCTGTGCCTCAGGAAGCCAGAGGGGGAGGCTCGCAGTGCTAGGCTCAGATCACCAGGGAGGGGTTGCCGGTGTCTCAGTAGAGGCTGTGATTTGGCCACTTCTTTCCTGTGGGGGGAAGAATGAAATTGAAACAAACTGCAGCTAGCAAGTGAAGAGCTGTTGCTAAGACAACATTGAGAGAAACTGGAAGCAAAAGGAATGAGCAAGTCCTTATGTGTCTTGACCCACCTACACACATGCATATATATGCATGTATGAACGTACATGTATGTGTGTATACACGCACACTGAGCAAGAAGAAAGATAGGCAAATATGCCTCCCTACTGCAGGCCCCCTGGAACTGAAGCTGGCCACAGAGCACTGTTGGTGTTTGAAACTACCTTCTTCCATAACCATTCCATGTTGGCTTTGCTCTCAGGCAGACCTCAGGTTGTTGGGATTCTTTACCTGAAGGACAATCCAAACTTTCATTCCTGTAGATGCTGAGTCCTCACAAGCCCTTTTTTTCAATGCCATCATTTACCATTAACTTATTTTTGGATGTGGACAAAATTAAAGGCACCCCAAAGAGTCCCCTAGATTTCAGACATCATTTATTGGCCCCCATTATGTAGCAACAACTCATTCAGTCACCCAGCCAATAGAGTAACGACTTTCTTTGCATTGATTCACCCAGCTCAGAAGCCCAAAATGGCCAAGTCTCAGCTCCAGGTTCAGCGAAATCACTGTGCTGCCTTTTGGGAAGCTCCCTGGGGAAGTAAGAACTACAAAACAGAAAAGCGCTAAGGTGTGGAGCAGGGGAGGTATAGATTCTTGGTTACGAGGTATGGGGCAGGGGCAGGTACAGATTCTTGGTTACAAGGCTTCATAGTGACAAGAGCTCCTCACATGCCCACCTCTTGTTTCCCAGACCATGTGTTCCGGCCATGGGATCATCATATGGCAGACCATATGGCAGTTGCTGATTCAAATCCCAAACTCCATCTGTAAGGTAGAACTCCGACCTTTCAGGGAGCTGTCTCCCTGCTGGCATACTAACTGAGTCTTCACTAGGCAGGACCACAGCACTATCAAGCCAGCTGCTTCTGGGTCAGTGGGATGTGGAGTAAGTGAAATCCTTGTGCATGATCTCATTGCTTTAAAATTGAAATTCTTCATCAGAAGTAACACTGTGTAGAATACCACAGCGATGAATAAGGCACTCTTTAAGTCCACGATAGTGGCTTTTGGCAGCAGCATTGCAGACAGGGAAAGCAAATCTGAATCCAGGGCACACCTATTCCAGTGAGGGAAAATTATTTTCCTTTATGAATGGGGTCCAGCTGGCCAACAGGAATCTGGCTGGCCCTCCCCAGGAATGCACCACAGGGGAGGCTGTCAGAAGATCACTCCAACAAAGCAGTGGTGGCCTCCAGGCTGGCCTTGGCAAGAGGAAATTCATGTCGTGTTCATTCACAGCCTCCATCCCTGTAATCATGGTCCTGGGCGCATTGAATAAACATCAGGATGGCTGGTGGGAGGGTCAGCTAGCATCACAGAGCATGCTTTCTTGTCCACCTGAGTCTCAAGAGCCTCCTCTGCAGAGGGAGCTCCTGGTGAGCATAAACATGCCACCCAAATATCTCCAGTCTCTTTACACCTTCTGAGCGATCCATCCACATACATCCTACTCCACCTTCCCGTACATACATCTGTTACCATGCTTCCTTGTCACCAACCTTGGAATCCTGTTCTTTCCAAGTTCCTGAGCATCTAGTCAAATTGTTTTCACCTGCCCATGAATCAGTGTAACTCATGGTTTTTCAATAGTGGCACTATTGAAATTTGGGGACAGATCATTCTTTTCTGTAGGGAACAGTCCTGTGTGCATTGTAAGATGTTCAGCAGCATCACTAGCTGACTGTGGTGGTTAGTTTTACGTGTCAACTTGACTGGGTTAAGGGATGCCCAGCTAGCTGGTAAGCCATTATCTCTGGGTGTGTGTGAGGGTGTTTACAGAAGAAGTTAGCATTTGAATCCATAGACTGAGTAAAGATGGCTCTCAGCAATGTGGGTGGGCCTCATCCAAATCGTTAAGGGCCCACATAGAACAAAAAGGCCCCTAGAGGAAGGTTGAGTTTACACTCTCTGCTTGAACTGAAACATCCATCTTCTCCTGCCCTTCTGCTGGCTCTCCAGCCCTCAGACTGAGACCAGACTTACACCATTGGCCTCCTTGGTTCTCAGAGCTTTGGGTTCAGACTGATGCTACATCAGGGGCTTTCCTGGGCCTCCAGCTTGCAGGTGCAGCTCATGGGACTTCTCGGCCTCCACAATCACGTAACCAAACCCCTCATAATAAATCTGTTTTTGTGTATCTCTCTATATTCCATTGGTTATGCTTCTCTGGAGAACCATGACTAATATACTGACCTCCACTCACTGGATGCCAGTAGCACCCCCACCTAGTTATGGCAATCGAAAATGTCTCCAGACATTGCCAAATGTCCCTGGGGACTGGAACTGGAGAGCACCCACTGCTGAGAATCACTAGTGTAGGTTAATTCTTCTGGCTGTCTTTCGGTCCAGAAAAGCGAGAGCCATTTGTTCTGTTCAAGCGCCATCCACTGGGACAATTTCCCTTCCCTGCCATCTTCCAAGGACACTCCAGAATTCCCAGGGCCCACTCTCAGCTGGTACCCACTATCCCAGATAACCATCTGAAGGCTGGTCTCAGCCATTTGGTCACGGGAGTTTCTGTGAGCCACAGACAGATTGAGAGAGGAGTCAACACAAGCAGGAGTGCATGTCACAGGGGTCTCAGCCACCTGTTCACACACTGACACGTGCCTTCTGGATTTTCTCCAACCCATCCTCTCATACCCGATCTTCACTTGATGACAGCTTACAGCTGCGTGTGCCCAACCTTATGGATGGGCGGGTCGAGTAACACCCAGTCTTTGATGGCCAGCTTAGTATTGCAGAGTCAGCTGATGTCCCCAGTCATCTGTTCAGTCCTTACCAGGACCCAGGGGTACGCCAGGAGCTGCTTTTTAGAAAGCAGAATGTATATATAGAAGAAGGCATGGGTTTGCTCCAGAATATGGAGTTCAATACTACAGTTCACCTCCTGGAGCTCTCTGCTATGTTGCTGTTGGCCACAAACACTTGAGCACCACTGAATCTGTTGGGTGATGAGGCCCAGGGGACCCCACCTGCAACTGGTAGTCTCAAAGTCACCCTGGTCAATGCATTGGGATAGCACCCCCAAATCATGTATAGGATGCCTTCAAAATGCAAAAAGTCTCAGCAAGCATCATGCCTCATTTTGGGGTATGACCACTTATCTTTCACTTTCTTGGGGTGTCCTGAAATGCTCCACAGGATCCTCAGCCACTTCACCAAGTGGGTGAGCCCCTGAGCATTTATGGGGTTCATCTCCTACTTTTGTGTCTTACCAAGGTGATGGCAGTGGCTGCTGCCATCACACTGGCTGCAGAAGGGAGGTGGCTGGGGCTGCACACTCCATGGAGCTGGTGGGAGCCCTGCGCTTCTGAGTTGGGGCAGAAGCTCCCTGAAAGTCGCTGTGGCCACCCAACCCACAGCTGCAGACCCAGGCCTCCTGTGCTTCGAAGAAGGCAGGAGCCCCGCCCTCCTGGACAAGGCTACAGCCGTCCAAACTGTAGCTGTGCTTCCAAGCCTCCCTGTGCTCTTGGAGGGGGGCAGGAGCAGGTAGGAGCTGCCCTCCTGGGTGCAGCTGCCTGAGCGGCGGCTGCAGACCTGGCCCTCCTGCTCCACAGAGCAGGAAGGCGCTAGGGACAAGCAGGACCCCCGCCCCTTCCAAGTTGGTGGGGCGGGAGCTCTCCAGGTGCAGCTGCAGCCCTCCCAGGTGCAGGACGGGGGCATCTCTGCAGCCTGTAGCCTCGGCCCCCATCCTCCATCCCTGCAGGCTCAGGGGTGTCTGCTTCCACTGCCTGGCCCCTCTCCTCTCTGGCACCTGCTCCAATCTCGAAGCCGGGTTGGGGCCAAGCCCTGGGGCCACGAATGGCAACGGAAGGCCTGGGCAGAAGTCGGGGGCGGGGGGTCCCTGTAAGACCCCACCTTCAGGTCAAGGAGGGCCTGAAGGCTGGGGCCGGGCTACCAGTCCCACGGACCAGAGTGGGGACTCGTGGTGCCTCCTCTGGCCCACCCATGGCCACCAGTGGACCAGTCAGCATGCACTTCCTCCCCTCTGAGGTCCATAACAGCCCTGCTCTCAGCCAGAGCAGGACAGAGGACGGTCAGCCAGAGGCCGGAGAGATGATGGGATGACCAGCTGCAGAGAGGAGCTACTCACTGTGGGTCTTCTCTGAGCTGTTCTAATACTAAATAAAGTTCTTCGTCTTCTTCACTCTTCACTTGTCTGCGTACCTCATTCTTCCCAGATGCAGGACGAGAACTCGGACAAAGACGCCATGGAGGTTTCCAGGAAGAAAATCAACACCAATCAACTCCCCAAAGATCCCGAAACAAAGGATCCTAATGTACTTGCTACTCCCGTCCCATCAGGACCAATCAGCATAGTGTCAATGGTGTGGCCCACTATGGTTTTCTGTGGCATCTCTGTGGATGCTATCATGGCAGAGAGAGCAGGAAAACTGGCATAACCCTGAGGCAAACTGGGAAGGGGTGCTGTGGGTGCCCTAGACACGAGCAGACTGTTTCTGGTGTTCCTGGAAATTGACATAGAGATTAAGAGCCAACTCTCAGTGCTGCGGGGCTGCAACTGTGGCTCCCAATGAAGAAGCTTCAGGCAAGGCGCTGTGGCTAACACCTGTATTCCCAGCACTTTGGGAGGCCAAGGTGGGTGGGTTACCTGAGGTCAGGAGTTTGAGACCAGCCTGGCCAACATGATGAAACCCCATCTCTACTAAAAATACAAAAATTAGCTGGGCATAGTGGCATGTGCCTGTGATCTCAGCTACTCGGGAGGCTGAGGCAGGAGAATTGCTTGAACCCAGGAGGCGGAGGTTGCAGTGAGCCTAGGTTGCACCACTGCACTCCAGCCTGGGCAACAGAGTGAGACCCAGTCTCAAAAAAAAAAAAAAAAAAAAAAAAAAGGAATCTTCATCCAGAACAGCAGCTGCAAATGGAGTCACCAGCTGGTTACCTTCACTCTGGAGCACTGTATTTCCCCAAGACGCGTCTGTCTTCAGTAGAGGTTAAGCAGGCCAGGGAAGCAGAGACATAATAGGAACTTCCACCCTGAAATCTCTCGAGTAGTTGATAGCGGCACTAATCTCTGCAACTCCCCTAGGATGTGGGGTTAATTACTTTTGATTTACTATTGAAGTAGGGAGGGAAAATTCCCTTTCTTTCCACTTTCCCTTTCTTTCCACTTTCTACCAAAATGGCATTCACTCCGTGGCAGAAGAGCCAATGTGGGGGCTCTGCTGGTTGCTGAATGGAACTATTTCAATTGTACATTCAGAAATGGGAGACATGACCCCCGGAGAGCCCGCAGACACCGTCCCATGGAAATTCACACCTGGGACCAAACACTTTTTATCATCTGACCTCCATAAGCCCCCACTTTGACTGCTGGGCCATGGTAGTGTCTTGAAGTCCCCCAAATCGGTGACATCTCAGAGCCAGTGCCAGGTAATCACCGGATTATCAAGGCGTTCCTTTCCCCTGCCGTAATTCAGGAGGAGACATTTGTTAGAACAACTCTTTTTGCCCCAGGGCACAGTCACCCTAGAGAAAAGCCACAGGCTCATGGGCAGTAGGCATCTGGGGTAACATGGCCGGGTCCCTTCTCCAGGGACTTTTCTCCAGGGGGCCTGGCTCACGTTTAGTCAAGGAGCTCCATACCTGTCAGGTGGCTCTGGAATTCTGGAAAACCTGATGCATTACTGTCTACAATATGGCTACCTAAGTAAGAAATTTCACCTTCAAATCTGCAGTGTTTTCCAATAAAATTAATTTTATTGAGGTGTATTTTATATACAGTAAAATACACAAATATCAAAGTATACTCTGATTAATTTTGGCAAAGACACCCCCCAGGTCATCATCACAGCCAAGATACAGAACATTCCCACCACCCCTGAGACCCTCCTGCCCTTCCCACTGCCCCCTGCCCTCAGAAGCAGCGATTGCACAGGTGTGCTCACTTTAGATTTATTCTGTATAAACCTCATGCAGCATGTGCTGTTTCTAGTCAGTTTTCATTTGCTCAACCTAAGGTTTCTGAAATTCATTGCGATTGTTGTGGGTTTCAGCAGTTTGTAATGTTTTTTGATGAATAGTCTCCTATTGCATTGGCCACACCACCATTTGTGTTTGTTTTCTTATTAATGGACATTTGGGTTATTTCCAGTTTGGGAATAAAGCTGCTATGAACATTTGTGAGCATTTGGTAGACACAGGCTTTCAGTTCTTCTGGATAAATACATAGAGTGGGCCGGGCGCGGAGGCTCTCTCACCTGTAATCCCTACACTTTTGGGAGGCTGAGGTGGGCAGATCACCTGAGCTCAGGAGTTCCAGACCACCCTGAGCAACATGGTGAAACCCCATCTCTACTAAAATACAAAAAGATTAGCCGGGGCCGGGCGCGGTGGCTCACGCCTGTAATCCCAGCACTTTGGGAGGCCAAGGCAGGTGGATCACGAGATCAGGAGTTTAAGACCAGCCTGGCCAGGATGGTGAAACCCCCGTCTCTACTAAAAATACGAAAATTAGCTGGGCGTAGCAGTGGGCCCCTGTAATCCCAGCTACTCAGGAGGCTGAGGCAGAGAACTGCTTGACCTGGGAGGCGGAGGTTGCAGTGAGCCCAGATCGTGCCACTGCACTCCAGCCTGGGCGACAGAGCAAGACTCCGTCTCAAAGAAAAAAAAATTAGCCGGGCATGGTGGCCCACGCCTGTAATCCCAGCGACGGGGGAAGCTGAGGCACGAGAATGGCTTGAGACCCAGAGGCAAAGGTCCAGCTTGGGCTACAGAGCAAGACTCCGTCTCAAAAAAAAAAAAAGAAAAAAAAATACATAGAGTAAAATTGCTGGGTCACAGGATGAGAAGTGTGTACTTAACTTTATTCGAAATTGCCAAACAGTGATCTAAACAGGTTGCATGGTTTTCCATTCCACCAGCAAATGGATTCAGTTACCTGAGACAGGACCATACCATGTCCATTTTTCTGGTGCCCATGCAGTAGCCCCCACAAACGTACCTGGAGCAGCCCAAGTAGCTGTCTGTTCCTTGCACATGGAGTTTTCCACATCTGAGTTAGGCACATGCATGGAAGCACAGAATCCCGCCATGCCCCATGGCATGTTTGCACAGGCCTGTGCCATGTGTTCCTCCTCCCAGGAGCCTCCCCTGTCTCATGCCTCCTCCTACTCCCTTCCTCTTGGAGGTGGAGCTCACATTCTGCCCTCTGTCCTGGTCAGCCTCACCTATGCCTCCTCTCCTCCCTCAGGTGTTTGGTGTCTGGGTGCCAGGATCTTGATTTGCCCCTGTGCCTTTGAAGGCTCAGTCAATGGTGTGATTAGCACCCTTTCCTTTGGTGCAGAAGAGAAGACTTCCTCTGTGCCCAGGTGAGCTGGGTAAGCAGCCTGAGCCTGGGCATGCCCCTTGCCCGGGGAACAGAGGTGACTCCCTGCCATGCAATTCCCAGGGAGTGTCTGGGAGTGCCCTGGGAGGAGCTCCACAAAGCACCAGGGCTCAGCTCTGCCCCAGGCAGGGACTGCCCAGGAAGGAAGACTTATCAGTGGAGGTGAGGGCTGCACAGGGCCCTGATCTACTCAGACAGAGAAGGGGACAAAGGGGCACCCCAGCAGATAGGACGTGCACTCCTTCCACAAACTGCCTGAGGACTGCTTTGTGCTGGGCTCACTAAGTGTTGTGGATTTGTCCAGGAATAACACAGCCCAGTGTCCTCCCTTAGTGGTACAGAAGGCAGGAAAGTTAGCATAGGCGCTGCTGTGAGAAGAAGGAACAGGGACAATAAGAGCCAGGGCGGTGGCCACTTTCCCCTGGGTCTGGGGGCTCCTACAGTGAGCCCAGGGCTGTCGTGACACAGCCTGGCCACTCTCACATCCTTGACGGGGAGGATCACCAATGCAGCTTTGTGGATGAGGCTCAGAAGGGATAAGATCATCTGCCCAGGGTCACACAGGGAGGAAGGAGCCAAGCCAGGCTGCAGGGTAACTTGGCCGAGTCCCTAAATCTGCACTTGTCCTGGACAAGCCAGCAGAGGGACAGGAAGCCAGAAGTGACCAGGGGCCATTCATCAGTAGCTGGTGGTGCTGGCCAGCCCTCAGGTCATCAGAGCTAGGCGGGCACCATCCTCCATGGCCCCTTCGTGTCCACCCTATTGTCACAAACAGTGCAGGGGCCATGAAGGGAAGGAAATGTGACCAGAGCAGTCCTCGTCCCCACCAGGCTTTACTGCAGGAGACAGCATGGCCCTCCTGCACTCAAGTCTGTCCCTGCCTCCCTGCCCTTAGAGCTGGGCAGCATGAGGCCACTGATGGCTCCCACTGTGCTAGCTCGCCTTCCTCTACAGACTGTCTCAACAAAGTCCCAACACTCATCCGTTCCAGATTTGTGCTCTGTGTTTTTGACTTTCCAGGTTTCCATAACTCATCCCAGCCACTGGAACTGGAGTTCTCTGTGGGGTGGATGAGGGTGTTTGAGCCACGTGTCCCCTGCTCTGATGAGCTCAGCAGCCCTCACCTGAGCACTTCGGCAGCAGAACGGAAGGAGGAGTTATGGAGGAGGAGAGGCGGGAGCCCCAGCCTGTCTGCTGTTGACCTCCCAGGACCAGCAGGAGCACCTCAGAGGCTGGTTCAGGGGTAGGAACCAGTGAAGCGTAGAATATTTCCTGCCAGTCCAAGGAACAGCTGCTATCAGAGTTCCCACATTTGCAGAAAATGCTTTGCCCTAAGCAGTGAGGTGAGAGCTGGACACCTGCATGGTGAGCACCGTGGAAGAAGAGACCCCTGGTTGGCCACGTGCTGTGTCCACATCAGGGTTTTTCATGTTTTATTCTTCTCACCCAGGAGAAAAAAAGTAAGTTGCCTGTAGCCAACCAATTATTTATTTCTCCTTTCAAATCTAGTATCTTAACCAGTGAGTTAATTCTGTAGTTCTAGATTTTACTGCAGTTTTTGATCAGTAATTCATAATCTGGAATCCATAACCTACTTGTGCTACACCCAACAGTAATAAAATTGGAAGGTTGGGCTTGATGCTTTGTTTATTATCAAATAAAGCCCAGCAGTTTATTCTCCTTTGTCACGAGCAAGCAGTTGGAGGAACACGCCTGACCCATACATTTCCTACCGGAAAATAGGAATGAGCAACGATACCGTTTTGGAAAAACTCTCTCAGTTGTGTTTTTCCTCTGCTCTCACACCACCACAACCATCATCACAGAAGAAGACTTCTGTGACCAAAGGCGTGGAGGTTTCTCCTACACACCAGGCAGCAGACACCAGCTGGGTGTCCTCCACTTCAACTCCCACACTGTCTACCTGGAAAGTGGGGCAGATCCTCTCTTAGGACTGCCTGGCTCCCAGACACCAGGTGCAAGTCCAGGCCTCTGGAACTTCTGACCAACCGGCTTCAAGTTAGAGTTCCCACAACCCTCTCTGGGTTCTATTAGTTTATTGGAGCAGCTCACAGAACTCAGTAAGAAACACGTTTACTATTATATATAATATTTATTATTATAAAGGATATTACAAAGACTACAGATGAAGAGATGCGTAGGATGAAATCGAGGGAAGGGGCACGGAGTTTCCATGCCCTCCCTGGGCGCCACCCTCCAGGAACCTCCGCGTGTTCAGCTCTCGGGAAGCTCCCGAACCCAGTCCTCTTGGGTTTTGTTTTTTTTTTTTTTGTTTTTTTTTTTTTGAGATGGAGTCTCGGTCTATCGCCCAGGCTGGAGTGCAGTGGCATGATCTCGGCTCACTGCAAGCTCCACCTCCCGGGTTCACGCCATTCTCCTGCCTCAGCCTCCCAAGTAGCTGGGACTACAGGCGCCCGCCACCATGCCCGGCTAATTTTTTGTATTTTTAGTAGAAATGGGGTTTCACTGTGTTAGCCAGGATGGTCTCAATCTCCTGACCTCGTGATCCGCCCGCCTCGGCCTCCCAAAGTGCTGGGATTACAAGCGTGAGCCACTGCGCCCAGCCTCCTTTTGGGTTTTGATGGCAGCTCCGTGACATCAGCATTCCATCTCCCAAGGTATAGGGCAGGACTCCCTCTGGGGAGGGTCTGGTGACCCACAATCAGAAAGGTGCAGGAGGAATAGAGTCCTGTCTTGGGGCAGGTAAAAGGAGGTCAGGAGAAGATCAGAGAGATTCTGTTTCCTGAGCCCTAAAGCACCCAACGTTATAACAAAAGACCCTAACACAGGCTATGGGAGTTACAAGCCAGGAACCGTGGACAGAAACACATATATATATAATAACACCACAGATACTAAACACATCATATTCAAAAACAACTTCTTTAAGAATAATCAACTTCATAGGCCGGGCGCAGTGGCTCATGTCTGTAATCCCAGCACTTTGAGAGACCAAGGTGGGTGGATCACCTGAGGTCAGGAGATCAAGACCAGCCTGACCAACATGGAGAAGAAACCCCATCTCTACTAAAAATACAAAATTAGCCGGGCGTGGTGGCACATGCCTGTAATCGCAGCTACTCAGGAGGCTGAGGCAGGAGAATCGCTTGAACCTGGGAGGCAGAGGTTGCGGTGAGCCGAGATTGCTCCATTGCACTCCCTCCTGGGCAAAAAAATCATCATCATCATCATCATCAACTTCATTAGTTAGATTCCTTTTTGTACCAGGTTTTTAAAAATCCTTTTGTAAGAGCCTCAGCACTGCCACCATGAGGAGAATTTCTACCCAGGGGAGATGGAATAAGAGTAACCAACCCTGTCCCCTGGAGGAAAATGCTTTAAAAGTGGTTTTGATGGTCTGGGGGTGAGGGCTCATTTGAGTCTGTTTTATGGCTCCTCCCCCAAGCTCCTGAAATAAACCCCAGGCCCTTTCCTGCTTTGTCCGTGCTCACGGTTATTCCTGGCACGCATGTTGCTATTCTGGTCCGCCGTGTAGCAGGTGCTTTGTGGCCAAGGCACCCACTGCTTTAGGGGTGCCAAGCCCCATCAGGCTGAAGGGCAAACAGGAAAGGTCAGTGATGGAAGAGGGGGCAGAGGGCCCTGGGCAGAACCTGGCTGTGAACTGGAATGCTGCGCTCATGTCGCTATCCAAAGGCTTTAAGGTAAGACTTTGAATTCTCTTCTGTGCTTCCCTCCCAAGCCTTTAGGAAATGACTCCGTCATTGCCACCTTGACTTTGAACTCCTGAGATGGCATTCTATAACAGCATTCTATAATGTCACTCCAAAATGTACGTGATAAAATGGTGGAAATATTTATTTTTTTCAATTTGGACATTATGTATTAATTAATTAACCTTCTGGAAAAAGAGAAACAAGCCCTGAGTGGGGCCACATGCAGGTCAGGAAGGAGGTGAGTTAGCAGGTATGCCAGGACCCACCTCGGAGCTCCTCTGGGGTGCTGGTCACAAACACCAGCGGCACAGTCACAGAACACCAGGATATGTGAGTCACCTCTATGTATGACGGAGGCATCTGACAGCCATCACTGGCGCTTACCCTGAGAATGGTCCTATGGTCTAAGAAGAGTGTTGGCAGAGTTCTGAGTTAAGGAATCCAGGAGTGGCCAATTTGGAGATTCACTCCTTATCCATGAAGGACATCCGAACCCCTGGCCCATCCCTTGGAATGCAGACTGTACAGGGGATAGGAGCCCTTTGTTCTGGGTTAAATAGAGGTTGCTAGGTGGAGGGTGCTAAGTGAAAATGCTACATAAACTGTCTGCTTTTTACAAATGGTAGCAATCTTCCTGTCTAGTTTGCCACCACTGGAAGTGCCCCAATAAACCCTAGGTCTCATTCGCTGGCTCCAGCTCTTAGACATGTTGCCATCGCTACTGGAGTCAGTAGGGATCTGGCACAACACCTCAAGAACGTTCCTCAGATTCAGTTCAAGGATCTCGCTCAGAAATGGGTCTCAGTGCCCCAGAGTGAAGAACAAGTCCACATCCCAAGCCTGCAGTGGAGAATGAGCTCAGGGGCCAATGATCTGGTGGAAGGGCTTGCCCGAGAGAGAAACAGGGATCTCCACTGCCAGGAGGGATGAATAAACTCATCTGAATCAACCCAGCTAATCTGTCCACCCATCAATCCAGCCAACAACTTAAAAAAAATGCTCAAAATATGAGAAACATCTGCTAAAGATATGAGATTAATGAGGTTATAAAGAATGACCTTGTTTAGGACTATTTAAAGTCTAGAGGTGACTGCTGATGCTGGAAGAGTGACAAAGAAACATGAAGATCTTTTGTAGGGTTAAGGGGACAAAAAGCAGAATTCAGGGCCCACCAAGAATAGAAACACTAGTTGGGGCCAGGCTCAGTGACTCACGCCTGTAATTCCAGCACTTTGGGAGGCCAACACAGGCAGATAACTTGAGGTCAAGAGTTCGAGACCAGCCCGGCCAATATGGTGAAACCCCATCCCTACTAAAAATATAAAAATTAGCCAGGCATGGTGGTGGGTGCCTGTAGTCCCAGCTGTTCGGGAGACAGGAGAATCACTTGAACCCGGGAGGCGGAGGTTGCACTGAGCCAAGATCGCACCACTGCACTCCAGCCTGGGCGACAGAGCATGACTCCATCTTTAAGAAAAAAAAAAAAAAAGAGGCTGGGTGTGGTGGCTCATGCCTGTAATCCCAGCACTTTGGGAGCCTGAGGCGGGTGGATCACAAGGTCAGGAGATGGAGACCATCCTGGCTAACACGGTGAAACCCCGTCTCTACTAAAAATACAAAAAAAAATTAGCTGAGCGTGGTGGCGGGCGCCTGTAGTCCCAGCTGGTGGCGGGCGCCTGTAGTCCCAGCTACTCAGGAGACTGAGGCAGGAGAATGGCGTGAATACGGGAGGCGGAGCTTGCAGTGAGCCAAGATCGCGCCACTGCACTCCAGTCTGGGCGACAGAGCAAGACTCCGTCTCAACAAAAAAAAAAAAAAAGAAAGACTAGTTGGGGTGGGTGTCACCCTTTGCATGGGGATACCAAAAGATTGCCTTCTCTGAGAAAACAAGAAAATTAACCCTCATGAGGGCTACAGCCTGGCTTCAGTCATCAGTGTGGCTCAGGAGACCTCAATTTCTGAGCTGGATTAAAGAGAATGTTTATGCTATGAACCTGCCAGAAGCAAGTCTCTGTAAAAATAACAATAATAATAATAACAATAATATCATTATCCTATGCTTCAAAGTATTTTTATAAAGTTTTGCATACTTAATATCCAACTCAAAATGAAAGAGAACCAAGAATTCAAGAAGACAAATCAACACAAACGAAAACTAGTAGAAACAATAGGCAATAGAAATTGACCCATGCAAGCCCCAAGTAGTGAGGATATCACATGGAGATTTTTAACTAGCTATGCTTACTACTTTCAAAAAGATAAAACACATAATTAAAAATTCTGGTGAAACTGAAACTGTTTTTTTTAAATGAAATAGCATAAATGAAAGAAGCCAGACCCAAAACGCTATATATCATATGATTCCATTCATATGACATTCTGCAAAAGATGAAACTATAAGGATGGAAAACACATCAGGGGTTATGAGATTCAGAGGATCAGGAGATGGCTATTATAAAGGGGATGCATAGGACAATTTTTAGGGTAATGGAGCTACTTTGTCTGCTACTGGAGTGCTAGCTACAAGTATCTTTGTATTTGTCAAAACCCATAGAACTGTACACATTACAAAGAGTTCATTTTTAGTGCATGCAAATTACAAAACCTCAACCAGTAGGTTGGGGAATCCCAGGATGGAACACAGACTGTGACAAGACACTCACTGAATTACAAACATGACCTCCGTGAGGGGGTGGGAGGAGGAGCTGGCCTAAGTAAGTTGGGAAAGCGGTGTTCTTACTGGAAACACCTGCAGACAAAGGGAGCGATGCTCTACTCAGCACATGCATGTCAAGTGAGAGCAGGCTAATGATTCCGAAGCTTCCACACAGGTACACTGGGCTTGAACAAACAAGTGAAGGCATGCTGGGTGGTTAGAGCCAGTGTCTCAGTGTGGCGAGTGTGGAAGGGGGGTTATGGATCAACAGTGGGGGCGGGAATGAGTCCTGTAGGGCTGGCCTTGAGTCTGAGATATCAGTGTGAATCCAGGCTTAGTTCAGTGGACAAAGAGGGACAGAGAGAAATCACTAAAGGCACAGGATATGATATGGTTTGGATGTGATCCCAATGTGATCCCCAATGTTGGCAGATCTCCCATGAATGGCTTGGTGACTCCTCACAGTAATGAGTGACTTCGTGCTGTCAGTCCACATGAGAGGTGGTTGTTGAAAAGAGCCTGACACCCCTCCCCTCTCTCTTGCTCCCTCTGTGGCATGTGATGCACCAGCTCCCACTTTTCCTTCCACCATGACTGAAAGCTTCTTGACATCCTCACCAGAAACAGATGCTGGCTCCATGCTTCTTGCACAGCCTGCAGAACCATGAGCCAAATGAACTTTTTTCTTTATAAATTATCCAGCCTCAGGTATTCTTTTATGGCAATGCAAATAGACTAACATGATCTACAAATGGGTGAGTACACATACATATGTGTCCTAGCTCTGTCCACTAAGAGAGGCTAGAGCAACAACTCTCCAGTGGCCAGGAGAACACCCAGCGCCCAGATCTTGGGCTCTATACCATTTTCCAATCAAAGGAAACAGGATCCCTGGAGAAAGGAGAAATCCAGGAAAGAAAGGCAGAGGCTGCAGCATATCTCTGCTTCCCTTCAGCCTGAGTTGGGGGAGACCCCCAGGGTTGCCCCAGGTCTAGCTGGAGCTCATTTTGTCATATGCTTCAACTCAGGTCCATCCCTTCAAAGTCAGTGACACCACTCATCTGTGCTGCCATCAGAGGGACTTTGACAAAATGGGACTAGACCTGCCCTGAGGCCCCTAACCTAGAAAATCCCTGCACTCCCTTCACCCCAGCCTGCAGGGTCCTAAAGCTGGCTAGGCCTGCTCTGCATGGTTCACCAGGCCACCTTGTGGGACGCAGCTTTGCATGAAGAGGCCATTGGTTTTCTTCCTCCGCAGTTGCACCTGGAATCTCTGCCCACAAAAGCTAAGGGGGAGAAAATGGCCAGTCCAGGTGTCGCACAGCTGCAGGCAGAGATCCTGGCGGACCCCTTCTGTAACCAGAAGGCACCCTGTGGGGGGCTCCCTTTTGTCTTGGGGCACCTCCACCTCTACTTACAGCTGCCTGTGCCCCTGCGGCAGGCAGGGCAGGTTGGGAAAAATAGGTCCCAGCTGAGTCACACTCTTAGCTCCAGCCCAGACGGCCTCTTGGGCCAAGGCTGCTTCGGGCTGTGCTGTGCAGTACAAGAGTCTGGGTTTGTCTGGAATCCACAGTAAATAAAAAGGACATTCCCAAATGACTCATGAAAATAATTTGCAAACACCAGGGAGAAAATAGATCATCTTAAGGAAAAAACAAAACTCCTAATCCACACTTCCTTCCCAGGCTCACTTTTTCCCAAAGAGATGTTTTTATAAAGTCATGAATGGGTTTTAAACACATATAGTAGAAGGACGGTGAAAGCAGGCTTAAAAGGGATGAAATGCTGATTTAGTTAAAAGAGAGTGATGCAGAGAACTGGGGTTTGGACACCCATTCCCGAGGAGCCACAGCCTGCAATGTGCCACGTGTCCCTCCAGACACCCAAGGCCATATGCGCATGCGTGAGGATATTTGTGTGAGTGCTTTGTACATGTGGGAGCATGCTGTGCACATGTCCAAATATCTTGATCACAGAATCCTGCTTTCTGGAAAGACACATGCCATTGTGTGAATGGATGATACTTAAGTCATCCTGTTTGGTGGGCATTGGGTGTTTCCTGACTTTTGTCACAAACACTGCTTCAGTGAACACATTTGTCATTGTCTTTACTCAATCATGAGCACATTTGCAGAATAAAGTCCTACAGAAGAAATCACTGAGTCACATGTGTGCAAACACAGTTTGTTTGAGTGATGTTGCTGGAGCCGTGGGGAGTCGAGGTGGGCAGAGCCCAGCGAGGGGTCCACACCAAAACTGGCCAGACACCAGCCACAGGGCCTCTGACCTCGGCCACACTCCCCAGGGGGCACCAGAGGAGCAGCGCCAGCATGCCCCGAAGACAGGACGAATGCCCACAGTCAGCACCACCATAGGGAGGAGGAGCAGAGGAGGGCTGAGGAGACTCAGGCATCTGAATAAGACTGAGATTCCCATTAGGCTTTGCCCATCCAGGACCAGCTGAGAGGACCAGAAGCAGTGCTGAGTCCAATTGCCCTGTAGACCCTCCAGCCTGAGGAGCAAGGTGCAGTGGATGGGGACAAACTGTTCCAGAAGTATGAGTGGGAAGCAGCTGCATTCATCTGCATGTAGGAGAAGCAGCCACATTCCCCTGTACCTGGAGTCTCAGCTGGAGGTCCACAGTATCTTCCCAGGAGAGGCAGGTCAGCATTTCTTATCCTGCCTCCAGCTGCCTGAGGTTAAGTTCTAGGTGAGGGTGACGAGAGGTGGGGGCTCCCTGATGTCCAGCCACCACTCGTGACATGAAGGCTCTGCCTTGGGCACAGTGCTGCTGAGAATAGTGAGGCCCCACCAGAAGAGGTAAGCTGAAAAAACCCAAAGCTACTGCCCACCTCCATCCATCAAGTGCCTAGCTCCTGAGGTGGGACTATCACCTGGAGAGAAGTGCACCCTTGTCCCCACCCCCAGCTCAATATCCATTGCTTGGAGATTTTTCCCAGAGAACCTGAGGAGTTCATCTGGAGTCAGAACATATATCAAATTCAGTTCATATCCACAAGGATTGGTTCCAGGACTCCCCAAGGATACCAAAATCCATGAGTGCTCAAGTCTCTTGTATAAAATGGCCTAGTATTTGCATATAAAATACACACAACCTCCCATATACTTTGAATCATTAAATTACTTATGCAAGGTAAATACTAATGCAATATACATGCTAGGTAAATATTTGTTATACTGTATTGCATAGGGAATAATGACAAAGAAAAAAGGCAGTTCAATATGGACACAACCATCTTCTTCTTTAAAAAAAACAAACTAACAGTATTTTCTATCTGCGGTTGGTTAAATGATGGCTGTGGAACTCAATGATATGGAGGGCCAACAGTACCAACCTCCAGAACCACTCCTTCAAAGGATCCTGTATTTGATTGACTCCGTCTGTAGAGCAATTGAATCTCAAGGGCATTGTTGAGAACAACACCACAATCAGCCAGCAATTACTGGAGCTTAAAGCTGGTGTGGTCAGGGAAAGAGACAGTCAAAGAGGGACTGCCAAAACCACTGCCATCACTGTGACTGTGGAGCCAAAGCTGCCTGAAGAAGCAATAGCAAATGTTCAACACCAGGGGAGTAGGTTTCACTTAAACAATCCAGCCCTTCACTAAAAAATAAACAAGTAAATAGCAAGCCCTCTGGGGGAAATGGGGACAAGCACCCAGAGATGCTACAATATATTATCTGTTATCTAAAATATCCCAGCAAAAAATAATGAAACATGCTAAGAAACAGGAAAGCATCATCTGTACCTCAGAAAAAAACAGCAAGAGAAACTTCCTGTGAGAGTAACTCGATGTCAGATTTTTAAAAATAAATTTTATTTGTCTATATTTGAGGTTTACAACATGATGTTATATGTATACACAGAAAAATGGTTACAATAGTGTAGCAGATGAACATAGCTGTCATCTCCTATAGCTACTTTTTTGTGACAAGAGCAGCTAAATAGGTGTCAGATTTAACAAAGACTTTAAAGTGGCCATTATAATATGTTCAAAGAACTAAAGAAAGCCATGATTCAAGAAGTAAAGCATGATGACAATATCACATCAAATAGGAAATAGCAACAAAGAGAGAGAAATTATTTTTTAAATGAAGATACTGGAATTGGAAAGTACAATAATGGAAATAAAATTCACTAGAGTTTTTAGTGGATTAAACTGGCAGAAGATTAAAACTGGCAGAAGAAAGAATTCATTAACTTGAAGATAGATCATCAGAGAGTATGCAAGCCAAAGAACAGAGAGAAAAATAAATGAAAAGTGAACAGAGCTTCAGAGATATATGAGACACCATCAAGCACACTAGTATACACATCATGAGAATACCAGGAGAGCAGACAGAAGAGAAGGAAAAATATTCAAATAAATAATGACTGTAAAATTTCTAAGTTGATTGAAAAACAATATACATCCAGGAAGCTCAACAAACTCCAAGTAGGATAACCACAGACATCCACAAAGAGTAAAATGTACTATATCTCAAATAGTAAAAGTGCTGGAGGAAAAAAAAGCTGAAAGCCAAAATCAAGTAGACAATTTTGAAAACCTGCAAACAAAAAAACAAAACAAAGCAAAACAAAAACATGTCCCTTACAAAAGAATTCCCATAAGATTCACAGCTGCATTCTCAAAAAAAAAAAAAAAAAAAAAAAGGCCAAAAAGCACTGGAATCACATATTTAAAATGCTCAAACAGGCCAGACATGGTGGCTCACATCTGTAATCCCAGCACTTTGGGAGGCCAAGGCAGGCAGATCACCTGAGGTCGGGAGTTCAAGACCAGCCTGGCCAACATGGTGAAACCCCATCTCTACTAAAAATACAAAAATTAGCCAAGTGTGGTGGCACACACCTGTAATCCCAGCTACTCGGGAGGCTGAGGCAGGAGAATCGCTTGAACCCAGGAGGCAGACGTTGCAGTGAGCTGACATCGTGCCACTGCACTCCAGCCTGGGCAACAGAGTGAGGCTCTGTCTCAAAAAAATAAAAAATAGGTCCCTGCGGCGGGTGTGTTTCGGCCTGGCCTGGGCAGGCGCTTGTGCTGCCAGGGCGCCGGGCCCGGGGAGGCCGGGGTCTCGGGTGGCGGCCGGCCCAGGCGCTGGACTGCAGCAGGATGGGGAAGGCGAAGGTCCCCACCTCCAAGCGCGCCCCGAGCAGCCCCGTGGCTAAGCCGGGTCCTGTCAAGACGCTCACTTGGAAGAAAAACAAGAAGAAAAAAAGGTTTTGGAAAAGCAAGGCGCAGGAAGTAAGCAAGAAGCCAGGAAGCGGCCCTGGTGCTGTGGTGCGACCTCCAAAGGCACCAGAAGACTTTTCTCAAAACTGGAAGGTGCTGCAAGAGTGGCTGCTGAAACAAAAATCTCAGGCCCCAGAAAAGCCTTTTGTCATCTCTCAGATGGGTTCCAAAAAGAAGCCCAAAATTATCCAGCAAAACAAAAAAGAGATCTCGCCTCAAGTGAAGGGAGAGGAAATGCTGGCGGGAAAAGACCAAGAGGCCAGCAGGGGCTCTGTTCCTTCAGGCTCCAAGATGGACAGGAAGGCGCCAGTACCTCGCACCAAGGCCGGCGGAGCAGAGCACAATAAGAAAGGAACCAAGGAAAGGACAAATGGTGATATTGTTCCAGAATGAGGGGACATCAAGCATAAGAAGCAGAAAGCTAAGGAGGCAGACCCTGCCCCACCCACCGAGGAAGACATGTGGTTTGACGACGTGGACCCGGCGGATATCGAAGCTGCCATAGGTCCAGAGGTGGCCAAGATAGCGAGGAAACAGTTGAGTCACAGTGAGGGCAGCGTCAGCCTCAGACTCGTGGAAGAGCCGGCCTTCGGCGGCCTGACAAGAGCCTTAGCCTTGGACTGTGAGATGGTGGGCGTGAGTCCTAAAGGGGAGGAGAGCGTGGCCGCCCGTGTATCCATCATGAACCAGTAGGGGAAGTGCGTTTATGACAAGTAGTCAAACCAACCGAGCCCGTGACGGACTATAGGACAGCGGTCAGTGGGATTCAGCCTGAGAACCTCAAGCAGGGAGAAGAGCTTGAAGTTGTTCAGAAGGAACAACTGTCAGAAGGAACAACGGTACTGTCACCGCTTATCTTCAGTGACACCCTGGGGTGAGGGGCTCAGCACCTTCCTCTCGGGGAGCCACATTTTCCTCCTTTGTCTTAGGGGACATAACAAGCTCTGCTGGGCTTGAGGGACCCAGACCAGGTGTCTGCAGTCAGCTCCTGAGACACGGCTGGCCGGCACAACAGGTGTTACATCAGGGGTTTCCTGTGGCCGTTTGGACTTTGAGCGTTTATCTAAATTAAATTGGCCCAGGGTTGGCTGGTGGGTCACCCAGCAGAGGCTTCTCCCCATAGCACGAGGATGTGTCGTCTGGGCACGGTGACCGCGGTTATTCCTGGAGGTCGGCAGACATGCCGACCTTGGGCTATTTGAGCTGGAGAAGCTATGTGATGCTAGCCAGTAGCTTTCTTGGCTAGGCCCCAGTTTGAGGCTCCCCTGGGAACTAGAGTCAGGAACAGCCAGTGGCACTGACAAGGGGACGGAGTCCAAGGCATTATTGGGCCACCTGACAGCTGGACAGAAAAGGTGCAGTCACACCGAGGATGTGATTTAAAATAAATGCAGAAGTTTACTTTGAAAAAAAATGAATAAAATAAAAATAAAAAATAAAATAAAATGCTCAAAAAGAAAAAAAAAAACTATATCCAGCAAAACTATCTTTCAAACATGAAGATGAGCTGAGCATGGTGACTTATGCCTGTAATCCCAGCACTTGGGAGGCAGAGGTGGAAGTATGGCTTGAGGCCAGGAGTTTGAGACCAGCCTGCACAACTTAGCAAGACCCCATCTCTACAAAAAATAAAACGAAAAATAAATGAAGGTAAAATAAACTCTCAAATAAACAAAAACTGACAGATTTTGTTGCTACCCGACTTCACTTCCCCACTTACAAGAAATACTAAAAGAAGTTCTTCAGGCTAAAACAAAGTGACCCCAGAGGGTAATTAGAATGTACCCTAAAAAAAAACCCAAAAAGTGCTGGTATAGGTAATTACGTAATTACATCGTATAATTGCAAAAGACATATAAAATGCATGTTTTTTTCATTGTTCTCTTAACTGATTTTAAAAGCAATTATATAAAGTTACATATATAGAATGTATAGTTGGACATATAACATATAGAAGTGCAATATACTTGCCAATAACAATAAAAAGGAGGTAGGTGGCAACAAAGCTGTATTCGGCTAAAGAAATGGCTACAGACGGTAACTTGAGTCCACAGGAACAAAAGAGAAGAACTAGAAATAAGGAAGAAGGTTAATATAACAGAAGCTATTAATATATACTCAGTCTTCTTTCTTCTCTAAACTTCTTTAAAAGACATAAAAGTATATAATGTAATAATTATTAAAGAGTCTCTGGGTTTGTAACAATAATGTAATATGTATAACAGTAATATCACCAAAAGTGGGATAAAAGGAACAGAGCTATATAAGAGTAACGTTTCTATGTATCACTAGAACTAAGCTAGTATAAATATGAAACTGATGCTAATAATTTAGGACGTATGTAGTAAGACTTAGAATAGCCACTAAGGAAATAACTAAAAGAATTGTGAAAAAAAATTAATGAAGTTAAAATGGTACATTAGAAAATATTTAACATAAAGGGGAATCGAGGACTGAAAAGACGTAAAACATATAGCACCCAAAAAGTAAAATAGCAGATGCAAATCTAACTATAACATTAAATGTGGATGGATTAAATAATACAATCAAAAGGCAAAGATTATCTGGCTGGATTTAAAAAAACATGATCTAACTATGTATTCTCTACAGGAGATGCACTAGGCCCAAAGACACAGTGGGATGGAAGTAAGTGGATAGAAAAAGGATGCACCATGCATAAAGCAATTGCAAGAAAGTTGGAGTGGCTATACTAACATCAGACATCTGACAAGCTAGACTTTCAAACCAAAAAAAGTTTGTCAAGATAAAGAGATATTTAAAAGTGATAAAGGGATTAATCTATCAGGAAGATAAAGCAATTATTTAAAAATTATGCACCCAGTAATGGAGCACCAACATGGAGGAAGCATAAACTGACAGAAAGGAAGGGAGAAACAGACAATTCAGCAATGAGAGTTACAGATTTCAATACCACATTTTCAATAATAGAGAAAAGGTTTCCAATAAGTAGTCTAAGTTTCTACCTCAAGAAACCGGGGAAGGGGCAAAATTAAACCAAAAGCAAGGAAGAAGGAAATAAGAAGTAGAGGAATATAAATCCATTAAATTGACTACAGACCAGTATCTCCCATGAATATAAATGCAAAAATCATCAATAAAATACTAGCAGAACTAATCCAGTAACTACAAAAAGGATTAGGCACCATGACTGTGATGGTTAACTTGGCTCAGGGGCCAGTTGCTTGGTCAAACATCAGTCCAGATGTTGCTGTGAAGTTATTTTTTTAATTCAAATTAATAATTTAATCAATACACTGAGTAAAATCAAATTACCTGCCATCATGTGGGTGGACCTCATCCAATCAGTTGAAGGCCTTAAGGGAAACGACTGAGGTCTCCAGAAAAATATATTCTGCCTCCAGATTGCTGTTGGACTCAAGACTACAACACTGACTTGTGCCGGGATTTCCAGCCTTCCAGCCAGCCCTGCGTACTTCAAACTTGCCAGTCCCCAAAACAGTGCAAGCCAATTTCTTAAAATCTCTCTCTCCCTACCTCCTACCCTCCCACTCCTTTTTCCTCTTCCCTTCCACCTCTCCCTCCCCTTCCCCGTCTTCCTTCCCTTTCCCTTCTCCCTCCCCTTCCCCCTTAAGCCTCTCTCTCTCTCTCTCTCTCTCGTTCTTTTTGCTTAGAAGTAGAAATGGCCAGACATGTGATTATGTACCAATTATGGACTATGACCAATGGTCTGAATGGATGGTCAGGGACTTGGAGGGAATATAACTGGAAAATTGGCGACAAGGAGGTCATGTGTATAGATCTCTGATATTATGTGTCAAGGTAGGTATGTGTATAGATCTCTCTGAATGGGCACAAAAAGTGAAGATATTTGTGTCCCATGTGACAGCTCACCAAACAGTGACCTCAGAAAAGGAGGAGCTTAATAATCAAGTGGAGGCGGGGCACAGTGGCTCACGCCTGTAATCCCAGCACTTTGGGAGGCCGAGGCAGGCAGATCACAAGGTCAGGAGTTCAAGACCACCCTGGCCAACATAGTGAAACCCCGTCTCTACTAAAAATACAAAAAATTACCCGGGCGTGGTGGTGGGCACCTATAATCCCAGCTACTCGGGAGGCTGAGGCAGGAGACTCACTTGAACCCAGGAGGCGGAGGTTGCAGTGATCGGAGATCACGCCACTGCACTCCAGCCTGGGCGACAGTGCGAGACTCCATCTCAAAAATAATAATAATAACAATAATCAAGTGGATAGGATGACACCAGTCAGCCTCTTTGTCCAGCCACCCTTGTCATCATCCATGGGCTCCTGAGCAAAAAGTGGCCATGGTGGCAGGGATGGAAGCTATGCACAGGCTCAGCAACACAGAATTGCCACTCACGAAGGCTGACCCAGCAATTGCTCCCACTGTGTGTCCAATCTACCCTCAAGAGAGACAATATACCCAATCTACTGTGTGCCCAATCTACCCTCAGCAGAGACAACACTGAGCCCTCAACATGGTGCCATTTTCCAAAGTGTTCAGCCAAATACATGGTGGCAGGTTGATTACGTTGGACAGTTTCCATCACAAAAGGGACAGAGTTTTGTTCTTACTGGAATAGACATTCTAGATATTGATTTCCTTTCCCTGCACACAATGCTTCTGCCAAAACTACCATCTGTGGACTTCCAGAATGCCTTATCCACCATCACGGTATTCCACACAGTATTGCTGATCAAGGAATTTACTTCACAGCCCATGAAGTGTGGCCCTGGCTCATCCTCGTGGAATCTACTGATCTTATTATGTTTTTGACTATCCTGAAGCAGCTGGCTTCATAGAATGGTGGAATGGCCTTTTGAAAATGCAGTTACAGCACCTACTAGGTGGCAACACCTTGTGGGGCTGGGGCAAGGTTCTCCAGCAGGCTGTGCATTCTCTGAATCTGTGTCCCATATAGGGTGCTGTTTCTCTGATAGTCAGGATTTCTTCAATAGTCCAGGAATCTAGGATGGAAATGGGAGTGGCACCATTCACTATTACGCGTAGTAACCACTAGGACATTGTTTGCTTCCTGTCTCTGCAACTTTGTGCTGTGCTCTGCTCATCTAGAGGTTTTAGTTCCAAAGCAAGGAATGCTTCCACCAAGAGACACAATACTGATTCCATTGAACTGGAAGTTAAGACTGCCATCCGGCCACTTTGAGCTCCTTGTGCAAATGAACTAACAGGCAAAGAAGAGAGTTACTGTACTGGCTGGGGAAACTGATCTGGAGTACAAACAGGAAACCGGACCGCTACTGCACACAGAAGATAAGGAAGAACACGTGTGGAATAGAAGAGCTCCCTTAGAGCATCTCTTAATACTACCATGCCCTGTGATTAAAGTCCATAAAAAAAAACAAAAACAGAGCACAACGCAGGCAGAACTACTAATGGCCCAAACCTTTTAATAATGAAGTTCAGGTCACTTCATCAGGTGCTCACTGAAGGCAAAGGGAATACAGAATGCACAGAAGACAAGGGTAACTGGAAATACCAGCTATGACCACGTGACAGAAACAAGGACTGTAACTGTTATAAGTGCTTCTTCCTTATTTTGTTACAAATATGTTTGTGTGTATGTGTTTGAAAAAACATTTGTTTTCTTCCATCTCTTATTGCCTTATCATATAAGATGTATTAGTTTTATATCTTAGTGTTTAAGTTATAGGATATCAAAGAAAAGTAAATGTCCTTCAAGGACTTTCTGTCTTTTTCTGGGGTAAGGGTTAGTGCATTTTTGGTTGTAGGCAGAATAGTTGTATCATGCTAGGTGGAAGTATGACCTTGTTATTTAATGCCTCTGTTTGGAGATGAAGTACAGTTTAAAGGAAATGCGTCTGGTGACAAGGGGTGAACTATGATGACTGAGTCTGTGTGTCGACGTGGCTAGGCTATAGTGCCAAGTTGCCTGGCCACAACATCAGTGTAGACGTGCTGTGAAGGTAGGGACGTGGATGAAGCTGGAAACCACCATTCTCAGCAAACTATCGCAAGCACAAAAAAACCAGACACCGCATGTTCTCACTCATAGTGGGAATTGAACAATGAGAACACTTGGACACAGGAAGGGGGACATCACACCCCAGGGCCTGTTGTGGGGTGGGGGGAGGGGGGAGGGATAGCATTAGGAGATAGACCCAATGTAAATGCCAAGTTAATGGGTGCAGCACACCAACAAGTCACATGTATACAAATGTAACAAACCAGCACCTCGTGCACATGTACCCTAGAACTTAAAGTATAATAAAAAAAAAAAAAGAAGGTCAATATCACTAACCATCAGGAAAATTCAAATTCAACCACAGTGGGATATGGGATACCACTTCACAACCACTATGATGGCTACGATTAAAAAACCAGATGGGCCGGGCGCAGTGGCTCACACCTGTAATCCCAGCACTTTGGGATGCCGAGGCGGGTGGATCACGAGGTCAGGAGATCGAGACTATCCTGGCTAACACGGTGAAACCCCATCTCTACTAAAAAATATAAAAAATTAGCTGGGCGTGGTGGCGGGCACCTGTAGTCCCAGCTACTCAGGAGGCTGAGGCAGGAGAATGGTGTGAACCTTGGAGGTGGAGCTTGCAATGAACCGAGATCGCGCCACTGCACTCCAGCCTGGGCGACAGAGCGAGACTCCAACTCAAAAAAAAAAAAAAAGTCAGATGACAAGTGTCAGCAAAGATGTGGAGAAATCAAACCCTTATATCAATACACTGTTGCAGGAATGTAAAATGATACCACTAGTTTGGAGAAGAGTCTGGCAGTTCTTTAAATGGTTAATCAGAGAGTTCCTGTGTGGCACAGTAATTCTGCTTCTCGGTATATCCCCAGGAGAAATGAAAACATATGCCTCCACAAAAACCTGTACACTAATGTTCATAACAGCATTATTCGTATCAGCCCCCCAAATGGAAACAAACTAAATATGCATTGATTGATGAATGGGTAAACGAAATGTGGTATAGCCATACAATGGAATAATATACAAAATAGAAAGGAAGTGCTGACACGTGCTACAACATGATGAACCTTGAAAACATGCTAAGTGGAAGAAGCCAGGGGCAAAGAGCCAATACTGTATTACTCCATTTATATGAGGCATCCAGCATAGACAAATCTAAAGAGACAGGTGGTTGTCTCAGGGCTGTGAGGGATGGGAAGAATGGGCGTGACTGCTAATTGACATGCGTTTCGAACTCAAATAAGATTTTTGTTTGGTTGTTTTTGAGACAAGGTCTGGCTTTGTCGCCCAACCTGGAGTGCAGTGGTGCAACAGTGGGGTCTCCCTGTGTTGCCCAGGTTGGTCTCGAACTCCTCAGCTCAAGGGATCCTCCTGCCTCTGCCTCCAAAAGTACTGGGAATATAGGCATGAGCCACCTCGCCCAGCCTGATATGGTGTTTCTTTATGGGGTGATGAAAATATTCTAAAATTATGGTGATGGCTTAAGCGGATCTGTTAAAACTATGGAACAGCACACTTTAAATGGGTGACTTGTAAGGCATACAAATTATATATTAAAACAGTTGTTATACTGAAAACCCAATGAAATTAAAATCAATGAAGTAAAATGCTGGTTAATCAAAACAATAAAATTGATAAACCTCTAGCATGCTTACTTTAATTTTTTTTAAAAAAACCTGCCATCCTGGTTTCCAGAGTGGCCATAATGTTTTACATCCTCACTTTTAGCATCCTTCCAATATCTAAGCAGAAAGCAAAAATAAAAGTTTCTTTATAAAGAAAAAAAATTAAGGTGGGAATCGGACTTCTCCACAATGCTAAATATCAGAAGGCAGTAAAGTTCTTTCTAAGAAACTTACAAAAAGGAGTGCCTGTGACCCAAGAATTATATAGTTAACTAAATTGTATCTCATCTTATGTGAAAAAGCCAAAAGACTATATGCAAAAGCTTGCTCAGAAATTATATCACCAAAAATTCTTGAAAACATAACCCCAATTGAATAACATATGAAATTATTTAAAGGTTCAAAAAACGAGAGTGATATGATGTCAAAGATGGATGGTGAGCAGATAAATCACTTGAAAGAAGAGATCAATCTATACTGGTGCTGTGAATACAGTTCCACAACTGAATGTGAATGCTTAGAATTATTCTTAAGGCTGAAAGTACATAACATCATAGCACTAGTCCCATGCCAGTGGTCTAGATGTCAATGCCAGTTTATTTTGTTAAGAACCAAGAAGCGAGTGGATAAGAGACCAGGTGAAGAGGAATCTTTTCTAAACTTATTATTTTTAATATAGGCAATAATCTAAAAGAGCTCTACTAATAGAAAAGAAGCAGAGACGATGCCTTATAAAATACAGAATAATATAACAACCAAAGATGACAAAATCCAGACAGTGAAAGACAGAAAACAAAGGAAAGAGTAAGTAAGCATAAATATTAGAAAGCAACTGGGCATGGTGGCTCACTCCTGTAATTCCAGCACTTTGGGAGGCCGAGGCAGGTGGATCACCTGAGGTCAGGAGTTCGAGACCAGCCTGGCCAACATGGCGAAACCCTGTCGCTACTAAAAATACAAAAATTAGTCGGGCGTGGTTGTGCAGGCCTGTAGTCCCAGCTACTTGGGAGGCTGAGGTGGGAGGATCACTTGAGCCTGGGAGGTGGAGTTTGCAGTGAACTGAGATTGTGCCACTGCACTCCAGCCTGGGTGACAGAGTGAAACCCGGTCTCAAAAAAAAAAAAAAAAATCAGAAAGCATGAAACAGCATAACAAAAATAATACCGAAAGTATTAGTTATAGTGACAAATGTGGGTAGTTCAAATACCTCTATACTAAGACATAATTGGTTGACTAAACTCAAAAAATAATATCCAACTATATGCTGGCTATAAGAGACACAGTTAAAATAGAGTGAGGCATGGAATGTGATTCACGAAGGTAGGAACCATGTCTCTATGACACTCTGCAAAGCCCAGTTCTGAGACACCACGTGGCATACATATAGGAGATGCTCACTGTGGATTTGCTAATGAAAGCAAAGGAACAAACGAAAATGTTCTAGGTCTACTGCAAACAAGTAAGTGAAAAGAACAGATGTTACATTTAAAAAAAAATCACAGAAAATAGAATCTAAAACAACAACTATGAAAATAAGGCAAAGGTGGTCATTTTATTTTTCTAAATCATGAAATGACAACTTCCACAATCCTTCTTACATGGGAAATATTATTCCACTAAAATGTATTAAATGAAAACTTTAAAAAATACAAAGGGAAATTGACAAAAATGCAATTGCACGGGGAGGTTTTACTGTATCACTCGCACTTTTTTTTTTTTTTTGAGAGGGAGTCTCACTCTGTTGCCCAGTCTGGAGTGCAGTGGCGTGATCTCGGCTCACTGCAAGCTCCGCCTCCTAGGTTCAGGTCATTGTCCTGCCTCAGCCTCCGGAGTAGCTGAGACTACAGGCGCCTGCCACCATGCCCGGCTAATTTTTTGTATTTTTTGTGGAGATGGGGTTTCACTGTGTTAGCCAGGATGATCTCGAGCTCCTGACCTCGTGACCCGCCCTCTTCGGCCTCCCAAAGTGCTGGAATTACAGGCCTGAGCCACTGCGCCCAGCCTCACTCACACCTTTTTGATGGAGGCAGTATATTAAAAATCCACAGGCATATGAAGGCCTTGAATAATGTAATCAATATCGCTGATTGAATAGACACTGCTAATGAAGTCAACCCCCACCCCCCGACCCCCCGACACACACCTACACACACACACACACACACACACGTTTGTTCAGAGACATCAGTTGTCATGTGAACTCTTTCTTTTTTTAAGGGAAACAGTCTTTCTTGAGGACCACATGCAGGCTGGTGGGTGGGTGAGGTTGAAGAAACACCATGGCAAAGGTTCTCTCTTGGGGCTTTTGGGCTCTGTTTGAGCTCCTGGGATTGAGATCGGTTTGAGGGCCCAAAACCAAGATTTTCTTGAGCAATCTGGTAAATTTCTAGGCCATGAGGTCATAGTCTGAGGTCATCTAACTGTTGAAGAGGAAGTCTTAGAGCCCAGATTAGGGAACAAAGGAAGCCTTACTTGGTCTAGGTGAGAAAGTCTAGCTTCGAGCTGGGTTTGTACCTTTGATCTTTCCACTGCTGTAGGGACATAAGCCATATTCCATGGAGGACTGTGCCCTTGGCAATGGGACGGGAGGGAGGGAGGGTGGGAGTCTCAACAGGCCTTCATAATCTGGGTGTAACATGAGTGTGCATATGACTTTGTGGTTATAGGCTATGACATATGAGTCATATCTATGTTAAATTTTATATAAAAATAGAGAACTGGCCAGGCATGGTGGCTCACGCCTGTAATCCCAGCACTTTGGAAGGCCAAGTGGGGGCAGATCACTTGAGGTCAGGAGTTCAAGAGTAGCCTTGCCAACATGGTGAAACCCCGTCTCTACTAAAAATACAAAAATTAGCCAGGCATGGTGGCAGGCACCTGTAATCCCAGCTACTGGGGAGGCTAAGGCACGAGAATTACTTGAATCTGGGAGGCAGAGGTTGCAGTGAGCCAAGATTGTGCCACTGCACTCCAGCCTGAGCAACAGAGCGAGACTCTGTCTCAAAAAAAAAAAAAAAAAAAAAAAAACCCACCAAAGACAGAGAACTTTCCTTTCCAGAATTCAAGCAATATTTATACACATCGATGAAATATTGGGCCACAGAGAAACCTCAATAAATACCAAAAGGCAAAAAAGGTAATAAGGTTAAAAACCTCAATGTAATAAATCTTCAAGTCAATAACTAAAAGTTTAATTTTTAAAATGCCATGTATGTAAATCACACCCCAATTTTAAACATCTAACCCCTTGAAACTTAGAAATAAAACCACTGTCCTAAAGAAATGTCAGCTCACCGAGAAAAACAAAACTGCATTTACATAAGACGGGAATGATGAGAAAATTGCCCAGCAAAACTTATGGGACATGGCCACAGCCTGTTTTTATTACTAAGCAAGAAGAAATGAATAGACATGTGATGAGTAGTCAACAGATGAAGTCAGAAAAACAGAAATAAGATGCGAGGAATGTGCTTTAAAAGACACACACGTCAGGACAAAAACAAAAGTTGTAAGTGAATTACATGAGAAAAAAATGTCTAGTCTTGATAAATAACACTAAGGGCTGCTCTGAGAAGAGACTGGTCCCCCTGCAGGCACAGGGTGGGGAGACTAGGATCCCAGCCCAGCTGCTGACAGCTAAGCCTCTCTGAGCTCCCTGTCTCCCTCCATCTGCTGGATGACTGTAAATCAGACCGTCATAGAGAAGCCTATGGTACCAATTTGTACCCAAGTCTCCCCTCTTCCTACCTAATGTAACTGCTTTGTAATTTTGCATGACTTGGATCGGGTCATTTATTATTTGCGGGGCTCAGGCTCCTGATCGGCGCCCCCTCCAGCATTAGGGTGCAGAATTATCAAACACGATGTGGCTCTCTGGGTCCTGGCAGTCAGTTTCCTCCAAGCCTCGGTGGCCCCAGACAGAGACTGGTTTTTGTCATGGAAAAACACTCCTCAGAGCAGGGTCTTTAAAACCGTTCCGCCAGCCAACCCCACCCAATTTGCAGAGATTCAAGAGTAAAAGAAATGTTATCATTGTCAAGCCACTAAGTTTCCAGGTGGGTTGGCACACAGCCATAGTGACTGCAAAAGGGCATCAAGGAAGAAATTAAGGAAAAGCAAGTGTGACGTCAAAGGCCGAGAGATTGTGCCTTAGACTGATATGTGTTATACAGCAATGTAAAATGTTGTTGTTAGGATAAGAATCGATATACCCTCGCGGGGCTGTAGTCAGGATAGAGACCCTGTATGCAAACCGCTCAGCAAAGTCTCTGGACACACTAGGCGCTCAAGATAGAAACAGTGGCTACCATCATCACCCTCACCACCGCCGGCAGCAGCCCTTCTCCCAATACTGGCAAGGACGTATTTAGCCAGTGGCATTCATGTGAACTAGCTATCCTGTCCCTGTAGCCATGTAAACATATCATCAACAGGGGCCGGGCGCCCTGGCTCACACCTGTAATCCCACCACTTTGGGAGGTGAGGCAGGAGGATGGCTTGAGCCCAGGAGTTCAAGGCCAACCTGGGCAACATAGTGAGACACCTCTCTACAAAAACAAACAACCTGTGTGGTGGTGCGTGCCTGTGGTCCCAGCTACTCAGGAGACTGAGGAAGGAGGCTTGCTTGAGCTCAGGAGTTCTGAGGCTGCAGGGAGCCGAGATCGCCACACTGCACTCCTCCAGAGCAAGACACTGCCTCAAAAGAATAATAAAAATAAAGGGCCGGGCACGGTGACTCACGCCTGTAATCCCAACACTTTGGGAGGCCGAGGCAGGTGTTACACGAGGTCAGGAGTGGCCTGGCCAAGATGGTGAAACCCCGTCTCTACTAAAAATACAAAAATTAGCCGGACTTGGTGGCGGGAGGCTGAGGCAGAGAATTGCTTGCACCCGGGAGGCAGAGGTTGCAGTGAGCCAAGATCGCACCACTGCACTTCCAGCCTGGGAGACAGAGCAAGACTCCGTCAAAAAAAAAAAAAAAAAGACATTAAGGGCTTTCTGGGACCAACTCGCCCACCCTAATGTCCCTCGCTTTTCCTTTCATTCATGTGCTTCTTTTTTAATTAAAGGACTTTCTTTGCATCCTGGTGTCCAGCCAGTTTCCCGATTTAAATCTAGGTTCTGGAGAAGCTGACGCCGGGTGGGTTGCGGGGGGAGGTGCGGCGCAGCGCGGAGGCCGCGTGGACAGGGTCCCGGGCGCGGGCACCGGGCGTCTCTGGAGCGGGTCTGCAGGCGCCGCCCACGCTCGCGGGTCACCCTGACCTCGAAACCGCGCGACTCTGACTCGCGCTTTCCGCTGGCTCCGCTGGGGCGGTGCCCGGACAGCGAAGGGCCCGCGGGTCAGCGCGGACCACTCTCTCCTGCTGCCCGCCCGGCAGCCACATCGGCCACAGGAGCGGGGACTGCGCAGAGGCCCCCGGTACTCCGGCCCTTCCCCCACCCTCCCACCCCCAGCCAAAGACTGGGGCGGGGCATCCTAGTCCGCGTGACTCGGATGGGTGGCCTGAAGCTTCCACAGTTCCGCCAACGCGGGACCCGAGCGCAGATGAGAATCCACAGGCGTGGGGGGTGGGGCTGGACCCCTGACCTGCCCTCCAGGAGCCCTCAGTCCACAACCAGGCCGGCAAGCGCGAAGCGATTCCAAGAGACCTGCAAGAAAGGAGCCAGCTGCCAGAGCCCAGGCTTGGGGTCTGGACGCTGGGAAAGTCCACGAGGAATTTGATCCTGCCTTGAAGGATGGCCGTAGTGCACCTGTGCACCCGGGAGCAAGGCCCACGCAGGGAGCAGGACAGCGCAGGCCCAGGAGAGGACCCCGGAGGAAGCTCAAGGGGCTAGGTTAAGCCTAAAGGAAGGTTTGGTGGGAAATAAGGCTAACCAATAGCATAACACGATTAACCCACATCAGCCATTAAGAACTTAGCTGGTAGGGGGAGCGGGGAAGGGGTTCCAGATGTTGGTCAAAGGATACGAAATTTCGGCCGGGCGCGGTGGCTAACGCCTGTTATCCCAACACTTTGGGAGGCCAAGACGGGCGGATCACCTGAGATCGGGAGTTCGAGACCAGCCTGACCAACATGGAGAAACCCCGTCTCTACTAAAACTACAAAATTAGCCGGGCATGGTGGTGCATGCCTGTAATCCCAGCTACTCGGAAGGCTGAGGCAGGAGAATCGCTTGGACCGGGAGGCGGAGGTTGCCGTGAGCCGAGATCATGCCATTGCACTCCAGCCTGGGCAATAAGAGCGAAACTCCGTCTCAAAAAAAGAAAAGAAAAAAAAAAGATACAAAATTTCAGTTAAAGAGGAGGAATAAATTCAGGAAGTCTATTGTACAGTATGGCGACTATAGTTAATAACAACGTATTATAGACTTGAAAATTGCTGAGAGTACATTTTAAGTGTTCTTACACCAAAATGTAGGTGAGGTAATGGATATGTTAATTAGCTTGATTTAGACACCCACAATGTATACATACTGTATATCGCACATCATGTTGTATACCATACATATATACAATTTCATCAATTTAAATTAAAAAAAGATATTAGCTCATATTAGTATTTCAATCAGCCAGCCCAGGAATATTTGATAGAGGAGGGAGGCATGGTGCAGATCCCAAGAGACTGAGAGAAGGAGCAGAGGAGCTATCATGGGGGCGGTGGGGCCTCAGATTGCCCAGGGATAGCTGAGGTGTCAGGGGAGGCCAACACGTGCTGCAGCACCAAACAGCACCTAACCTCAAGGCTGAGCACAGCGAAGGTGCGTTTCCCCTCACATAAAGTGCACTTCAGACATGGGCAACTCTTGAAGGAGCAGTCGCCCTGGTGGCAGGTCTCCACCCGAGGCCTCCTCCATGGTCACTGTGGGTGGGAAGAATGAGAGGACCTGGAGAGTCAGATTGGCGGGTAAATGCCTCCCCCTGGAGGTGACATAGCCTTCATCCATGACATGACCTCGCTCCCTGTGAGGGATTCAGGAGTGTCATCTCCCAGGGGTCTGGAAGGAGAGGAGAGTCAGATGGGGTCGGCGCTGAAAGTCTCCATCAGCAAAGGGCCGGAGCCTGTGGACTGATTCTACCTACACCCTGCTTTCACAGGAGGCTGGCTTGCTGCCTGGGGCTGCACTCTGTCACCTGTCAGCTGCATAGAGGTGCTCCTGGACTTACTATGAGGTCACATCCCAATAAACCCATTGTAGGTTGAAGATTTCATAAGGTGAAATTGCATGTAATACACCTAACCTACTGAGCATCATATCCCAGCCTACCTTACACATGCTCAGAACACTCATTTAGCCTACAGCTGGGCAAATTGTCTGGCCGCACAGTCCCCTATAAGGTCGTTTACCATCGTGATCACGTGGCTGGTGTCCGGCATCGAGAGAGTATCTTACCGCTTCCTACTGAATACATATTGCTTTCTCACCATTATAAAATCAGGAAAATTATAAGTGGAACCATCATAAGTTGGAAACTGTCTGTAATTACATGGCCATCTGATTGGCTTGTTAGAAGTCTCAACAATGGGTGCTCGCAGAGTGCTATGGAGAAGAGGTCTCTTGTGAAGTACTTAAGATCAGCTGAAGCCGCACTCAGCCTCACTTAGGAACACATGCACTCGGGAGGCAGGCAGAGAATTCAGCATGGGTGTGGCCTGCAGAGGTCACTCCCATTCCCCATTGGTACATGGACCTCCTACCTGTACAAGAGTGAAGATGTGACTGGGCTGAGTGAAGAACTGGGCTGGTCCCAGTTCTGCCTCTCCAGCCAAGGGGCTGGGCACATGACCCAAGGGAGAGGAGTCAGAAAGACCATGGGGACTTTCTTGAGCTCTCCGCTCTGGAAGCTCTAGCTTCTCTGACCTTGGAGTTATTGATGATCAGCTTGCTGCTGGGAGAGCTGGTCTGAGGAAGAAGCCTAAAAAGGGGGGAAACAGAATAGAATTGTGGAGAGAGAGAAAGAGAGAGAGAATACAGATCCAACTTGAGCTTCTAGAACCAACTGTGCCTGAAGCTATGACCCATTACACAGCCGATACGTGTCCTCTCTCTGTTTAAGCTAGCTTGAGCCATATCCTCAGTTATAAATGAAAAATTCCAATTACTAATTGGTCTTTGGTGCAAAGCCCAACACAGAATTCTCCTAAGCTAGGCTGACCCACTAGTAGCACTCCTTTGGTGAGGCCCCCTTTTCCCCTAAGGCCAACCTGTTAGTAAAAAAAGCAAGTTACCCGGCCTCTGTGTGGGAGCAGGAAGACACAGGCCCTTCTGCTGGGGGTGTGTCTATCCTGGCCCTTCCCTCTCATGCCCAGTCTTCCCATTTCCCTTCAAGCTCATGTCCTGTGGGCCCAGGGGTGGGGATGTGACAGAAATGAGGTGCTCCTAGGACCACTAGAGAGCCCCATCTCCTCTGACGTGGGGTGGCACAGGGGTCACTGAGTGAGCCTCCTCTGCCCCTCATGGGAGAGCTCCTCGTGACTCACTGCAGGGTTGGGTGCAATGGGGGACAGGGTTTGGGAAACAGAGACCTTCTCAAGTGAGCTCAGGCAGAGGGGGATTTCCTAGCAGGCCACAGGAGACCACGGCCCACCGACATGAGTGCTCTCGGGTCCTTGGGAGCGTGTGCAGCTTCTCTCTCCTGCACCTGCAGGGCCTGTTTCCTCTGGCCCCTTCTCCTCACATCCATTCTCTGCATGTGGGTTCTGCAGCCTGGTGGCCTGCCCTGGCTCGCCCTGGCCAGCAGCCTCAGCCCCCAGCCCGTGCAGATGTCATGTCCAAAGACCCGACCACAGAGCCCAAGGTCTAGCAGGTACAGCTGCCAGATAAAATGCAGAACATCCATGCAACATTTGGGATGTGCTTATACTAAACTCTTACTCAAATTTTTATTTGAAATTCAAATATAACTGGGTATCCTGTATTTTTATTTGCTAAGACCTGACAACACTCATGGGAGGAAGCCCCCGAGTGGGAAGAAAGGTTAAGGTAGAAAGGGAGATCCCAGGATTGCTTTCTGGGGTGCACGCCTCCCTGCACCCCACCCCACAGATATTTAGACTTTGAGGCAGGCCTTGGGCTGGCAGTGCCCCATCATCAATGGGGGAGCTGTAAGTGGCTGCGAGGGGAACCAGAGCAAACCCCAACATAAGGCATGGCAGAGAAGAGGCACCCTGCTGCTCCTCCACATTCCCAGTCACCTGTGAGGGCCTCCAGTGACCAGCATTCCAAGATCCTCTCCCCAGCCAGCAGCCACTACTGGCAGTGACTATGTGGAAGCTCCCAGTGCCCTTGGTGGGTATGAAACTGCTGGGGTCCATCTCTAACCTGGCCCAGTCTTTGCAGGGAAGGATGATAAATGGCCACTTGTCGCGCCCGTGCCCACACTTCATGAAAGTGTCCAGGGGATGGTCAGTCCACCTCAGATCGCCCTGGCAGTCAGGGCTGGCATTCCACACGTCTGGGGGGCAGCCTGAACTTTGAACACCCCACCCTCAGGGGTTACCTAGCTGACCCTGCAGCAGGGATCTAAGCCTGTGAGGATGGCAGCGAGTCCCTGAAGCCTGGTGACCTGAGCTCCGGAGCTCCGAGAGGATGGCTGGCTAGATATTTAGTTCTCTCTCCTATCTGTGGTAATGACTAGCAAAAGGGGGCTGGTCGGGTTCTTTCCAGGAAGGTAACATTGTCACACAGCATAGAGTAAAGGGACCCCACAACCTGCTGGGCAGTGCAGTAGCCCCAGGCCACACCTCTGTGAATGGAGCTTCCTGGTCTGGGACCCCAACTGGGGCGAGCGAGGGGTGAAGTGAGCAGTGCACAGCACATGGCATTCCCACATCCTGCACCCTCCCACCCACCCTTGCCTCACTCATGCCGGGCCCTGGGGGTGGGATGAACTGAGAGCCAGAAGTCCCACGTGAATGCAAAGCACTTCCACCCTGCTCACCTCCTACCACACCAAGTGCTGTGGTAAACACGCTCTCCCAGAGATGGGCCGAGCCACGGGCTGGGCATGGATTCTCACCATCATCTGCATTTAGAGGATACCAGGACACAGAGGGGCTGAGGGGCCCGGCTGCCACATGCACTCACATCCTCGGAGGCGTCACCCTGAGTTCCTCTTACTGGGACCCCAGAAACAAGTCATCCCCTAAGAAACCCCAGAGTCCCAGAGTGGTGCCTAGCTGCCTGGCCCTGTTCAGCTCTCACAGGTCCTGCCTACGATGGTGGAGGTGCTCCCTCCTTCCCTCCCTCCCTCCCTCCCTCCCTTTTTCCCCCGCCCTCCTTTCCTTCCTTATGGGCCAAGTGCATGTGCCTGCTCCACTGGGTGGAGCAGAGTGATCAGGACCCAAATTAAGGGACTCCTGGGGCCCTGCAGACATGACTCCTCCCGGCTCAGTGTTTGCCAAACTTAGACTATGATCCACTAAGGTTTGGACATAAGCTCAGTGGGCGGCGATTCCTAGAAAATAGGAGTGTATCACACGTAGGGTGAGTGTTTCATGAAAATGGCATAAGTTATACACATACATGAATAAATGTACATACATCTGTACATGCATGAATACAGCAACTATGAATGTATACTTTAATTTTCTGTAGAGATGGGGGATGAGTGTAGGGTGAATGTGTCTCGCATAAGGGTGAGTGTTTTTGTGAAATTGGTGCCAGTTTTAGATATCTGTACACGCCTGTGCATACACATGCATGTGGGGGTGCCGTGGAGATTGCATCATCTCCTGTGGGTCACAGCCAAAGACGTCTGAGCAACTCTCTTTTATTCTGTTTACTTCAAGAGAAAGAAAAAGTAACAAGCCAAAAGCCCCTGGGCTTCTCAGGAAACAGGCTGAGGGACACTTTCAGCACAGGATCGGAAGGTCTGGGGGTGGAGACACATCCTTTGCCCGCCACAGACACTGGAGGGCGTGTCGACATTGCCTGCAGATGTCCAGGAAAGAGCTTGGACCCTAGGGGGCGGAAAACCGTGGGTCTGTGACCTTGACAAGCTCTCCAGCCTCCCGGATCACCTTCCTTGTCTTCCTTGTCTTCTTTGTCACCTGTAAAAGATCGAGAGCCTCTTGAGGCCGTTTTGAGATTAAACACACCACCTGCGAAGGGTCCTAAGCATGACCCTAGCGAGACCCTTCTCCTAGTCATTCTCACAACCAAAGGTTTTCAGCTTGAAGAGAAAGCCCGAGCTGTCCCCAGTGTCCCTTACTGTGACAAAGGCCCCTCGGAACAGCCCCGCCCCCACAGCCTACAACACATTGAAAGGACAAAACATAGACAAAACTTAAAAGAAGTAAAAACACACACGTTGCACCCGCCCCGTCCCTTAGCGTGCATAAGATATACACAGGAAGGAAGTGGCCAGGGTGATTCAAGGAGGCTGAGCTGCGACGGCTCAAGGAAAGGAATATTTCTGACAAGTCCGCCTTGACTGTGGTTTTGAACATGATTTCAGCCCTAGTTTTGGCCAGTCCCCCGGCCCCCGCCAGCACTTGTGTCTGCAGTCTAGACACAGCAGCAAAGGGGGACACCCATGCAGGAAGGCGCCCAGTGGGCTGCCCCATGGCCTTGGGGTTGGAACCAGGGCAGGATGAGCAAAAGCTGCTGCGCGCCGGCATTGACGGGGGGCTGTGGCTGGGGCAGGGAGGCGTGGGCTGCTGCCCAATCCACAGGGCTGAGGATGAAGGGGAGCTCCAAGAAGCCTGCTTCCCAGTATTTTCCCAGCTACTGACTCACAAACAAACCTGTTTTTGATTTCTGCTCTTAACCCGCTTCAGGCCCTAGCAGGTCCAGCCCTGTGGAACCAGGGAGCTCCAGACACGTCATTCTCAAACTCAAAAGTCCCTTCCACGCCCCTGAGATAGCAAAGACCCAGTTCCAAGCCTCTCCCACCTCCATCCACAGCCTCTCCTGCTTTCCAAGCCTTTCCACACCCCAACTCTGGCTCAACTGGGGGCAAGCACCTGATTCGAACCTCCCTTGGGGGGTACTGTTGGTTCCCGGCCCTTCTTCCCAGTCCTCTATAAAAGGCCTGCCCATCCCCAGAGCCAGCTCAATGCCACCTCCTCTGTGCACCTTCCTGGCTCTCCAACTGGCAAGTCTCTCTCCTGCTGCCACTGATCCTGCATTTTACTGTGTGGGCAGCTGTATGTCCAGCTGTGTGCAGCTGTGTGAACCTGAGCAAGTCACTTACCTCTCTGAGCCTCATTTCCCCATCCGTAGAATGGGGATATTGAGAGTTGTCTGCTGAGATGAAGTAACGGACGCGAAGCAACGAGCCTGGCACACAGTCTTGGCACCAGCATTGTACCACCAGTGGCAATGATGGCAGGCCTCTTACCCTCCACTAGGTGGGAATCTCTCTGGGGTAGGACTTGGCTGTTCTCTCTCCATCTTCTCTTAGTTCTAAAAAGATTTCCTACATCTGGCAGGTGCTCAAAAAAGAAATGTGAGGGGTGGTGTCTCCTGGTGGTCTGGGGCCAGAAGATTCTTCACATGGCGAGGGCAGATAAGACCCTGAGCTAGGCAAACCACACCTTTTGCAGGAGGGGCAAGAGCGGCTGTGGGGCAGCTGTGGCCTCGGCTGCCAGGGACTGGCGTGGGACTGATGTCCCTTGCATGGAGCCTGAGTGGCCAGTCAGTGTCAGCCCACACAGGGGCACCACTGCTTCCAGACCAAGGGCTCAGGGAGACCTCACAGGGCTGGGCTCTCAGGGCAGAGGTATCTTTGAGATGACATTCCCTGGGGCCCACAAAGGTGCCATAGTCTGAGCCCACAGGCTGGACGGGCATCCTAGCCCATAGCCTTCAGTAGAACGGGAGGTGGGAAACAGGTGAGTCCTTCAGCAGTCCTGGCTCACTGCCCTGATCGCATGTACAGGGTGCAGAGCACACAGGGACTGGGGAAGGGGGGGACCCTGGTGGAAGAGAGTGGACTCCCTGAGAGAAGGGAACACAGCTGACAGCCCAGGGAGACCAAGGTGGCTAGGGTTTTTAGGACAGAGGACCTAAACAGAGAGAGCTGGCAAAACACAGCCCTGGACATCTGCAAAGGGACTCCTCGGTTATTCACCTCATGTGTGTGGAGAAACTGCCTGGGGCCAGGGAAAAGCCACCGCATGGAAGTAAAGAACAGCAGCTGGAGCTCCCAGGGGGCTCCCACCAGCCAGAACGCATAACTCCTGATTCACTGGCCATTGGGCACAGTACTCAGTGGGTAGCCTAAACTCAGCCCTGGACTAAGCACTGCTCCACGCCCACCTAACAAATCATAAAAGCAAGACCCAACAAGATCAAACAGTTTCTCAGTAGCTTCATTGTATCTCAGAAAAAAAGCTCAAGATTATTTATGTGTTTATTTTTCTGCTTTGTTTTGAGGCAGAGTCTCGCTCTGTCGCCCAGGCTGGAGTGCAGTGGGCGCTGGAATCAGGCATGTGCCACCATTCCAGCTAATTTTTGTATTTTTAGTAGAGATGGGGTTTCACCATGTTGGCCAGGCTGGTCTTGAACTCCTGGCCTCAAGTTATCCGCCTGCCTCGGCCTCCCAAAGTGTTGGGATTACAGGCATGAGCTACCGCACCCAGCCTAAGATTATTTATAATAATACAAAAATATCCAGCATCCAGCATGGTAAAATTCACAATATCCAGCTTCAAATGGAAATGACCAGGCCAGGTGCAGTGGCTCATGCCTGTAATGCCAGCACTTTGGGAAGTTAAGGCAAGAGGATCGCTTGAGTCCAGGAGTTCAAGACTAGCCTGGGCAACAAAGCAAGGCCCCATCTCTACAAAAAAAATTAAAAGTTAGCTGGGTGTGGTGGTGCATGCCTATAGTCCCAGCTACTCAGGAAGCTGAGGCAGGGGGATATCTTGAGCCCAGGAGACTGAGGCTCCAGTGAGCGGTGATCACACCACTGCACTCCAGCCTGGGCAACGGAGTAAGACCTTATTTAAAAAAAAAAAAAAAGGAAAGAAAGAGAGAACAAGAAAGAAAGCAAGAAAAGGGAGGAATCAAGAAAAGGGAGGGAGGGAGGGAGGGAAGGAGACAGAGAAAGAAAATGACCAGGTATAGGAGAAGGTGTGGCCCGGTTGGCTGGTATGGAACCTTCTACGGAGGGCAGAGGCCATGTCTAGATAGGAAAACAGGGAGCAGAGAGAGGCGGTCAGGAAGGAGCCCCCTTTCCAGTGCAAGAGCTCCAGGAAAAAAAATTCTCAACTTCACTTCCCCTTCCAGCAACCTTCCTTTTTCAGCAAAACGACCTGAAAGGTTTTGTAAGTGCTCTGATTTCTCTCCTCCTTTCTCTCTAGTCTTCCTCCTTATTGTGAAATATAACATACATCCAGAAAAATGTTTAAAATGCAAATGTTCAACTTAGCAAGTTGTTGTAAAGCAAACACCTGTGTAGCCACCACTTGCATCCATCTGTATCCCACCTCCTCCATCCCCGTGCCCTTCCCCAGATCTCTGCCACCTGGCATTCCCAGTCAACACTTCCTTCCTTCCGTTGCTTTAGAGTTGACCACATAAGCAAGCGTCCCTAAATGATAAGGTCGCATCCGCAAGTCTTCGCAGGGTATAGAAATTGAATCGTGCAGTGTTTGCATGGTTTGAGATCTGGCTTCTTTCTCTCAAGATTATGCTTTTAAGATTTGGCCAGGCTGGGCGCGGTGGCTCACGCCTGTAATCCCAGCACTTTGGGAGGCCGAGGCGGGAGGATCACAAGGTCAGGAGATAGCGACCATCCTGGCTAACACGGTGAAAACCCATCTCTACTAAAAATACAAAAAATTAGCCGGACATGATGACGGGTGCCTGTAGTCCCAGCTACTCAGGAAGCTGATGCAGGAGAATCGCTTGAACCTGGGAGGCGGAGGTTGCAGTGAGCCGAGAGCACGCCACTGCACTCCATCCTGGGCGACAGAGGGAGACTCTGTCTAAAAAAAAAAATTTAACCATGTTGCTGTAGGCATTTGCAATTCATTTTTGCTGCAGCATAAAATCCATTATATGAATATACATTTTTTAGTCCATCCTACTGTTGGTGGACATTTCTGTTGTTTCCATTTGAGAGCTGTCTTAGTCAGTGTGGGCTGAGATAATAAAAAATAATAATACCACACACTGGATGGCTTAAACAACAAGCACTTATTTTTCACAGTTCTGGAGGCTGTAAGTCTGAGATCAAGGTGCCAGGATAGTTGGGTTCTCGGTGAGGGCTCGCTTCCAGGTTGTAGACTGCCATCTTCTCATTGTGTCCACACATGGTGGAGTGAGAGAAAGAGGCAGCAAGCTCTTTTGTGTCTCTTTTTTTAAGGTCACTAACTCCACCTGAGAGGTCCACCCGTATGACCTAATCATCTGCTGCATGCCCCATCTCCAAATACCATCACCTTGGGGGTTAGAATTTCAACGTATGAATTGGGGTGGTGCATATATACTCAGTCCGTAGCAGGGGCTATGATGAATTGGAGGCTCATGAGTGTACTTGTCTTCAGCTTTAGTGGATACTGTTACATCCTCCTCCAAAGAATGGAGATTCTACCACCAGCAGTGTTCTGAGTGCCTATGACTTCAAGGTCTCACCAATACTTGGCACTGTCAGACTTTCAGAATATGGAATGATCTCATTGTGATTTGAATTTACATGATTAAGGAACATTTACATGTTTATTGGCCATTTAGATATCTTCTCTTTCAACTTGTTGAAACATTTTGTCCATTGCTAACCTTTGAATGTGTCCCCTAGAAAGTATATGTTGGAAATTTAATCCCCAAAGCAACAGTGTTGAGAGGTGGGGCCTTAAGGAGAGGTGGTTAGGCCACGAGGGCAGAGTGAATGAATTTGTGCCATTATCATGGAAGTGGGTTTGTTTTCAAGGGTATTTTACTCTCTCCCTCACCCTCTCTTTGCCCTTCCACCATGTGATGCCTTCCAACATGTCGTGATGCAGCAAGAAGACCCTTGCCAGATGCCGGCCCTTTAATCTTGACTTACCAGCCTCCAGAACTGTAGGAAAATTAATTTCTGTTCTTTATAAATTACCCAATCCTTGGTGTACTGTGATAGCAGCATGACACAGACTAAGACACCCATTTTTTCCCCTTTTACTCATTGTTCTCTCTCTTATTGATTTTTAGGTGTACTTTATATATCTAGATATGACCTCTTTGCTGGGTGTATGTACTGCAAATATCTTCTTTCACTTTGTGACTTAGCTTTTCACTCTCTTAATAGTGTCCTTTGATGAAGAAAAGTTTCTTAATTCTAATGAATCAAAATTATCAAATGTCTCCTTTATCATTAGTGCTGTTTGGACCTTGTTTAACAATCTTCCCCTTCCAACCAAGGCAACAGAGCATGATCTTTAATTTAAAATAAAAGAATCAGGCCAGGCACGGTGGCTCATATCTGTAATCCCAGCAGTTTGGGAGGCCAAGGCGGGCGGTCACAAGGTCAGGAGATCGAGACCATCCTGGCTAACATGATGAAACCCTGTCACTACTAAAAATAACAAAAAATTAACCAGGCATAGTGGCGGGTGCCTGCAGTCCCAGCTACTCGGGAGGCTGAGGCCGGAGAATGGTGTGAACCTGGGAGGCGGAGCTTGCAGTGAGCCGAGATTGCGCCACTGCACTCCAGCCTGGATGACAGAGTGAGTCTCCATCTCAAAATAAATAAATAAATAAATAAATAAATAAATAAATAAATAAATAAAAGAATCTTTCTCTGTGCTAAGATCATAAAGTTAGTCTCCTGTATTTTCTTCTACAGATACATTGTTTTGCTTTTCATCTTTATTTAATTCTGGTAAAATATACATAACATTTACCATTTTAACTATTTTTAAGTGTACAAGTCAGTGGCTTTAAGTTCACTCATATTATTGTGCAGCCTTTACCACTATCCATCTCCACAACACTTTCAGTTTCCCAAAGACAAATTCTGTACCTATTAAATAATAACTCACTATTCCCCCCTCTTCCAGCCCCTGGCATCTGCTATTCTGCTTTCCATCTCTATGAATCTCACCATTCTTGGTATCATATGTAAGCGGAATCGGGCATTATTTGCCCTTTTGTATCTGGCTTATTTCATTAGCATAGTGTCTTCAACGTTCATCTGTGTAGTACCAAGTGTCAGAATTCCCTTCCTTTTTAGGGACTTCTCATGGTTTTAAGTCTATCATTTTTTTCCACCTGAAAACGCTGCACTGAAAACGCTGTCCTTTCCCTGCTGCTCTGCACTGTCACTTTTTGTCATCAATTAAATGAACATACAGAATGCAGCACTGTACAGCGCCCCATCCTTAGAAGACTCCTGTACTTGACTTAATGCGTTAGGGGTGCTGTCCCAAAATTCTTAATAGTTTGTGAGCAAGGAGCCTTGCATTTTCATTTTGTATGAGTCCTGCAAATTATGTAGATCATCTTGCCAACTACACATTGTCTGAATAATGATAGTTTCATAGTAAATTAGTTTTATGGTAAATTTGAACTCTGGTAGAGCAAATCTTGCTACTTTCTTCCACTATATCTTCAAGAATGTCCTGGTTATATTTGGTCTGTGGCATTTCTTTTTCTTTTTCTTTTTCTTTTTTTTTTTTTTTTTTTTTTTGAGATAGAGTCTCACTCTTTCGCCCAGGCCAGACTGCAGTGGCGCGATCTCGGCTCACTGCAAGCCTCCTGGGTTCATGCCATTCTCCTGCCTCAGCCTCCCGAGTAGCTGGGACTACAGGCGCCCGCCACCACGCCTGGCTAATTTTTCTGTATTTTTTAGTAGAGACGGGGTTTCACCGTGTTAGCCAGGATGGTCTTGATCTCCTGACCTTGTGATCTGCCCACCTCGGACTCCCAAAGTGCTGGGATGACAGGCGTGAGCCACCGCCCGCGGCCGGTCCTTGGCATTTCTATATAAAATTTAGAATAAGCTTCTGAAGTTCTACCAAAAAACCTGTTGAAATTTTGACTGAGGTTACATTAAATCTAAAGATGAATTTATGATAAATTGACCTTTAGGATACTGAGCCTTGCAATCCATAAACATGGTTAATTCCTCCTAATATTGAAGTTTCTTAACATTACAAAATATTTTGTACTTTTATCCCTACACATGTTGTGCGAGAGACATGATTTTTCTTAATTGTGGTAAGAAAAATCTTGCAAACTGCAGCTCTATACCCACTGAACAACAATGATCCTTTTCCTCTCTCTTCCCAGGTCCTGGCAACCACCATTCTACTTTCTAAGAGTTTAACTACTTTAGATACCCCTATATAAGTAGAATCATGCAAGACTTGCCTTTTTGTGACTAGCTTATTTTGCTTAGCATAATGTCTTCAAGGTTCATGGATGTTGTAGTATAAGACAACATGTCTTTTTTTAAAAGAATGGATAATATTCCATTTGATATGGTTTGGGTCTGTGTCCCCACCCAAATTTCACGTTGAATTCTAATTCCCAGTATTGGAGGCAGTGCCTGGTAGGAGGTGATTGGATCATGGGGACAGATTTCTTCCTTGGTGTTGGTCTCATGATAGTGAGTGAGTACTTGGAAGATCTGGTTGTTTAAAAGTGTAGCACTTCCCCTCTCTCTCTTGCTCCTGCCTGGGCCCTGTAAGACATACCTGCTCCCAATTTGCCTTCCACCATGATTGTAAGTTTCCTTGAGGCCCCCTTGGAAGCAGAAGCCACCATGTTTCCTGCACAGCCTGCAGAACTGTGAGGCAATTAAACTTTTCTTCTTTATAAATTACCCAATCTTGGGTATTTCTTTATAACAGTGTGAGAAATGACTCATACACCATTGTATGTGTATACCACACTTGCTTATCCATTCATCTGTCCATAGACATTTAAGTTGTTTCCACATCTTGGCTATTGTGAATTTTGCTGCAATAAGCATGGGTGTGCAAACATCACTTTGAAAGCCTGTTTTCAATTTTGAATCTATACTCAGAAGTCAGGTTGCTGGATCATATGATACTTCTATTTTTAATTTCTCGAGGAATCGCCGTACTGGTTCCAATTTTTCTACATTCTTGCCAACACTTGTTATTTTCTGTTTTTTGTTTTGTTTTTTGTTTTTTGTTTTTTTACAGTGGTCCTCCTAAGGGGTGTGAAGCAGTATTTCACTGTGGTTTTCATTTGCATTTTTCTGATGACTAGTGATGCTGTGCATCTTTTCATATACTTAGAGAGGTAAAACCAGTGAGAGATGGATGGATAATAGATAGATGGGGGATTTATTAGGGGAACTCGCTTACATGATTATGGAGAGTGAGAAGTCCCACAATAGGCTGTCTGCAAGCTGGAGACTCCTGAAAGCCAATAGGGTTGCTCAGTCCAAGTCCAAAAGCCTCAGAATTTAGGAAGCTGATGATGTAAATCTCAGTTCGAGGCTGAAGGCCTGAGAACCCAGGGGACCACTAGCATAAGTCCTGGACTCCAAAGGCTGGAGAGACTGGAGTTCTGATGTCCAAGAGCAAGAGAAGAAGGGTGCCCCAGCTCTAGGAGAGAAAAAGAGATACTTGCCTCTTTACTGCCTTTTTTGTTCTTTCCAGACCCCAGCTGCCTGGGGTGCCTGCCCACAGTGAGGGTGGATCTTCCCTATATGGTCCACTGACTTGCACACCAATCTCCTCTGGAAACACCCTCACAAACACACCTACAAATATTGCTTTATTAGTTCTCTAGACAATCCTTACTCTAGTCAAGGTGACACATAAAATTAACCATCACATATATTTTATTTGGAGAAATGTCTGCTCAAGTCATTTGTCCATTTTTTAATCAGGTTATGCGTTTTTATTGTTGTTGAGCTGTAAATGTTCTTTATATATTCTAGATATTAAGTCCTTAACAATCAAATGGTTTGCAAATATTTCTTCCATTCTGTAGGTTGCGTTTTACTTTCTTGATTGTTTTATTTGATGCACAGGGTTTAAGTTTGATATAGTCCCATTTGTCTATTTTTGCTTTTATTACCTGTGTTTTTTGTATCATATCCAGGAAAGTATTGCCAAGTCCAATGTCAGGAGGCTTTCCCTCTGTGTTTTCTTCTAGGAGTTTTAAAGTTTCAGGTCTTATATTCAGGTCTATTATCTTTTTTAAGTTAATTTTTATAAATGATATAAGAATCAAATTTCATTATTTTACACTTTTCCTTTGGAACTAGGTAACAGGCAGTGGTTGGAACAGTTTGAAGGGCTCAGAAAAAGATAGAAAAATGTGGGAGAGTGTGGAACTTCCCACAGACTTGTTGAATGGCTTTGCCCAAAGTGCTGATAATGATATGCACAATAAAGTCCAGGCTGAGGTGGTTTCAGATGGAGATGAGGAACTTGGGAACTGGAGTAAAGGTGACTCTTGTTATGTTTTAGCAAAGAGACTGGAGGCATTTTGCTCCTGCCCCTAGAGATTTGTGGAACTTTGAACTTGAGAAAAATAATTTAGGGTATCTTGTGGAAGAAATTTCTAAGCAGGAAAGCATTCAAGAGGTGACTTGGGTGCTGTTAAAGGCATTTAGATTTTTTTTCTTTTTGAGACGGAGTTTCACTCTTGTTGGCCAGGCTGGAGTGCAGTGGCGCGATCTCAGCTCACTGCAACCTCCGCCTCCTGGATTCAAGCAATTCTCCTGCCTCAGCCTCCCAAGTAGCTGGGATTACAGGCATGTGCTAACACGCCCGACTAATTTTTGTGTTTTTAGTAGAGACGGGGTTTTACCATGTTGGCCAGGCTGCTCTCAAACTTCTGACCTCAGGTGATCTGCCCGCCTCAGCCTCCCAAACTCCTAGGATTACAGGTGTGAGCCACTGCACCCAGCCACTGAAATCTTTATATTCATCAATAAGGCCCACAGATCTTCCACACTGGCATTGGTACTATTCCAGAAAGCAGGCTTTGGTTATGGTCTTGCCTTCCTCAAACATCATTTGACCACATATGTGAAAATTTATTTCTGGGATCTCTCTTATATTCTATTGGTCTATAGGTCTTTATGCCAGTATCATACTATTCTGATCACTGTCAGAGTAGTATTTTGAATTGGGAAGTGTGAGATTTTCAGTTTTGTTTTCTTTTACAGAATTATTTGGGCTATTCCTTAGGATTCTTTAGGATTCCATATACATTTTAGAAAATTTTTTCTATTTCTTCAAAGATGTCATTGGATTTTGATAAGTATTGCAGTGGATCTGCAAATTTCTTTGGGTAGTATGAACATTTAACAGCATTGAGTCTTCTAATCTATAAATGTGAAATATCTTTACATGCATTTATATCTTCTTTAATTTCTTTCAGCAATGTTTTGTAGTTTTCAGTATATAAGTCTTTCACCTCCTTGATTAAGCTTATTCCTGAGTATATTATTTTTTTCAATGCTCTTGTAAATGGGATGTTTTCCTAATTTTCTTTTTAAATTGTTCATTGTTAGATATAGAAATAAAACTAATTTCATGTGTTGATTTTTGTACCCTGCAACTTTGCTAAATTTGTTCTTTAGTTCTAAGAGCTTTGTGTGTGTGTGTGTGTGTGTGTGTGTGTGTGTGTGTGAAATCTCTAGAATTTTCTACATATAATATTATAAACAGAAGTATTTTTACTTCTTCTATTCAGATTTAGATGCCTTTAGTTTCTTTCTTCTTGTCTAATTCCTCTAGCTGAACTTCCATTACTATGTTGAATAGAAGTGGCAAGAATGGGCATCTTTGCCTTGTCCCTAACCTTAGAGATAAAGCTTTCAGTTTTTCACCACTGAGTTTGATGTTGGCTGTGGGCTTTTTGTATACACTTTAATATGGTCAGATAATATCTTTCTATTGATAGTTTGTCAGGTGTTTTTATCATGAAAGGGTGTAGAATTTTTTTCTAAGGCTTTTTCTGCATCAATTGAAATGATCATGTGGTTTTTGTCCTTCATTCTTTTTTCTTTTTTTACTTACATATATATAGAACAGTTGGAACATAGTGTCCTCCATTCTTTTAATGTGATATTACATTGTTGATTTTCATATGTTAAACCATCCTTGTATTCCAGGAATAAATCCCACTTGGTCATGGTGTATAAACCTTTTAATGTGTCATCGAATTTGGTTTGCTAGTATTTTGTTGAGGATTTTTGCATCAATATTAATCAGGGAAGTTTGTAGTTTTCTTTACCTGTAGTATCTTTGTCTAATTTTGGAATCAGAGTAATGTTGGTCTCATCAAATTCCTTTTTCTTCAATTTTTTAAAAAGTTTGCAAATAATTTATATTAATTCTTTTTTAAGTGTTTGGTAGAATTCTCCAGTGAAGCCACCTGGTCCTGGGCTTTTCTAGGTGGGAAAGTTTTTGGTTAGTGATTTAATCTCTCTACTAGCTTTAAATCTGTTCAGATTTTTTATTTCTTCACGATTCAATATTGGTAGGTTGTATGTTTCTAGAGATTTCTCTATTTCTTCTAGGCTATCAAATTTGTTGGCATTTGTCTCAAAACACTTCCCAATTTCTCTCGTGATTTCTTCATTGATCTATTAGTTGTTCAAGAGTGTATTGTTTAATTTCCCCATATTTGTGATCTACCCGTTTTCCTTTTGCTATTGATTTCTAGTTTTATTCCAACAAAATCAGAAAAGACAGTTGGTATGATTTCAATTTTCTTAAATTTAAGATTTGTTTTGTGGCCTAACATGTGATCTATCCTGAAGAATGTTCCATGTGAGTTTGAGAGAACATTTATTCTGTAGTTCTTAGAGTATTCTGTATATGTCTGTAGGTCCAACTGGTCTATAATGTTGTTCAAGTTCCTTTTTTTTGAGATGGAATCTCACTCTTGTCACCCAGGCTGGAGTGCAATGGCACAATCTTGGCTCACTGCAACCTCCGCTTCCTGGGTTCAAGCCATTCTCCTGCCTCAGCCTCCTGAGTAGCTGGGATTACAGGCACCCACCACCACACCCGGCTAATTTTTGTATTTTTAGTAGAGACGGGGTTTCACCATATTGGCCAGCCTGGTCTCGAACTCCTGACCTCACGTGATCCACCCACCTCAGCCTCCCAAAGCGCTGGGATTACAGACGTGAGCCACAGCACCCGGCCCAAGTTATCTGTTTCTTTATTAATCTTCTGTCTGGTTATTCTATGCATTATTGAAAGCAAGGTATTAAAATCTCCTTCTATTACTGTGTTACTGCCTATTTGTCCCTTCAATTCTTTCAACATTTGCTTCATATATTTGAGTGAGCTACAGATATATATATATACGTATATATGTATATATATACATATATATACGTATATATACGTATACGTATACGTATATATACGTATATATACGTATACGTATACGTATATATACGTATATATATGTAATTGTTATATGACTGGAAAATTGATTCTTGCTTTTTTTTATTTGAGAAGGAGTCTCACTCTCACCCAGGCTGGAGTGCAGTGGCGTGATCTCAGCTCACTGCAACCTCTGTCTCCCAGGTTCAAGTGATTCTCCTGCCTCAGCCCCCTGAGTAGCTGGGACTACAGGTGTCCACCACCAAGCCCAGCTAATTTTTTTTGTATTTTTGTAGAGACAGGGTTTTGCCATGTTGGCCAGGCTGGTCTCAAACTCCTGTCCACAGGTGATCAGCCCACCTCAGCCTCCCAAAATGCTGAGATTATAGGCCTGAGCCACTGCGCCCAGCTGAAAATTGATTCTTTTATTGTTATATGTTCATTTTTGTCTCTTGTGACAGTTTTTGTCTTAGAGTCTATTTTGTCTGATATAAATTGGCCAGCACTGCTCTCTTTTGGTTGCAATTTGCATGTAATACCTTTTTCCATTCTTTCACTTGCAGCCTGATATGGTTTGGCTCTGTGTCCCCATCCAGATCTCACCTTGAATTGTAATAATCCCCACATGTCAAGGGCAGGACCAGGTGGAGGTAATTTGATCATGGGGATGGTTTCCCCCATATTCTCATGGTAATGAGTGAGTCTTAGGAGATCTGATGGTTTTATAAGCATCTACCGTTTCCCCTGCTTGCATTCACTCTGTCCTGCTACCCTGAAAAGAAGGTGCCTGCTTCTCCTTTGCCTTTCACCGTGATTGTAAGTTTCCCGAGGTCTCTCCAGCTATGAAGAACTATGAGTCAATTAAACCTCTTTCCTTTATAAATTACCCAGTCTTGGGTATTTCTTCATAACACTGTGAGAATGGACTAATACACAGCCTATATGTATCTTTGTATCTAAGGTGAGTGGGTCTTGAGGTTCTGAAAAATCTATTGAACCACTCTATTTCTTTTTTCTTTTTTTTTGTTTGTTTGTTTGTTTGTTTTTGAGATGGAGTCTTGCTCTGTCACCCAGATTGGAGTGCAGTGGCATGGTCTCAGCTCACTGCAACCTCCGCCTCCCAGGTTCAAGCTATTCTCCTGCCTCAGCCTCCTGAGTAGCTGGGATTACAGGTGCACGCCACCATGCCCTGCTAATTTTTTATATTTTTGGTAGAGATGGGGTTTCATCATGTTGGCCAGGCTGGTCTCGAACTCCTGACCTCAGGTGATCTGCCCGTCCTGGCCTCCCAAAATGCTGGCAATACATGTGTGAGCCACCGCGCTCGGCCAGCCCTCTATTTCTTTTTATTTACACATATAAAAATTACTGACAGGAAAGGACTTACTTTGCCATTTTGTTGATTGTTTTTTGTATACTTTGCAGTTATTTTGTCCCTTTTCCTTTCTTGCTGCCTTTCATTAGGTTTTGTTAATTTTTTTTTAGTGACAAGTTTGATTCCTTTCTCATTTTCTTCTGTATATCTTCTACAGATATTTCCTTTGTGATTACCATGGGGATTAAGTATAATACCTTATCATTATAGCCATTTATTTTAAGCTGACAAAAACTTAATATCAATTACATAAAAAATTTTACATCTCCCCTACTTTATGTTATTTATTTCACAAATTGCATATTTTTATATTTTATGTTCATTAACAAAGTTTGATAATTATAGTTCTATTTATACTTTTTCAAATTTTATACCAGGATTAAATGTGATTTATGTACCACCATTAGAATATTATACAATTCTGTACTTTTCCATATACCTCCCTTTACTGAGTGCTTTATATTTTTTACGCCGTTGTGTTGCTGTCAAGTGTCCTTTTGTTTCAACTTGAAGAACTCCCTTTAGCATTTTTTTGTAAGGTAGATTTAGTGTGGATAAACACCTTCAGCTTTTATTTTTCTGGGAAGGTCTTTATTTCACCTTCATTTTTTTTTAATAACCAAAATGTATTTATTTAATATACATCACAATGGCTCAACCGAGGCTTAATTTAAAAGACAAAAACAAAACAAAAATAATACCACAGCTGAAGATACAGAGTCCTATACAGAAATCACAGACAGGACAGACCATCAAAGGAAAACTTAAAAAGGCAACACAAAGATAGGCAGGGAAGCCAGGCATGGTGGCTCATGCCTGTAATCCCAACACTTTGGGAGGCCAAGGCGGGCAGATCACCTGAGGTCAGGAGTTTGTGACCAGCCTGACCAACATGGTGAAACCTTGTCTCTACTAAAAATATCAAAATTAGCCGGGCATGGTGGCAGGTGCTTGTAATCCCAGCTACTCGGGAGGCTGAGGCACGAGAATCGTTTGAACCTGGGAGGTGGAGGTTGCAGTGAGCTGAGATCTCACCACTGCACTCCAGCCTGGGCAACAGAGCAAGACTCCATCTCAAAAAAAAAAAAAAAGAAAGAAAAAAAAAGGACAGTCTGGGCAGCCTGGGTCAGGGGTCCTGGCTGGTAACCTGCTTTGAATAGGTTTCTTGAAGGTAAAAGCTGTAGGGTTTTTCCAGAACTCAACAGCATGCATGTTCAAAGGGCTATCAATGTTGGGTTCTCCTAGCAGGCTCTGGATGGAGACCAGAATGGTCCTGATGCCATACAGTACAGACGACTTGTCTTTCCAGATATCCAGGCATATGTTACCCTGGGTGTCTATGTTGGGGTGGTAGCAGGGTGTGAGGAACTTCACTGTGGGCTCATTGTAAGGGTAGCCACTGGGGAACTCTAGCAAGAGCTTATACCTCAGGTCTTCATACACTGTGCCAGCTGCTCCATGGATGGTCCCTACCCATTTGAAAAGGTTGTCTGATTCAAGGAAAGCAGAAATCCCTTTGTCACCAGATATCATGAGGGTCATCAGCTCCTGCTGTAGTCTTTTGCCCACAGGATTCTGGGCAGCACCCCCACTCAGCTCGGCTCTTTTATGGGTGGCGACGACACTAGTGGCGGCTGGGTTATGGTCTTGGGAGACCACTTGGCTGCCTTCTCCTTCATTTTTGAAGAACAGTTTTGTTGGTTATAATATTCTTGGTTGACAAAAGGTTTTTTTCTTCCAGCACTTTGAATATAACATCTCACTCCTTTCCAGCCTATAATGTTTCTTCTGAGAAATCAGCTGATAATCTTACAGTAGCTCCCTTGTACATACAAGTGGCTTTTCTCTTGCTATTTTCAAGACTCTCTCTTTATCCTTGACTTCTGATACATCAAACTGTCCTTGATAGTTTGATTACAATATGTCTCAGTGTGGGCATCTTTGGGTTCTTCTTTGTCAGCATCCTTCGAGCTTCTAGAATTTGGATGTCCATTTTCTTCCTTAGATTTGGAAGTTTGGGCCATTATTTCTTCAAATAAGCTCTCTGCCCTTTGCTCTCTTTCTTCTTTTTAACTCCTATAACATGTATATTGATAGGCTTGATGATTTTTCATAAGTCCCTTATGCTTTCTTCACTTTTACTAATCCTTTATTCTTTTTGTTCCTGTGACTTGATCATTTCAAATTATCTGTCTTCAACTTCACTGATTCTTTGTTCTGCTTGATCAAGTTGTCTATTGAACCCTTCTAGCGAATTTTATAATTCAGTTATTGCAATCTTCGGCTCTGGAATTTCTATTTGTTTTTTCTTCCTTAGTTTTTGTCTCTTTGATCATATTGTCACTTTGTTAATGCATTGTTTTCTGGATTTGTTTTTAGTTGTCTATCTGTGTACTCTTGTATCACATTGAAGTTCTTTAAGACAATTATTTTGAATTCTTTTTCAGGTCATTAATTGATCTCTTTGTTTAAGGTCAGTTCCTGGATATTTATTTTGTTCCTTTGATTGGGCCATTTTTCCCTATTTCTTCACATGCCTTATTATTTTTTACTGGGATTTGTGCTTTTGAAAAACAGGCAACTCTTCAGTCTTTGTGGCCTGGCTTTATACAAGGAATGATCTTCACTAGTCACCCAGCTAGGGATTCTGGGGGCCTCTCAAGCCTTTTCTGGGGGGATGCACCATGAAATACACCAGCTCCTCATTTGCCTTCCACCATGATTGTATGCATCTTGAGGCCCTCACCAGAAGCAGATGCCAGCACCAAGCTTCCTGTACAGCTGCAGAACTGTGAGCCAATTAGATCTCCTTTCTTATTTATGTTTGTATATATGTATGTATTTTTAGAGACAGGGTCTCTCTATGTTGCCCAGGCTGGTCTCAGACTCCTGAGCACAAGGGATCTTCTAGCCTTGGTCTCCCAAAGTGCTAGGATCACAGATGTGAGCCACCACACCAAACCTAAATATTTTTTCATTATAAATTACTCATTCTTGAGTATTTCTTTATAGCAACACAAAAATGGACTGATACATAAATCCTGCTAGGAAAGCCATGGTAGCTTTGTATAAAAATTTTTGTAGAAAAAAATTTTGCTTACTGATTAAATTTATTTAGTACTATTTCTACTGTGTTTGTTTCTGTAATTAGCATTTTTTCAGTTAACTATCTTTCACAGTTTTGTGGTGTTGAGTTGTTCAGTATGTCCTCTACTTTTCATATTATTATTTGTGGGATTGATAGTGATAGTCCTCTTTCATTCTTGATAGTGTTATTTGTGCACTCTTTGTTTTTGTCCTTGAACACTGTTACTAAAGTATATCATCTCATTAATTTTTGCAAAGAAGCAACTTTTGGTTTGGTCAATTCCTTTTATTTATGTTTGTTTTCTATGTCATTAATTTCTGTTCTTGTCATCCCTGTGTCTTTCACTCTACTTTCTTTAGATTTAATATACTTTTTCTCTGATTTCTTCAAATGGATATTTTGTTTTCCTAATTTCTTCAAATAGATAATCGCTCTTTCAGCCTTTATTCTCTCTTTTTATGTTTGAAGGCTAAAAAAAATCCTCTAAAGTACAACTTTAGCTGCTTCCAACAAGATTTGATATACAGTATATGGAGAGCTTTTATGTAATTAAGTGTAAATTTTTAATTACAGTTCTTCTTTAAACCTTGAGTTACTTAGAAGTAAAGCTCTGTCATAGGCTCTATTTTGTCTTTTTATATATAGAGGTGGGTTTTGGTTAGTGTTTGCACAGTAAATCTTTTTTAGTTCTCTTATTCACAAGCTCCCTGTATCCTTGTGTGTTGAATGTGCACTTTGTCATTTAAAAAAAAGGTAAAGTTTGTTAGGTTTTTAATACACTTTAACAAACTTTTTACTTTAATTGGATCATTTAATATTGTCTTAGTCCATTTTGTGCTGCTGTAACAGAATACCAGAAAGCCGGGCGCAGTGGCTCATGCCTGTAATCCCAGCATTTTGGGAGGCTGAGGCAGGCAGATCACCTAAGGTCAGGAGTTCCAGACCAGCCGGACCATATAATATGATGAAACCCTGTCTCTACTAAAAATACAAAAATTAGCAAAGCATGGTGGTATGCGCCTGTAATCCCAGCTACTCGGGAGGCTGAGACAGGAGAATCCCTTGAACCTGGGAGATGGAGGTTGCAGTGAGCCGAGATCGCACCATTGCACTCCAGCCTGGGCAACAAAACCAAAACTCTGTTTTAAAAAAAAGGAAAAAAAAGACAGAATACCAGAGACTAGATAATTTATTTTATTTTATTTTATTTGAGACAGAGTCTCACTCTGTCACCCAGGCTGAAGTGCAGTGGCATGATCTCAGCTCACTGCAACCTCTGCCTCCCGGGTTCAAGCAATTCTCATGCCTCAGCCTTCTGAGTAGCTGGGATTACAGGCACACACCATGATGCCTGGCTAATTTTTGTATTTTTAGTAGAGATGGGGTTTCACCATGTTGGCCAGGCTGTTCTTGAACTCCTGACCTCAAGTGATCCTCCCATCTCGGCCTCCCAAAGTGCTGGGGATTACAGCCATGAGCCACTGTGCCCGGCCTAGATAATTTATTTTAAAAAGAAATTTATTTCTCATAGTTCTGGAGGCTTGGAAGTCCAAGATCAAGGGGTCAGCATCTTGTGATTGCCTTTTTGCTGCTTCATAATGTGGTAGAAGGCATCACATGGATGAGAGAGGGAGAAGGGGGCAAACCAAACTCATCCTTTTGTAAGGAACCCACTTTCATGATAACTAATCACGATAATTACTCATAACATTGCCATTAATTCATGTATTAGGGCAGAGCACTCCATAACCTAATCACCTCTTAAAGGCTCCACCTCTCAATGCTTTACATTGGGGAGTAAGTTTCCAACACATGAACTTTGAGGGACACATTCGAACTCTAGGAAACATATTAACAGTTCATGACAAAGCAAACATGCAACACACAAGTTAATGAAATTTCTAATATATCTCAATTTAAAGCTACCATCTCAATGATGCTATTTGTCTCATTTGTTCTATGTTAATTTTTCTCTCTTTTCTTGATTCCTTTGAGAGTATTTTGGTCCATTTTTCCTTTCACTATTAAGTATGATATTTGATATGGGTGTTTTATAAATGCCTTTATCTAATTAAAGAAGTTTCCTTGTTTTTAGTTTGGTAAGTGTTTTTCTCAAGAAAAGGTGTTGGAGTTTTTCAAATGATTTTTGAGATGTTCATGTAATTTTTGGTTTTTAATCTATTGTGTGATGTATTACATTAATTATTTTTAAAATGTTAAGTCAACCTTACATCTCTGCTGTAAATATCACTTGGTCATGGTGTATAATTCTTTTTATATATTGCTGAATTTGGTTTGCTATTATTTTGTTTAGAATTTTTTATATCTGTATTCATAACAGATATTGCTCTGTAGTTTTCTTGTAATGTCTTCTGTGGTATTTGTATAAGGATAATAATGGCTTCATAATGAGTTGGAGAGTGTTCCCACCCCTTTTTTAATGTGAGATATTAGCATTAATTCTCCTTTAAATGCTTGGTAGAATTCAGTGATGAAGTATTCTGGGCCTAAGATTTTCTTAGTGGGTAGTTTTTTATTACTTTGCTTCTTATAGGTATATTCGGATTGTTTATTTCTTGTGTAATCAGTTTTGGTAGTTTGTATCTTTCTAGAAATTTGTCAGTTTTATCTAATTTGTTGTTACATAACTTGTTGGCATACAATTGTTCATAGCATTTCTTTAAAATCCCTTTTACTTCTGTAAAGTCGGTAGTAATGTCTCCTCTTTTATTCCTGATTCTAGTAATTTGAGCCCTCTTTTTTTTTCTTGTTCAACCTAGAAGCTGAAAATTTCAACCTAAAAATTAAATATTTATCAATTTTGTAGATGTTTATAAAGAACCAGCTTTTGGTTTTATCAATTTTTTCTATTATTTTTATTGTCCATCTATTGTTTTTTATTCTCTATTTCATTGATTTCTATTCTAATCTTTATTATTTTCTTCCTTTGGCTTGCTTTGGGTTTAGTTTCCAGTCTCTTAAGGTGAAAGGTTAGAGTATTGATTTAAGATCTTTTTTCTTTTTTAACATAGGTATTTACAGCTATAAATTTCCCTCTAAGCACTGCTTTACTCGCATTCCTTTACTTTGGGGATGTCGTATCTTCGTTTTCACTCACATCAATCTATTTTCTGACTTCCCTTTTTATTTTTTCTTTGTCCTATTGGTTATTCAGGAGTGTTTTGTAAAATTTCCACATATCTCTGAGTTTACCAAATTATTTTCCTGCTATAAATTTCTAATTTCATTCCATTGTGGTCAGAGAACATATTTTGTATTATTTCAATTCTGTTAAATTTATTGAGGTATGCTTTATGGTTTAGCATATGGTCTGGAGAATGTTTTATGTACACTTGAGAAGAGTATGCATTTTGTCATAATTCAGTGGAATGTTCTGTCTTAGTTCATTTGTGTTGCTATAAAGGAATACCTTAGGCTGGATGATTTATAAAGAAAGGAGTTTTATTTAGCTCATGGTTCTGCAGGCTTTACAAGAAACATGGTACCAACATCTACTTCTGGTGAGAGCTATAGGCTGCTTTCACTCATGGACTCACGGCAGAAGGCAAAGGGGAGCGGACGTGTACAGAGATCACATGGCAAGAGAATGGAAGCAACAGAGAGGGGAGGAAGGGAAGTGCCAGATTATTTTAAACAACTAGCTCCCATGGGAACTCATAGAATAAGAACTCAGTCATTAATATGAGGATAGCACCAAGACATTCATGAAGGATATACCTCCATGACCCAAATGCCTCCAATTTAGTCCCTACTTCCAACATTGTGGATCAAATTTCAACATGAGATTTGGAGGGGCCAAATATCCAAACCATAGCATGTTCTATAGTTGTCTGTTAGGTGTAGTTGGTTTATAGTGTCATTCAAGTCTTCTTCTACTTCTTTATTGATCTTCTGTCTAATCATTCTATCATTGAGAGAGGATATTGAAATGTCTATTTATTTCTTCATTTCTGTCAGTTTTTTCCATGTATTGGTGCTCTGTTATTAGCTGAATATATATTTATAATTGGTATATTTTCCTGATGGGTTAATCCTTTTACTGTTATAAAGTATTCCCACTGATGTCCAGCAACATATTTTGTTTTAAAGTATATTTTGTCTATTACTGTAGCCTCTCCAGCTTTCCTATGGTTGCTGTTTTCATGACATATCTTTTTCCATCTTTTTACTGTCAATCTATTTGTATCTTTGAATTAAAAGTGTCTTTCTTGCAGACAACATATAGTAAGTAGAAGCATGTTTTTTGTAATTCAGTATGACAATTTTTGCCTTTTGAGAAATGTTTAATTCGCTCTCGCATTTGATATTATTGATATAATTAGATTTATGTCTATTTTATTTTTGTCTTACATATGTCCTGTGTTTTTTCTGTTCTTCCATTGCTGCTTTACTGCTTTTTCTGCATTAAGTAAATATTTTCTAATGTAGCATTTTAATTTCATTAGGATTTTTCCCACTATATTTTTATGTCATTTTTTAGTGGTTGCTCTAGGGCCTACCATATATATTTAACTGATCATAATCACCTTGAGACTTAAACTAGTTTAATTCCAGTGATCTATTAAGAACACTATTCCTATACAGCCCTGTTCCATGTCCCCCATTTCTGTGGTATTATTTTTATATGCATTACATCTATTAATTTTACAAACTCAATGATACATTGTTATAATCATTTTCTTAGCCCATTACATGTTTACTCCCACTTACCACCTTTGTGACGTTATTGGCAAATATATTTCACATATATGTTATAGGCTCAACAATGCATGATATACATATTATTCTGTATAATTGCTTTTAAAATAAGTATGAGACAAAAGAGAAAATATGCATTTATAGTGTCTTTTTAAAAGACAGTAACTTTCACTGATACTCTTTGTTTCTGTGGAACAAATTCTGTGGATTCAAATTACCATTTAAGGTAACTTGTTTTCAACCTGAAGAATTTTTTTTAGTATTTCTTGAAGGCAGGCCTAATAGCAAGAAATTCTCTGGGTTTTTGTTTTGTTTTGTTTTTTAACCTAAGCATTTCTTTATTTTGCCTTCATTTTTCAAATATAGCTGTGATGTATATAGGATTCTTCCTTGATGATTTTTTTCTTTGAACACTTCAAATATGTTATTTCACTGCCTTCTGACCTGTGTTTTGTTATGAAAAGTCAGCTGCTAATGTATTTGGGGTTCTCTTTTAAGGGATATGACATTTTTCTCTTGCTGCCTTTAAGATTTTTGCTTGTCTTTGGTTTTCACCATGATGTTTTTGTTCGTAAATCTTTTCTAATTTATCCTGTTTGGAGTTGATTGACCTTTCTGAATGAGTAGGTTGTTGTTTTCAATAAATTTGAGAAGTTTTCTGCCATTATTTCTTTGAATACTTTTTTCTCCTTTCTCTCCTCTCCTTCTGGTACATGGTTATATATATGTTGTTATGTTTAATGGTGTCCCGCATATCTCTGAGGCTGGTTTTTTTGTTTGTTTTTTTGTTTTTTTTTTGTCTATTCATTTTCTCTCTGTTCTTCAACTTGAATAATGAGCTGACTGTGGTATTGTTAGCACTCTCTTTCTGTCTCTGGCCACATCCAGATGTGAAACCACTAATTGCTCAATGATTGTTCTTTTGTTTTCAAGAGTGCCCTGGGGCATTGATGCCTCTGCAAAGACATCCGATCAAATTGTGATTCCTTTGAAGGAACCGTTTCTGAGGTCTAAGCTTCATATTTTTCCCCAGGAACTCAGAAGTGCTCCTCCCAACTGTCTTGTTCCTCAGTTCTGTCCTGAAAACTATCCAGCCTGGTTTAGGCTTTCTCTTCATAAATTCATGAATCTCCTTTCAGATGCCTTTCACTACAACTTGCACTGTTCTCTAGAGGCCCTTGGGTTTAAACTTCTCCACATTCTGTTGCACAAGAAGTCAATTCCAATGAGAAGAGATTGGAAGCTATCTGTTTTATGGCCTTCGTCTCCAATCGGGCAAAATTTTTAAGAAGAAATCACGAGCTGGAGGTGTGGAACATGATAAGTTTTTCTTTCAGTGACACCTAAACATGTAGAAGTTCCTCCTCCTCTTTGCTTTTTAAAGTGGTGATTTTAAAATTTTTAATTGCAGTTGTGCATGACTAGTAGCAAATCAATTAATTTTTGTTTATTAAACTTGTATCCTTGTATCCTAGCTAAACTCTTTTATTAATTCTAGAAGTGTTTTTTTTTCATAGTGGTTTTTTTTTGGACTTTTCCGCATGTACAATCATGTCATCTGTTACTAGAGGCAAATTATTCCTTTACAAACTACGATATTTTATGTCTTGTCTTGCCATGTTACACTGGTGTTTTAGCCCATTCAGGCTGCAGTAACAAATTACCATAGACCAGATAACTTACAAACAACACAAAATTATTGCTCACAGTTCTGGTAATTAGAAAGTCTAAGATCAAGGTGCTAGCACATTTGGTGTCTGGCAAAAGCTCCTTTTTTTCAAAGATGGCAGCTTCTAGCTGTGTTCTCACATGGTGAAAGAAGCAAACAAGCTCCCTTGAGCCTTTTTTATAAGGGCGCTAATCCCACTGAGGAGAGGAGAAAGCTTCATGACCTAATCCCCTCCCAAAGGCCCACCTCTTAACATAATTACATTGGGGAATTCAGTTTCAATATATAACTTCCTGGGAGACACTAACATTTAGACCATAGCAGCTAGCTATGATTTCCAGCACAATGTTGAATAGGAGTAGTAAAAGAGGACATCCTTGACTTGTGTCTGATCCTTGGGTAGACATATTGAGTCTTTCACAACCAAATATGATGCTAGCTTTGGTTTTTTGTACCTACCTGTTTTCATATAAAGAAATGTCCTATTTATTTCAAATAGATTGACAGATTGGATTGAGAGTTTATTTTTTCATCATAAATAGATTGTGAATACTGTAAAGTACTCTTTATACTTCTATAATCATATGGTTTTCTTTTTTAAAAAATTTTTGTTTGGGCCAGGCACAGTGGTTCATGCTTGTAATCGTAGCACTTTGGGAGGCCAAGGTGAGTGGATCACAAGATCAGGACATGGAGACCATCCTGGCTAACACGGTGAAACCCCGTCTCTACTAAAAATACAAAAAAAAAAAAAAAAATTAGCCAGGTGTGGTGGCAGGCGCCTGTAGTCCCAGCTACTCAGGAGGCTGAGGCAGGAGAATGGTGTGAACCTGAGAGGCAGAGCTTGCAGTGAGCCAAGATCGCGCCACTGCATTCCAGCCTGGGCGACAGAGCGAGACTCCATCTCAAAAAAAAAAAAAAGAAAAAAAAAATGTGTTGGTATGGTAAGTTACATTGATTGAATTTCGAATGTTGATTGAGCCTTGCATTCATGGGATACACACACTAGATTGTAATATATTGTTGACTTTATAGCAGCATCAACTGAAACAGAAAAAAAAGATTTATATATTGCTGGATTCAATATGTTAATTTATATTGATGATTGTTGCATCTATAATTGTGAAGGATAACAGCTTGTAGTTTTCTTCATCTCATTGGAATACTGGACTGATAAGATGAGTTCTATTTTCTGGAAGAGATTGTGTAAAATTGGTATTATTTCTGCCTTAAATGTTTTTAGAACTAACCTGCAAACACTTCTGGGCATGGCATTCTCTATATAGAAAGCTTTTAACCATAAAATCAATTTCTAATTTCTTTATAGATAGAAGACTGGTTTTTTTCTTCAGTGAGTTTTGATCATATCTTTTAAGGAATTGATCCATTTTACTCTGCTTATTTGAAGCATTTTCACATTATCTTTTCAGTGTCTATAGGGGTCTGTAATGATGTCCACTTTTTTATTCCTGATACTGGTCAGTATGGCCGGAGATCTACAGCCTAATTGTGTATTTGTTCATTTTTCCCTTCAGTTCGATTCACTTTTAGTTTATGTATTTCGAACTCTGTTGTTAGGCATATACATGTTTAGGATTGTTGTGGCTTTTTGGAAAACTGACTCATTATTACATTATGTCCTCCTTTATCTCTGATGATATTTCTCATTCTGAATTTTACTTTGATGTTATAGGGGTGTGTGTGTGTGTGTGTGTGTGTGTGTGTGTGTGTGTGTTGGTTGGTGTTTACTGTCTGCATGGTATATCTTTTTCCATCTTTTTAGTTTAACTCATTTATATCTTTATATTTAAAGCAAGTTTCTTGTTGACAACATACAATTTGGATTGCCTTTTTATTCTGCCACTTGGTCTCTGTTTTTTAATTGATGCGTTTAGTCCCTCTCAATTTAAATTGATTATTGATAGATTTTGATTAAAATCTTTCATCTTGCTACCTGTTTTCTTTTTGGTCCCTCTGTACTTTTTTATCTTTCCTTTTTTTAATGCAGTCTTTTGGGTTGCTGAAGACTTTTTATTGTTCAATTTGATCCCCATTATTGCCTTATTATTTATAACTCTTCTTTATACTTTTGGTGGTTTTCCTGGGTTTTATAATATACATATTTTTATTAATCAGAGTCTACCTCCCAATATTATTCCATTTCACATGTAGTATAAGGAGCTTATTGTTATATTCTCAATTATTTCCTCCATCCTTTCTGCTATTGTCACACATTTTACTTTTCCATATGCTATAAACACATGATACACTGATCTTATAGTTTGCTTGAGACCGTTGTCTTTTAGAGCAATTAAAATTAAGAAAATTTTTAAATAGACTTTATTTTATGTACATTTGCTTCATTTCCAGAATGCTTTATGTTTTTCTGTAAATTCAAGATTCTGTTGGTATCGTATTTTTTTCTGCCAGAAGAAATTCCTTTAACATTTCTTATATTGCAGGGCTGCTAGTAGAAAATTTTCTCAGTTTTTATTTATCTGAGAAAGTATGTCTTCTTCATTTTTTAAAGATATTTTGCTGAATATAGAATGCTGGGATGACAGTTTTGTCTTTCTGTAGTTTAAACATGTCACTTTATTGTAATCTGGCTTGCATGGCTTCTGAGGTGAAGTGCACTGCAATTCTCATCTTTGTTTCTCTGTATGTAACGTGTCCTTTTTCTCTGGCTGTCTTCAGGGTCTTTTCTTTGTTTTTTGTTTTTGGAAACTTGAATATGACATACGTAAGTGTGGTTTCTCTCTTCCTTCTTTCCTTCTTCCTCCCTTTTCTTCCTCCTTTCTCTCTCTTTCTTTCCTGCTTGGTGTTATCTAAGCTTCTTGAATCTATGGCTTGGTGTCTGTCATTATTTTTGGAAAAATTCCCAGCCAACATTTCTCAAATATTTCTTCCCCTTATTCTCTTTCTCTTCTCCTCTTGGGATTTGTATAATGCATATATTGCATCATTTGGTATTGTCCCACAGCTCTTAGATGAACTGGTTTGTTTTGTTTGTTTGTTTTTTGGGGTTTTTTTGAGTTAGAGTCCTGCTCTGTTGCCCAGGCTGGAGTGCAATGGCACAATTTTGACTCACTGTGAACTCCGCCTCCTGGGATCAAGAAATTCTCCCACCTCAGCCTCCCGAGTAGCTGAGATTACAGGCATGCACCATCACCCCTGGCAAATTTTTGTATTTTTAGTAGAGACAGGTTTTCGCCACATTGGCCAGGCTGGTCTGGAACTCCTGACCTCAGGTGATCCACACACCTCAGGCTCCCAAAGTGCTGGGATTACAAGCATGAGCCACCATGCCTGGCTGGTTTGTTTTTTTAAAACTGTTTGTTGTTCTTTGTTTTTCTATTGACTTATGTTCAACTTCATGTTGATTCTTATCTTCACTGTGTCTAGTCTACTGATGAGCCAGTCAAAGGCATTCTTCATCTCTCTCACTGTGTTTTTCATTTCTAGTATCACCAGTTGATTCTTTCATACAGTTTCCACCTCTCTGCTGAATTATCCACCTGATCTTGTATGTTACCGGCTTTTCCTTTAGAGCCTTTAACACACTAATCATTACAATTTTAAGTTCCCTGTCCGATAGTTCCAACATCTCTTGCTTTCTCATATGGCTCAGAGTTTTTGTTTAAAAACAAACATTTAACAGTAGTGACAGAGGTAAATAATTTTCATACTTGGAAATGAGCACAACTTTCCTTCTAGGTCTTTAATGTGGGGGTTCTATTAATCTAGTCAGGAGTTGAGTTTGATTTGAGATTTAACATTGCAATGGTTATTCTCATTATATAACAGACTTCAAATTCTAGTGTTACCTTGTGTTTAGAATGGGGGCTATTTTGCGAGAATTTTAACTTCCCTTTCTCATAAGGATGACACTGTTGGCACTCCTCCATCCCCACATTTTAAGTTTTTTCCCATGGATGGTGAGGGACAAGGGAGGGATAGGGGAGAAGTGACCTATACCACCAGGAACAGGAAGCTTTCTCAAGAGTCTCCTCGGTCTTCTCTGTGACTACCTGGTGAGAAACAATTCATCTTTTAACTTCATATGTGCAATTTATATATTATATGCAACATATGAAATCTATTAATTGCTCTATTAATTTTATAACCTGCTGTCTTGCAGAATTCTTTTATTTTTTGTGGTGGTTTTACCAACTATTTTACAATTTTGCTCTCTAGGGTTTTCCAGATGTACCATTTTGTCATCTGCAAACAGAGATAGTTCTTCTTTTTCAGGTTTTATGCCTCCAGTTCTTTCCTCTTACATGATTGCATTGGTTAATATATTAAGTAATAATAGAGCTAAGAAAATGTTTGCCTTGTTCCTAACCTTAGTAGGAATGTCTCTAGTGTTTCCTCATTAAATAAATCAGTGATTTTAGTATGAGGTATATACATGGTTTATCATGATAAGGATATATCCATTCATTTTTTCAAGACTGTAAGTACAAATGGGTGCAAAATGTTTCCAAAGGCTTTACTGGTCTCTGTAGAAAGAGTCAAATAATTTTTTCTCCTTCAACTTATTAATGTGGTTCATTTTATAGTATATTTCTTATTATTGAATCATCTTTGAGTTCCTGGTATGGATTTGCTTTTCACTGCAATATTGATTTAGTTCTGTAGTTTGGGGAAGTCTTTATTTTTCTTTTTCTTGATTTTTACTTTCTCGTGACCAGAGTATTTCTCAAGTGTATGTATTTCCCCAGAATGAGTTCATGGGTGGTTAACTTTTAAAATCTTTTCTTAAACATAAAACATTATTTTTGCTTTCATGATTAATAGTTCAGCTTACTGTATCATTTTTGAGACAAGACAGTTTTCCCTCCAGCCTTGAAGGAAGCCTTCTATTTCTCCTTAGCACATCCTCCTGCTGAGCTTGTTTCTCTGCCCATGACCTGTGCCACCCCCTCCCCTTATCTTTCTCGTAGTTCATGGCAAAATGCCCAGGTATTGATCCTTTCTCTTCTTTTTACTTCTTTTTTATAGAGAAGAGGTCTCCCTGTGTTGCCCAGGCTGGTCTTGAACTCCTTGGTTCAAGCGATCCTCCTCTCTCAGCCTCTCAAAATAATGGGATTACAGGTGTGAGCTACCACACCCAGCTATCTTTTCTCAATCATCCTATCAAATAACTTGAGAAAGTTTTAATTTAAAAACTGTTCCTCCTTGTTTAGCTCTGGGAAATTATTCCCCCAACATTTCTTTATTTCCCCATGTAGTAGACAAAATAATGGTGCACCAAAGATGTCACATCCTAATCCCTGGAACCTACGAATATGTTATCTCACATGGAAAAAGGGACTTTGCAGATGTCATTTAAAATCTTGAAATGGGGAGATTTTTCTGTATTATCCCAGGGAGCCCAATGTAATCACAAGAGTCCTCATAAGAGGGAGGCGAGAGGGCCAAAGTCAGAGAAGATGATGTGACAGCAGAAGCAGAGGAGATGGTGGTGCAATGAGGGAGGCAGGAGTCAGAGTCAGAGGGAGAGATCTAAAGAGGATACACTGACGGCCTTGAAAATATATAGGTCTACAAACCAAAGAATGCAGGCAGCCTCTAGAAGCTGGGAAAGACAAGGAAACAGATTGTCCCTTAGAGCCTCCAGAAGGAATGCAGTCCTGCTGACACCTTGATTTTAGGACTTCTGACCATTATAGCTGTAAGAGAATAAATTTATATTGTTGCAAGCCATTAAGTGTGTGGTTATTGGTTACCAACTGGTTATTGGTTATTGGTTACACTGCACTTCCCTCCATTCTTTCTTTTTTTCTGTTCATTCCTTCTGAACTCCTAGCAGACACATTTTACGTCTCACTCTGTCACCTAGGCTGAAGCACAGTGGTGTAATCTTGCCAGGGTTGGTTATAAACAACAGAAAGGCAGTTTCTGCCTCCCGGGTTCAAGCGATTCTCCTGCCTCAGCCTCCCAAGTAGCTGGGATTACAGGTGCCTGCTGCCTCACCTGGTTAATTTTTGTATTTTTAGTAGAGATGGGGTTTCGCCATGTTGGCCCGGCTGGTCTCAAACTCCTGACCTCAGGTGATCCGCCTGCCTTGGCCTCCCAAAGTGCTATTATAGGTGTAAGCCACTGTGCCGGGCCTATCAGACACATTTTGACACCCTGGATTGATGCTATGCATCTCTCACCTGCCCTGTCAGACTCTTCAGCTTTTTGTCTTCTTGCCCTACAGTCTGGGAAGTTTAACTTTACTTTCCTATCCTCCTCCTGATTTGTTTTTAATTTTTATCATCACATTTTTAATGTCTCTAAACTTTTTTGATTCCCTGATTTGTCCTTTCTCTAGTTTCCTGTTCTTGTTTTGTGGATGCAACATCTCCTCAAACATCTCTTGAGATGTTAATTATGACTCTTATTCTATTCATTGCCTTTAGTATCTATTTCTTCCAGGGACAACTGTTACTTTTGTTCCTCTTGGTCCTTCTGTCTTGTGACTGTTTTCCTTGTTTGCCTATCATGTACACAGATGAAAGATAAGACTTATGCATACAGATAGCTGCCAAGGGTCCCCTTTGTGGTTCCGGGGTCTGTTTACTCAGCAGGCCTCTCCCCTTCCTGGGAAGGCTGGCTTGACTTCTGCTTAGTCGGGTGAGTCACACCTGGCAGCCCTCACCAGAGGGTACCCAGCTTCCTCATCTTTACAAAAAGACCAAACTACCGAAGGCTTTACTCCAGCATATACTAACCCTCCTCCTAAGTTCACTTCTATTTCCTAGCAAGATGTTTTCATCAGTTCAGGTTGTTACAATAGAATCACACAGCCAGGGTTGGTTATAAACAGCAGAAATTCATTTCTCACAGTTCCAGAAACTGGAAAGTCTAAAATTAAGGCGCCAGCAGATTTGGTGACTGGTGAAGGCCTCTTCCTGGTTCGTAGACCGCAGTCTTCTTGCTGTGGCCTCACCTGGCAGAAGAGGAGAGGGGGTTCTCCAAGCTCTTTTCTTTTTTTTTCCTTCTGTTTTTTTGAGACGGAGTCTCGTTTTGTTGGCCAGACTGGAGTGCAGTGGTGCGATCTCGGCTCACTGCAATCGCTGCCTCCCGGCTTCATGCAATTCTCCTGCCTCAGCCTCCAGAGTAGCTGGAATTACAGGCGCACACCACTACGCAGGCTCTTGTTTTCTAAGGCACTAACCTCATTCATGAGAGCTCTGCTCGCATGACCTAGTCACCTCCCAAAGTTTCCTCCTCCTAATACCACCACAGTGGGGTGAAACTCAACATATGAGTTTCAGGGGCACATGGTTCCATCTACAGCATAAGCATATCATTGGTTTTATCCTACTACAAAACAGTACTCGTAGCCTCTTTGAGGCAGGGTGGAGCCTGGGATTAGAGCAAAGAGCTCCCCCCACTGTTCTCTCCATCCATACCCCTGAGTGAAGACCCTAGGCTCCACTCTTCCCAAACTGTGGACCCTAACCTTGCAGCCTTTCCGTGTCGGGAGTTGGTTCTTTCCAGTGGGTTCGTGGTCTCGCTGACCGCAAGAATGAAGTCCTGGACCTTCACAGTGAGTGTTACAGCTCTTAAAGGTGGCACGGACCCAAAAAGTGAGCAGCAGCAAGATTTATTGCCAAGAGCAAAATAACAAATACACCACAACAGGGATGGGGACCCAGTGGGTTGCCTGCTGCTGACTGGAGGGTGGCCAGCTTTTATTCCCTTATTTGTCCCCACCCATGTCCTGCTGATTGGTCCATTTTACAGAGTGCTGATTGGTCTGATTGGTCCATTTTACAGAGCACTAATTGGTCCATTTTACAGTGTTCTGATTGGTCCACTTTACAAAGCACTGATTGGTCCATTTTAGAAACCTCTAGCTAGCCACAGAGAGCTGATTGGTGCGTTTTACAATCCTATCTACAGAGTGCTGATTTGTGCATTTTACAATCCCTTTGTAAGACAGAAAAGTTCTCCAAGTCCCCGCCCCACCCAGAAGTCCAGCTGACTTCACCACTCATTTCCAGCTGGTAGAGGTAGCCTTCTACCCAACCTCCTCCCTTCTACCCTTCTCCCTGCCACATACATTCACTCCTGCACACTTACGGGGCTCCAGTGCCCTCTGCTTTGGTTTATAAACCAACACCATCATGCCTGTTTTTTATTTTCTGGAAGTCCATGATAGCCGCGGGCCCACTGGTAACTTGCCTGTGCCCCACTCTCCTTCTCACCTCTGCTTGGCTTATGCTACTTGGCCATGTCCAGGGAGTTCGGAGAGGAGAGGGAAGCAAACGGGGTGTTCAGTCTGCTCTGTGGGCACCTATGCCGACCTGCTTAGTTACCACTGTACTTGTGGTAACATGCCAGTGTGTAGGAGGGGTCCTCTCCCTGACAAGGACAGAGCCATCCCACAGACGAACTGCCTTAGTGCAGCTGGCGCTCCAGTCCGGGATCACTTACAACCACTGGCTAACCTTTTTCATGAGAAACATAATTGGCTGTAAACTCTCTGAGGGTGGTGAATCAGTTAGGACTATCTCTGACTATGGGTTGAAAAAATCCTAACATAATAGTGGCTTAAGCAAGAGAGCAGTTTACTCAATGTGGGAGGCAGGAAGTCTAGATCTGTTACAGGGGCTACACTGTGATGGGGACTCGGGCTCCATCTATCCAGTGCTCATTATCCTTGTGTGGCTTTAAATACCCTTGTGTGACTTCCATTCCCACGATGACCCATGGTCCAATGTGACTGCTGCAGCTCCTGCCATCATGTCCACACTTCAGCCAGCAGGAAGAGAAAGAAGGAGAATTGGCTCATCCACTCATTTACAAGTTACTTCCTGGGATAGAAGTAGTTCATGACACTACTGCACACCCCATCAGACAGAATTGGTCCAGGTAGCCACACGCTGAGCTAAAAATCAAGGGTTTCATTATTAAAGATGGGAACATGTATGGTGGGGCCTCTAAAGCATCCCCAGCCGACAGCATATCTCGTTTGTGATTTTACTCCCCCATCTAGAGACAAGAATTCTGGAGTCATGATTCATCGATTATTTGCCAGTCACCCAGTTTCACTGTAGCCTTTGACTTGGAGTATATTGCCCAGAGTTATCCGGACCAGAGCAAAAGATCTTGCCCCAAAACTGCTTCACAGCAGAAAAGACACTAAAAGAATGAGGGGAATCAGCAGACGTATCTATACTCAAACATTTTGGGGATCAAGATAGACTGACAGTTGGAACTGGCAATCGAGCCGTAGAGAGAGAGCAAATGGGAAGCAGCTTGTGTTCCCCAGGCCTGGACTAGCATGCCCTTCCTGGCATCCATTTTTCCTGCTGGGCCCCAAGGGACCTGGCCCTGTGCGTCAGTTCTGTGGCTGCAAGGGATAGCGAGGCTGCTTACGAAAGAAGAAAACAGTTCACGAGTCCCATTGCCCATCCCTCCAAGGCAAACACTTAAAAGTTGTTTTTTTTTTTCCCACATTTTAGTATTTCATATTCCGATAAGACCCATATACTGCTGTTGGCTGAGCCAGAACAGCCTACACATCCCAGGGGAAAGAGGACCTTCTCTGACAGAAACAAGTCTAGACTAATGAGCCGCAGAACTGAGTGTCTGGTGATAAGCTGAGAACACTGAGCCTGCCTCCCCAGGCTCCACCTGGGGCTCTGTGCAGCAGCTGCTGCTGGAGACAGCTCCTCCGCTCCTGGCGGTGGGATGGCGGGGCAGCCCTGGGTCCCAGTGCCGCTGACAGCCAGGTCGGACCTGAGCACGAGACCCTGCACCAGAGCGGGGACATTCAGGCTCTGTGGACTTCCTGAGTGTCTTCTCCACATTGAGCCATCACATGTTTCCTGAATGGAACTGTTTCTCTGGGCCTTTGTCACTGGGACCACTTGGGAACCCTCTGACTGAGTCTCAGCCCAGCCTCATCTCCACGGCATCTGAGGTGCCCCAAGCACACTGCTTTCATCTCCCACCCCTAGAGGTGCCCCTGTGGGGCAGGGTCCCCAGCCAAGAGCTCCTTCCAACCTCCCCTCCTCATCTAAACCTCATCTTCCTTTCAGAGGCTGGCGGGGGCACATCTTCTCCCAGAGGGCTCTCCATCCATGTAGGCAAGGGAGCAGCAGAGCCTGGAGCTGAACCCGCATCTGTGGCTCCCATGCCCGGCCCCCACAGCCCTTCTTTGGGCCCCCTGACAGCCTCGATCAGAGGTTGTGTCCTGGACATGCAGTGTCTCCCCTACTGGAGTGGACATTGGTGCTGCTCACCCAGACCCCACTTCTCCTCGGGCACGCTCTGCATTCTGCGAAGTGGATGGCAGCAGGATCTGCCTCCAAACGTGCTCTTCTGACATGGAGATTCTGGCAATTCTGCTGAGAGTTGGGGTTTCCTTTCTTCCTCTTGACTCTAGGCAGGCTTGCGTGCCACTCCAGGTAAGTGATGCTATGTGGCTTCTGAGGCTGGGTCACAAATGGTGAGACAGTGTCTGCTGGTTCTCTTGGGACTGCCCTTGGAGACTCAGCCCTCATGCTGAAGTGGGCCATGCAGCCAGAGGACAGCTAGAGACCTTGGAGCTGCACTGCTGCGTTCAGGTCCCTGCACCAGTGTGGCCTTGGGCAAGTACCGCATCTCTGAACCTCAGTTTCCCCATTTGTAAAATGGGCACAATATAGTCTTTCCCGCTGAGTGTTATTAAGAGGATCAAATTCCCACATGAAGGGACCAGCCCAGCCCCACACACCAGGTGGCCCCCACTCAATGCTGGTTCCTGCTCCACAGCACAGGCTCTCACCCCAAGCACAGGCCCTGTGCCCAGAGGGCGGGATGCAAGCCTTAGGCACACCCTTGACCCCTGCTCCCCTCAAAGCAGGCAGCCCACTACCCACTTCACCCCTACCCGTGCCTTGCCCTGACTCAAGCCAGCTGGGATGTTACACCCCACCCGGGGGACAAAAAGCAGGCCCAAGGGACCCTGGGCAGGTGGGCAAGGACTTCGTGAAAAGAGCGTAACTTTGCAGTCTAGAAGATTTTGTCTCAGCCGGGTGCAGTGGCTCACACCTGTAGGCCCAGCACTTTGGGAGGCTGAGGTGGGTGGATCACCTGAGGTCAGGAGTTCGAGACCAGCCTGGGCAACATGGTGAAACCCGGTCTCTACTAAAAATATAAAGTTAGCTGGGCGTGGTGGCGCATGCCTGTAATCCCAGCTACTTGGTAGGCTGAGGCAGAATAGCTTGCTCCCGGGAGGCAGAGGTTGCAGTGAGCCAAGATTGTGCCATTGCACTCCAGCCTGGGCAACAAAGCAAAACCCCATCTCAAAAAAAAAAAAAATTGTTTATTTATCTATCGACGGGACACATTGCAGCACCTGCCTCAGAAGGTCACCTGGTGACATCAAAAAGATGATAGCGATGCGACGCTTCCAGGTGCTCAAACCCAAATCTCGGGGTCAGCTTATCTTGCCCCTCTCTCCCACATGTCACAGCCATCGCATCCAGCCAGCCAGACCCTCACAGGCAGTCAACCAGCACAACTGACTCTGGTCCGAGGCATTGTCCCTTCTCTCTTGGATCTGCCCTCTGCCTGGTCTCTCGGCTTCCACCCCCTCCCTCGACCCTCCTCCACCCTCCTCCACCTTCCACACAGCAGAGTGATCTGAGTAAAATCCAAAACCCAAGTTGGGGCCTGCCACCCCTCTGCTAGAAGCCCCAAGGCTCCCCATTTCCCTGCAGGGCACCTCACCCCCAGCTCTGACCTCCCTGTTCTGCTCCAGCCCCCTGCCTTGCCGCTGTCCCAGCTCTGGGACCAGCCACCTTCAGCTCTGGACCTGGGATTTGAGTTCTCCCTGCCTGTGGCACACTTCGTAAGGCTGGCTGACTCACTTTTTAAGGCCTTTATTTAAATGTCATCCACTCATGGAGACCTCTCTGAGCAACCTAATTAAACTGCACGCCACCCCCTCCATGTGGGGTCCCCTTCTGTCCTTCACTGTTTTCTATTTAGTGGTTGCCATCTGACACAATGCTGAGGATGGTTTCTTGCCTCTCCCCAGTTAAAATACAAGCATGAACATGAAGGCAGGGCTTTCCTGTCATCAGTTTCACCGCTCTCGCTCCGTGGATTCCCTGCAGAAAATGGATTTGGGAATACCTTTTCCCCATTGAGGAAGGCCAGGTGGAGGGAGAGCAGAGTCGGGGTGGAACAGGAGTAGGACTCGTCTCCTGGCAGGCTGTCAAGAACCCCATGGGGAGGCTCCAGTCTGGCTTGGCCTGAGACTATGTGCTGTGGCCTCTGTGGGTCCAAGCAGTGCTGACGGCAGCCTGAGGGTTTGAGTCACCCTCCCTAGTGGGAAGCCCCTGGGTGAAGAGCAGAAGTCAAGTTCAAAGGGGGCAGCTAAAGCTTTGAAGAGCCACTGAGCAAAGGGGCCTAGGAAAGCAAAAGGCACCAAGGTGTGGGCCCAGCATGGCAGAAGCCCCGGAGCCCAGAGTCAGGCTCTCAGCCCCTCCCTGTGGCCTGCCCTGGCAGATCGGGCAAGACAGGTGTGCACATGCACAAAAAAGCCCTAAGCCAGAAGACCCTCCCTCCCAGTGGCTGGTGCCCCTCTGCCCCACAGCGACCCCACCCTGGCACATCCACCCAAGCTGAGCCAGCTCTGACTCTGAGACCACACCCCTTGTCCCGCACCCAGCCACGAGGCGGAGGTTAGTGCAGGTTTCAGCACCCTTGGACCTCATCTAGGAGTAGAGGGGGCAGGCCTAGGCCTGGACCTGGAGCAGTGGGTGTCAAGGAATCCCCTGTGTGGGCAGGATGGCTCTGGGAAACCAAGGGCAGTGTGTGGTGGTTTGGCACAGCTGACTGCAAAAAACTCAGAGATAGGCTGGGCACGGTGGCTCACACCTATAATCCCAGCACTTTGGGAGGCCGAGGTGGGTGGATCACCTGAGGTCAGGAGTTTGAGACCAGCCTGCCCAACATGATGAAACCCCGTCTCTACTAAAAATACAAAAATTAGCTGGGCTAATCCCAGCTACTCAGGAGGCTGAGGCAGGAGAATCGCTTGATCCTGGGAGGCAGAGGTTGCAGTGAGCCAAGATTGCGCCATTGCACTCCAGCCGCAGGGGGAAAACTCAGGGATGCAATTCCCTGCCATGTGGGTTGCCCCCACATTTGTGGGGCTAAGGGGCCCCTTGTTTTCAGAGGGAGCTCAGCTCCTCTCAGAGGGTGATTGCAACTTTGCCCAGTGGAGTCTGCTCTGCTTCTCCATCTGGTGCTGACATCCTCTAGGGCAGCCAGCACCGTCCTCTTCACTGAGGCAGGATAAGGGGCTCGCACTCTGCCAGGGAGACACAGGATGCTTGGGGCTGTGTGACACTGAGCTTCCCTGGGCACAGGCTCCAGGGAAAACCCAGTAGATGACACAGCCCCGCCCAGTGGGGCAGATCAAAGGGAGCTGTGTAGGCGAGCACTAGGCGACTGTAGGGCTTGCCCACGGCTTCTTGGCCTGGCTGCAGGCTCTTCCCACCCACAGAGTCCTATAGCTGCCCTGGGGGAGAGGGAGGAGGGCACCGTGCATGGTTGACTCTTCCTGCTTCTCAGCTCCAACAGCCTTGGCCTCCTGCTTGATCTTTCCAAGGCCTGGGGGCCTGCTCCAAAGTCAGACACTCCTGATGTGGTACTGTGCCTGGGGACAAAGGTGGCTGGGAGGGCTCGGAGCCCTGAGCTTGAGCCCTGGGATGGAAGGGGTCGCTGCTTCTCCACTGGGGTCCAGGAGCCAGTGGGCTCTTGCTCTGGGAGTACCCTGGGGGCCAGGCAGCAGCACCAAGCATGCCCCTGAAATAGGCGCTGGCCAGAGCCTGGGTGTAGGCTGCGGGGTTGGCCCCAGGGCCAAGTTGGCTCCCTCATTGCCCACCACGCTCTGCTCCCAGCCACTACACACGAAATGCCAGCAGCTGTTTTGGTTTGGCAGCTTCTGCTGCCACCCCCATACGCCTTCTAAACTCGTCAGTGCTGCCGTGTCTGGTCTGTTGTGTCCTGGTGCAGCCCTGTCCCCTAACACCTGGGCTGTTTCCTTGCTGTGATGGCCATGGTTGTGCCTCTGAGGCCTGGGCTCCTTTCAACTAGGGTTGGAGAATCTCTGAAAACACCACCAATTAAGGCCCCGCCCGAGCAGGAGCATCCTGTGCTTTGTGGTGGGAACCTGTCCAGGCAAAGGCCTTATCCGAGAGATCAGGTAAATTACTGGGTAACTATCGGAGCCTGAGCAGAGACGCAGGCCTAGCAGGCTCCTTATTAGGCTAATTACTGGCCCCGGACTGCGTAAAACCCAAGATAAACTCAGGGTCGACCCGGAGAGCAGCTGGGAGGTGGTGTTTTCCTGGAGAGGCACTTGCCAGAGGCCCTCAGGCTGAGGCACAGGAGAGAAAGACTGAAGAATTCCCCAGGGAGAGTGGATCACCACCCCCCCCCGCCGCCACCCCCAAAGACCAGAGAAGTCTGCAGACCCCACATCCAGCTCCTAACTCTGACCCCCTCCACGTCCTCATCTGTGTAGTTCATCCCTCTGACATTTATGATGTGCCAGGAGCTGCTGGCCACTGGGTATGGTTGAAAATAACATAATAATAATAATGTTACAAAATCAGCCTCACACTGTACAAAGAGTAGCTCATTTAGTCCTCAACAAATCCATCTTCATTTTATAGATGGGGAAACTGAGGCTCAGGGATGTTAAAGGACTTGCTAGCAGCTGCTAGAGCTGGAAGCAAGAGGCAGCCCTGACCCCAAAGGGGAAACAGGCCCAGGAACTTCCCAGCGCCCCTCCCTTGAGGACAGACAACGTTGGCAGGCCACGGCCCCTCCCACTCCGAGGCGTCTGGACCTCTTGGCCTGCAGCCTTTGCAAGTGCGCGTCACTGAGGAGGAGAGGGCGCCACCGCCCCAGGCCTGAGAATGGTCGGCAATGGGCGGGGTCGGCGGCTCTCTGGGCTCGTAATTATTCTCCTGGTAATTATGCTGGCGCTGGGCGTGGCCTGAGCGGAGCGCCGGGAAGCCTGCCCACCCTGCCACGTGCACCCCTGCCCTGCCCTGCCCTGCCCGCCCCACCCCACCCCACCCCGCCCCACCCTGAACCTGGACACCCTCTTGGCCTCAGGGCCTCAGGCTTGTTCCCAACCCCCCTTTGCCCATTTCCGCCTGGGAAATGACCCCTGGCAAATGTTCCTGTGGCAAAGTCAAACGAAAAACCTGGACTGGAGGACGGAAAGTGTCCTCTGGGCTCAGGGTAGGGACAGGCACCAGCCCCTGAGCCACTGTTGAAACCACCACTGCAAAATTATAACCCAGACAGTGAACGAGATCTGACTTAACTAACTCCATCTTGCTTCTAACCTCCAAGCTGTCCTTGTTCATTCCTAGGTGTAAGCTGAACTAACTTTGGGAGAAAACTTGGTTTATAGTTTATAGTTTAAAACAAAGACTATAACATCCCTTTCCCAAAGCAGACCTCCTTCCTGCCTAGGGACTAGACTGCCTTTGTAGCTAGGACTAATAAATTAGCCAAAAAATTAGAAATTATGGTTTAGGAGTCACGCAGCTGGAGGCTACAAGATTCTGACTTTCCCAAGTTGCTTCTGGGGATAACATCACTATTGTAAAGCCTAAGATCCCTAAAATCAGTGCTTGAGATATTTTGCAGACCCTGTACTCCATGGATCAGCTGGCACCACCCAGGTCAATAAACTGGCTCATCTGATCTTGTGGCCCCAAACCAGGAACTGACTCAATGCAAGAAGACAGCTTCGACTCCCTATGATTTCATCACTGACCAATCAGCACTCCCAACTCACTGGCTGCCCCCCAACCACCAAATTATCCTTAAAAACCCTAGGCCGGGCGCGGTGGCTCAAGCCTGTAATCCCAGCACTTTGGGAGGCCGAGGCAGGCAGATCACAAGGTCAAGAGATCAAGACCATCCTGGCCAACATGGTGAAACCCTGTCTCTACTAAAAATGCAAAAATTAGGCCGGGCACGGTGGCTCATGCCTGTAATCCCAGCACTTTGGGAGGCCGAAGTGGGCAGATCACCTGAAGTCGGGAGTTTGAGAGCAACCTGACCAACACAGAGAAACCCCGTCTACTAAAAATACAAAATTAGCCGGGCGTGGTAGCGCATGCCTGTAATCCCAGCTACTCAAGAGGCTGAGGCAGGAGAATCTCTTGAACCCAGGAGACGGAGGTTGCATTGAGCCAAGATCGCGCCATTGCACTCCAGCATGGGAAACAAGAGCGAAACTCCGTCTCAAAAAAAAGAAAGAAAGAAAGAAAAACAAAAAAACCAACCCTCCCAGGGCACGTGTATCACAGGCCCTGAGGGGACAACAGCCAGAAAAGCTGGTGAATGTCCAGTAGGCAGAGGATGGAGGATCAGGGACTCTGAGGCAGACTTCTTGGGCCGGAATCTCAGCTCCACCACCAAGCAGCAGCATGACTTGGGAAACTCAATTCCACATACTTTGGGGGTTTCCCTCCCCCATTTTTATTTTATCAAATTAATTTTGATGTGATATTATTAAGTGAAATTAAATGTCAAAACTGTAGATGAAATGTTGCCATCGGGGAAATGCAAATCAAAACCACAATAAGGTACCACTTCACATCCGTGACGATGGCTATGAACAAAAAGGAGGACAGTAACAAGTGTTGGGGCATGTGGAGAAGCTGGACCTCTCATGGATTGCCAGTGGGAATGTAAAATAGTGCAGATGGAAACAGTCTGGCAGTTCCTCAAAACTAAACATAATGTTGCTACATGACCCAGTAATCCCACTCCTAGGTGTATACCCGAGAGAAATGAAAACTTATGTCCAAAAATAAATAAATAAATAAATAAGGAAAAAAGAAAACTTATGTCTACACAGAAGCTTGTACACACATGTTCATAGCAGCAGCATTCATAGCAGCTAAGGAGTAGAAATAACCCAAACATCCATCAGTGGATGAATGGACTTTAAAAAAATAGTATATCCATACGACAGAGTATTATCAAGCCATAATAGTGAGTAGGGGCCGGGCACAGTGGCTCACGCCTGTAATCTCAGCACTTTGGGAGGCAGAAGTGGGCAAATCACTTGAGGTCAGGAGTTCGAGACCAGACTGGCCAACGTGGTGAAACGCCATCTCTACTAAAAATACAAAAATTAGCCGGGCGTGGTGGCGGGCATCTGCAATCCCAGCTACTCAGGAGGCTGAGACAGGAGAATCGCTTGAATCCAGGAGGTGGAGGTTGCAGTGAGCCGAGATTGCCTCACTGCACTCCAGCCTGGGCAACAGAGGGAGACTCCCTCTAAAACAAAACAAAACAAAACAAAGGGAGTGGAGTACTAACACATGATACAACATGGATGAAACTTAAAAATTTATGCTAAGTGAAATGAGACAGACACAAAAAAGCCACATATTGTTTGATTACATTTATATGAGATATTCAGAAGAGGCAAGTAGATGAGTGGCTCCTAGGGCCAGGGAAAATGGGGGAATATCGGGGTGATAGCTAAAGGGTACAGGGTTTTATTTTGAGACAATATTCTATAATTAACTGTGGTAATGGTTGCACGTCTGTGAATATACTAAAGGCCAATGGATTACATACAGTAAATGGGTGAATTATATATGTGAATTATATCTCAAAAAAGTTATAGAAAAAATGCACCTAGAGAAGTCTCACTTCCACCTCCATCCTCTCTGCCCATATCCACAGGACTTCTTTTTGAAAAAATAAGCAAAATCTATATAAAATACACACCCACACTCTTTAAAATACTCCCTACTTTCTTTCTTTTCTTTTTTTTTTTTTTCTTGAGACGGAGTCTCGCTCTGTCACCCAGGCTGGAGGGCAGTGGCCCAATCTCGGCTCACTGCAAGCTCCGCCTCCCGGGTTCAGGCCATTCTGTCGCCTCAGCCTCCCGAGTAGCTGGGACTACAGGTGCCCGCCACCACGCCAGGCTAATTTTTTGTTTTTGTATTTTTTTTTTAGTAGAGACGGGGTTTCACCGTGTTAGCCAGGATGGTCTCGATCTCCTGACCTCGTGATCCGCCTGCCTCAGCCTCCCAAAGTGTTAGGATTTCAGGCGTGAGCCACCGCGCCCGGCCAAAATACTCCCTACATTCTTACTCAGGTAGGATTGTCTTCCATGTACTGCTTGGCACCTTCCTTTTTTTCCTTTAACTTAACATTGCACCCCAGCGCTGTCAGCATCTCTCTTTGGCCAGTGCACAGCGCTTCTCTGTGGAGATGTTAGCCTCATGGACCGCGCCCCCAGGAACAACCTTGCCTGCAAGTTGCTTCCTGTCTGTCCAGGTGATCCCTGTGGGAGCCCCCTGAGATGCAAGGGCAAAGGCAGTCCAGGCTTGGCAGATGCGGCTGCCTGTCCCCCCACCTCTCCACCCACCACCCTCGCAGACAGAAGCCCGACCCGGTGCCCTCCAGCCAGGCAGCATGTCCTTGACTCTCCATAGAGGCCTCTGTTTGCTCTGTGAACAGGGCTGTGGTAGTAATGAGACGGGAGGATGGATACAGGTCCAGCACTCAGAACGATGCCTGGGCCATAATGAACATGATCTCAGTGGGAACTCTCATCATCACCCACCTCACCTTCAAGGCCAAAGCAGCGATGCCTGGCTGGGAAAGCTCTGTCTTTGCTTCCTCTCTGGTCTTGGAGCACCGAAGCGGCTGCAGCTGCGACCGCAGAGCACAGCGGGGGTTGAGCCCTGCGGAGTGGCGTGTAGGGAGTACTAGACGAGTAGTGGGAGGACCGAGGGACAAGGGTGCTGGGATGGGGCTGGATGGCCGGCACCCTGCCCTGGCTCTGAAACCCCCTGGCGGGTGGGTGCATCCTAGGTCTGAGGGGGACGGGGGGGGGACGGGCCGGGGGTGACGGGGTAGGTACTCTTTAGCCGGGTTTAGGGAAGGCCTCTCATGGGGGAGCAGTGGAGGAGAGGCGTGCAGGGAGTGCGCAGCACACCTCCGTCACCTCCATATCTGGACCGGGAAATGCAAAGGCCGAAGGCCGGGCCCGGCGGCTGCTTACTGAACGCTGCATGCCGCTAGGAGGTCCCAGTAGCCCCAGCAGGGTGGGGGCTGGCAGGAAGGTAGGGGCAGGCCGAGTTCTGGGAGAGACGCAGGTGCCAGGTGGGGTGGGATCTAGAGGCCCCTGGAGCAAGAGGGGAAGCCGCTGTGGGTTCTCCTTGGAAAGGGCTCGCGCGCCCGCCTCCAGGCTTGGAGGCTCTCCCAGGCTGCGGTCGGTCTCCGTCCAGGCGGGTATGGTGGGGCTGGAGCGAGCGGTGCTGCACAGTCGTGGAAAGGGGCTCTGCTTTGCAGGTGGAGCCGGCAGAACTTGCCTCCATGCTCTCCAGGCGTAGCGGACCTGGCTGGAGCCGGACAGTGCACCTAGAGCCGTTTCGGACCGGCTCACGGCAGCCGCCTAGACCTCCCGGAAGCGTCGCGGGCGGGGGCGGGGGCGGGGTGGGGGGCAATCACAGAAATGGGTGTGGGGCCCCAGATGGGGCTCCTGGCCCAGCCCCGAGCTGACCCTTGTCTTGGGCCGGTGCAGGACCCCCATTGTTAAAATACCGCGAGCAGACTCTACTGAATTTCCAAAACGTCACCCAAGTCACTGGCTCCTTCCTCCGAGCTATTTCTAGGGCGGACCCCCAGGACAGGCCTGAGGGGTCAGGGAGGAAGAGCCGAGTCCCGTGGACACCCTGCAGGCCCCTTCAGGGGCGGGACAGTCGCGCGCGTAGAGGACCCAGGATGCGCCGTCAGGGTCCTGAGGAGCGCAGGGGACCCGGGGAAAAGGACGCGGGTGAGAGCTGGGAGAGCAGGGCGGGGCCACATCAGGAGGGGCGTGGCCTGGGCGGCTCGAGGCTCAGCACCGCCGCCCCGTCCCCGCGACCCGTGACTCGGCGCCCCAGCCCGCGGCCAAAGAGGTGGCGTCTACCCCAGTCTCACTGATAGTCGCTGCCCGCGGTACATGAGCTCACGTGAGGAGAAGAAACTTAGAATGACAGAGTGCAAAGCACAGTGACAATCCTTATCGTTCTCTCCCGGACCACAGCATCATCCTTGTGTCATCTGAGCTCGCCGTGGGCTGGGGGAATCGCAGTGGGCAGAGGGCGCTGCGAAGTGGAGACGACGTACTGCGGCGGCCGCGAGGGCCTGGGGCTGGCCGGGGTCCGAGGGGGATGGAGACCGCGACCCGGGGGTCGGGGGCGAGTGGGCAGCTGGCGGGTCTGGCCGCTCGCTTCGGAGGCAGTGAATGGCCCGGCCGGGCTCGGCGCCCGCCCAGCCGAGGGCTCCCCCGCCTCCGGCCCAGCCGTCCCGGCTGCCCTCCGAACGCGGCAGTCCGCGCAGGAATCCTCTGCCTTCCCGGGGCCTTCACAGATCCTCCCCCGGGCCGGCAGTTCACGAATTCCAGGAACTTACTAGAGCCTGGGAAGCCCGGGAAGCGCCTCCCGCCGGGCTCCGCCTCCCCCAACCCAACTCCGCGGACTCCTCGAGGGCTCCTGACTGCCTGAGGAGCGCAGTAACACCCAGCCCACACAGCCCCACACAGCCCCCCACAGCCCCCCTACAGAGCCCCCACACAGCCCCCCAACAGTGCACCTAGAGCCGTTTCGGACCGGCCCACGGCAGCCGCCTAGACCTCCCGGAAGCGTCGGGGGCGGGGGCGGGGGCGGGGTGGGGGGCAATCCCAGAAATGGGTGTGGGGCCCCAGATGGGGCTCCTGGCCCAGCCCCGAGCTGACCCTTGTCTTGGGCCGGTGCAGGGCCCCCATTGTTAAAATGCGGCGAGCAGACTCCACTGAATTTCCAAAACGTGGAGTTTTGGAAATTTGGAGCACAGCCCCCCAACAGAGCTCCCCCCTCCACAGCCCTACAGCCCCACAAACCCAGCCCCCACAGACCCCACACCCAGGTCCCCGCACTCAGCCCCGCACAGCCCCACAACCCCGACACCCACAGCCCCACACAGCCTACACAGTTCCACACCCAGCCCCCTTCAGCCCCCCACAGCCCAACACCCAGCACCCACCCCCACAGCCTCCTCAGCCCTATACCCAGCCCCCCCACAGGACCACAGAGCACCCCCAGAGGCCCACACAACCCCCTCAGCCCTACAGAGTTCCCCAGAGACCCTCACAGCCCCCTCAGCCCCACACAGCCCCCCCACACTCCCCCACATTATCCACCCCCGCCATAGTCCCCACAGCCCTCCACCCCATAGAGAAGCCCCATGCAGTTGAGAATGTACATCCTTTCCTGACTCAACAGCCTAGTAAGGGTCAGGACAAAATGCCATGGCCAAGAGTGCCATGAACACTGTTTGGGGACAGGGATGGCCAGAAAGGCTCCCACCAGACATGACCTGTGGTCTGGGTCTTAGGGGATGAATGAGATTTGAGTAAGGAAGCCTGTTTCAGCTCAGGGAGCAGACCAGAAGAAAAGAAGGAAAATAAACACAGGGATAATGCCGAACACAGAGATAAGGGACACAGAAGCCTGATTCAGTAAATCCACCTTCAACTAATAGGAATTCCAAAAGAAAAGAATGTAGAGGGAGGGCAATTAACAATACAAGATTAGAGGAAAGCGTTGCAGACCTAAGGAACAGACCTAAGGAGACATGGGTCTGCAGATGGAGTGCTCCGTGGAATGCAGGATCAAGGAAAAAATGACCTGCCTCTAAAAATATCTGAACAAAAGTGCAGAGCAACAGGGAGTAAGATTGGTTGACAGATTTCGAAGATGGTAAAAATAAAATGTTCACGGCAAAGGCTGAGAACTGCAGTGCATCAGATCCCCATCAGTAGCAATGGTTGTAAGAAGATGATTGGCAAGTAATTTTGAACCTTGTTTTCTATACTAGGCCAAATTATGAATCAAGCATGGGGTAGAAAAAAGATACTGTTAGACCTCCAAGGACTCAAAAAAGCAGAAACCCATCGTCCCATGCATCCTTTCTTGGATAGTTACTTGAGGATGTATTCCAGCAAAGTGAGAAAGAAAGCTAAGAGAAAGACCTGGGATTGACTCTTGAGTGATCCACCAGAGGGTGGTAAAGGGAGTCCGGGGCTGTGCTCCCACTCAGGGACAAGGAGTGGGGGTGCGGATCCATGGGGTAGGAGAGGGCAGGGGAGGTCTTGAGAATAAAAGGGTGGCAAAACTGAGGCCACATCAAAGGCACATTATTATTCTGTTATTAATATTATTCTGTTAATAAAAAGGAAGCAAGGCAAATAAAAGCTATAGGGAAAATGTATATAACAAAATTCAACTTCCACTGTAAAGCAAACTAACATAGGATAGGATTTTCAGTTCCTGAGGGAAGGCAAAATGAGTTCGCCCCATTTGCTCTGGATGCTAAGAATATCTTCCTTGTGTGGTTGGAGACGGTGGTGGTGGTGTTGATGACTTTAGGCCCATAGAGAAAGAAATGTGCCCCTGGCCCAGCGGTTAGCTGTGCAGTGAGTAACATGTAACAGTGACATGCCCAACTGCCTAGGGGTGTAGAGGCTCCCACTGTTGCAGTTCGAATCCACTGGGCTCCACTTTTACTATAGACTAAGCTGCAAAAGTAAAGGCTGAGGAGGATGGTGTTGTGGGACCTAGAGAGAGTGGATAGCAGAGGCCATCCTACTCCCACCTTCCATGAAGGGGAGTCAAGATGCAGACCAAAGGTATGGTAGTAAATATAGGGGAGTAAGAGCTAATGTAAAGTTTCAGAGAGAATCTGCAGAAGAGTTAAAACACTCCTCTAATGTAAACACAGGGGGAGGAGGGAGAAGGTGCAGAGGGTAGAGGGGACTGGAGGTAATTACAGTTGATGCTTGAACAACATAGGGGTTGGGACCGTTGATCCCCTCCCCCATTGAGTCAAGAATCCACATAAAACTTTTGACTCCTCAAAAATTTAACTACTGATAGCCTGTTGACGAGAAGAAGCCTTGCTGATCACATGAACAGATAATTAACACATCTTTTGTATGTGAGATATATTCTGCATTCTTACAATATGGTAAGCTAGAGAAAAGAAAATGTTATTAAGAAAATAATTATAAGAAAGAATATATTTAGTATTCATTAAGTAGAAGTGGATCATTATAAAGGTGTTCGTTCATTCTCATTGTCTTCATGTTGAGTAGGCTGAGGAGGAGAAGAAAGAGGAGAAGCTGGTCTTGCTGTCTCAGGGGTGGCAGAGGCAAGAGAAAATTTACATGGAAGTGGACCCACGCAGTTCAAACCCATGTTGTTCAATGGTCAACGGTATTCATCTTTCATATTAGGAAGCCAGTGTATTTTGTCAAATACTCATAAATCACAAAGTAGGAGGACAAGTATTTTATTAACACTGAAGGGAATAACGACAAAAACAAATTAAAAACAGAAGCGATAAAAAGTTTAGTCCCCTAAAAAAAAAAAAAAAGTTTAATCCCAAGGTGGTAGAACTGGTGTGTGTGGGGGGAATGGGTAAAGAGACATTCTTATCATTAGTTTTTTTTTTTTTTTTTTTTTGGTATTTTTTAACCTTGTTCGTATGTATGATTAGAATTCCTGAATTTTAAAAATAAAACCAACAATCAAATTACTTCCAAAGTCCTTGAACATCATGACTCAATACTCCATAAAATAAACATATTTTACTGGTTTTCTTTTTCTTTTTTTTTTTTTTTTGAGACAGAGTTTCGCTCTTGTCACTCAGGCTGAAATCTTGGCTCACCGCAACCTCCACCTCCTGGGTTCAAGCGATTCTCCTGCCTCAGCCTCCTGAGTAGCTGAGAGGGATTATAGGCACGCACCACCGCACCCGGCTAATTTTGTATTTTTACATGGAGAGACAGGGTTTCTCCATGTTGGTCAGGCTGGTCTTGAACTCCTGACCTCAGGTGATCTGCCCTCCTCAGCCTCCCAAAGTGCTGGGATTACAGGCGTGAGCCACCACACCCAGCCTTTCTGTTTCATTTTTAAAATCATTTTCACTGGCACTTTCTCAGTTTTACAACTGTCACCAACTGTACACAGAGCATGCATTCTATACCCTAGACATGAAGGGAAAACAAACAAACAATCAAACAAACAAACAGTTTCTAATGCTTACCTAAAGTTACAGTGCCAGCTGATGAGAAGAATAATAACCACCCAGGCCCATCATGTTCAGGCACTTCCAGGTACCAGGACAGATGACTTCGACTCCTTCCTGACTCGTGGCAGCATCCTTACCTAGTCTCAGATCAATGAAACCTGTTCTTGTTTTAAAGGCCTCCCAGCAAGGAGCTCAGCCTGTCTCCTCTCCGGCTGAAGCAGTTCTATTTTTATTCCATGCTGTTTGATGGCTCATGTCCAAGCCAGTGGCTGTGCTCCAGGTGCCAGACTCCCTGGCAGCACCCCTATTATGGGACAAAGCTCTGCCTGGTCCAGGCAGCAACCTGGTCACAGCCTGATCACAGGCTGGTCACAGCCCTGTCATGGACATCTGTGCACACTTCAATCTGCCCGTTGTAGGGACAGCCTGCAGGCCTGCCTGAACCTGGCCAAGCCCTGATAACATGCAGGAACCACATCTGTGAACCATGTCACAGACTGTCAAATTGTCAAACATTTCACACCTACAGTGAATACAAAGAAAGGAAAAACAAGCCCCACTTTTCCCACCACCCAGTTCTCGTACAGGCAGACCTCAAAGATATTGTGGGTTTGGTTCCAGACCACTGCAATAAAGCAAATATCACAATAAAGTGAGTCACACACATTTTTTGGTTTCCCAGTGCATATAAAAGTTATGTTTAAACTATACTGTAGCCTATTAAGTGTGCAATAGCATTCTGTCTATAAAAATAATGTACATACCTTAATTTAAAAATACTTTTTTTGCTAACAAATGCTAACAATCATCTAAGCCTTCAGCAAGTTTTGGTCTTTTTCCTGCTGGAAGGTCTTGATTCAATGTTGATGGTTGCAGACTGATCAGGGTGGTGGTTGCTGAGGTTTGGGTGGCTGTGGCAATTTCTTCAATTAAGACAACAATGAAGTTTGCCACACCCAATTGACTAGTCTTTTAGTGATGGACTTCTCTGTAGTGTGCAATGCTGATAGCATTTTACCCACGGTAAAACTTCCTCCAAAATTGGAGTCGGTCCTCTCAAACCCTGGCACTGCTTTATCAACTAAGTTTATGGAATATTCTAAATCCTTTGCTGTCATTTCAACAATGTTCACAGCATCTTCACAAGGAGTAGATTCCATCTCAAGAAACCACTGTTTTTGCTCATCCATAAGAAGCAACTCCTCATTCATTCAAGTTTCATCGGAAAGGAGTCTTTTTTCCTGAGCAGTAGATCTCAAAGTGGGCTTAAAAATATTCAGTAAACCATGCTGTAAATAGACGTGCTGTCATCCAGGCTTTGTTCTTCCATTTCTAGAGCATAGGCAGAGTAGATTTAGTGTATTTTTAATGGTCCCAGGATTTTCCGAATGGTAAATTAGCACTGGCTTTAACTTAAAGTCATCAACTGTGTTAGCCTTTAACAAGAGAGCCAGCCTGTCCTTTAAAGCCAGCCATTGACTTATCTCTAGCTTTGAAAGTCCTAGATGGGATCTTCCTCAAATAGAGTCAGTTTCATTTACATTGAAAATCTGTTGTGTAGTAAAGCCACCTTCATCAATGATCTTGGCTAGATCTTCTGGATAACTTGCTGCAGCTTCTATAGCAGCACTTGCTGCTTCATCTTGCACTTTTATGTTGTGGAGATGCCTTCTTTCTTTTTTCTTTTCTTTTTTTTTAAGATGGAGTTTCATTCTTGTTGCCCAAGGTGGAGTGCAATGGCACGATCTCAGCTCACTGCAACCTCCGCCTCCCAGATTCAAGTGATTCTCCTGCTTCAGCCTTTCAAGTAGCTAGGATTACAGGTGCACGCCACCACGCCCAGCTAATTTTTTGTACTTTTAGTAGAAACAGGGTTTCACCGTGTTAGCTAGGCTGGTCTCAAACTCCTGACCTCAGGTGATCCTCCTGCCTTGGTCTCCCAAAATGCTAGGATTACAGGCATGAGCCACTGCGCCCAGCCTAATACTTTCTTTCTTTAAACCTCATGAATAAACCTCTGCTAGCTTCCAACTTTTCTTTTCTAGCTTTGTAGCTTCTCTTAGCCTTTGTAGAATTGAAAGAAAGTTAGGGACCTTGCTCTGAATTAGGCTTTGACTAAAGGGAATGTTGTGGCTGGTTTGATCTTCTATCCAAGCCACTGAAACTTTCTCCATATCAGCAATAAGCCCATTTCACTTTCGTATCATTCATGCATTCACTGGAGTTAACACTTTTAAGTTCCTTCGAGAACATTTCCTTTGCATTCACAATGTGGCTAACTACTTGGCACAGCCTACCTCACCTTTTGAGACTTCCTCACATGGCTTCCTCACTAGCTTAACTATTTCTAGCTTTTGATTTAAAGTGAGAGACCTGTGACTCTTCCCTTCACTTGAACACTTAGAGGCAATTGTAGGGTTATTAATTGGCCTAATTTCGATATTGTGTCTTAGGGAATAGGGAGGCCTGAGGAGAGGGAGAAAGACAGGGAAAGGCAGGTTGGTGGAGCAGTGAGAACACACACATTTATCAATTAAATTTGCCATCTTATATGGAAGTGGTTCATGGCACTCCAATTACAAGAGTAACATCAAAGATCACTGATCACAGATCACCATAATAGATGTAATAATAGTAAAAATGTTTGAAATATTTTGAGAAATACCAAAATGTGACCAAGACACAAAGTGAGCATGTGCTGTTGGAAAAATGGCACCAATAGACTTGTTCAAGGTGGATTTGCCACAAATCTTCAATTTCTAAAAAACACAATATTTGCAAAGTGCAATAAAATCATGTGCACTAGAACAAGGTATACCTGTAAATCCTAAATAAATCTAATGTTGCAACCCCCTTGGGCCCCTCTCAGTCACCTTGTCCTGACTTTGGGATTAACCTTCATCATGTAGGTTTCATGCTCTTGGTCTATAGATACTCATCAGTTCAGGCTGCTAAAACTAATTACTATAGACTGGATGACTTAAACAACAAACATTTACTTTTCACAGTTCTAGAGGCAGGGAAGTCCAATATCAAGGTGCGGACAGATCCAGCGTCTGGTGGGGGCTCTCCTCCTTGTTTGCAGATGGCCACCACCTTCTTATATCCTCATGTGGATGAGAGAGAGATCATCCCTCTCACATCTCTTCTTGTGAAGGGATCAATCCCATTCATGAGGATTATGAAATCATGAGATCCACCCTCATGGTCTAATCACCTCCCCAAGGCCTTACCTCCTTAATGCCATCCTATTGAGGGTTAGAGTTCAACACGTGAGTTTGGCAGGGACACAAACATTCAGTCCATAGCAGGTATGGATGCATGAGTAGCACATGGCATTGCTTGGTGTGTTTGGTGCTCCTTTAGCAGCTTGCTTTTGTGGTGCAGCATGGTTTTTGGGTGACTTTGGGATGACACACTCAGCTCTATGTCATCCCTTTGCACCAACGTGTGGACAGCCTTTGGGCGTGTCTGTCCTTGTGTGGACATGTTGAGGGCATTTGGGGTATGTCCAAAAGTACGCTCATGAATGTTGGTGGACATCTTTTGGGGGATGAAGTGGGGACACACTGTGCCAGCTTACCTTTGGCAAGCTCTTAGCCTCACAAAAGTGCTATTGTGAGTTTTAATGACAAAAGTGATACCTGAGTAGTTTTGAGAATTTAGAGAGCATACAAAAATAAGTAAATAAAAGTCATCTGTTGTCCTCTACCTAAAGGTAACAATTGCTTGAGTTGGTTCTGTCTCTTACCTGTCCTTATGTTTTTGAGAAGGAGCCTCACTCTCACCCAGGTTGGAGTGCAGTGGTGTGATCTCGGCTCACTGCAACCTCCACCTCCAGGGTTTAAGCCATTCTCCTGCCTCAGCCTCCTGAGTAGCTGGGATTACAGGCACCACACCCGGCTAATTTTTGTATTTTTAGTAGAGACGAGGTTTCACCATGTTGGTCAGGCTGGTCTTGAACTCCTGAGCTCAGGTGATCTGCCCGCCTCAGCCTTCCAAAGTGCTGGGATTACAGGCATGAGCCACCTCACCTGGCCTACCTACCCTTTTTCTATGCATTTAAACATGTAAACACAATATAGCTATAGAGAAAAGTGTTTTAATAAATCATGATCATACTTCTGTACTGTTTTGCAACCTACCTCACCTCTTTCACTTAATAATAGATTGGGTATTAGTCATAATGGAGGTTATGTGGTTCATTGAATTAATCTCCTATTCCTGGACATTTAAGCTATTCGAAACATCTTGATATTTTTATTTTATTTATTTATTTATTTATTTTTTGAGACGGAGTCTCGCTCTGTTGCCCAGGCTGGAGTGCAGTGGCGTGATCTTGGCTCACTGCAAGCTCTGCCTCCCAGGTTCACACCATTCTCCTGCCTCAGCCTCCTGAGTAGCTGGGACTACAGGCGCCCACCACCACGCCCAGCTAATTTTTTTTGCATTTTTAGTAGAAACGGGGTTTCACCGTGTTAGCCAGGATGGTCTCAATCTCCTGACCTCGTGATCTGCCCGCCTTGGCCTCCCAAAGTGCTGAGATTATAGGCGTGAGCCACCGCGCCCGGCCCATCTTGATATTTTTAACAGATAACTTTCTTTTAATGTTGTTCTTATGTGACATTCGCTGCATTCACAAGAACATATGTAATGAAAGTGTGAGTGCGACCCTGTCCTCAGCACTAGGCTGTCATCATCGCTGACACTCCTATGTGTGCCTCTCCTGGCCCTGTGACCCTCACTGCAGAGGCACCTGTTCTCTTGGATTTAGAGTTTGTGTTTCCATTGTAATCCAGGTTCCACAAACTAGTAGCTGGTCTTCCCAAAGTGGAAGGTTCATGTACAAAGTCCACTGGGCCACGGTGGGAGAGCACTGCAGAGCCCGGGAAGGAGGCCATCCTCCCTGCTCTGAGCATGTTCCGCCCCCACAGGCCAACAGTCGATCTCAGAAAACCCACTGGAGTGTGTTTATGGTTAAAAGAGCAGGAGACAGACAAGAGACAGGGAGCAGCTGTGTTCATCAGGGTAAGCATGCAATAACCACTTTCCCAAAACACCTTGTGTTGCTGGTGTTGAGATGAGGACCCCTCTTAGGAGGTGCAGAGGAAGTCTGCTGATTATGCAGGCCATCTTGATATTTACTGTTGATTCTCCCTGGTCCCCTGGCCCATTCATAAGTAAATGATTACCTAATTGTGAGGTTGGGAATGGAAGACATTATGATGGGGCAGGGGTCAAGAATGAGCCCTGGAGCTGGGGTCAGGACACCCAGACTGAGCTCCTTGGGCCTATCATGTGCTTGTAAATGAGGGCAACGCCCGTCACGACTTTGTACTGTCTGTCTCTGAGTTCCAAGAGGTCTGAGTGAGTGGACGCGGTACCTAGACACATTGGCAGCCTGGGCACAGGGAGTCACAGCTATGCAGGGGAAAGGGCTTTGCCTGGTTGCTTGGTGGGCCCTGAAGGGAGGTCTGAACCTCACAGTGCCTGGGACTGGGCCCCCCTGAGGGCAGCTTGCTCATCTTTTTAGAGGACATTGCATTGGACACACTGAGCTGCCAGGTGCAGGCCCACACTGGCCAGTGTTCAGGCCCCAGAAATGCAGCAGCCAGAAAAATGCTAAGTCACCAGCCCTGTGTCATGGGGCCTGTCACTCTTCTGGGCCTGTCCCACAATGCCAGAGAATAGACAAAGGTACCCCTAGACAGGTTAGAAGCCTTTAGAACTCAGAGCTTAAAAGGCAGCTGTGGCCAGTGGTCCAATCAGACCAGGGTCCCTCCGTGACTTTTGCCAGCTGTGTGACCTTGAGAAGGCCACTTCAACCCTCTGAGCCTCGTACCCTCTGCAGCCCTAAGTTGGGACTACTCACACCTCCCTCCCTCTGAGAGTGCTCAGAGGGTACAGCTCAGCAAGCAACCCTCTGGCCCAGGATCTGGGCAAGTGGCTGCTGCCCGGCAGGCCTCTGGGACAGGGAGTGCAATGTGGGACAGCCTTCCTCTGTGTCCCAGGTCAGTCCCAGTCTCTGTCCACAGGGATCATTTCCCAGTGGCATGTGAGAGTGGAGGCCTGGCCTGGGGGCCTGAGTATCTGGCATGGGTACAGTTCCCAGCATCTGACATCTCGCACACCACTGGGAACTTCACCATGACCCCACACAGACCATGCCAAGCTTGCTTCCCAGGTGAAGGCAAGGCTCAGGAAAAGACTTCTTTCCACAGCTGCGTGGCAGGCTGCTCAGAGCTGAAGGCCCAGCTGCGTCTGGCACGGAGACACCAGACCTTTCTCCGCCCTGAGCAACGGCTGTGCAGGCAGCAGCAGGTGAACTGGGGTGCAGGTCTTCAAGAACTGATCGGCTTTTAAGAACTGTAGTGAAGTGACAATTATTTTTACTATTACTCCTACTTTTTAAAGCTGAATAGTTGATAGGGAATACTATGAAGGATGACAAAACACAGGTGGAAGAGATGCTCAGTCCAGTTTAATTCAACTATGTTTTGTGAATTTGCTTGGGTCATGGAGAGTGGGATGCAGGCTCCTTCCACTAGGCAGGAGTTCATCAAGCCCTGCAGCCTAAGCTGCCACTTTGCTCCCTGCAGCTCAGGGGAGTGCAGGAAGGACATGAAGGCTGGGGTGGATGGGGGGCTCATCCTGGACTAGTTCAGGGTTGGGGGCAGCCTGATGTGCAGCCACATCTCAGCCGCACAGGGTAATCACAGAGGTCCTTATAAGAGGGAGATTAGGAGGTCAGAGAGGAGACGCTACTCTGATGGATTTGAAGACAGTGGAGGAGGCCACAAGCCAAGGAACGTAGGTGGCCTCTACAAGCTGGGAAGGAAAACAAGACTCCAGAAGGAAGCAGCCCTGATGACACCTGGATTTTAGCCCTGTAAGACTTGTTTTGCACTTCTGACCTCCAGAGCTGCAAGAGAATAAAAGAATAAATTTGTGTTGCTTTAAGCCACTGCTTATGGTAATTTGTTACAGCAGGAATAGGCATTCTATTTTTTTTTTTTTTTTGAGACAGAGTCTTGCACTGTCGCCCAGGCAGGAGTGCAATGGCGCGATCTTCGCTCACTGCAACTTCCAGCTCCCGGGTTCAAGCCGTTCTCCTGCCTCAGCCTCCCGAGTAGCTGGGATTACAGGCACCCGCCACCATGCCCGGCTAATTTTTGTATTTTTAGTGGGGATGGGGTTTCATGATGTTAGCCAGGCTGGTCTCAAACTCCTGACCTCGTGATCTGCCTGCCTTGGCCTTCCAGAATGCTGGGATTACAGGCATAAGCCACTGTGCCCAGCCAGCAACTGGCAATTAATACAGGCCTTGTGTTTCCAACACTGTCTTCTGTACAAACCTGCCTGTCCTATGTACCATTGGAATGCTGGTCTCTGATGCGTAACGGTGGAGGAAAGTTGGTGCAGAGATAGCAGCCCTGCCAGGAGTAGCTGCATGTCTTTACTGCTTTCCACGTAGGAGACTTTTTAGGAGTGGTGCCAATGGCAGGAATTTTAGCATGGCCTAGATGAGGTTTGATTGGGGGTAATTGAGCCACCCATGTCCCCAGAATAAGCTACACATCGCCTAGTCTGTTATTCAAGACCTTCTGCAGCCAAACCCAACCCAGAAAAGGCCAGTCCACACCCCAACATGACCAACAAGGCTAGGAGAAAGTGTCAGAGGGTCTTGATGATTACACCCCAGTGAGTCCACTTGGAAAACACTGTGGCCCTTCCTCTGAACGCTAACTGGGCCCCCTTCCAGAACACCAGTCCCTTCATGGAATTCCTGGCAAGCAGTGTTTCAGCCCCTGCTTGAATGCCTCCAGCGACAGGGTGCTCACTGCCTACAGGCCAGCACCAAGGAATGGGAAGTCCTTCTTTATTAATTTATTTGTTTTTGAGACAGAGTTTCGCTCTTGTTGTCCATGATGAAGTGCAGTTGCGTGATCTCGGCTCACTGCAACCTCTGCCTCCCGGGTTCAAACGATTCTCCTGCCTCAGCCTCCCAAGTAGCTGGGACTACAGGCACAAGCCACATTTTTGAATTTTTAGTAGAGACAGGGTTTCTCCATGTTGGTCAGGCTAGTCTTGAACTCGAAATCCTGACCTTAGGTGATCTGCCTTCCTTGGCCCCCCAGAGTGCTGGGATTACAGGCGTGAACCACTGCGCGCGGCCAGAAGTCCTTCTTTAGAGGGGCAGATGTCACTGTGAGCCTTTGCCAGGCTTGGCCCTCTTAGGGAGTGCACCTCCGCCCTCCACCAGATGTTTCCCCTCACCTGGGTCACTATGCAGCCAGACACAGCACTTCGCCTAACTGCCACAAACCTGACTTCTAATCCAAGTCCTGAGAAATATGGAAAAAGGGTCAGGTCCAGGAGTGTCCTGAGGCTGGCCTCTCAGGCCTGCCTCCAGGACACTGTCATCTCTGCTCAGCACAGAGGACCTGTCAGCCACAGACCCTCTCCGCCACCCGAAACTGCTTTGTGACCTGGTCCAAAAAGAAAGCGTGAGAAGAAAATGTGCTACACGCATGCCAGAGACACTCATACATTTGTTCTTCAAAAGCCGGGAAAATCTATTGCTTGCTTTTTTTCTCCATTACCGGGGGCCTCTGAAGGCCTTAGGAGACCCCTCATTCCTGGGATGGGGGCTCCATGAATGGTGGGTCCCCCAGTCTTCTGGAAAGAAATACCAGGAGGGGTTTCAAATCTCAGCAGTGACATAACTGACAGGCTTTTTTTTTTTCCTGTCAATATTTTTTAAGCATCTGGGATCCTCTGACAACTATTTATGGAAGCGGATCCACCCTGCAGTTGCTGCTATCTGGGGAAGTTACTGAGCAATAAATGGCTCTGAGAAGGCGGAGCAGTGGCTGTCCTGGGAAAATACTCCAACCAAGAATGGGCTCCAAACGTCTCAGTACCAAAATGACTTTGTTTGAAAAATGTGTGCTTGTTTTTATGACTGTTCAGTATGTGCCTGGGTGCATTCATTTCACGCCTCCCTCCCCCCAGTCTATGATACAGAAAACAAACGTTCATCAGGCAATGCCAGCTGGTGTCAGGGTAGCTTCAGGAAAAACCATGTCTAATCAACTGCGATGCCTGTATTTGTTAGTAACACTTCACATTTTGTGGTGGTTTTCATTTACCCTATGAACAGGTAATCACAGGCCTGGTATGGTGGCTCAATCCTGTAATCCCCAGCACTTTGGGAGGCTGAGCCAGTGGATCACCTGAGGTCAAGGGTTTGAGACCAGCCTGGCCAATATGGTGAAACCTCGTCTCTACTAAAAATACAAAAATTACCTGGGCGTGGTGGCAGACATCTGTAATCCCAGCTACTCAGGAAGCTGAGGCAGAAGAATCGTTCGAACCTGAGAGGCAGAGGTTGCAGTGAGCTGAGATTGCCACCATTGCACTCCAGCCTCGGCGACAGCAACGAGTGGGGCTACACAGCGAGACTGTGTCTCAAAAAAAAGAAAAAGAACAGGTAGTCATGTATGAACAGTGTACAGCCCAGATGCAGCGCTGGTCTACCCCTGGGTGAGGCTGAGATGTGGCTGCACCAGCACCTCCCTTCTACATGCTGTGGCTAGAACAGGGTTCGGGCCAGACCTCCACCCCAGCAGCCACCTCCTCCACTAGCTGCCAGCTTCCCACTGCCTCTGATGAGGACATCATCTGCCCTGGGGACAGCCAGGGGCAGTTAGTGTTCATTGGGGACTTAAACGGGCTCTGCTATCAACACCTGCCTTCCTACTCCCCAGACTCCCAGTGTCCTGGGACTCGTCCTCGCTGGAGCACACTTTGGGGTCAGTGCCCGTGGTAGGTTGTAGGAACTTTGGTAGCTAGAAACAGGGGAGTTTTCTAGACTCTAGGCTGAGGGGTGAGGCAAGCAGCGCATCTGGGGTTGAAAGAAGCGGTGGCTGCTGCCCAGGAAAAGGAAGTCCAGGTGTTTTGGGGGGACTTTGAGGGAAAGGTGCTGTGCCCTTTGAGGGAATCTGCCATCACCACATCCCGTTCTCCTCCGTGCTCTTTCGGATGGACGGAGGGGTGGGAATGTGAAGAGCTGAAATAGCTTCCCATGGGCAGGAGGGGAAGCCAGAAGAGCACCCACTGTGTGCAAGAGCTCTTCTGCAAAGCCTTCCTTCCAAAATAGGACCCGCCAAGTTCCAGGCAAGCTTCAGTCCCTCAGTCAATTGCAACTGCTTGAGTTTGTGCATTTCAGTTCCCCTCCCCTCCCGGAGCCTCTGCAAGACATGCTCTTCAAAGAAACTAGCTCCAGCAAATAAAATAATGAATCATAAATTTTATTTCAAAATGTAAACGTCACTAAACATGCATACACGTTAAAACAATAAAATTTACAATTTCGTTAATTTTTCTTTTTGCATAGGACATCATTACAATATAGAATCTATGCCATACAAAATACATACAAAGTTTTATCCGAGCAAGCCAAGGCCAGACTGGGAACTGTACAACTGTAATACTTCACTGTAGTGATCCAGGAAAGATGAAACGTGGCCTTCGGAATTATGGTGGGTGCTGGTTAAAAAAAAGTTCCTACAGAAAAGAAAAACATGAGCTCCATGGAAATGGTCTTGGACCCTTGGATTCTGCCTTGGGCTTTTGGCAAATGATTCCAGAGAAGCTCCACCAATGGCTTTGGATGGGAAGGGGTTGCCTGTGCGGGCCTGGGGCAGCTGAGACCCGGAAGCATGCACCCAACACATGCACACAAGCAATTCCCAGTCACCAAGGAACCACCGAAAGCCCCAAACCCGACAATGACAATGCATAGTTGCTCAGTAGTGCCTCCTTTCTGCTGAGGCTTTCCAGCCCCAGAGGCCTCAGCACTAGGCACCAGGGGCCTCTCTAGGATGAGGCCAGGGAGCAAAGTCTCCCACTCACACACCCAGAGGCAGGCACCTGGAGCCGGCACAGACGCTGGGGCTAATGAGCCCACGTGGTGTCTAGAGCCACATGGGAGGTGGCCTCTTGCTCCTCTCAGGGCAGCCAGGTACAAGGGCTCCTCTGCTGAGTGCATGGCCTGGCAGGCATTCGGCTCACACACCTGGTTTCCAAATAAGCACGCACTGCGACCTGTCCACGGGCCCTCTAGAAGAGGCCAGGGAAAACAGGACCCTGAGGCCTTAAGAAAGCTGTTCCCGTGCTCCCACCCCCACCCCCATGACTTCCTGCCTCCACCCCCCACCCCCCTCCCCGGAATGTGTGACTTGTAGGGTAGGGGACGCTACTTCTCTCCCATCCAGTTCATTTTTAAATAAAAGTAGTAAAGTTTTAAAGCTGTATGAGAAAGAGAGAGGCAGGGCAGGGCCAGGTGGCCGCACTGCAAGTCTGAAATCTTCATGGGGGTCAGTAGAAACCAAGCGCGACCCCTCTTCCCTCATGGACACCGGGCTCCCGTCTCCTGCTGAATTCAACTCTTCTGATGCTGAGGGACAGGACAGCAGGCAGGAGGCGGCGCCTCGCCCTAAAGGGTGCTCAGGCGTGTATCAGTAGTAAGGTGGACTATGCATCCAAGTTCTGGTACAAAGGTCTCCGGAATGTGTCTCAGACAAGCCTTCAGAGCCTCAGAATCAGGAAAATTAGTAATAGGACCTGGTTCTTCCTGGGGTAATCCTGATTTCAAAAACCATCAGCCCACGCCTCAGATTTTAGTTTTGGAAAATATGGTGACCAGAATTGTATATGGAAACAGTCAGCAAAAGATGTGGATAACCTACCAAGCGTTTCTTACTGGTTGTGATGTGACCAACACATTACACCCTTTAAACCTCTAGCACTGTGTCTTTGACTAAATGACCTTTTTTAAATGGGGGAAAGAAAATCAGTGACACCTGTCAGAAGTCAAAATAGTCAGGTAGCCCTGTACACACAGCCACAACCAGAAGCGGAGAAACAAGGCCACACTATTGCTCAGATCACATCTTCCTGTTGGGTGGCACCCCTGCCCAGCTGAGATCCTGAATGGGTCCCGAGGGAGTGCCGGGACCCTGTGCAGTCCATCTTAGCACCTGCTTCTGGCAAGAAAGAGGCTGGTCTTCTGGACACACCGGGTGGGGAGACAGAACACTTGAGGTCAAGTCCTGAGGCAGAGTGGCCAGCCCTCTCTGCCCATCCCCACCTCTGAATCACCCCTCACTGGTCTGAGCTGTGTTCAGGGTGCTGCAAGGACTGGGATCGCCAGTGCCTCAGATGTTTGTACCCGGAGGCTGCACCATGGCGAATCCTGCACCTGCCTCGGTGTGGGGCCTGGGAATAAAGTCAGGGTTAGGAGTGAGGCGATCTTGCACTCGAGTGTCGTGGGTGGGGGTGCAGCAGGATGCAGGTAGGGCACCTCCAGGACCATGTTCCCATCCAGGACATCTCTGCCCATTCCTATGCAGCATCCTGCAGGACAGGACCCCAGGGCTCTTTAAGGAAAGGGCTGTGTCCGTCTGTTTTCCTGTATGGCTGTAGGATCCAGTAGGCATTTGGGGAGCTGACAACCGTTCCCCTAATATGGCTGATGTAAAGAGGGGCTTCCTTGTCTGGGACAGGAGCAACACCAGCCCCTTGATGGCTGAGCCCCAAATCAATTTTAGGCCTTTTATAGGGGAACTCTCCCTTCACTCAGGCAACCTTCACTTTGACATCTCTGCCCCTATGGACCACGAGAACTGAAGTCCCAAAATAAGGGTTTGAGTTTTCACTATTATTTCTATGAGTCCTATGGGTTCCTCAACCCCACCAAAACTGGCAAGCATGGCCATAAACCACAAAAATGGAAGACCCTGAAATAGACGCAGTCTGGGAAAACATTCTGCATGTTTGAAGAAAATGGAGGCTGTTTCAGGAGGGTCCGCCTTGTGTGCCCGCCTCAGTGGAGGCAGCGTTCCAAGGCCCACCACCCTCTTCCACAGGAGTCCCTCACTTCATGATGAAATGGAAACCTGCCCTTGAGGACCCCTGTGAACCGTGCCTGAGATTCATGGGTTTCTCCCTGCCCTTCAAGCGAGATGAGTTTAAGCCGCAGATGATTCAGGAGGGTCTGGCCAGGAGTACCCAGGAGGATTTCTCTCCTGGTGCCCTACCCCCATTTCCCAGTCCAGGCCGGGGCCTAAGGACCGCACCCTGCCATTAAACGAGAACCACTTTGGGAATGAAGACACGCTCTTATGCCAAAAATAGCCAACGCCTGCATATTTCTGTTTTAAGGCAATGTTACCCTTCCATCTATCAGACGGAACAGCCCTGGGTCATTTAAAGGAAAAATTAAATTAAGTGCTCTCTTTGGAAACAGCCAACACCCGCTTCCCTCCCCCACCCCCCGCCCTGCTCTAAAACAAACCAGCTCTTCTTTTTATTCCAAGATGACTAGGTTTAGAGTCCTATCTTTTCCTTCCTATGTGCAGACAGATGTGGAGCTAGAAAATCTCCTTCCGTGACACCCTGGGCAGATCACAAGGACGTCTGACCCCTCCCTGGAGAGCACTTTGCCAGCCTCCCAGGGACGGGCCACTCCCTCTCCCTGCCTTGGGGAACGGTGGACGGTGAGTGCACCAAAGGACTTTGGAATAAAATTCCTGAACCTGGAATGTGAATTCCTGAGACATAAAATGTATTCAGAGTGTGGCTTTCTCTGCCTCACACGAAAACAACTTTGGGAGGGACCTCACTTTGGAACTGGGCATGAAGATCTTTGCACCACAAGCACCCAGGGCTCTCTTCTGTCAAGGTCCCTACCAAATATTCCACTCTCTCTCCCAGACCCAATGCAAGCAGGGAGGTCAGAGAGCCCCAACACAGCATGGCAGCCAGAGGGACCAGCTCCGCATCCAACCAGAGTGGAGGTGACCCTCTCCCTGCCAGTTCCCACCACAGCAGAAACAATGCCACTGCCCAATTTAGGGTCCATCGGTCTACCTAGAAGTCACCACCACGCTGTCGGCCAATCCCAGCTGACACACAGTGGTAAGAAGCGGGCACCTGACGGCATACTGTGCCTGAGCAGCTGCTGTGGACAGAGCGTACCTGTCCACTCTGGAGCCAGCCAAAACAGTGACCATCAGCTGTGGGCAGTGGCTAGGCCTGGGTCCTGGGTTTGTGCTGCACCCCATAGCATGGCAGGGCTGAGTAGAAGCAGGATGGCCACAACCAAGGCACGCTAGGCCCAGGAAGCCCATCTGTGGCCCTCTGAGGTCCCAGGGCCGTTCCTTTGCATCAAAATAGGTACTCATCAAAACAGGTATCTCTGGCAAGATACCCTGAGTCCACCCCAATCCCCCCACCCCCCCCAACACACGCGTGTGTGCTCACGCGCGCACACACCCACACGCACGCACACACTCTGTCCTGGGCCCTTGTATTTACAGGCCTCAACTCTCAGGAGGAAGGGAAGGTGATACCTGGGCCACAAGCCTGGGTCAACACTCCAGCCATCTGCAGAGGAGTTTGCTGGACCACGGCTTGACTGACCCCCGCCCAGGGCTCGAATCCCAGCCCAGGACCCAGCTCTCTGCTCCTCCTCTCCTGCCAGGAGAAGGCCGGTGATGGGGCACTGGAGCAGCCCCACCAGCTGGGTGTGGCCTGGAGCCTCCAGGCAGGACAAGGAGAAGCAGGAGGAAAAGGGAGGAGGAGTCCAGGGGAAACGGAGAGGCTGGAGGTTTGCTAAGTCTGAGTTGGGGACATGGTGGGTCTGAGAAAAGTGTTGCCCGCAACTTTCTATCTGGCATTCCCTGCGGAGGAAATAGAATGCGCGCTCTCCGACAGCATTTCCTGTAACATCCGCGCCACTCCTGAAAAGGTCCAAGTCACAATGTTCCGGTCTCTTGCTACAGAATGGTCTCTGTGAAGCATGGTGCGCTGCCACATGCACAGCCGCTCACACAGACCCTCTGATGAGGAGGCCCCATGACCTGCCCACTGTTTCCAACAAAAGTGCCCATGCGGGCAAACTCGGAACTGGATGTGCCACCAGGAATTTCTAACATCTTTTTAGAAGACCAGAATTCCCCATCAGAGGCCCAGGTATAGTAGTGACAGGGTCCTGCATGCCTTCTGCTGGGACACGGAGAAGCGGAGTCCTGGCAGGTGTGACCCCGGCCCCTGCCTCGGAGGTCGGACGGTGCAGTGCTACGCTCAGCCAGGGCTGGCATCTCTGCTTCCAGTGCTCCCTAGCGCCGTAGGAGAGGGCTCCTGAAGGCGGGGTGTGAGGCAGGCAGGGTGCAGAGGGCTGAAGGCCCCCTCCACTATCCCCAAGGTGGAGTGCTCCTCCAGCCAGGGACAGCTTTAAGGCATCCCTCTGCAGGGGCCTGTCTCAGAATCAGCTGCGTTGCAAGCCCAGCCAGGCTCGTTGGGCAGAGGCCAGAGACTGGGTTGGGGGCTGGGCAGGAAGAGGTCAGGCCAGCTGCTTAGGAATCTGCCCTGGAGGCACAAACGTCAGTGAGCACATCTGCTCCCAACAGACCCACAGGCTGGCCAGCCAGCCAGACGCTGAGCTCCACCAGACTGGCTGGCCTGCTCTGTCCCCAGCGTGTTCCCGAACCTAACAGAAAACTCCAGAGTGCAAATCTATGTACAGAGTAAGGCGGCAGGAAGGGGTGTCCTCACTGACCTCGTGAAACGTGTCCATCCCTGAGAAAGGGGGTTCAACAACGCTGAATCTCAACTTTGTGGGTGTATCTATTGTGCAATTTGGTGGGTGGTGTTTTTTGAAATTTTTGTGTTTTTTTTGTTTTTTTAACAAATTTACTTTGACACCTGAGGTGAAAAAAATTGTTTTTTCGTGGACTTTGCATCAAGTTCTCTCTCTTCTTTCTTATTACAAAAGGAAAGGCCAGGGACTCACGAGGGGGTGGGAGCGGCTGCTCATGGCTGTGGCGGGCTCAGGGCGAGCTGGCCGGGCTGATGGTGGGGCTGCTGGCGTCGGAGCGGCTGTAGTCGCTGAGGGAGCCGGTCCGCGAGCCCCCGCCGCGCCGCTGCAGCATTCCCGGGTGGAAGTTGGCGTGGCGGCGCGCGTGCTTGGTCAGGTGGTCGCTGCGCATGAAGCGCTTCTCGCAGATGGGGCAGCTGAACTTCTTCTCGCCCGTGTGTGTGCGGTAGTGCCGCGCCAGCTCGTCGGAGCGCGCGAACTTCTTGTTGCAGTCCTGCCAGCTGCAGGCGAAGGGCCTCTCACCTGTGGGCACAGGGGCAGAGCATCAGTATCCGCACCTGGCCCCGCCTTCACACCCTCTCTGGGGAAGGGCCCGCAACACCCAACACCCTGGTCTCTCAACACCCCTCCCACATGCCCCACCTCCAAGAGCTTCTGTGACAAATCCATCAAGGCAGAGATGAAGGTGGGCCCCTGCCCTCCCGCCCACGCCTGGGATGGAGGCAGAGGACACGGCCTAGGATAAAACAGCATTTCAGGTGCTGAAGCTGCAGGGCCCATGGGTAGGTACAGGTCAGGGCCCCAGGCTCCTGGCAGTGGACCCCCTAAGTACACCACAAAGCAGGCTGCACTACACACCCATGCCGGGCCAGTGGTCTCCAACGCCTGGGGGTTGCAGGCCCATGCCCTGGCTTCACAGGCCTCCCGGAGTCCAGCCGCCCATGCTGCTCCATGGGAGCCACACTCTGCACCCCTGCAGGGCAGGAAGGCAATTCCCATTCTGACCCTCCTCAGTCTAGTCTGTCACATGAGAGGGTCAGCGTAGGTGAGTTCCGGGGCCTGGAATTCTACAACCAGTCTGCTGCTCCTTCTCTCACAAAAGTCCCAAAGTGACCAACCAGGGACGGCTGGCAGAGCAGGAGAATGAAACAGCCTCTTGCAGACCCAAGTGTGGTGACAGACAAGGGCAGCAACCCAGAGCACCCCATTATAGGGGCCTGTGCCGGTAGGGAGGAGGCAGAACACAGTGGGGTGGGAGGTAATGAAGGTTGGCTACGGTCAGGATGCTGCTCCCTCCTTCCCATCCCTCACTCGGAGCGGGAGACAGGCCAGCATTTACCCAGGCAAACTCAACACACAAAACTCTGAATCACAAAAATGACATCAACTGCTCAGGAAGAACCAGGGTGGGGGGCTCTGGCACCCCAGAAACGAGCCCTTCTTGTATTAGGGGTGGCCGCAGGGCTGCCCTTCCTACACGGTCTCATCCCCTCTCACCCCCATACAGACCCTAAAGTGACTGCCAGTCACTGAAGCTGGTCTACCCATGTTCAACAGAGGAAACCCACTCACCCACCCACCTTAAACACAAGCAGATACCCAGGGATGGCCAGACAGCCAGGGAGAACCAGCAGCATGGAAAAGAAAGGCCAAGCGCAATGCAACCACCAACTCTAGAGGAAAAGAGTGAAGCCAGGAAAGAGAAGAAAATTTTAACTTGAAATTTCTGATTAGTATTCTCTGAGGAATTTGAGATGAAATTTGATGCAAAAGCAAAGAGGATACCATACAAAGAAGTTCAGAGAGCAAAAACGGCCAGGCGCGGTGGCTCATGCCTATAATCTCAGCACTTTGGGAGGCTGAGGCGGGTGGATCACTTGAGATCAGGGGTTTGAGACCAGCCTGGCCAACATGGTGAAACCCCGTCTCTACTAAAAATACAAAAATTAGCCAGGTGTGGTGGTGTGCACCTGCAATCCCAGCTACTCGGCAGGCTGAAGCAGGAGAATCACTTGAACCTGGGAGGTGGAGGTTGCAGTGAGTCAAGATTGTGTCACTGCACTCCAGCCTGGGCAAGAGAGCAAGGGTCTGTCTCAAAAAAAAAAAGCAAAAACAACAGCATTTAGGAATTGAAAACAGCATTGTGTGCATATAAAACTTTCATATAAAAGCTGGAAATATACTCAAAGCAAATATATGAGAAAAAAAGAACCAAAAAACAGTTCTGGAAAATATGTGGATGTCACGATGTTCCGTCTCCTGGTACTGCTGAAGCAGGGGCCGTGTGTGGGTACACTTGCTCTCTTTATTGATTTTACATGTTGGGGGAAAGGGTGTTGGGGGGATTCAAAATCAAGTAGCCACCACGATTTCCCAAATACACGACAATTACAATCAAGTGAGAAAACAGAAAACATGGAGAAGAAATTACAAAAGAAATAATAGAACAGTCTCTGTCAAAGAGTAAAAAAAAAAAAAAAAAAAAAAGAAAAAGGAGACAGGAAACTAACATGAGACAGGCTGCACAGAGGTGGACCAGGTAAATGAGTTAAGACCTCTGCTGCGAGAAGCTCTGCAATGTCAGAACACTGAGTAAAAACAGGAGCTCTCACAGCTTAATAGAGAGAGGGGGAAGAAACAAACACCAGGTCATCCACAAAGGAACAAGGCTGGGATAGACATCAGACTTTTCCTAAGTCACACTGGATCCTGAAGACAAAGGAACAGGGCCTTCCAAGTTAATGTCTCACACACTCCAGCTAAAATGAGATAAAACCAAGGAGCTAGAGACATGACTGAATAGTAAAGGGCCATTGCATGACAAGAGTGAGGCAGAGACCCCGGGAGGTCACTGGAGCACAGGACCAAGACTCACGGGGGAAAATTCCAGGAGGAAAGTGAGTTTTGTGCACCAGAGAGTACCATCAAAAGGCTGGGTAAACTTCAGGACCCAGTAAAGACACACCACTCTTCTTTGTTTAAAAGAAAAAAGAGGCAATTAGAAACTCCAGGAAAAATAAAAGACATACAAAAAAATTGTGGTTCAAATTAGATGTAAACGAAAATGCCTCATGATTATGGGTCAAGAGCTCCGAGCCAAGCTCGGTTCTAGGGGTTTTTCCTATGCTCTATTATTTATTCTTCACAACAACTCCATGAGGTGGTGGCAGGAAATGTAATCCCAGCACAGGCCCTGCTGATGGAAGCAAACTTTACACAGTTGTGGTCATGCTAACCTTAGCACTAGTTGTCAATGTTTCAGAACCAATCCTATAAACAAAGGCCATACAACTGACCTGTGGGCCCAGCAGAGAACATGGATTTAAGGGAAAAGTTGGAATGCACACAGTGTGCAAAGAACGTATCTAAATGAAACACAGAGATTTAAAATTACAAAGATAGTCAACAAAATAAGTAAAATAATACATCCATCAATTTAGGAAGAGTTGGAGGGGAGGGATAGGAGTCAGGTAAATCCTTAAATTTCATGGCAGGAGGATAACAGAAAATATCTAAATTTGATAAATCAAGAAACAGCAGTAAAATACAGTTCATTTATGGCAGTAACCATCAAGACAACTAAAATCAGAAAAGAAGTGTTGCTGTCTAGGGAGTGGGGCTGGACTGGTGAGAGGATTTTTTTTGTTGCAAGCTCCTCTGTGTTATGGGTATCTATCTATCTACCTATCTATCTATCTATCTATCTATCTAATCTGAGATAGAGTCTTGCTCTGTCACTGCAGCCTCCACCTCCCAGGTTCAAGTGATTCTTCTGCCTCAGCCTCTCGACTAGCTGGGATTACAGGCGCCTACCCACGCTCGGCTAGTTTTTATATTTTTAGTAGAGACAGAGTTTCACCATGTTGGCTAGGCTGGTCTTGAACTCCTGACCTCAAGTGATCTGTCTTCCTCAGCCTCCCAAAGTGCTGGGATTACAGGTATGAGCCACACGCCTGGCTTGGGCCTTTTAAAAAAATCCTATGTATTTGTTTCTTCCATAACAAGAAGAAGAAGTGTTTAAATATAGTTCCTTAAATATCTAGTCCAATATTTCCCAAAACATGTTCAAAGAAATGTTATCATTGTATAAAACTGTTTATCGTTTCCAGAAAAAAAATTTTGTCAACTAAAGAGTGAAAATGTTGCATGATAATTCCACTCTTGGAGATTCACAACGCACACTAGTCATTAAAAGCTTGGGAAAGTCCAGCATTAAATGGTTTAGCATTAACCATGTCAGGTCTGACAGATGAGGTTCAGACCCTGTTTGCCCTGAGTTGTGACGCTATGGCCTCGAAAAAGCTCCGTGCTGCCAGCAGTAGGGCAGATAATGGTCCCCCAAAAGATATAGCCAAGTGATAACCCTCCAGAACCTGTGCATGTGATCTTATCTGGAAAAAGGGTCTTTGCAGATGTAATCAGGTCAGGATCTGGAGATGAGCTCCCAAGTGTGGAGCATGGAGAAGAGGGGAGGGGAGTGAGGGAGACGGGGAAGGCAGCAAGTGAGAAGGGGGAGAAAGGGGGCAGGGGAAGGAAGGGGAGGTATGGAGTGGATTCTCCCTCAGAGCCTCTGGAAGGAATTAACCCTGCCAACACCTTGATTTCTGGAACTGTGAGAGAGTAAGTTTCGGTTGCTTTTCAGCCACCCAGTTTGCGGTAATGTGTGACAGCAGCCACAGGAAGTGAGCACACTGCCCCGTCCTCATGCGGGGGGTCCATACAGTGATCCCATGGGGCTGCGCACGACCGGCCTCAGCACAGCGCCTGGCACGTTCCAAAGGTCCACTCCTGAAATCTCAGCTGTTATTGTTGCTCTTAGTCATTAGCCCTGTCAACTGGGTCTCCTCTGATTTGGGCCTGTTGGTGTGGGGGGAAGCCAACCCAAATTCAGACTCAGCCTTGCTTCCTAATAGCCCTTGTGAGGAGCCTTGTCCTTTAGCTTCTTCTGCCTGCAGGCTGGGGAAGCATGTGAGGTACACAGAGCTACAGGTGGACCACATGGTGTTGGGGCCGCAGAGAAATGCAGCATCCAATGGATGGGACGTTGGTGCCAGGCAGCCTGGAGTGGAGGAAGGTGGGTGTTGGGTGCAGCCACTCCACCAGCACAGCTCTTGGCCTCCCTATATATCAGGAGCTTTATGCTTTGACAGGGCACATACTGGGTGCCTGGCCCAGAGACATGGTCCTGACCCAGGCAGACGCGGCCCCCACGGCTCCATTCTCTGCTCCTCCCTCAGCCTGCTGCAGAGAGGTGACGGCCAATGAACTGGCCCACAACAGGAGTTATGGCTCAGGCTAGCAAGGAGCAACACTGGGTCTGGCTGGGTCCCCTGGTAGTGACACTCAGGCAGCACCCAGGAGGCTGACAAGGAGCAGCCCAGAGAAGGGAGAACGGGTGGAGGCGGGAACAGGGAGCAACATGCCCCAGGCCACTTTCACCCACATGATCCGCAGGGAGCCCCAGGAGCTTTCCTGTATGTGGGCGGGAGCCACTGCTTTCATCGTATTAGAAATTACAAATTAAAATGGAAAAAAGGTCTTCAACCCAAGCACGCATTCCAGTCGTCGTGGTGCTGTCACACATCCTGTAGCATCTGCAATAGCCTACTGTACTCTTTTGGGAGAATGAGGCAAACAGTGCTATTGTTATGAAAACAGTTTTGATCTCATGGCCCCTCTGAAGGGTCTGAGGCACCTGCGAGTGTCCTCAAGCTTCACTCTAAAAACTGCTGTTATGGGGACAGACTCCAGGCGGGGCTGCGTGCAGCCGAGTACAGTGAGCACAGGGGGGCACACAGTGAGCACAGGGGGGCACACAGTGAGGTGAGGGGCCAGCCAGGCCCGGCCCTTCAGGGAGTGAGCCCGCCTCCCATTCTAAGGCAAAGGGAGCCCAATGGCCTAAACAAATCCAAGCACCCTCCTTGCTGGGCTCAAACCCTGCATCTGCCTCCACCCGGGCATGGGGTACACAGACAGCAACAGCAAGACAGGGACTCACCAGGACAGGAGCTCCCTCTAGCTCCAAAATGACAAGAGAACCAGTAGGAGATTCCAGACTCCTGCAGAGGAGCTCCTAGCCTTCCTGCCGGATCTCAGAGTCACTCCAGCTCCCCAGGTGGGAGGGCCCCAGGGGTTCTGGCTATGTGTGCCTGTGCCTGTGCATGGGGTGGGGGCCGTGGGACAAGGCGGGGTTAGGCCTTGTGAGAAGACTTGGTGAGAGGAAGGGGGCTGGGGTCAAGCCTGGAGGGGCACTAGGTGCCCTGGAGCCCTGAAGGGAGGCTGTAGGAGGGTTGGGGGAACTGTGGGGAGCTGGGAGAGGGGCTAAGCCATGCTGGGGTTTGGGGGTCCTACAGGTGCCAAGCAGAGGGGGGACTCTTCGGGTACCAGGCTGCATGGCCGGGTGATGCAGGGTAGGGGACCGCATGCAGTTGCGGGGAGAGTGGGGTGGGTGGGGATTGGAGTATGGTTGGGCGGGGCAGCTGCTCAGGGCTGCGCGTTACATAAATGTTCCCTGGCGCCACAGCGAGGCCGCGAGCGGAGCAGCGCCCCGAGTGAGAGCAATTGCCTCATCTTATCAGGGAACACAGCGTCCCACATGCTGCTCTTGCCCAAGCCGCAGGCCCAGGCGGGGACAACGTGTTCTCTCAGAGAGCCAGCCGGAAGGGGGGCGCAGGGGCTCTCTCTCCTTCAGCTGAGCCCCCAATCCGCCTCAACACCCAAGTCCCAGGCCCTCCCCTCTCCCCCACAGCAGCCACATGCAAATGCAGCCAGCTCAGGAGTGTGCGTGCTCCAGCTCAAAGCCTGAGCTCAGACTCGGGCTGTGGCATGGACTCCACTCTGCTCTGCCCTCCTGCGCAAAGGGCACGCTCCAAGTTATCTCCTGCAATCCAGCCTTAGCCAAACTCCCCCCCAACCCCCCACAGGTGAGTGGGCCCCCCCACCCCACCCGGCTCCAGCTGCACCTGTATAAACCACACTGCAGATCTTTCTGTCTGCGAACCTCCTGTGGGAAGCCTGTTGAGTGGTCATTTTTGCAATGTTTCCAATGCCCGGTACCAAGCTGGGGCCAGAGCAGCGTCTGCCGCAAGGGCCTCTTCTGCCGGCCTCCTGCTGGGTCTTCTCTAGGAAGCCTCGCTGAGCTCCCCTTCATGGAAGGGAGAAGGGAAGAAATGCAACTCCTACCGGGAGGTCCTGGAAAGGCAAATGAGCCATCACCCTCACAGGGATGTCTTGGATACAACAGACCTCTGGAGCGCAAGGGTCCATGTGGGTGTGTATCTGGAGGCAATGGCAGGGGCAGCGCTGGTCAGACTCAAAGGGAGGCACAGGGAGAGGCTTCCAAAGAGAAATTGCTTGCCCTCAGGCTCCCAGGCCACTGTCCCCAGTCTCCAGGTATTCCCCACCAGTGAGTGGGCTGTCATTCACTGATGGACAGCTCTGCCCTGTGGGCACTGGTTTGGGGCCACTTCTAGCTCCCAACCTCAAGACTGCAATGTTTTTCACTCCAGGAAGACTGTTCACCCTCCTGTTCTGGAGCAGGTCAGCATGGCCAAACACAGGGGCTGATCAACTGCTGGCCTCCAATGAAACTCAGGCATACAGCCTCAGGGGTAGCAGAAAGGCCTGGCCTCTGTGGTGGGGGGTGGACTTCCTAACTCCTTAGGAGGCCATTTGACTGTCCTGCTCGTCTCTAGAAATGTTAGTGGTTTATTAAGCCACATGGAGCTGACATGCACATGGCTTCGCAGGAAGTCCAGGTTGGAAGCTCTTACCCACCCACTGAGCAGGTAAGGGAAGTGAGGCCCAGGAGGAGAGAGTGAGCTGTCATTCAGCTGGCTGGCGCCAGAGCTAGAGCCGCAGCTGGAACCTGCCTGGGGCAAGGAAGCAGCCTGCTCTACCTCCACTCCTTTGTTGATGCCTCAGGGATTGTCATCCAGCCTGTTTCTCAGTCACTGTGAGGGTTAAGTGGGAGAATACGTGGGGCACATGCCTGCTGCACAGTGGTGCTTGGAGGAGATAACAATGTTATCACCTATGGGCCAAGGGGCCCCGGGAAGCATGTTTGTGAGCCGCCCAGTAGTGAAAGAGACATGGGGGGCAGGTGTGCCCTGTCCCAGGCGCTCTGGTCTAGTGCCGCTGATCACACACTACTATCCACTCTTCACATGCAAGAGCTGGCAGGGTGCTGAAGCCTGGCTGGAGACTGCCACAGTGTCGGAGGCAACACTGCTTCAGTGAGAGAATCCTCCTTGGGCAAATGTGTGGCTCCACATTTCTACAATGCTTGCGAAGATATTTTTTAAAGTAGGCATTTTTCTTGTTGCTTTGCTTTGTTTTCGAATAGGATAACTTGATCCTAAAAATTCATACAGAAAAACACACAGTAATAGCCAGAAAAAAATCCTGCAAAACAATGACGTGGGGGAAACGAGACCACCAGGATTCAACACAGTTTCGTAAGCTGATCACTGGCCAGTGAAGCCCAGCAGAAATGGCAGAATTAGAACGAAAGGTAGTGGTAACTGTGCAAAGGACAGAGTGACATCTCGAACCCCTAGGGCAGGGAGCAGTCAATACATGTTATGAGGACACTTCGGTAGCATCTGGAAAGGCTGGGTTCATACTTCCCACCCTACACCAGGATAAATTCTAAATGGGTCAAAGATTCTAATGTGAAAAATAAAACCACAAACATTCTAGGAGAAAACTGTAAGACAGAAGTTCCTTCTATGAATCAAAGTCCACAAACCATAAAAGAAAAGACTAAAGGCTGGGCATGGTGGCTCATGCCTGTAATCCCAGCACTTTGGGAGGCTGAGGCAGGAGGATCACCTGAGGTCAGGAGTTCAAGACCAACCTGGCCAACATGGTGAAACCCCGTCTCTACTAAAAATACAAAATCAGCCGGGCGTGGTGGCGAGCGCCTGTAATCCCAGCTACTCAGGAGGCTGAGACAGGAGAATCACTTGAGCGTGGGAGGCAGAGGTTGCAGTGAGCTGAGATCACACCACTGAACTCCAGCCTGGGTGACAGAGTGAGACTCAGTCTCAATCAATCAATCAATCTATTTGACTGCACAAAACAGTATACTATACTTCTCCATGAACAAAGTCACCATAAACAAAGGCAAGAGATAACTGACAAAACTGAGAGAAAAAATATTTGCAGCTCCTATCACAAACGGCTAATCTCCAATACAGAAAGAGCTCACAGGAATTTTAAAAAGAAAAATATCCAACAGAAAAATGGGCAAAGCCCATTCATAAAAAAGGAACTACAAATGGCTCTCAAATGCATGAAAAGATGCTCCACCTCATCCATCAGGAGCTAATGGCAGATGAGACACACTGAAATGCAGCTTGGTAGCTTATCACCTTGGTGAGGCTGCAGGTAAGCAGGCATTCTTTGCTGATGGGAGTACAAACTGCTACAACCTCCATGGAGGGCGATTTGGCAATACCTATTAAAATTAGAAATGTGCACACCCTTTTACCCACATCTGAACTTTTGACATCCTAGCCTACAAACGCATTTGCACACCTACAAAACGGGATATGCTCCTGATTAGTCAATGCAGCAGGAACCTGAAAACAACTCATGTCCTTCCACTGGGGCCTGTCAAATAAATTATGGAACGCACATATAACAGAACACTATCGCAAAGAAGTAGAATGAGTTCTTTACAAACTGATATGGAAAGATCTCCAAGCTGAGTGAGGAAAACAAGGTTGAGGAGAGATGACCAGCAAGGATCTACGTGCGCCTTGGCCTGTATGTGCAGAGAGAGGGTCCCTAGGAAAGTAGGAACAGAGATCACCCAGGGGAACACTGAGCAGATGGAGAACAGGGAAGGTTGACAGAATTTTCCCTGGGGAAACTACTTAAATCTTTTAGATTCTGAAACACACAAATGCATTTCCTATTCAAAAAGTTAAATTCAAAACAAAAAATCCATAGCAAACTAGAAAATGCTAGCCATCAATAATGCCAATTTAAAAATCAGACATTCAACACTCTGGGCACATTACTGGCCCCATTCTGTATTCCCTATTTCAAAGCACAGTTCCTCATATTACCCCAAGAGCTCTCTTAAAATAACAATGGTCGCCCAGGCAGATTCTCCTCAGAATGTGCTGGGCAGTGGCTTCCAGGATGAGAAACTCAAAAATAGCAATAAAGTCCAATCTAGCTTTGTAGGAGATGCTCCCAGGGCAGGGCTCCAGGGCTTTAGAGCCCCTGGGTCACGCTGCAAACTGTCCTATTGGAGAAGGGCCCTCCCTGATAAATTGTTTGATAGGCCCAGCAGTTTAGAACGGGTCAGACCTAAAAGGCTATGGGTGACAAATATTCAGCAAAGGATTTAAACAGAAGCAGTTCCAGAGTTGTAATTCCACGTCAGAAGCCCCCTTCAGGCTCCTGAATACCACACTCCTGCCATAAGACCACTTTGTGACACCACTGTGGGCTGAAAATTAGCCCAGGTGGATGGCAGCTAGGAGAGCCAAGTCCATCCAGCCACTAGGATGCAGATCCCAAGTGCCACTGTAGGGGCTCATGAGGAGTAGGAACCAGGGAATCTGTGGACTACTGGGAAAGGGTTTTCTCTTGCACCAAGAGAAAAGGAAGGAGGGAGGGAGGGAAGAAAGAGGGCAGAGCACGTGGTGGGTAGGGAAAGGGACACAGTATGGAAAGGCCTCTTGGGCCTGCCTCTGGCTGTGACGTCTGGGGTGGGGGGTGGGGGGCACCAGCCTTGACAGTCACAGGGGAGATCTGCAGAATCTCACAGAGAAGTCCAACTGCTTCTTGACACGAACAAGCACCTGCACAGCCAGCCCCAGCTCTGCACCCCAGGTGCCCGTGCTCCCAGCCGGCTCTCTAGGCAACTGAGGGAGGGGCCCCTGTCTGCAGAGCCTTTGGCAACCATCGTGGCCCACTTCCTCTTCCTGTGTCTCCCCTCCCCCAGCCTTCATTTCCTCCCCCTGCCCTCTCCTTCTGTGTCTCCTGGGGGGGACCTTGCCTGCAGGGACCCCACCCTGCTAAGCTCTGCTACAGACACTCAATGGCACAAACAGCTGCATGTACACTCTTTACAGGGGTGCAGCTTTTACTTTTGGCCTGCACTGGGCTCATCTGACTCTACCAACCCGGAAGACAGGAAAGTGTTGATGTGAAACCCTTGTCAGAGGTGAGAAACCAAGTGACCTCACCAAGGTAACACACCCAGAAGGGTGGGCCTGAGGCTAGGCTACACCGGGAAGAAAGACATTCTCACAGCCCCTCCCCAGCATGGAACAGGAACACTGCTGCCCACGTTCACGTTCCAGGAGGAGCAAGCAGGGGCACCCACCCACAGTGCGGCGAGGCTACCCTCTGCACCCAGGGGCCCCTGCTGCCCCCACAGCCAGGCTCTACGAGGCCTATTTCACGGCAGGCTTGCCCAGGCTGGGGGCATGTGGGCCTGAGGACCTGTGGGGGACCTCCACGGTCCCCAGCTCCCCTGCAGCAGGAGGCTGCAGCTGAGGAAGGAGCCAGGCAGTTCCCTGGAAGGGCCCAGCGCTACCAGGCAGCGCACTCAAAACAATGGCACTCAGAAGCCCTGGAGGAGCCTCGGCAGGCTCCTCTTCCAGGCCCAGCACCTGCCACCTGGCCGGCTCCAGGTGCACAGCAGGCTCAGTTTTCTCAGGAAAAATGTGGCAAGGTTTCCAGCAGAATATAACGAAACAATGTATTCTTCAGGGTTGGTTTCACAAAGTAAATACATCCGAATTAAAATGAGCTTGTAATTTGGACGACGGGCCTAAAAAACGCCTTTGGTTTTTGAGGGAGCCGAGACAAAACAACAACAACAACAAATTAGACAACGGTCTGTTTTTTCTGAAACAGGTGAACAGTGCCGGGGCTTCTGCTAGGAACCTCCAGACCCCCAGGGAGGAGCTAGAAAGCCCCCAGACCTCTCCTGCAGCAGCCCAGGCCGATGGAGCCACCAGGGGCTCTCGGTCTTGCCCACTAGGAGCAAGTTACCCCTACCCTTTGGGAAAGCCCTTGTGTTCAAAAACCCTCTTGCAGAGAACAGGTGACCTGGCAGCCCCGGGCCCTGTCCCTCAGCCCTGCCCGCAGGTCTAGTAGCCCCCTACATCCTGCTCAGGCTTGTCGCAGCCTAAGTGCGTTGGAGAGGGCCTGAAACAGAGCCCCACTGCCTGCCATGTGGGGAGACCAGTGCTCTGGGGGGCCACCTCTTCTCAGGAGACAAAGCCCACCCTCTTCCCGGCACAGGCCTGCCCGCTGCATGTCCGTGCCCACACCTTCCTCCCTGTATCCTGCTGGCCCTGTTTCCTAAGCCCTTCCCTGTCCTAACCTAGAACAGGGCCCTAACCTTAAGGCAGCTGACCCCAGGGACACCAGCCGGGAAGAAAAGCAGTGCCACACTCTGCACTATCCCACGGCCAGGCCCCCAGAAGCTTCAAGGTTGGAGTGACCCCCTCTGCAACAGCTCTGTACGGGACTCCAAGACCTGAGGCTACCTAGGTCTGCCTGATGCCAAGGGAGGGCTAGCAAGAGCTGGGAGGAGCCACTGGGGCAGGAACCCTGTTCTGTGTCCTACCTGCCTCCCTCCCCCAAGACCACAACATGCGGGGTGGAGGGCTCAGCGCTCCTTGGTGTCATCCCCAAGGTTACTGGAACCAGGCTTCACAATCTGTTGGATGGGGTAGACGAGGGAGAGTAAGCACACGGAGCCAGCCCAGCTGTCTCTCTCGAATGTTCTTCTGAACCACCAATGTGAGCTGCTGATAAACAGCCCCTGGGAACGTGGACAGGGAAGAAAACAGACTACCAAGTGGCTGAGCCCCACCCTCAAATGCACACATGAAATGCATATGCCAGAGCTCTAATTGCAGGAAGGAAACAGAGGTTACCTCAGGAAGATGGGATTTGTGTGTGACTGTCCTTTCTGCATTTCTGCCTTCATCAAATGAATCACTTTGGACAGTCAGAATTAATGCAATAACACTATGTAACAAAGTGGTGTATGTACACACACGTACCTTTCACCCAAGCTCCAGCTCACCACTGGGACTGCTTCCACAGAACCCAGCACCCCAATCCCTAAGAAGGGAATAGCACTAGTTTGCATGAACCAGTACACTGCCTGGAAAGGTTAAAAGGACCACATGCCAGAATTTCATAAAGGTGTTTGCTCTCCTTTTGCTAAGGGTTACAAAACACACTTGAAAATTTCCGTTCTCAAGGTCCCTTTTAAAAACAGAAATAATAGAATACCAATGGTTTCTGCCAACAGAAGGCCAGAAGCCACCTGAGACAAGGGCTCTGGAGCTTCTCTCCTTCACGCACACCCGAGTCACAACCCTTATTGCTCCTCAATGGATAAGTAGGGAGACGTATATCGGCCCCTTGCCACAGAAGCTTCCAGATCATGGATTGTGCAAGTGAAGGCCTTCTCCAGATGAACGGTGCTACCTGTGGACTCATGAGAGCTGAACCCAAAGAACAGACATTTCCATTTCCTTTCCATTGTGAGACCCTCATCACTAGCTGCCTCCCAGGGGAAGCCAGAAGCATCTTCCCTGAGCACGGTAGGGTGACGCATGTCCAGCTGACCCCACTGCCCCCGCCTTTCCTCTGCCATCTTGAAGGGAATGTTCCCTGGCTTCAGGAGCCAGTGTGCGGTTAACATCCTTGTTCTGGGCATCGGGAGGCAATGTGACTGCTTGCGTACCAACACAGCCCTGATGGCTGGTGATAGCCCAGGGATGACATTCCTATGCACCTCTTCAGATATTTTCTGAAACACAAGGCAAGACAGGAATATGAGGTTGGAATCCACAATTACAGAGCCAGGTTTATTTAGCTGATAAAAATGCTCTTCATTTGAGGCTGATCAAAAGTAAAGGCAATTTGTATCTAAAATACATAAAGAACTCAATCTCAACAATAAGCAAATGCCAATTTAAAAAATGAACAAAAGATCTGAACACTCTTACCAAAGAAGATAGAGAGATGGTAAACAACTGTGTGAAAAGGTGTTCAGTGTCATTTGTTATTATGAAAATTCAAATTACAACGAGATATCACTATACATATTTATGAGAATGGTTAAAATCCAAAACACTGACAATACTAAATGCTGGTGGAGCAACTGGAGCTCTCATCCATTGCTGCAAGCATGTTAACCACAGGGGAGCTGACCAGCCACTTGGGAAAACGATGTTTTGACAGAAACTGTAAGAATGCAGACAATCGCAACTGTACTATAGTCAACCTGCCAACCTTAGGTTTGGACCCCCTCCTTCCACTGCACAACTGTCTTCTTGTGAGCTGCCTTCAGTTGCTTCCAGGATATTGCTGGATGTATCTCTGGCAAACTCCTGGATAACATTGTTGGGCAAGAACAAAGGAGATGCTGGCTGCCCAAGAGCTGGACAACTCTCAGCCGCCCCCTACCTAGTGCTTACCTTACCCTCATCTCTCCCCACGCCTCCTGCACTGGACCAAAGGCCTAACAGGAACTCTGGATAAAGCTGGCAGGTCAGGCACAGGCACCCACCACCCTTCCAGCCCCAGATCCCACTACAATGAAAGAAAGTGGATTTTAACAGACAAAGCAAAAGGGAAAGAGAGTAACAAAAATAATCTGGAAGCAAGAAATTAGAAAGACAGCAGAGAAGGCAAGGAAGCAATCCACGTTTCCCCACAAAGGCTCGGGAGTCTCTGGCGGGGGTGGGGGTGCAGTTGGTGGGGGGCACCTGAACATCAGATAAAGCAGCTGTGGACACAAGGTCTTTCCTCACCTTACAGATGGCTGCTTGCCCTTCCTGCACCTGCCAGGAACCAGAGGCTGACTTTCTGGGAGGGTCTACACAGGAGGGAGCTCTGGACTGACGACTCCAGACCCAGCTCAGAGTAGGGCAGCCTCCAGAACAGGGGTGTGGGGAACAGCCCACTCACAGAGTGCTGCCTCCCAGCTTCTCTCCCAGTGTGCAGCAGGACCACCCTCCCTCCCCCAGGCAGGAGCAGAACACTCCTCTTGGGGGAAAACCCGGAAGGAGATGGCCCAGTAGACCACCCACAGGAGGCCACCGTCGCTGAGCCTGATGGGCACCCAGAAGCCCCCACGCAGCTCGAGGCTCTCTGGGCCGTGTCACCAGACATCAAGGATCAGCAGACAATGCAGAAGAGCCTGACGTGGGTGGGCAAGAGACCCAGACCAAGGAGCAGAGACAGGTGATGTGGAGGGAGCAGAGGCCACGCAACGAGAAGACTTCCAGAGCTGTCACTAACATCCTCACCGCATAGACGGCCTGGCGGAAACAAGAACCGCATGCGCCTTTAAAAGGGAAGCTTAGAAACCTGAGTTTGAAAGCAAAGGCTTAGAAACCTGAGTCTGAAAGTAAAGATACAGAAGGAAAAATGTGGCAGAAATAAAAATCCCAATAGCAGGGTTGGGAGAGAACACTGAGAGAATTTCACAGAAAACAGAGCAAAAATACAAATGGATGGGTAAGAGGGAAAAAATATGAAAATGTAAGGATCAGACCAACAGCTCCAAATAAAAGGAACTGCAGGCAGCCCTGAGAACACAGGAGGTGAGGTGATCGTGAAGAAAGTGGCAAGAATGTTTTCCAGATGCCACCCGACGGGCCCGCTGCAGAGGACAGAGCTTGGCCAAGCACCTCCACACACGTGCACACCTCCAAGCCCTGGTAAAGGCACAAGCCCAAAAGGCCCTGAGAGGCAAAGAGACCGGGAGGTGCACACAGCCAGAATCAGAAAAGCTTCAGTCTTCTCCACAGCAACATCAGAGCTCCAAACCGCACGAGTAAACCATTCCCACCTATGATTCAACCCAGAGAAACGTGAATCAACCTCAGACCAGGATCAAGACATTTCCAGACATATAAGCCTTAAAACAATGGCCTCCCATTCTCCTAAGTGAATTAACGCAGGAACAGAAAACCAAACACTGCATGTTCTCACTTATTTTTTGAGACGGAGTCTCGCTCTGTCGCCCAGGCTGGAGTGCAGTGGCGCGATCTTGGCTCATTGAAACCTCTGTCTCCCGGGTTCAAGCGAGTCTCCTGCCTCAGTCTCCTGAGTAGCTGGGATTACAGGCGCCCGCCACCACGCCCAGCTAATTTTGTATTTTAGTAGAGACAGGGTTTCACCATGTTGGTCAGGCTGGTCTGAAACTCCTGACCTCAGGTGATCCATTCACCTTGGCCTCCCAAAGTGCTGGGATTATAGGTGTGAGCCACCGCGCCCGGCCAGTTCTCACTTATAAGTGGGAGCTACACACTGAGTACACAGGGACACAAAAGAGGGAACAGCAGACACCAGGTCCTACTTGAGCGGGGAGGGAGGAGGGTGAAAGACTGAAAAACTACCTATCGGGTACTATGTTTATCACCTGGGTGATGAAATAAGAACATCAAACCCCGTGACATGCAATTTACCCATGTAACAAACCTGCACATGTACCCCCAACCCTAAAATAAAAGTCAGAAGGAAAGGAAAAATGGCCTCCAGTGCACCCCTTCCAGGAGGCTATGCAGCAGGAGCTCTGCCAAGAAGCAGATGGCAGGGGCTCCAGGAAGTGGGGCCTGGATGGTAGGGGAGGGGTCCCAGGATGACAGCCAACCCCCACAGAGATGTTATCCAGGCCACACGGAGCAGGCCACACTGGGTGTGTGGGGACAAATGGGGGGCTGGGGGTGTGGGGACAACAGCACTGGGAAAACCAAGCAGAAATGGCAACTATTGAGTCTAAGGGAAAGAAACACGTGTAATGTATGGGTCACCTGCAACTAGCATTTACTGTCATGATCCCCCAAAATACCGCATGCTGGCTCCATCCTAAATATCCAATTATCACATGGGTGGGAGAAGGGTGCCTGCAGGCGCTCATGTGCCATCATGGGAAGTCAGGAGATAATGCCTAACACTCTTCTACCATCAAGAAGAGCCCCTATGAGCACGTTATCGAGCTGGGAAAGGTAAATACCAAAGGCAGTAGCTGAAGAAGCTGGCAGATGGTGGGGGTGACCTGCTTATCACAATGAACGTACAGAAAGACAGGATCCTTAAGCTATGTGTATTACCACATGCACTACTCTAACACAATTTTTAACATAATTTACAAAATGGGATGGGTATACTGCTCTCGGCAGTCCAGCCTTTCCTTAGAGCATCACTTTCTTCTCCTAGTAGCTCCTCTTCAGAAGCCATTGGAGAGTGCTGGCCCTGCCATCTCCCCAAGGCATGTGGAGATGACACCCTGCCCTTCTGCTCAGGGGAGGTGAGGGACCGTCCACAGGAGACACTTACTGAGCACCTGGCCTCTTCCTCACCTATCTGTGTTACCTTAGTAGCACTGTTGATTGTTTCGGTTGTTGTTGCTTTTGATCTCATAAACACCTGTGTCCTGGTTGCCTTCTTTTTACCTATGACTAGTTATAACTCGAGGCTGAGGGATGGCGAGATGGGCTCCAACACTTCTTTAAATGGTGGCTCCAACCCCAAGCCCGGGGGTTTTAGGGCTGGATCCACACAATTCCCAATACCAAGTCATGTGGGGTGACTTCAGGCTTTGGATTTTTTGCTTCACACTTACTGTTAGCCCAGTATGAAAATTAGACGTATCAGGCTTTCATTTGAAGATGTAAGGCACTGAAATATTTATGGACAAATTGATATTGCATCTGGGATTTCCTTCAAAACAACTGGAGAGGACGGTGGTGGGGGAGGGGCAGAGATAAGACTGCAGGGGGCTAGCAGGTGCTGAAAATGTGGGTGTCCTGAAGATGTGGGCATCTGTCTGAAGTTCTCCAAACAGAAGTTTAAAAACTATTAATATGACCAGGTGCAGTGGCTCACGCCTGTAATCCCAGCACTTTGGGAGGCCAAGGTGGGCAGATCACTTGAAGTCAAGAGTTCAAGACCAGCCCGGCCAACATTTCGGTGAAACCCCATCTCTACTAAAAATACAAAAAATTAGCTGGGTGTGGTGGTGGGTGCCTGTAATCCCAGCTACTTGAGAGGCTGAGGCAGGAGAATTGCTTGAACGCGGGAGGCAGAGGTTGCAGTGAGCTGAGATCGCGCCATTGCACTCCAGCCTGGGCAACAGGAGTGTAACTCTGTCTCAAAAACAAAAACAAAAATTACAAAACTATTAATATATGGACAAGGATTGCAACCCTAGGCCCTGCCTGGAGGCCATTCCTCCTCGCTGGATTTCAGCCCATCCCTCCTCTGGCTCTCCCCAGGCCTGCTCACCAGCACACCACGGTTTGGGGTTTGGTCAGCTGCTTCTCTCCCTGCCCCAGGCAGGCAAAGTCCCATCCTGCAGGCCTGGGCTGATGTCCTGGACTGGACATTGCTGTCAGTCAACTGCAGCCTGACACTCACTGGGAGGGCAGAGCTGTGCCAGGCTCTGGGGCCAAGCTGGGTAGGGATTGGATAGGCCTGAGGCCTCCACACTGACGCTGTATCCAGGGCCTGGCTGTAGTCAAGTGCCACGTCTGACCCCACACTACAACCTGGGTCCTGGAGTCTGAAGGGCTCAGGGGAGTTAGGGACTCTCAGGGGTCTTCAAGCTAGGCAGGGCTGTGGGGGTGTACTTTTTCCCCAGAAGCAGCCTGGTTTCTGTTTAAAAGAAGGAACAGTGAAGTCCTCTTCTCCTCTGAGGCCCATGCCTGCAGTATAGAGTCCTCGGTGAGAGAGGGGAAGGGTGTGGGGGTTGCCTGCCGAGAGCCCCCTGCCCCAGGCTTGGCCACAGCGAGCCACTCCACAGCCCTGCCAGCTCACTGTTGGAACTCTGGCCACAGCCACCACAGCCCCCCTTCCCAGCAGCTATTCTTGGTCTGTGTCTCCCTTTGGGGGGAGGATAAGAGTGGAAATTATCAGAAGCTAAAATTAGCAAGAGGCAAACAATTGAGGCCAGGAATCTGAGGTCAGCTGAGGACAACAGCTTGTTCTCTGCAGCCCCGAAGTGGTTTTATAGCAATAAAGGGAATTGAAAATGAAAACAGATCTGGAAGCAGCCCAAGCCCTGGTGGGACCAGGCCCAACACAGCCAGCCCCAAGTGGGCAGGCCAGATGGCAGGGACTTTGCCAGCCCAGGCCCCCCAACCTGGGGCTCCCCTCTTCACAAGGGGGCCCTCTACAGCCAGGAGGCAACACCCAGAGCACCTGCAGCTACGGTTACAGAACGCCTGGGACAGGTTTCCCACGCACTTAACGTGGGCGTGACTTCCTCTCCAGGGGAGGCCCAGCACAGGCGGCTGTAAACACCCCCAGTAACTACTGGATGACCAGGGCCACAAGCCCCTGCTTTGATACCTCCAGGCACTCCCCCTTTAACAGGCCCCAGCAAAACTCCCTAAGTGACAGACCAGGAAATGAGGCCACAAAGTCAGATGTGGAGCCACCCTTGAGCCCAGCCCCCTGGCCCAGGGTCCCTTCCCTGTCACTACCTCTGCAGTCCCTCCTCCCCTGGAAGGCCCACCCAGAGCAAGCCGCACACTCCAAGGCGGCATCAACAGAGCCCACAGCCTAGGTGGGCTGCATGGTGGCTGCATACAGACGGAGAGGTGGGTCCAGCCTCGTCATGCTCCACGGTCAAGAAACTGCCCTCCCCACAAAAACTCCAAGTAGCCACCCTGGAGGTCCCAATGCCAGTGGGCTCTGGGTTCTATCTGGTGATGCTCAATCCTAAGGGAACTTGGCTCAGCCTAGGATGCATGGGATTAAATACAGCCTTTTATTAAGTTTTTATTCACTGATCTCTGCCACCTAACAGCTTGCAAATGTCAGAAGAAATAAATCAGCCCAGTGGTCATAATTCAGAGCTGGGAAGCACACAGGAGGCTGGAAATGCACAGACCGGGTTGGTAGACCCAGCCCTGAAGATACTGCTCCTGTCCCCAGGAGAGAGTACATGCTGACAGGCCCTTCCACGGGGCCAGCACAGGGCCAGGAGCCAGAGGCACACCAAGTGGCACCACATACAGACGCTAATCTCAGCAGCTGCTGAGGCTGCTGGCCGACGTCATGGCCCATGGAGAAGGCAGGCATGGAGCCCGTGGCCAGCCCACACCTGGGCCAGGCAGAGCTCACACAGCCTGTCCTTTCTCACTGGTACGGTCAGGTCTGTGCATTCTGAGCGGGACCAAGGGAGCCTGTAGGGCAGACACTGGGACTGAGGGAGGTAGAAACCCCTGAGCGTGGCCTGCAGCAGGCAAGCCTCTGCTGTGAGACAATCTCACCTTTCCCTGGACTGCAAGATCTCAGGACCCGGCATCCAAGGCTGGATCACAAAGCCTCCAAGATCTCAGTGTCCAGGGGAGGCCTATTCGGAACAGTCTGAAGCTCCCAGGTACGGGGCAGCGTGGCGACCCCTCTGTTGTGTAAACTCCAACAGTGACTTTTGTTCACTGCAAAACCCTTTTTTTGTTGTTGTGTGTAAACTCTACTTAAACAGTGACTTCTGTTCACTGCAAAACTCCCCCCGCCTCCCTTTTTTTTTTTTGACACGGAGTCTCACTCTGTTGCTCAGGCTGGAGTGCAGTGGCGTGATCTCAGCTCACTGCAACCTCCACCTCCTGGGTTCAAGCAATTCTCTGCCTCAGCCTCCTCAGTAGCTGGGATTACAGGCGTCCGCCACCACACCCAGCTAATTTTTGTATTTTTAGTAGAGACAGTGTTTCACCATGTTGGCCAGGCCAGTAGTCTTGAACTCCTGACCTCAAGATCTGCCCACCTCAGCCTCCCAAAGTGCTGGGATTATAGGCATGAGCCACCGCGCCCGGTGTGCAAAACCCTTTTAGACATCCAACAGCCACCCGCCCACTCTCCCTGCCAGGGTGCATACCTGGGCGCTCTCATGCCTTGCTTGCGGGTAGCACACTCATCCTTCCTTTCTGAAAAGAAGCAACCTGCCCTGAAAATGCACATTCCTTTGCAGGCTCCTGGGAACTCCCCCTGAAAATAATGAGGTGGACGGCTGTCCCAGGACAGCCAATCACTGGAGCTCTCAGTGCAAGACAAGCGCACACGGGGCAACCACTCAGACCAGGTTAGAAACCAGTCAGTGCCTTGGGGTTATGAGCCTAACAGGATGTTAAAGCAGGAAAATGTAGAACAGAAAATGACTTGTATGGAATGATCCCACGTTTTAACAGTGGTGACTTGTGAGTGGTGGGATTAAAGTTATTGATTTTCCTCTTCATTAATTTTTCTTGATACTTTCCTGTTTCTCAAATCATCCTTAATTAACATGCTTGACTTTCACAAATAGAAATAAAAACAAATGCCAGGCACTCAAATGATGATCTTTTGGCAAGGCAACTTCTTACAACAGGAACACACTTACAAATCTGACCCCAGCCCAGAGCACCAAAAGCAAGTCCATGATACGGGCTGAGAAAAGACTTTCCAACTCAGGTTTCCCAGGCCTTGGCCCAACTCAGAATCTGCGCCAGGTCCAGGGATGGTGGATTTGGGTCATTTTACAAAGCAAGTGGTTCCTGGAGACACTGGGGAACTCTTACTCGGATGTCCATCCACACACTCCCTCCCAGCCTCCCTGCTCTCGCTGTCATCATCATGTTCTTACACAAAGGCCATTAAACATTAGGCTCCTTACTTACTCAAAACTGCTGCTGCCCAGAAGGCGCCTGGGCGAAGAGTGCCAGGCCTGCATTCTGGCCTGGCCATGGGCGCACCTCAAGAGCCTGCTTAGCCTCACCTTCTCCACTGGCATGGCCACCTCTAAGGCCCTTCTCAAGGGCTGTACCCAGACCAAAGCTTCCTTGCGGATCCTTCAAGGTCTGAAAGCTGAGCCAAAGAGCCAGTGCTTGTGCAAGTCCCAGACTTCACCAAAAAAGGGGGTGAAGTTGGGCCAGAGACCACCTTACACGCCAAGCTACTTTCTCTAAATACCCAGTGGATGGAACAGGTACAAAGAACCAAGGCTTGGGTGTCATTTCCTTTATCCTGAACCCTGCAGGGGCATAATTTCCTACACTTCATATTTTAAGAGTTTGGTGAAGACGGAAGCAAAGTGGAGCATCCTTGCCCAGAACCACATAGACTCCCTCCTTTGAGATCTGTAATGAGATGAAGTTCACAGGTGTCCACCTGCTCAGCTGAGAGACCATTGTTCTCATTAGGCCCTGGCAGAAGAGAGCTAAGGCGAGGTTCCGAACAACGGACCAATGTGGTCGGCATCCAGGTGCCCTGCACGCTGGGGGGCCTGCTCGGCTCATCCCCTCCCTCCCCAATCCCAAAGCTTCATCCTTCTGTCCAGGATCCGTGGGTCCAGGATGCCCAATATCCTACCATAACTGCGGCAGACCCTGGCTGCTTCCTGCCCTGTAATGGGCATATTGGCTTAAAAGCAGGGGCCGCATGCTGTACTACTCTCCATGTCTGGAATGGCCGAGGGTTAGGGGCCATTTTCTCTAGGGCTTCACTCAATGGAGAAAAGCACATCATCTCATGAAATGGGATTCATCCCATGAAGCACAAATTCGGCAAAGGCTAGGCTACTCTGAGGACTTGGCAGCTTCAGCAACACTCTGAGTACTTTTGGTTCCGCCAAGAACACATGGCTGGTTACTTTATACCATTCAACTTCATGTGGAATTCCAGGGACATCTGAGCTCATCTGCTTTTCATTAATTCACACCCAAGTTCAAAGTGGCAGGAGGGGACCTGGAAGCTGTGAACCCCCTCCCCAGGAAGCCCTCCAGGCCCAGGAGAAACAGGCTTAAAGCAGCCTGAGGACCTGAAGCCCCCTGCTCCCAGCCTGGGTCACAGGCACAGGGGCACAGGCTTGGCCCATACTCGCCTCACATGGGCCCGGAGGACTTCTCCTGCAGACACCAGCCTAATTCCTCCCCACTGCATGCTAGGCACTAAGAACACAGCACTGCCCTTGCACTCATGCAGCCAGGGCAGTGAAGTATCAGAGGCAAGCTGACTAACCACAGGCTGGCACCAGCTGGAGCAGACTGGGTCCCAGAGACTCATGTTAAGGGTCAGTGCAGAACGAGGCAAGTGCCCTCCAGATCCCCAGGTCCTCGGCATGGTGGCTGTTCCATCGAAGACAGCGCTGCTGTACCACTACTGCCTGACAGGGCACCCGCCTCCCATGTGGCCCAGCGGGCATTGGTCCATCCCACACTCTGGGGAAACATGTCATAATCTGCACAGGTGGCGGCTCATGGGGAAAGCAGTGTCAGCCTCCCCTCCCTAAATGGGCAGCAGCAGCATTGCCCTGGGTCCTGGGATTCCCCCAGATGGAATGACAGTCACAGGCTTCGGCCCTACAAAGTTAAGGGGCAAAAAAGCTGCCATGAGTTGGGGGAGTAGGCCTGCAGAGGATACAGTACCCCACCCTACCTCGCCATCTGCCTTCCGTGGTTAGGCAAGAACGCTGGGCACTATAGGCTGAATGTTTGTGCCTCCTGAAAACCCATACCCTGAAGCCCTAACTCCCAGCTTGATGGATGGTCTTAGGAATTGGGGCCTCTGGAAGGTGATAATGTCATGAGGCTGTAGGGCCCTCCTTATGGGATTAGTACCCTTAGAAAGGAGACCCCAGAAAATCCCTTTGCTCCCTCTACTATGTGACATTATAGTAAGAAGACAGCTGTCTACGAACCAGGAAGAGGGTCCTCACCAGATACAGAATAATCTGCCAGCGCCTTAATCTTGGACTTCCAGCCTCCAGAACTATGAAAATAAACTTGTTGTTTATTTGCCACCCATCTCCAGTATTTCTGTTACAGCAGCACACTGAGCCTCCACCACAGCTCTGGGGCGGTGCTTAAACTCTACAATGCCAGCACCGAGACACCCCACTGGAGCCCAAGGCACTGCGGCCTGAGATGCAGTCAGGACCCCAGGGTCTAAAAAATGCGGACATCAGTGGCCAGAGCAGGCAGGCTGCCGTGACTGCAGGGTCACACCCTTGGCTGCCAGGAGGGGCTTCCTGGGCTCTATGCTGGCAGCTTTTCAGTGAGAACCAGGCCAAGCAACAGTCCTGTCTGGGAGGTAAAACTGTGGGTGCCACTTAATTTCTTCTTTTAGCTTTTCTGTACTTAAATGGTCTGTAGCACACGTATACTTCAATAAAAAGCATGTGGTGCGGCGTGCGTGTGTGCCTACGTACCACGCGTGGTTTTTCCTTTCGGAAGGCACTGGAGGCTGGGCTGACAGAGCCAGGCCCTCTGGGTTCTGCTGTCCCTTTAGTGCAAAACCAAGCTGAAGAGGGGCGCCTGTGCTCCTGCTCTCTCTTCTAGACATCACCTTCCACAGTCATCCTGACAAGAGTGGCAAGCTGCCTGTCCCAGCTCCACAGGCAATCCACGGGAGGAGGAGTGGCGTCCTTTCTTCCCACAAAGCCTGCGTGTTTTCCACTTTCCTCCACCAGCAAGAACACCTGGGGTTCGAGGCCTGCCTTCCGCCTTCAGAAATAAACCCCCCTGAAAGTGCAGGAAGAAGCCTCCACACTGAGGCAGACTCATGTGGAGTGGCCAAGAAGGCCAGGCTGGAGACACTGAAGCCTGAGATCTGGAACGCACTGAGAAGCGCAGCTCTCTTCCTCGTGTTAGGAGGGTGTCACCTTCAGGGGGTGTGGTCCAGGAGAAGCCAACAACACACCTTCCTGTTCCACCAGCGCTGCAGCCACTACAACAGAGGCAGCCCCCAACCCCTGCAGCCTATATGCTGCCCCAGGGCCCCAGAGGCTGGAGGGGGTGGAAGGGCAGACAGAAGAGGTTGGGGCCCCCTCAAGCTGCTGCCACAGGATGGCAGGATGGGAGCCTTTGGGCCCAGCCACTGTGACACCCACTTTTCCTTTAGCCATTTCTTGCCTTGGCTTCCCAAGTCACACTGCCCCGCCTCTCTCCCCTACTCTGAGGCTCCGCTGGCTTAGGGCCTGCCATAGGATGCCCTCGTCCCTCATGAGCAGCACCTCCAAGGCAGAGTCACCTCCTGGGCCCCACATCCTGCCTCTCTCATCACCACAGTCAAGGTGGGGCCCCTCCCCAGCCCAGCCCCCTGAGGGTGCCCTTTGACGCTAGCACACACAGGTTCTAGCGGGCTTGCCACCCACGTGCGGCAAAGCCTGGGTAGCTCTTCCCTGCCTCCAGTCTCCACTGCCCATCCCCAGCCCTGCCTCAGGGGGAAGCCTTGTTCACAGCTCCCCTTCCCCACCACGAGCACCAAGGACGGCCTCTTCCTGAGGTGTGCTGTCCCAGTGGGGCTCAGCAGAGAAGCTGGTCACCCAGCTCCCTCCAGGAGGTTCCCAGGCCCTGCCAAAGAAGCCTTTTTCTGGGAAGGCTGGTGCTACCAGCAGAGCAATGGAGGGGGGAACGCCTGCTGATCCCAGGAGGGTGTCCAAATCCTGAATTCCCTGCTTGACCTTCTAGCTTCACAGGTCCTCAAATCCTCCTACCTGCTGGGCTCGGTGTCGTGCCCTGTCACAGACCTGACCTTGTCCCAGCCCCGATGAGAGCCAGCAGGTAGGGGAACTGAGGTCCTCACCCATGCTTGCTACCACAGTCTGCTCCTGCCCCCAGACTCAGGACCCTACGCTGCCCCTCTCCCCTGCTGGCCCACCCAACCCACACGTCCAGTCTGCATCTCCCCAGACCCTCCCTGATGCCGCCAGCACAGAGGGGTGCAGAGTGGTGGCAGGCAGGAACCTGGCCTGCAGGCCAATAGCCCACCTATGGCCGGCAGGAGCCCTGGCCCCACCACCAAGTGCCTGGGATGTCCCTCGCTAGAAACTGAAAGATTTCGAGGCACAGGTGGTATTTTCATTTCTTCTTCCAGTTGAAGGTGATGCCTTTAAAAGAGAAAGAAAGATACGGAAGTGAAGGCTGCTGTGTGACACAGAAGTCAGCCTGGGGGGCCTGCAAGGAGGGGACGCCTCATGTCCTGAGAAAGCTGGGGCAGGGGGCAGCATGAGGCCTTGGGGCTCTGGCCTGGAAGCTCCTGCAGAGGAAGAAGAGAACCCGGGGAGGAGATCCTGCCTGGCTGTGGCCTGGGGGCTTTCCACAGCTGTGTGGGTGGCCGCAGCTCCAGGGTGGCTGAATACTGGTAACAGCGGTGGGGGGTCCATCATACTCTTTACCAAAGGGTCAGGTTAGAGTGGACTAGTCCAGAAGGGGAAGGACAGCAGCTGCTATGCAGGAGCTCAGGCCTGTGGCCAGGGCAAAGGGCCGGTGTGGAAATCTCTCCTTCTGGCCTCAGAGAAAAGCAGAGGACAGGAGGTCGGGGGAGAAGGCTGTGAGTTTCAGAAAAACGAAGAGGTGCTTTCTGGAAGCCACAGATGGGTAATCTTCCCAGAAACAGAGTCAAGATCATTGACCTGGTGTTCTGTGCGGAACAGCTCTGGGTTCCCGTCAGGGTTCTCGGGGGCTCCTGAGAGATATGCCTGGGCCGTGGGCATCTCAGCGTGAGGCAGGCATCTGTACAGAGGGGCTCACGCATGCCTGAGCCAGATGCCGGCACAGAGGGGCACACTTGTGGAGCTGCACTCCCTCTGAGCTCAGATACTCTTCCTCTAGAACCAGAACCCCCATCAGTGCCTACAAACGGAACCCTCCGGGAAACAGAGACAACCAGGGGTGAGAGGTGGGGAGCAGTTGCAGCCCTCCCCAGAAGGTCATTTGCCCCCGGTAAACTGACGGTGCAAATATGACCTCGTGTGGCCCACAGCATCTGACGACTTTACACCAGGCTGGCAGGGCAGACACCCGGGTCAGAACTAAGCACACTAAGCCCTGGTGTGGTCAGTCTCAGGCTGCGGCCTCACAACCACAACAGCCAGGCAGGATGCTGCCCATGTAGGGCCACTGGAAGACAGTGAGTAGGGCAGGGTCCCCTGGTGAGGGGGATGGGGGCCAAAGGAACGGTACACCTCCCGGGCTTTCTCCGTCCCACCCTCATACTCACAGATTTCCTGTCAGTTTCAGGATGGGACCCTGCCACGCTCCTGGAGATCCCCTGCTGCTTGCTGCTAGGCACGCGGTGCTCACTCAAGGCAGGATCTGCCCGCACCCCAGTGCTCTCCAGGCAGGTGCCCGAATGGGAAAGAGGCAGGCCAGCGGTGCAGCAGGGCAAAGGCAGGCTGAGGCGGGGGCACAGGCCTCCAGGCCCCCAGAGCAGCACACAGGGTGGAGCCACAGGCCCTGCCCTCAGACACCACGCCCTCAAGGGACAGAAACACCAGCCAAAGCCAGGCCCCTCATGACACTCAGGCAATGAGTGAGGAATGCCCAAGTCCCCACTCCACCCCTGTCTGCTGGCACCCCACAATCCCAGCCCGATGCAGCACGCCTGCATGCCATCTGTCCTGCTCCTCTCCTGGCTCTGCCTGGGATCTCACAGCTGCCTCCTCCTGCCCAGCCCTATGGAACCCAGACCCAACCCCCACCTGCTCAAAGGCGGGGAGGCCAGGGTGGCACCCTCAGAAGGGCCAGGAGAGAACCCTGACCCACAGAGCCTGGAAGGCACCTGCCCCAAACTGCAACAGCTCACACTCCCTGGCCAGCCCCCAGGGTTGGCTTGCACCTAGACTGGCTGTCCTGGGCTGAACCCTGGAACCTTGGCCTGCTCCTGGTTACTTGCGGCCCCTCCCTCCCCACTCAGGCGGCTTCCTTGGGGGACCCAGGGAGGATCCCGCACAGCCTCAGGACAAAGTCAAAACCCCTCCCACCCTCATCCTGCCCCACCCAGCAATCCTCCCAGCTCTTTTCTGCACTGGATTCCAGGAGATTTTGTTAAAAGAAAGGTTCCATTAGGTTTAGAATAAAAATCTGTAAACCCAAGGACCAGAACTCCTTCTCCACATTCTTACAGCAAATTCTGTAATGGTCCCTTGGGGAAGCTCTCCCTCCCCACTGGCCCAAACCCCCACAGTCCAGAAGAGAAACAGGGCCCCTGGCCTGGCCCAGCCCAGTCTCAGCTCCTAAGCAGCAGGTGAACCCTTTCGCCATGGGCCAGCCATGACAGTAGGGTGAAGTCACCCCCAAAGGCCACCAGCCAAGGCACTGAGGAGCCAAGCTTGGCAAATGTCTGGGTGGCTGGGGATTCCTGGCACCCCTGCCACCTCCCCTGGAGCCCTTGCCAGCCAGACACATGAAAACGTCCAGCCATGGCGTGTTTTCAGAGCACGCCCTGGCTTAAAAGGCAGGTGAAGGAGGCCACTCTGCTGACACTCCTCCAGTCCTGCCACAAAGAGGGGAAAGCCTAGGTGCCCACTCCCCTCCTGACACAGGCTGGAGGGGTGGATCTGGGATGTCTGCATCTGCACAGAGATGGGTATGGGTGTGGGGAGAGCCCCACCTCTGGAGCTGGAGTGACAGGCTCAGGGTGGTGTGGGTGCGCAGCGCTAGCAGGAGGTAGCTGCTAAGTATTGGCAGGTGTTTGTCCCAGGGGGTTGGAAAACATCCCCCAGGGCCAAAGTCACCCCTGACAGCCAGGCCATTTGTGCACAGCAAGTATTTAGGGCAGCAACCAGGCATGGGCCACTTGCAATGCGTGGCTCTCCTGTCTCTGCTGCCGTCTCAGAGGGAGGGACACTGAACACATTATACAAAGACTGACAAGTGACCAGAAGTATGGGTGGGGACAGGAGATCAAGAGGTCTCCCAGGGAAGACTAAGGAGCAGGTTAATTCGTGCACCAGAGCCTCAGACCTCTCCAAGGAGACCTTCCCCATGGAGTCATGGTGACCCGCAGTCAGTGGGCACATCCCCACATCAGGACTCAGCCTGGCCCGAGGGCTGTGCGTGCTGTTGGAAAGCCAGAGCTGGCCAGCTCTTAACAACAACAGGCAGTTTAAGTAGAAAACTTTTCCAGGTCATTTCTTGAAGTTGGAAATCATCTCCTAACATGAAATCCAGTTCTTGCTCCTGCGGTTCAGGAGACTGACGGCATGGGTGGGCACACAGACTCTGCCAGGGCCCATCAGCACCCAGGCCACCTGTGGGTCCCCACTGGAGGCTGGATGCACCCCTCATGCCTCCTTGCCTTCTCCCTTCAGGTGAGCAGCCTGAAGGCTGGTCTCCTTCCCACTGCTGGGGGCCGACACCTGGTGGGAGGTGTGCAGACTTAAGACTGCAGGATGCTGTTTGGGAGGCTGTGTGCACCCAGCCTTGTCTGTGGGCACTGCATCCCGCCTTACGGCTGGGGGCAAGTCTGAAATCCCGAAGGCAACTGCCTCTGCAGAACATGCAAATGTGGCCACCCCAGACCTTGCTGCTGTTTCTCCCAGGATGGTGTCTGCTGCACACCTGAGCCGGCGGGCCCTGTGCAAGGGTGCAAGACAGTCCCCAGCTCAGGCGCCACTCTACACCCAGTCACTCAAAGCAGAAGAGAGAAGAGGCCACTCATGACCACAAGAGCAGAGCACGGAGACAGTATGTGCCTCGGCGTCCTCCTCTCCCCAAGCACAGGAGCCTGGCCAGCAGGGGGATGCGGAAACTCCATGGCCAGGAGTGGCCCCGACCCCCTCCAGCAAGCAGGCCCTGCCTGGGGAACAGGCACAAGTGTCCACGGAGCAATCAGACGCCGGGAGAGCGAGGAAGGCCATGCTCTCCTTAGTCACTCCAAATGTTCACCTCCGACCACAGGAAGCGCCTCTATACAACAAAATACACTCACAGGAAGACGGAAATAAAGCAGGAAAGGGGTGCGAAGGCCCAGCTCAGCAGCCAAGAGGCCAGCCTCAAGAAGGCCTCATGCTTCCCTTTAGGAAACAATCCTCATATTTGCAAACATAGAACTGCTGCCCCAAAAAAGAAAGAAAATAAAGAAAAAAATACATATATCCGCAGATGGCCCAAAGCTCATGAAGGCAATTACTCCTGTAAACAAGAAGTGGAATGCCTGTGGAAACGAGCGAAGCCCAGGCGAGACACAAAAATAGCAAACCTAAGTCCTGAGTGGGATTCTCCGGGCTGCTGATGGCTGAGATGCCGACCGCAGCGATGAGCTCGCCCCACTTGAAGGAGCTGTTATGAAGCGATCCAGTGAGGCAAGTTTTGCTGCAAACAGGATTTCTGTTCTCTACTAAAGAGCTGTCAGTTAAGAAACCTGTCATGGTGCCTGGGTCTCAGGAGGGAAGGCGGGGCACCCAGCAGGGCACTGCGTCCCTGGGAGGGCAGCCGGCATCCTCACCCAAGACTGCCCAGTGTGGGGAGTCTCACCCAGAGAATGCCTGGTCTCCGAAAGTCCTTTCCTTGGGGTGGGGTCACTCGGCAGGACTAGCATGGCCACCTGCAGGCACAATCTCTCCTGTCCCTGTAAGACTGCCCAAGACTACTGACACAGGGTGCAGGGCAACTTTCAAGCCCACCTCAGAGAGGTGGACTTGTCCAGAACTGTTCTGATGACTGGTGACTGAGTCTTTCACCTTGAGGTTGAGGTTTCAGTTCATCTACTTCTGCTAATTAAAGAGTCTAGCCAGGTACAGCCTGTTGGTACCTGAGAGGGGTTGGTTACCTGGTAACACGTGAGGCTCACCTGAGACAGGGTCACCACTCCCTAGTCTGAGCATGCCTGATGTCTAGCAACAGGGTCTCCATAGCAACAACAGGATGCTCACAGAAGCTCACAGGCTGTACCACTTTTCTGCAGCCAGTCTGGGTTTATCCAGGAGGATACAGACGCAGAAGCTGAGGCTGGATGCGCCTGGGGCTGGGATGCCAGGAGCATCACCCCACATGCTGTGTCACAGGGTGACTCTGGGAAGGGGGGCTCAGGTCAGGCTGTGAGGATCCTGGAAAGTGACCCAGCACCTGCTTTAAAACAGTAGTTCTGGGCTGGGTGTGGTGGCTCACACCTGGAGTCCCAGCACTTTGGCAGGCTGAGCTGTGAAGATAGTGTGAGCCCAGGAGTTTGAGGCTGTGGTGAGCCATGATCGCACCACTGCACTCCAGCCTGGGTGACAGACTGAGACCCAGCCTCAAAAAAAAAAAAAAAAAGTTCTGAATTGTCCCAGCCTCAAAAAAAAAAAAAAAGATTCTGAATTGTCTATGTGTCTGTTTCTTTTCAAAAGAGAAGACAGCAAACCTGTCTGTTCATTTAGGTACCCATGAACAATACTGCAGGGGGTGAAATTTTGCTCTTGCAAGTTAATCACCACTTACCCGACACACACACGTACACACACGTGAACACACACGCACACACACCCCTCCTACTGGGTGCCTCACCCACATTCTACCCCTCTGCTCCTAGAGGCAGCATGACCAGACCCACTTCACAGTGAAAACCCAGAGATGGGCTCAGCCTGTCCCACTCTGAGGCCAGGGCTCCTCATCACTACACCACAGTGCCTCTGTTTAGATAACAAAGAACCAACAGACAAGAAGGCCTTTCTCTGATGAAAAATAAAACACTGAGAGCCTCCCAAGGAAGGTCATGCAAATACAACATTTGTGGAGTCAAGCTTCCATGAGGCGATCCAATAAGAGAGACACAGCAATGTCTCGGGGCTCCAGGTCCAGAGCCCAAATTGTCAGGATGAACACAGGGCACAGGGGCGCTGGGTCTCCCGTGAAACTCCCAAGTGTGCTCATGTTTTGGACTCCTTTAACACTTTCCAATACTATTTCAATACCTTTGACTTGAGATTTTTTTCTTTTGTTTTTAAGATAGGATCTCCCCGTGTCGCCCAGGTTTGAGTGTAGTGGCAAGATCGTGGCTCACTGCAGCTGCCACCTCCTGGGCTCAAGTGATCCTCCTGCCTGCAGGCTCCTGAGCAGCTGGTACAGGTGTGTGCACCACCATGCCCAGTGGAGTCTCACTATGTTGCCCAAGCTGGTCTCGAACTTCTGGGCTCAAGCAATTCTCCTGCCTCAGCCTCCCAAAGTGCTGGGATTACAGGCATGAGCTACCATGCCCAGCACGAGTTTTTTCTTAAACACTAAAAAAGTATATTTTCCAGGAAAAAAAATCAAATTCTGCATACATCTTTGAAGGGGGTGATGTTAGCAGGACTGTTTCTGCTTTACAAACAGAGAAAGGATGACAAGAAAGGAACTGAGCACCCAGGTGAGGAGGGATGCTGGGGCCCTCACCACAGCCCTGTGCCACCCAACCGCAGGAGAGCTGCCTGTTCAACAGGGAAACCTGGAAAGGCCAGGAGGCTTGGGGTGTGCACAAGCAACACCAGGCACTCATTCCAAAACAAATGCAGCAAATCTGAACATCTTTTTTGGTGCTGAGCTCCCTTGGCAACTGCCACAGCTGCTGCTGCACAGAGAGGCTTTGTAGGCAGGTTCACGCCTGAGGTTGGCCATGAGGGCAGTGGAGAGAGGACCCACAAGGCAGCCCAGCCCAACTGGGTACATCCTCAGCCTGCCTCAGTCGTGAGAAGGGACCCAAATAGACCTGCAGGCCTACAACGAAGACGAGACCCTGGAAACAGGCCTAGAGGCAGAGAGGCTCACAGGACACACCACCCACCAGGGCAACCTGGGTCAGCCCTACTGACAGTAAAATAAACAAAGCCACTTCCCTGGATCCTCACCTGGCTCCTCCATGGGGCAGGTGACTCTTTACAAGATAATCCATGGGTGGGCAGAGCAGGGAAGCCCAGTGAAATCCAAGGTGAAGGGTCAGGCCTGCACGAGAGCCCGCTGCTGCATCTCCCACAGCAAAGTGCCACCTGGGGCACTCCCACGAGACAGCAGGCGGGGGGCGGGAGGACATCCACTGGGCGCAGCCAGCCCAGGCTACCTAGGTGAGCAGTTAGAATTTAACAGCAAACACCAACAAGGTATAAACAAGCACATGCCCTGACCTGCAGGGAGGGGGCCAGGCCTCTGGCGGGAGAGTGCAGCACTGGGTGGGAGGGCGCTCCTCGGGCTCAGTCAGACGCATCAGCCTTCAGACAGCTTCTGGAAGCACCAGTTGTGGGTATCTGAACCCCCCACAGGGGAGAGGCATCTCCCCAAAATTTTCCATGGAACTTAATTAGCCTCAAAGCCAATAAAATCCTCGTGTGGTGTCTACGTAAGCATGCCTGGTCCCTGGATCGTGGCCAGTGCTCTCCCAGCCTCCCGTGCCAGCTGTCGGCAGTGGGGGGTCCTCTGTGCTGCCCCCGCACTGCCTCACCAGGGCCTTGCCACCGTCTAAAAGAAAAGTCAATGAATCACTAAAACATTCCTCCTATAAAGGGAAGACAAATGTTTATTAAGAAATTATAGAAACCAGGTCAGACATTTTGGTATCTTAGTCATTCTTGCTAATTTAAAAAAAAAAAAATCAAAATAGAAACCCATCCTAGAAACTTGAGACAATGGGAACTTCTCTAGCCAGGAGCACTTGGAGCCATGGCACAGCCCAGTTGCCAAGGCAACCCAGTGTTTACCTCCAGTTCTGCTGTGTAGGAGGACCCTGACCATGAGCAGGGACAGTCAGCCAAGCCACCTCCTCCCAACACCCAAGGTACAGGCCGCCAGGGCATCCCCAGAGGGCGGAAGAAGGAAGCCACAGCCTCCCCCACAGTGTCTCCCAGGATGAGCAGCTACAGACAGCACAAAGAAGGGGTGCCTTCACCCTCCCTCCTCAGGCCCCCCTGGGGTCTGCTCCCCTGTATACCCACCTGCTGCTTGTCCTAAGGGCTGGAAACCCCTGAAGGCTGTTAAAGAAATGCTCAGATCCCACAGTACAAGGGGGAGTAGAGGAAGTGAGAATGGGGCCAGACTGAACCTCAGCTTGGCAGCCAAGGAGCTCAGTTCCCATCCATTAACCCGGCCAGGGCCAGGATCCCAGCAGGCTGCTGGCCCCCCTGGTTTGCAGAGGAGGAGCAGAGAGACCAGGGGGCAGAATGGCCCAAGATGGAGTACCTCATCAGGGACCAAGGGTACACACCCTCTGGCTTGGCTCCAGGGTCCCACCCTCCATCCTGAAGGCTGGTTCTGCCTACACAGCCACGGCTGGGCACGCACTGCTGCTTCCTACCCTGCTCTTGTAGAGACCGGCCTTTAAGTGATGCAGCCCCACTGGGGTTCATAGGGCTGGGAGAAACAAACATTGTGCTGCAGCCCGCACCACCTGGCCAGATGCCTCAAGACTGGGTTACTTCCAGTGGAACGATTGTTCTGAGACTTGGCTGCATGGCTGACCACGTGTGCATGCGCATATACAAGCACATACACACATGCTGCAAATACGGGCATATATACACACACACATACACATACACGTGCACACACTCACATAAATGTCCATCTTCCAAGGCCATGTGCAGTGCTAGATGTGCAAAGGAATTCAAACGCTTGGCTCATAATCCAGGGCAACTAGGAAGATCAGGGAAACAAACTTTGAAATTTCTCAAAGGCTAAAGTGAGTGAACTTAAGAATGATACAATTTGTCCAAAGCAAACTGCTGAAGTGTACTACCCAGCCCATCATTAGGGAAACTTCAAATCACAAGCTATAAGTAGCCAAGGCTGTATTTCCTGTAAGACTCTAAAGCCTGACAGTAATTCAGGAAAACCACCTACCTGCTCGCCAACACAGCAGCTCTACACCTGTGACAGTAGACACTGACAGGCTCCTGCTCTGTCAGCCGCAAAGGGGACACAGAATAAAGTGCTAAAACTAATTTCAACCTTGATAAAAGATGGTATCCTGCAAAGCCCCTCAGGCTTACCCAGAGAATGCCCTGGCACCTTAGGCCAAGCAGCAAAGTACAGTCATGCACCACATAATGACGTTTCAAACAATGACAGTCCACGTGGGACGAGAGGCTGGTCCCATAAGACGACACCCCATTTTAATTGTACCTTTTTCTATATTTAGATACAAAATGCTTACCATTGTGTTACAGTTGCCTACAGTATTCAGGACAGTACTATACTGTACCGGCTTGCAGCCTAGAAGCAAGAGGCTACACCATACAGCCTAGGTGTGCAGTAGGCTATGCCATTTAGGTGTGCATAGTAAGTGCATTCTATGATGTTCACATAAGGACGAAACTGCCTAACAACACACTTCTCAGAACGCACCCGTCATTAAGCAACCTATGACTGTAATTTTAGAAAGGGCCTGCCATGCAAGCAGAAAAAAAGGGCGCTCTGGAAAAGATAATAAAACCTTGGGCATCTTCCCTCAGAACACACAGCTGCAAGGGGCCAGAGCCCCTGTGGGTCCTAACGTGCTGCTGTCCAAGGCCTCCTTCTGCCACACCATCCGTGCTAGAAGACAAAAACAACAACTGGTGGACAAGCACAGGAGAAACCTTCCACGTGTAAGGCGGGCGGAAGAAGGAAGTAAGACCTCAGCGATGGGATGGAGGGAATCTGAGTCCCTGCCTGCCCTGCCGCACGCCACTTAGCATGCCTAGTGGGAGAGGGACATGGGGGCAGATGGCACCCCTGTGGATGCCTTCAATGACGAGTAAACAAACCAGACATGGACAGTCATGCAGGTGAGGACAACGGGGCAGTAAGTCTGGAGAGCAGATAGGCCAAACTATGCAAAGCAAGACCATGGAGAGCCTGCCAAATGCTCAGACTGTGTGTCACATTTACATATCCCAGATTCGGATGTGTGGGAACCATGTCATTAACTCCCATTTATCCGCCCTGGTCCCTGAAAATGTGTTGGGGTTTGTTGTTGCTATGATGCCCAGGTGCACCCAAGGTGCTGACCCCGGCTCCCAGATCCTGGCTTTGAGCAGCACCCCAGCCAGTGGCCCAGGTGAATAGCCTTAACCTTTTTGGTAACCCGAGACCAATGACCTGCTGGACCCATGCCCTCTGCCCCACTCCCAGTCAACAAAGGAGTCAGGTTCTGAGACTCACATACGCCTTCGCTCTATTTCCAATCTCTTTTCCAACAATTCCTTGCAGACACCCCTATTCATGCTCTGCCATCAACTTTAACTTCTACCAATACCCCTAAACCAAGTTCCCTGTATTATTTTTCTTGTTTAGTGAGCATTTAGACAATAAAAGGGTTAAAGACAAGTAGAAAGGCTCAGAGAAGTTTATCAGAGGAGGAAATTCTGGCTGTATCACAGGCCCTGCACATACTTAGGTGTGGCCCAAGAAGGACTCTCAGGTCTCGCTAACCCATGCATACCTGTTAGATCTCCAGGGAGCACCTGACCACCTCCCACATGCCAGGACACTTGGCCTCCCCATCCACAGCTTGGACCCACATATGGAAGCACAAGGCTCCTGCCATCCCCAGTGGCCATAGGTCTTGGGGTCACTGCTTTGTTCACAGGCTCTCCTTACTCCAGGAGGAAGACAGATGTGTCCCCCAACGAGGCCAGACCGGGAAAGGATGGTGGCCCCCCCAAGCATTAGCTGCCAGTGCTCCAAAAGGGAATGAGGAGGCCCCACCCAGGGCCCTGACCACTCGCCAGGCTGCTCAGGCATCACCTCACCTCCCATGTGTGTCCAGTGTACGCTGGGGTCGGGGGAGAAGCTCGTGGCTCCTCTGAGCCCACGTCATCCTCTCCCCACTCCCAAGCTTCCTCCCACCTGGCCTGTGCTCACAGGAGACAAGCACGTGACACAACTCCACCTTTAGAAGCTTCTCCTGAGACAGGAGGCCAAGGTAGGCTCTGAGCCACATGCTCTTTGGTAAGCGATTTTTGCTCTGGGCCTTCAATTCTTGCAGAGCTCTTTCATGATGCAGCGTGGGCTCCAGCTTCAAGGAGACGAGCCTGTGCCCTGTGCCTGGGGACCCAGGGTCACCCATCCATGCAGAGTAGGCCACACCCCTGTGGCACCAGCATAAGGACATTTAATCTGAGACATCAAGCTTCAGTGCTTCCCCAAACAAGTCACCTTGGGACAGACTGGCCAATGGCCACGGAGTGCAGCCAAGTTTCTGGTTAGCAAGTGTTTTTGTGTGATGAACTTCAAAAATGGAGAACAATAAACAGAATACTCCCCCTGCCAAGTGTGCTGTCTTGTTTGTCCAGAAAGATGTTGGTAAAAACCAGGGACTGGTCAAGGCTGTGTTTCTGGTGCTCGGTGCCATGCTGTGCCCTCCCCCCGCCCCCTGCCCCGCCACCACACACACACACACACACACACACACACACACACACATACACACACACACAATGCCCAACAGCAAATGGCGATCACAGCCTGGCCCTGCATCAGGAGGGGAACTGAAGCAGTGTGGAGGACACAGGAGCCGGTCACTCTGCTGGGCAGGGCAGCAGGGTGTGAAGGCATAGCCCCTTCACCACAGCCCTAGTTTCAACTGAACAAACTTCATGTCTCCCCCAAAAGCCTGCCTCACAAACAGCTGGTAACATTTGCTGGGGATGAAGACGGACCTAAGATCTAAAACTGAACTAGAAATCAGAAGTTCCACATAGCCACTATGTTCCAGGTGTGGATGCTCCCCCATTCAGCAAGCATGAGCAGGGTGCCACGTCCACTCACACACACACCCATATGTGTTTCTACACATGTACGTGGCTATGGAGGCATACGTGTTTATGGCCAAATGGCAGAGCTTTTGGTTGGGTGAGGATTTCTTCTGTGCCCAGTGCCCGATTGATGCCAAGAGTAAAACAAGTTCGAGTTTCTGTTATTTTGGCCCAGAAGAGTGTCCAAAGCCTTCTGAACTCAGTATCTCCCACCCCGAGGACTGCACTGGTGGCTGTCTCCATGACCCCAACCTCAGCCACACAGCACAGTGGCTGCTTCTGAATTGCCAAGCTGGAGAAAAGTTTATTCCCATCTCGACAGGAAGTTGACTTCTCAAGAAAATAATCCCATTTGGGGCTTTGAAAGGAAAGAAAAGGTCGGGTGTGGTGGCTCATGCCTGTAATCCCAGCACTTTGGGAGGCCGAGGTGGGCAGATCACCTGAGGTCAGGAGTTCGAAACCAGCCTGGCCAACATGGTGAAACCCCGTCTCTACTAAAAATACAAAAATTAGCTGGGCACGGTGGCAGGCGCCTGTAATCCCAGCTACTTGGGAGGCTGAGGCAGGAGAATCACTTGAACCCGGGAGGCGGAGGTTGCAGTGAGCCGAGATTGTGCCATTGCACTCCAGCCTGGGGGACAAGAGCAAGACTTCGTCTCAAAAAAAAAAAAGAAAGAAAGAAAAGAAAAACAGGTTCAGGTGTGTGGACTTAGGACAATTTTTGTTTATTTCTTGAAAGCACATAAAGACTCACCAGGACTTAGAGAGTGTCACCCGCCGTAGGCCCTCCCCAGCCCTAGGAGACAGGCTGCCTGTGGCCACAGGGCCGGCATTCAGGTGGGCTGACCAAGAACACACTCACAGTTACCCTTGAGCTGGCTATTAATACCATCTGGAGCCATTTTCATTCAAAAGAAAATCAGGGTGTCTTGTCTGTTTGGGGAAAGGAGCACCTAGGCCTCCTCCAGGTGGTCCTTTGACTTCAAAAGCCTTCCAAAGCTGAACCCAACCCCCAACATCTCTCCAGTCAAGGAAGCTGGAAGATGGAGTAGAAACCAACCAGGTGGACAGAAGGGGCTGAGCCTGGCCGCCCACCTTAACCATGTGATCCTGCAGTAGGACAGGCTAATATCCCATGCCCTCCCCCCCCCATGAGGCGATGGAAGTGCCCAGTATCACCTGTGCCATATTTTGGACCAAAATTTGTTTAAACCAGACCTGATCACGGGAAACAATCAGACCAATCCACATTGTGAGTTGTTCTACAAGACAACTGGCTTTGGGCCTTCAAATGCCAGCGTAACATAATAAAGGACCAAAAGATGGGAAACTATCCTAAACTAAGGGAAACTAGAGAGGACAACCAAATGCAATGTGTGATTAACTGGATCCTGAATCCTATACTGGACATTTTAGGAATCACTAGGGGAACTGAATATGGACTGCGTATCAGATAATATATAATATTTAAAGAGAGAGGCGAGATGGAAAAGGGAGAAAAATATAGACAAAAAATTAATTTTTCTTTCTTTAGAAAGAAAAAGAGAAGGAGGAAAGGAGAAAAATGTGGCAAAATATTACCCAATGACCCTATGGGAAGAGTATAGGAGTGTTCACTATACTACTCCCTCAACCTTTAAGAAGCAGCAAAAATCTGTGCGGGAAGCCGTGTGCTGGGGACATCCAGATTTCTACTACCACAGGGCCCTGCTCACCTGCAGTGACCTGAAACACTGGTCCAGACAGGAGTGGCAGTAGGACACAGCAGGTACACCCACCTCGGGGGCGGCTGCCCAGGCTCAAGCCCCAGCTCCAATCCCTGTTCCACCCTCACTTACTGTGTGACCTTGGGCATGATTCCTAAGGCACTGGAGCCTTAGCTTCCTTATTTGAAATTTAGTATTAATAATAGAGCCTACTTCATAGGGTCCTTGTGAAGATTAGATAGCTTGATGTAAACTAACACAAACAGAATGATGCCTGGCCCCTAGAGCAAACAGTCTGGAAGTCTTAGGATTGTGAAAGTTGAGTGTACTATTCTAGAAGTTTTTATTTTTAAAACTATTTTAATTGCTTCCTGAAAGCACAAACTGAACACACTTCACAGTGCCATGGTATCTCAAGATCCCTGCTAGAGTGTTCATTATTCCAGGGTCTCTCATGCAGACCTCAGGGATTGCTGCGGAGAAACATGTGCCTCTCCACAAATGGCCCCATGCTTGTTCCAGTGCTGGTTGACTGTAGGGCTTCTTCATGACCCATTTAAACACACACACTTACACATGCATATGTTAACAACCTGCTGGTTTGTTTCTTCCCCTGCCTTTAGCTGCCATCCATGTCTTTTGCCCTTCCCCAGTAACCAATCAGATTAAAGCTATGTGTAAAGTGGGAGCACACAGGATCTAAGGGCAGGAGGCTGTCAGAAGCTTGAGAATTGGGCTTCAGGGCACCTACTCAGAAGGATCAGGCCCCCATCTCTGCTGTGTTCCAGACATGTGAAGCCCCAGACACAGGCTACTGGTTTAATGAACTGCGTCCTATCAGTTTGCTCAGGCAGCACAGCTTCCAGCCTTCTTTCAGCGAGGGGGAAGGGGGGAGTGGAGATGGCGCCACACCAGCCCCCATCCTACTGCTCCAGGGCTGAGCGCCCACCACACACTTTCCAATCTCTGTAAAACCAGAACTGAAGATGGCCAAGAGAGCCAGCCACCAGGCGTGCGGGAGTGACAGTGGTTTTGCTGGTACTGTTTTAAACGTTCTCAATGTTCTCACACATGCAAAAGGAGAATTGGGAGAAGGAAACATTTTCAAGAAGGTGGAGTCGTGACACAATAGGTCTCTCCCTCAGAGCGGGGACTAACAAGTGTGGTCTCTTTCCTTGAAAAACATAACACAGTAACTCCACAACACATTTAACCAACACTTATCAACCCTGTCAATACCACCACTAGGTCTCAATCCTACAGAAATGCCAGCTCCTCTGCACCAAGACACACACACACCAGAGTCCACTACTACACAACTTGTAATAGCAGAAAAAACAAAAAAAAGGCAATGTAGCTGTCCTTTCCATAAGTGAAGGGTAAATAAGTTACAATGCAGCCATATAACCACATCTTGGAATACCATGCGGCTGTGAAAAAGAATGAAGATGCCTCATTTAAGCAAACACACGGAACAAAATGCCAGCAGTGAGATACTTGCTAGGATCCTATTTAAGTATGTTTCAAAATGTCTACGTGGACACACACATATGCATATGTGCAAATCCATCTAGAAGGTCTGTAAAGAAAAACACCAACGCGGGGTAACAGTGGTTTGGTGGTGGTGCAGGCTGGCACCTCCCATGCTGCATACATTTCTGCATTGTTTGAGGAGTTTCACAACTAGGGCCACTGGCAGCCTGGGACAGCGAGGGTACGAGAGGGAGGGGTGGGCGTGCTGAGCCACTGGCCTGTGTGTGTCTCTGAACAAAGCACAGGCCACCAACAAGCCTGGCTTTGCCCTGGGTAAAGGAGATCCCACCCAGATGCCCTCTGCTCTGCCAGATGCCCTCTGCTCTGCTTTCCCAGGCAGCAGCATCAGGGAGGACCTGCAGGGAGCCCAAGGGGCGGTGTGCTTGGAAACAAGTCTCTAAAGCCAGAGTGTGCCCTGGGGGAGGGGTCGCAATAATCTGTCAGGATCAAATCCTTGCTTCAGTGGGTAAAGATAAATTTCAGGTGAACCCCACCCAAATTATCACAGGAAATGGCTGACAGAATGTGATCTTACTCTACTTCCCTCCTCCACCCCAAACAGGGCCAGGTGACCACAAACATGCCTCGGGTTCTGCAGGAGGGAAGGCTGGGCACGCCACTGTGCCCACCTTTCCATGGGACCCCCAGAACCCAGAAAGGGCCCAGCATGCAGAGAGATGTTTTGACTCCAGCGCTGGAGGGAAAACAGGGCACAGAGCAGTTTTGAAAACAATTCTCTGTGGGAACAAATAGGTAGAAATGTATTCAGGGTCTCTCTGCCAAGAAAGACCAAGTGGCCATTCTGCTGGGGGCCTGCCAAGTCTCCCCATTCAGGACAACACGCAGGACTCTCCAGAGGCAGGATCTGGGCAACCAGTCTGCCCTCAAGAGGGCCCCAGCCTGACCTATCGAAGGTGAGTCCTTGAATTCCTGCATCAAAGCACCTCAGGTTCCAAGAAAATCTGCTCCTGGTCTTGCTGCTCCCCTAAGCCCCTCTTAGCAAACTTTCCAGGTCTGGACTCGGAAGTTCTAATTGGCCAAATAATAAAGTAGCACGAGCTGCAAAGATGTTTTTCTTGGTTTTGTGTTATTACGCATTGTTATAATATCAACAATTACCTAAATGTGACAGAGACCAATGTGTCCACAGGATAACTCCTGGAAGAGTGGGAGTGGGAAACCACACTGCTACACAGCTAACCAGGACAGAAAGCTCTTAGCATGCAGCTGTTCAGAGAGTGGGGGTGGAAAATCAGAGCAGAGCCACGGCCAAGGGACCACAAGTGCCTCCAGAGTCAAGGCTGACCCTTGCACTTCTCAAAGGGTCTTCACATACTTGACCTCATGTCCCTGAAGACTTTGCAGGTGGTCAGGGCAGACATCACCAAGTTGCAGGGAGATCTGGGAACCGGTCCCTGGTCACATAGAGGAACAGCACAGAGCAGCTGGCCACCTTCCTGGTTGTGATATTCACCCTCTGCCATGAAATTACTGTGGATCCTGGAAATGCGGGAAGTGGGGCGGGGGCACCTTCCCGAGCCTAATGGAGTACGGGGCCCGGCATGACCTCAGTCACTGACTGCAGAGACCCCACAATGCTGCTAGAGGCCCACAAACCACGGACACCTCAGAGCCCACGGCTGCAGCAAAGCCATCACCTTGTGCCCTGCCTTCTCAGTCATCCCTGAGGCCTGCCTGGGTTTCTCCCTTCTGCAAGATGCTCTTTTCTCCCCCAACAGCAAGCTCCTCTTCTCCCTTGAGGAACACCAGTTACTTATGCTCTGCACACCTGGGAAGGGGCTGGAAATGGGCTTCCCAGGGGTGCCCTCCACCAGATGCTGAACCAGACTCCCTCCAGAGGCAGGTTTCTGGGCAGTTCAACTCTCATAATGGGTCACCTGGGGTACCGGTAACATGCACTCCCAACTGCACGCTGGAACTGTGTGTACTAGGTCGGCATCAGGGGCCCGGAAATCTGCATTCTTCCCAACTCCCCGCCACCCCGCTGCCGGAGCCCTGTGCACTTCCAACTTGGAGGCCGGCTTCCACCCTGGAGGTAGGACTTCTGATGTCTGCACACCTGAAGGGTGGAATAGTTTCTCTGCTTCAAGAACGAGCACTGTAGCACACTGCAGACACTCAAAGGGTTGGTCCCGTGCTCTTTTGCCTGCCTTCGGTTTCCAGGCGCTCCGAGGAAACTGGCCCCACCTACAGCGGGAGGCCCGGGTCTCCAGAGCCCCTGCGCCAATATTCTAGTCAAGAGGCTCGCGCGGGGCCAGAGCCTGAAGCGGGAGATGAACCCACCAGGAAGACATCCCAAGGCTGAGGCCCTGACAAGCCGGCCCCGCCCACGACGGCGAGCCCCTCCCCTCGGCCACCCCCCTCCTCAATTCCCCGCTACCGGTGCTGCCGAGTGGCAGGCCACCCTGACAGAGGCCGTAGAAAAATTTCCCAAACATTAAGTATCCTGCCCAGCACGGGCATCATCCCCCAAAGCGGATCTCAACCCCAGCCACGCCCCAATCGCTGCCCCCACCCGATACTCAGGATCCACCTGGAGCCGAGCTGAGCCTAGCCTGGCCCCTCCCCCAGGGCCACACCCACCCTGCAGCCGCGTCCCGAGCTGAACTCTGAGCCCACACTGACTCCCACCCCCAACCTGAGCCCCCACACCCTTAACTGACCCCGAATGCCTAGAAATGGCCCCGCTCTCACCCTCTACCCCATCACCTGCCACGTGGTTTGGAGCGGCCACAAAAGCCTCCCTGGGGAAAGTTAGTCCGAGATCTGAAAGCCTCACCTGCAGACCTTGGGCCCTTTCAGTTCCAAATGGTAAAAAAAAGGGGCCTTCAGCTCTAGGGTATCCAAGGCTGCAGCTTCTTTTTATGCCTTTTAATCACTATGTGAACTATTTTACAAATGAGAGACCACCACCCTTGGTCACAAGACAACAGTATTCAGTAGACGGGTTTTGAGCCTGCCCCCAAGGTAGAAGAGGTGAGTGTCACAGAAGAACTCACGTGAGCTCAGAGGAAGCATACAATTCTTTACACCAAAATGGGGAAGGATTGCCGTCCATTAAAATATTTTCATCTTTATGTTAAAAACGAAACAAAAAGGGGGGAGGGAACCGCCACAGATGAATCAACTACAAAGTATCGGGCCGCGCGTGGGAACTGTTGCCGCTGGGCTGGCGGGGGCGGGCGGTGATCCCCAGGCTGGAGGCTCAGCGCCCGCCCTGGTGCAGGTGCCGCCCGCCCCGCACCGGCCCAGGGCAGGTGAGAGGTGGGCAGGCGAGAGGGCAGCACGGAGGATGGGCAGCGGCCAGGGCATTCCTTTCCGGAGAGAGCCTCGAGGCCGAGGAGCCTAGGGCCGGGCGCGCCCCCGCCGGGCCGGATGGGCGGGGGCTCCCACAAAGAGCCGCAGGCGGGGAGCGGGACCCGGGACCGCCCCCCGCATCGCCAAGCGCCGCCGCTGACTTTGGTTACGACAAATTAAACCTTAGAGCGCTGGAAAAATTACAGGAAGAAGAGAGCGAAGAATGTGCCGAGTGGCGAAGGAAACCTTGTCCCTGCGTGAACTTCGCCCGCCGCGCGCCGGGGCCGGCCCCTCCCCTCCTGAGCGCGCGCCCGGGCAGCGGGGGAGGAAACGAGGAGGGACCCCGGAGAGCGTCCCCTGCCCCCGCTCCGGGCGCCCCACCGTCACGAGTGCCGCCTGCGGTCCACACCCAGGCCGCCCGCACCTGCCCGCGCCGCCTCCCGGCCGGGAGGGGTCCCCGCCCCCAGCCCAGATGACTATATCCGCCCCCGCGGCCCCACCCGAGCGCGCCCGGGGAGGGGGCGTGCCCGGCGGGGGCGCGGTCGCCTGGCGGGCGCCGGCTCCGAGAGCCAAGACCCGCCTCGCGCGACGCGCGGGGCCAGCCGCGGGTCGGAGCGGCAGGGGAAGGGGCGAGGCCCCGGGCGTTCCGGCCCGCCCGGCCCCCACCTCGCGCCCCATCGGGGACTCCGGGGGCGTGGTCGGGCAGCTCGCGCCGACCCCGTCCGCGCGATCCGGGCGCCCGCGCCGCCCCACTGACCTGTGTGAGTTCTCAGGTGCGCCTTGAGGTGCGAAGATTTCCCGTAAACTTTCTCGCAGCCCGCGTAGTGGCACTTGTGCTTCCTCTGCGGGGACTCGAGGTCGGCGCGACTTCGGCCCCGCCGGACCCTTTGTCTGAGGCCGGGCTCGCCGCTCCCCGCGGGCCCCGGCTCCCGCTCGGGCTCCAGCCCCGCCTCGGGCTCCGGCTCGCTCCACGCCGGGCTGGGGGGCGCGGCCGCCGCGCCTTCGGCGCCGGGGGAGGTGGGCTCGGGGGCGGGCGGCGGCAGGCGGCAGGGGGTCCTCGCCTTCCGGGCCGCGGCGCCCTCCCTGCGCTCCGCCGGGGCGGGCGCCGGCGCTTGCTGGTTGAGGTCCGCTAGGATCCGCGCCACCACGAAGAGCGAGGCGCTGTCCTTACCGTCGCGGCGCTCCTCGACGCGGGGCAGCGTGGGGGTGGCGGCCACGGCCGCGCCCTCGGGCCGGGACTCCGGCCCCTCCCGCGGCCCGTGCACGACCGCGCGGCTCGACATGGACACGAGGCACTCGGCGGCGAAGTGGTCCACATAGGCGGCGGCTGCCATGCTGCGGGCTGGGGCCGGCGGCGGTGCTCTTGCTGCGAGTCGTCAGCCGCGCATCCGCACCCACGGCCTCGGGAGAGCGGGCGGGGGGCGGGGGCGCGGCGCGCCCTCTCCTCGGGCTGGGCTGGGCTGGGCTGGGCGCGCAGCCGCCTGTGCCGTCACCCGCGCGGCTCCGCGTCTGCGAGGCGCCGGCCCGGCCGGGCACCGAAGAGTGAGCGCATGGGGCGCGCGGGCGACTGGGGTCCCCGCGCGGCGTCAGGGGCGGCCGGTTCTAAGGATGCCGAGCGGCAACGTTAGGGACCACCTCGCCAAGTCGCGGCCGCAGCTTCGCCGCGCATTGTGGCAGGCGGGACAGCTGCCGTGCGCGCCGCGGCTCCGTGTGGGCGGCCCGGCCCCGGGGGTGGGCGGGGCCGGGGCCACATCTGGACCCGACGTCAGCCCCCAGCCACATCCTGGCGGCGCAGGTTACAGGCGGCGGCGGCTGCGGGGAGCTGCGCGCGCGGAGGGGGCGGGGACCCCAGAGCGCGCACCGGCGGAACGGAGCGGTCGCGTGCCCGCGCCTGGGCAAGGGGGCGTGACCGAGGGCCGGGACAGACGCCATTGGTCCGTGAGTGCACGGCCAGGCCAATCCGAGCCGTTAGAGGGGCGTGCCCGGTCCCGGGCCCTGCGCGCGCCAGTGGGCGTGTCCCCTGGGCCGGTGGGAGGAGGGGCGGAAACTGGAGCGGGGCGCGCTGACGCATGACGTCCGGGGGCGGCGGGCCGGGTAGTCGCGGCGCGGAGCGGCTGCTTGTACCCCCCGCGGCGGGGACACAGCGAGCACTTCTCTGCCGGAGCTTTTATGTGGTGACAGCCTTGGCCCCCGGCATGGAGGGGAGCGGTTTCTGGAGGGCGCCATTTGTTCCTCCCGCGATGGGCGCCGGCGGGGAGGCGTGTCTGCCCGGCCGGGCGCGGGGCTGCCTAGGGGCGGAACGCACTCGCGCCGCGCCCTCCGCCGCCGGCTTGCCGGGTGGCCGCGCCTAGAGCCTCAGGCCGCTCGCCCTCCCCACGCCCCTGCCTTGCAGAGCTCCGGGAGTCCGGGCGGGGCAGCTCCCGCGGGAGGGACAGACTCGGGCTCGTTCCTGGGGTCCGGGGTGCGGCCGCGCTGCCCTTCAGCTCGGGTCAGCCCGAGCAGGACTGGCCTCAGCTGGCGGTGAGCCTGGCAGCCCGGGTGGCGCGCCCACCGCGGCCTGTGCCTCCAGAAGCGAACTACGTGCCAGGGCGGCCGGCGCCGCTGCTGAGGGAACGCGGGGCCCCTTCCTCCCCATCCCGCCGCAGGCCCGCTGCCAACTCTTCTAGGCTGCCCCTCTCCCACCGCGGTCGGGGGGGCTTCAAACGCCACCAGCTGCGAGGACCCCGCCCACCGCGCCCCACCCGCCCGCTGTCTGGGCCTCCCGGAGGAAATGCTCGGCTGCGCCCAGCCCGCGCCTCCCAGCCCGGGCTGGGCCACCTTGCCCTTGACTCTCACGGTAACCCCTACCCCAGCCCGCGGCCCCAGCCATTCTCCAGGCCTGGGCCGTCCTCGGAGACGCCGGTGAATAACTTCCCACCGCCGCGGAACCGGGCTCAGCAAACCCCCTACTGCCTCGCCCCGTTGCATTGTGCTTAATGGACGTTCGAAGGAGTCAGCCACCCTTGCTGTGTTCTGAGAGGAGCCTGGAGAATGAAGGAGCCCGGGCACTCACCCTCAGTGGACCCTCGCAGTGGGAGGGGGGTGTCATTCTTCTCTCAGAATTAAGGTTAATAGCCGAGTTCGAGTTCTCACCAAATTAATTTGGGGTTGGAGCTCAGTAAGACTGGTTTTCAGGTAACCGACGAGGGACCGAAACGGCCATTCTGGGTTGCGTGTTACGGTGAACAGCAAACTGCATGGATGTTTGAGCACCCTCAGTATCTGTAACTAAAACCCTGAAATGCGGTCTCGCTGATTGAGTTGCTACCCTCTGGGGAGACTAAAGGTGCTGGACTGGGTCTGGTCCCTTTAGGAGGGTCTGTGCTTGGTAGAAAGTAATCGTGTTTCTTCCAGGCAGATTGTGTTGATGACATTTAATAAGAGACGTGTGTCCTGACCAAGTAATGATTCGGAATGTTCCTCTATTCCCACCACATGTCACAATTAGTCACTTCTTAAGGAAGGAGTGGTCCTACACCAGCTTATCAGCCACCCATACCCTCCTGGCCCCTTTCCAGCCAGCAGAATTCTCCCCAATCTTCAAGGTGCCACGTCTCCCCACTGGGTCACCCCAGCCGGCATACACAATGGTAGGCCGTCTAGAGTCTGCACTATTCTAGTATTAGGCTACTACAGCCATGAACAAAACAGGCCTGCCTTGGGTGAGGGGATGCCCTACGTGGTCAAGGGTCCTCTGCATTGATGCACCCCCCTAAGAGTTTTCCAAGAATGTGGGTCCCAAAGAATTTTGACTGTGCTCTGTGGCATTCTGTATAGAAAACTGAGCTCCTTGGCTGGTTTCTCAAAAATCCACTCATTTGATGATTGTCGTGGTGTTCACTGACTTTATCCCAAACCTACATGGAAGGGTCTTCCGGACAGACAGCTCTTCCCCAAAGAAAATCTCCTCTTAGCTAAGAGTCCATGTTTTCTTTTCTAAGTAAGATTTTGACAGAGATGGCATATGTATATGTGAGGGCTGGGTCGTCTCGTTTCAAATGGAAGCAACAGAAAAGCAGAGCAGGTGTGTCTGGGGAGTATAGAGACTGAAGGCTGAAAGGGTGGTTGAGTTTCTGGGTAAAGTTGGTGGATGGTTAGTATGTATTGACTTTAACTTCCTTCTGGAGCATTTGTTAGAAGGCAGAAATCCACAAAGACAGGGAGAACAAGAGAGGAAGTAACAGCAACGCAGTTCTTGAAGCTAAAATACTTAGCAGATCCAAGAAAATGAAACCCTGAGATAGTAGCTAGGAAGGAAAGCTAAGAACATACTCCATGGAATCCCCCAGAAGGTTCACTAATGGGTGGCACTACGTACCTCTGAATGTGAGAGTAAACGGGGGTGAAAATAAGATTGGCAGAACGTCAGCTTGAGGAGCACTCAGATGCCCATATCTGCACCCCAATTTCATGCAGCCTGACAACTGCCCCTTCCTTGTTCTGACGAAAGGCTGGATATTTATGACCTGAAAAAACTAAAAGGCAGCGTCTTGGGTAGGTGGACACCAGGCACAATTAAGGACAGAGGTACGGTAATAGGATCAGGGGATTAAATACACACATGGATACTGGATGCTGAGACCCACAAACCCCTTTTTGGGATTTCAGAATGCAAGCAGCCAGGAGACTAGAAGGGTCTTTCCTGGGGTAGCCAACCATGCCAAGGGGAAACACCCAGACATTCTAACATTTGTGGCTGCCCAATTAAACAGCCAGCTCACCCTATAGGGAAGGCCACAGTTAACACTGCCACTCATGTGCACAGAAGTTCTCATCAGCCTCTCAGTCCCTCCCAGGCCAAGGACAAGCAGGGAGCCAGAGCTGACCGGCATCTCAGGAAACCCTGTGTCATGAAATACAAAGCCACAATAGAGTTTTTAAAAAGCAAGTTGGAAGAAACAGACTATGCAGAAAGAAAGAAACATCAACAAAACCATCAATAATGTCATTAAATTTTAAAAGACATACAACCTGTGAAGGGAGAACATATATAAAGAAACATTCAGGGGAAAAAAAGTGTTCTTGAGATGTTTACAAGGTAACAGAAATGTAAAAGTAAAAAACCTCCTTGAAAGTAGAACCAAAATTTTTTTTAAAAAATGGAAAGTAGAGAAAAGCTAAATTAGTGGACCAACCAAAAAAATTATTGATCAATGAGTAGGGACCCAAACAGGTGATCAGAGAAAACACAAGAGAGAAAATCGTCAATGAATTATTAATCCAAGAGAGGCCTTCACGACATATGCTGAAAGGGAGAGAGCCCAACACAGTGGGAAAGAATAGCTCTACGCCAAGGCATATCATTGGTGAGTTTCAGAATGCAGGGGACAAAAGTGTCCTAACATTAAAACAGGTCACCTACGGATAGTCGGGTCAGAATGACTGTGGGCCTCTCCACAACAACCAGTTGAAGTTAGAAGGAAGGGAACAAAGCCATGGGAAATAAATGTAAAGGAAAATTATTTTCCAGCCTTCACCCAGCCAAACTATAAACCAAGTATTTTTCAGACGCATGAGGTTTCAAAAAATTTATCCCCCATGCATCCTTTCTCATAGTAGGAAGCCACCAGAGATTATACTTCATCAAAACAAAGATGTAAACCAAGAAAGCAGGAGACGTGATCCACAAAGCAGGGAAGTCATTGCAGGATGGAAGGGAAAGTAAGTCCCAGGTGATAGCTGCCCAGCCAGGTGCAGAGTGTCAGCAGCCCAGGCTGGAGCAGATCGGCAGCTCCAGGAACACGTCTTCAAGAGGTAGAATGAACAGAGTCCCTGTATCAGTCAGGAGAGGCTGGGCCACACTGCAAAGCTCAAAGGTTTATTTCTGGCCATGCTGCGTGTCCATAGGGAGGCACCTGGGGACAGCAGGTTGATGGAGCAGCCTCTGTCTAGAATGTGCTGGTTGCCGCACAGAAGACAAGGGATAGCATGGACCCAAGGGTGTTAACTATCCCTTCTTTCCCACACACGAAATACATTTTACCCCTCCCTGGGTGGGCCTGACCCATCTCACATGCCTTTTTAGTCTGAGTCTAGAGCCCAGAGACAGGATAACAGGAATTTGAGGTGAGGGACATTCTATGGCAGCCAGTCAAAGCCCAGGACCCCCGTGGGAGGAACAGTGGCTTCTTCATGTGGCTCATGTGGTTCCTCTTGGTTTAGAGACCTACGGCCTAAAGATGAATTGTCTGGGCCCCCGCTGCTCGTATGCACACCCAATGCTGAAAGTGCAAAGAGACAGAATAACACAACTAACAGCCTAATTCAGAAAAGGGAGGAGGGGGAGACACACAGTAGACAGTATCCATAGCAATCCTGAAACCCTGCTGGGCAGATACTGCCCCCTGCCCTAAAGTGAGACTAGTCCTTGAATAGCCTCAAATCTGCTCACTGTGGAGTTTGAGGATGGGGCAGTCAGGGCTTTACTCCACCCTCGGGAAGTTTTTCCTTTTGCAATTTATATCTCACAGTTCTGGAGGCCGGAAATTGTATTCCAGCCACAGATTGTATTAATCCTAGTTTTGGGCACTGCTAGTTTCTCAAAAATGTAGTTAACATCTTACCTAGTCTCTTTGCTTTCACTTGGTTTCATTGTATCTACTCACAGTACTTTTCAAGACATGCCTGTCTCTCAACTTAATTGCAGATCCTCTGAGCCTCTCAGTCTTTGATGGTAGAGTAACACCCTTAGTCTCTTTTCCCTGAACCTTTTAAGTTATCCAAGGTGACAATTTACTAAATATTATGCCATTCAATACATGGATGGCCATGCTTCGAGCCTTCAGAATCCATTTTCCCACTGCCTGCTTGATCAGCCACATATCTTGTTTTCTGTTGCAGCAGTGCCCCATTCCTGGTTACTATTCTCTGGACCAGTCAGGATCAGCTAAGTTATGCTACAGTAACAAATAGTTCCTGAAGCTCAATGGCTTAAAATAACAAAAGCCTAATTCTCAGTACATTGAGGGTTGGATGGAGACGTTGCTGTCTGTCATTATCATCCTCACCCCAGCACTCAGATCAACAAAGCAGCCACTCTCTGACAGTCACCATGGCAGAGGAAAAAGGGACTTTCTGTAAGGTCTTGCATTGGCACAGAAGTGACACACATCATTTCTGCTCATAACTGGTCATATGGACCGTCTGCTAAAGACTGCATGTTTGTGTTTCTCCAGGATTCGTATGTTGAAATCCTAATCCCAATATAATGATATTTGGAGGAGAGATCTTTGAGAGGTAATTAGGTAATGAGAGTGGAGCCCTCATAGTGGAATTAGTGTCCTTAGAAAAGAGACCCCAGGCAGGGCGCAGTGGCTCTTGCCTGTAATCCCAGCACTTTGGGATGCTGAGGCAGGTGGATCACTTGAGGTCAGCAGTTCAAGACCAGCCTGGCCAACACGGTGAAACCCCATCTCTACTAAAAAAAATACAAAAATTAGCCAGACATGGTGGTGCACACCTGTAATCCCAGCTACTTGGGAGGCTGAGGCAGGAGAATCACTTGAACCCAGGAGGCAGAGGTTGCAGTTAGCTGAGATCGTTCCACTGCACTCCAGCCTAGGTGAGCAAGACTGTCTCAAAAAAGAAAAAAAAAGAAAGAACAGAGACCCCAGAGTACTCCCAGAGTACTCCCTGGCCCCTTCCACCATGTGAGGTTATAGTAAGGAGATGGCCTTCTATGAACCAGAAAGTAGGGCTTTGCCTGACACCGGATCTGCCAGCTCCTTGATCTTGGACTTTCCGGCCTCCAGAACTGTGAGATACAAATTTTTGTTGTTCATAAGCCTCCCAGTTTCTGGTGATTATGTAATAGCAGCCTGAACAGACTAAGACACCATCCTGTCCACAGGGAGCCAGGAGTAGACCCATGATGTCCCCAAAAGGCAAGGAACTGAACTATTCAGGGACACATTAAGAGTTTCTCCAATACCCAATCTGACTTGAGAAGATTGAGAAAACTGGTGAAGGGTTTGGGATTGAAATAATAAGTAGACAGAAAACTAAATGAAGAGAAAAGACCATAAAAAGCTCCAAAGAAAACAAAAGGAAAGTCCGTTACAGTTGACTACTTGGCACAGTTGCAAATAGTGTTTTCATAATGGTAATAATGAATACTAAACACTGATCTTATAAGCTTTTCTGTATGGATCTGGTAGGGGAATTGGGCACTCATGTGTACACATGGCACAGGGGTGGGAGGGAAGTCCCTGTCTACATAATGGGAAGTCAATAGACACGGCTCCAAACTGAAAAACCGAGAAGCAGCGATGCAATCGTGCTGTGGTTGGTAGAATTCTAAGATGGCACCAGCATCCTGCCTGTGGTCTGTACTCACCTTTCTCCCAGTTAGTCAAACACTGAAGGGGTTTTGCAGATGTGATCAAGGTCCCAAATCAGTTGACTGGAAGATAGGGAGACGGTATCTGGGTGGGCCTGTACTAATCCTGTAAACCCTTTCAATCTGGGTCAAAGGTCAGAGACAGGGAGCTCAGAGAGAGTAGAAGCAAGACAGGGATTTGAAGTGAGGAAGAGTCCGTATTGCTGGCTTTAAAGACAAAGGGGCCACATGGCAAGGAACTCCAGCAGCCTCTGGTAGTTGACAGTGGCCCCCGGATGGCAGTCAACTGAAATGGAGACCTCAGCCCTGTAACCACAAAGAAGACTCTTACCACGTGGAGCTTGCACAAGGACCCAAGCTGCAGTGGACACAGCCTGGGCAATACCTTGATTTTAGCTTCTTGAGACCCTGAGCAGAAACCCAGCTGCACTTTGCCCAGGCTTCTGATCACAGAACCTCGAGATGCTAAACCGGTGCTGTCTCCAGCCACTAAGCTTGTGCTGTTTTGTTATGCAGCAGTGGAAAACGAATACCCATGCTGTTTGAGTCGTGGAAATAATTAGGTAAAAGAGGAAAAAGAGATAATTTCTAGGGATGGAAAGGGGAGGAAAGGAGGGAAGGACTGCTGTGTTTCCTAACAAACCTTATAGAATGACTTGACTCTTCAAGTGATATGCATGGTTAACTTAGATGTAAGGAAAAACAAAAATCAAAAGATGGGGTCAGAGACTACTAGCTGCCCAGTGAAATCTCTCCTCTCCACAGTTGCGACTCAGTTCACTTCCCGGACACCTTTTTGTTTGTTTGTTTGTTTTTTGACAGAGCCTCGCTCTGTTGCTCAGGCTGGAGTATAGTGGCACAATCTGCTCACTGCAGCCTCTGCCTCCTGGGTTCAAGCGATTCTCCTGCCTCAGTTTTCTGAGTAGCTAGGATTACAGGTGCATGCCACCATGCCCGGCTAATTTTTGTATTTTTAGTAGAGACGGGGTTTCACCGTGTTAGCCAGGTAATCCGCCTGCCTCAGCCTCCCAAAGTGCTGGGATTACAGGCGTGAGCCACAGCACCCGGCCTTCCCAGACACCTTGGTAGTTAGTTGTGAGCAGGTGACTAATTCTCAACATGGGAGTATGAGTGGAGGGGCTGCCTGTCACCTCTGCACTGGGGCTTTTAAGAGAGCAGGTCTCCATGCTGTAGCTTCCCTTCCCTGCCTGCCATTTGCATGCTTATGGCGACAGAGCTCTAGGGGATGATGGAGCCACCAAATAGAACGAGCCTGGGACGCAAAAGTCTTTTGGCCAAGAACATGCTCCCGAACCATCACTGTGTTTGAACCACAATATACGCTGGGGTCCACCTGTTACTGGGACTTAGCCTACCGTAATCAATGTGGAAAATGGGACAGGGAAGAAAAACAACAGGTGCCAGGTAGAGTGGGGCTGGACTTTTTTCTGGAGTGTGGCTCTCTAGGCTTCCTGGTGACAGCCAGGCTGTGAGATGCCCACTCTGGGCACCGTCCTCCCTTTCTCCCAGGGTAGCCATTGCCTGCAAGCCCTGCTTCTGCTCACAGAGCCCAGCCTGGAGCTGAGGGTGGTTTGGTTTATCCAGGATGTCTCATAGTGTCAGCGCTCAGTGCCCCCCAATTCAGAGGGCAGGCAATGTCCTCCTCAGCCCAGGAGTCATGTGTAAGTGCTCAAGCCCCCCACACACTCTCCTATCTGCTTTTGACCTGTCTCCTAATGTACTCATAATGTCACCAAGGAATCCTTCCATCCAAGGAGGGCTTTGACCCCAAAGCTTTTGCAGCCCTCAAGCCTGACCATTTCAGAATAGGGTTGTTGGATGAGGAACTTCTGAGAAAAACCTCATCTCAGTCACTGATGGTTTGGCGTTGTACAAAGAATGAGCCATTTTCTGTCGTATGACATGGGATCGGGGTAGAAAACTCTGTTTTCATGCCCTGTCTCCCATTAGTCCAGAGTGCAAAATAATTGATCAAGTTCTAAAGGACGAAAGCCAACTTCACATCTGGTGCACATTTACACGGGGAAAGATTAAAACCAGCAATGCTTCTGAATCCGAGCCATCGAAACACTGGAGAGGTATTTACAGTGTCTGCAACAAATGTACAAGGGAAGCATGTTAAAATGACGGACGATCCCTTCTAGGCTTGCCAGAGCAGATGGCTCCCACTCCTAAACATGAAAACTGACATGGGATCCCTGCCCTCCGTCGTGATCTGGGACGATCTCCAGCCTTGACGACAATTATCCATTCTACGTGTCCCCTTCCACTCTCACTCCTTGGTTGTCTGCCATTCGTAACTGGTGATCCTCTCCCCAGTTAGGTCTCAGGGTCAAATGCTGCGTTTTATCCCATTGACTCTGAGATTCCTGCCAAGCCTCTGATCAATGGCAATAAACCCCCACCCATCAGCGCTCACCAGGCACATTGACACACACAGGAACTCTACACAGAAGGTGCCATTCATTCACATGTCCAGGTGAGAAAACTCAGCCTCCATCAGGCCAAGAGACTCCGAGAGCCACACGTAGCAAGATGCAGAGCCCAGGCTCTTGGCCTAGAGTCCTTTCACCTCACACTGGTGCCCCCACTGCCAGCCTACAGGAAGCTAGCCAGTTAACGCAGGGACTTACCAAATCAATTCAGGGAGAGCCAGGCTGGTTCATTCTGGGCTGTCATGGGAATCCATTCTAATGAGTGTTCTTATTAATGGGATTGGGAGGATTTATCATGAACAATGTAGGCTATGATTGCCTTGAATTCTGGGCTGTTTGCATCTAGAGCTGAAAGATGGCAAGGATTAGCCGTTCCGATACACATGAAGTTTTTCTTTTTGTTACTGCTAAAGTGAGTACCAGTCAGTAGCATCTAGGCACCATCAAATCACAGGAAGTGGAGCTGGAAATGAACTGCTAGGTCACTCATGGTCAGGTTGAGCTCAGCAATCAGCACACATGGTCTGTTGTTAACCTGGGGGCGGCAGGCAGTGAATCCTCAATCTATCATGTTCTTCATGTATTCAGTTAGTTTTATGGGCCCTGGGCTGTCTTTGTAGGACAGTATATTGAAGAGTCAGGAGCTCTTGCCCTGATTTTATAGTTCAACAAATTGATTTAAAATATTTTCAGAATATAGGTCTCAGTAGTTCTTTCTATCTGAGCCTCTTTGAACTGGAGCTTTCTGATTTGGTATGGGGTGTGAACTTGTTTCCTGTGTAGAGCAGAGAACTGCACCAAGAGGGATGTTAATATTCCAGGAATAAAAAAAAGACTGTTTTCCCCTCAATGAAAGAGAAAGGAGAAGAAGTTAAAAATCAGATTTAATCATATTACAGGAAACTTGAGAGCAGCCACAAGGCTGCCATTTCCAACCTGAAGTCACTTCCTGAAAGTCCAGAAATCATTCCCACTGGAAACCACTGACTGGGACCCTTTGAGGGGTCTGCATTGGGTCTGGTGGGTGGATACAAGGTAGATCCTTAAACAACTCCTCTCCAATGGGGTAAGAATGCCCATGGCTCTCAGCCAGCTCTGGGGTCAGTCACCAGCCATCTCCCCTTGGCGCCCGGTGCCTTGGATGAGCAGCCATTCAGGAAATAGGTGCCCAGTCAATGGGGGAATTCTCCAGCCACATCTGTGGTCTCCTTGAAGTCTCTCCTCAAAGACCTTTATCTGCCCAGGTGTCATTATGACGCGGTAATCCTGGACTGAGACAGCTCAGCTCAGGAACTGCAGCCTGGATTCCTGGGCCTGCTGACAGTGAGACATCCAGGGGAGCTGCCCATGAATGTAACCACCCCAGCGGTGTGCACACATCTCTACTACAGTGGCTCCACCGCGTGCCTGCAACACAGAGAGGACCGGCTGGCATGGGGGCTGCCCCTGATCTCAGGGAGACCTTCAGTGCAAGCAAGGAGGGACCAGGGATCCCCTGAGCTCATGGCCCTGCTGAGCTGAAGGAACCCCCTGCTTCAAGGCAGAGATTGTTCATACAGTGTTGTTGCAGTTTCTTAAAAAATGGCCAGTCCGGGCACGGTGCCTCACATCTGTAATCCCAGCACTATGGGAGGCTGAGGCAGGCAAAATCATTTGAGGTCAGGAGTTCGAGACCAGCCTGGCCAACATGGTGAAACCCCATCTCTACTAAAAGTACCAAAAAAAAAAAAAATTAGCTGAGCATAGTGGTGCACGCCTGTAATCCCAGCTACTCAGGAGGCTGAGGCAGGAGAATTGCTTGAACCCGGGAGATGGAGGTTGCAGTGAGCCAATGTTGCACCACTGCACTCCAGCCTGAGCCACAGAGTGAGACTCGGTCTAAAAAAAAAAACAAAATGGCCACACACTTATTTGATGCTCCTGCCATCGAGTCTGGGCCACTGGTGACTGCTTTGGCCTAGAAGGGCAGCCTTGTGACTTCCAAGGCTGGGTCATAAAAGGTGGGGCAGCTTCCTCCTGGCTCCCTGGGCACGGGCACTCACACATACCTCTGCTTGGGGCACTGAGCTTCATGTAAGAAGTCCAACTACTCAATCTGGTGGGTGTTTGGGGACGGGCCAGCTGAGCCCAGCTTTCCCTCCATCCCTGACACAGTGCCAGGCATGTGCATGGGGCAGCAGGTCCTTAGCTTTCCAGCCCTGGGTGTTCCAGCCCTGATCTGTTGGAATCATCCAGCCTTACAGACCTCCCAGCTGAGGCCTCAAATGGGAGGAGCAGAAACAGATCATCCCTGCTGGGCACTGTCCAAATTCTTGACCCACAGAAGCAATGGTTATTGCTTTAGGCCATTACGTTTGGGCTTGTTTGTTACACAGCAACAGTAACTGGAACAAACAACTTGGTTTATAGTTTCTTTTTTCTTTTTCTTTTTTTTTTTCTTGAGATGGAGTCTCCCTCTGTCACCCAGGCTGGAGTGCAGTGGCACGATCTTGGCTCACTGCAACCTCTGTCTCCTGGGTTCAAGCGATTCTCCTGCCTCAGCCTCCCGAGTAGCTGGGACTACAGGCACACGTCACCACACCCACCTACTTTTTTTTTGTATTTTTAGTAGAGACGAGATTTCACCATGTTGGCCAGGCTGGTCTCGATCCCCTGACCTCGTGATCCACCTGCCTCAGCCTCCCAAAGTGCTGGGATTACAGGCGTGAGCCACCGCGCCCAGCCTATAGTTTCTATAAACCAAGAAACTACTGGTCAAGTGCTCAAACACAAGAAAAGGATCCCTTTCAACCCTGGGGGGAGCAAATGTAGTCAACAGACAGGCTCCAAACTGAAAAACTGAGAAGCAGTGATGCAATCGTGCTGTGGCTGGCAGAATTCTAAGATGGCCCCAGGATCCTGCCTGTGGTCTGTACTCACCTTCTTTCTCCCAGTTAGTCAAATACTCGGTGTTTCTGTGAAGGGGTTTTGCAGATGTGATCAAGGTCCCAAATCAGTTGTGGGGGAACAACCGGTGCTGCTGGCCTTGGGTCTGACGTCTGCACTTGACGGGTGGGCTAAGGCATTTTCACGGGGATTTGACCTATACCACGTTTGACTTGGGGACCGACTTGAGACTTCCCAGTACTTGCGGCTGCCGGGTGGGTCCCCGCTGGTGAGCTATCTGCCTCCTCACAGCCAGCTTCCTCTGAAGGGAGGAGGGGTGCCCATCCCACACCACTCTTCCACCTGGCCACTGTCCACGTGGGGTCCTTGCGGCCCAGTCACCTCCTCAGGGAGATGACAGGGATGATGGCTGTCTCAGACCTGGCCCCTCTGACACAGTCTCCATAGACCCATGCTTCAGTACCTGCCTTATTGTATCATTATTTAAATGGAAAAGTACTTAAAAGCATAATAAGTTAAAAATTGCTGATAACCTTCATTTTCTTCAGGAAAGAACCATTTCTTCACTCTTTTCTGCCATCAACAGACTAGTTTTCTCTTTTTACACATTATGACGGCCACTGCTAATTGTTTACTGTTAGGCAGCTATTGCTGCATAACCAAATACCCCAAAACGTAGTGGCTTAAAGTAACAATAAACATTTACTACCATGTTTGCAGTTTCTGTGGATTTGGGAGTGGCTACAGTGGGGGATGCTGGCTTGGGGTCTCTCATGAGATTATAGTCATGACATTGACTGGGGCTGCTGTTGCCCCAGATTGGGGTTGGAGAATCTGCTTCCATGACAGTAACTCACACAACTGGAAAGTTAGCACTGGCTGTTAGTGGGAAACCTCAGTTCCTTCCCACTTGGACTTTTCCACAGAGCTGCTTGAGCATCCTCATAACATGGCAGCTGGCTTTCCTGACCTAGAGCAAGTGATCAAGAGGGAACAGCTGTTCTTTTTATGGCCTAGCTTCAGACATCACAGAGCATCACTTTTACCCTATTTATTAGTTGGCTCTTCTGAGTTACTAAGTCTGGCCCAGATTCAAAGGGAGGGAAATTTGGCTCTGCCTTTTGAAGGGAGAAACTTCCAAACATTTGGAGACATCTTTCAAAACCACCACACCTGTCCAGTATCTGTTATTCCCTTCCTTCTGTAACTGTATTCTAAGCAGCAAGGTACCTGGCTAAAAAACATTTCCCAGCCTCCCTTGAAAGAATTGGAGGTTACTGAGATATAAACAGAAGTTGTTAGGTAAGGCTTGCCAAAAGCTTTTTAAGAATGGGAACAAGTAGCTAAAATGTACCCTTTGCCTCTTCCTGTTACTGGCTGTTTGGAATGCAAATGTGATAGCTGGTACTCCAGCAGCCATTTTGTGAATATGAGGCAACTCTGAGACTGGAAATCATATGCTAAAAATCAAAGGGAAAGTGGAATGAAGCCTGGGTCCCTGGTGACATCATGGAGCCTCCCATAACTTACTTGGACTGCCTAACACTGAACTTCTTTTATTGAGGGGGGTGGAGGACTGACATTTCTTGATATTTCTTGATATTTAAGCCAAGGTTACTACCAGATAAACACAGATCCTGGCCGAGCACGGTGGCTCACTCCTGTAATCTCAGCGCTTTGGGAGGCTGAGGTGGGTGGATCACCTGAGGTCAGGAGTTCGAGACCAGCCTGGCCAATATGGTGAAACCCCGTCTCTACTTAAAATACAAAAAATTAGCTGGGCGTGGTGGTGGGCACCTGTAATCTCAGCTACTTAGGAGGCTGAGGCAGGAGAATTGCTTGAACCTGGGAGGCGGAGGTTGCAGTGAGCTATCACACCATTGCACTCCAGCCTGGGCAACAAGAGCCAAACTCCGTCTCAAAAAAAAAAAAAAAAAAAAAAAGCAAAAAACCCACAGATCCTAAAAGATAAGCTCACCATAGTTCTTTTTTCACAACTGGCTTATATAGACTCCATCATGGTATTTCTAGGCCCTCTTCCTTCACCGTGGGTATATCTTCCCAAGGGCCTCTGAGCAGAGATAAGGGGGAAAAAAATACAAATCCCTGACTCGCCAACCTCCCTGGCAGCTGGGCGTGCCAGGAGACCACACTTGGGTCCGTGGGATCTAAGGGCCCAGCACGATATCTGTGATTTCCAAGAGACCCCGAACTGGGAGAGAGGAACCCTTGCTGCCTTCTGCTCTCCCTCCACCCACTGCCCGGGACCCAGAGCCTTGCCGGTGGCCCAGGAGCCCCCCACGGGCAGAGGAGCTTCTGCACCCACCCTGCTGCGTCCTCCGGCTACATAATAAGAGAGAATAAGGAGGTCCTCTCTTCCCGCAGCAGGGCTGCCCCTCGCACATACGGCCCTCTCCAGTGCCAAGTCTGGACCCAACGCAGCCCCTTGCGAGGATGCAGTGAGCAGAGCTCACCAGGGGGCCTTGGGAGCTCTGCTGGAGGGACCTGCAGAAACAAGGCTTGGGGAAGGACAACTGGATGCTCAGACAGGAGGACCACCTGGCAGTGACTGCTGTGGGCAGCCCCCTCTCCTGGCTCTCATCCTTTCTCTTGCAGATGCTGCAGCTGCCCCTCTCTGCTGGCTTTGCCCCTTTGGCTCTTAGCATCCCAGGGCTTCCTCTCCTAGCAGCCTCATGGCTCAGCTTCAGCACCCTCTGCTGACTCTCTGAATCTGCAGGGACAGACCCATTGGGGGAGATCTGGTGGGCAGCTGGTGGCTCTGCCATTGGTTCTCCCAGCAGGCCACCTTGCAACCCTGGTCAGCAGAGTGGGCTGCCCCGGGGAAGATCTCAGATCCAGTCTGTCAGGGGAGCACGGTGAGAAGCACGCAGCTGCAGCCAAGAAGCTTCTGGGGCCCCCAGGGGCTGCCCAAGGTGCGCTGTGCAGGGCAGAGGCTGGGCTGGAGTCCTGGCTGGACTGCCCCAAATGCCTGGCGCCCTCATCCTAAAGTGGGGAGCATCGTCCTGCCTCTCATGGGGCTGCCACATAAATATCTCCTCGGTGCTGAAGAGGGCTCTGCAAGGCACTTGATCCACAGGAGACGACCACCCGGGGCTGCAGCAGGGTGAGAGGGCAGTGCCCAGAATGCCAGGACTGTCCAGGACACATGCCTTCAAAGTCAGGGGATACAGCAGAGAGCCTAGCAGCTCCTGTTTTTCTCCTCAACATTCTGTTTCAAAAATTTTCAGCTGGTCGCAGTGGCTCACGCCTGTAATCCCAGCACTTTGGGAGGCCGAGGCAGGTGGATCACGAGGCCAGGAGTTCAAGACCAGCCTGGCCAACATGGTGAAACCCGGTCTCTACTAAAAATACCAAAATTAGCCGGGAGTGGTGGCACACGCCTGTAATCCCAGCTACTTAGGAGGCTGAGGCAGGAGAATCGCTTAAACCTGGGAGGTGGGGGTTGCAGTGAGCCAAGATCACACCACTGCACTCCAACCTGGGCAGCAGTGGGAGACTTTGTCTCAAAATAATAATAATAATAATAAATCAACCAGAAGCCAAAAGAGTAGTGCAAAGAACACGCTTTACTCTGATTCGCCGGCTCTTCAGTGATTGCCATGTTCACTGTATTTCTCTTTCCATCTCTCTGTCTATATCTCTATATTTTTTGAAATGATTTGAAAGTCAGCTGCTGACATCACAACACTTTGCCCTACACATTTGCAAAAAAGGAGGACTTGCTCTTGGATAGCCGCAGAGCCTGTATTGGACTGAAGAACTTTATTGTTAATCTATGAATATTGTATAATATGCAGACCATATTTACATTTTTGCAATGGACTCTTAATCTCTTTTCTATCCAAATAGCTCCTTTTTTTTTTTTTTTTTTTTTTTGAGATGGAGTCTTACTCTGTCACCCAGGCTGGAGTGCAGTGGCGTGATCTTGGCTCACTGCAACCTCCGCCTCCCAGGTTCAAGCAATTCTCCCACCTCAGTCTTCTGAGGAGCTGGGATTACAGGCGCCTGCCACCACGCCTGGCTGATTTTTGTACTTTTAGTAGAGACGGGGTTTCACCATGTTGACCAGGCTGCTCTCAAACTCCTGACCTCCAGTGATCTGCCTGCCTTGGCCTCCCAGAGTGTTGGGATTATAGGCGTGAGCCACTGAGCCTGGCTTAAATATTGCTTCTTTATCAACCAAACTGAGATCTCTGTCTTCAGAATGCTGCACTCTCACCCTGGTCATACCCCATGTTAGGGCTTTTCTGGAGCCTACCCACCTCTTCGGGGTGTGTTGGGAGAGTGCCGGTGAGGGTGGAGAAGGGAGCTGCAGGGACCAGAACATTTCATCCTCTCACTGCCACCGTTGTCTGTAAAGATACAGCTAAGCTCTGACAAAGGCACCGTTGGTTTTCCTGCCCTTTAAGAAGTTTGCTTCCAGGACCACAGACCTCCAGCCCCACTCTCAGCGACCCTAGGCCATGGGGCTGTTCTCAGGCTCACAGCCATCTGTAGCCCTGCCCCCACCCAGTCACCCTCCCATCCTTTCTTAGAGATAAGACAAAAAAAGAGTACCCCTCGTCTTCCCCCAGTGTGCTCTCCAGAAGGCAGGGGGTTATGTCTGGAAGAAATTGGTGATTACTAGGAAATCGTCTACATTTGTCCACCCATCATGACACCAAGCACTCAGGCTTCTCAGGCTCCTGTCTCATCCCCACAGATTGAATTTGGTCCCCACATCCCCAAATTTATGTGTTGAGGCCCCAACCCCCAGTGTGACGGTGGCCTTTGGGAGGTGATTAGGTCATGAGTGCGGAGTCTTCAGGATAGCATTAGTGACCTTTTTTTTTTTTGAGATGGAGTCTTGCTCTATCACCCAGGCTGGAGTGCAGTGGCACAATCATAGCTCAATGAAACCTCTACTTCCTGTGTTCAAGCAATTCTCCTGCCTCAGCCTCCCGAGTAGCTGGAATTGCAGACGCCCACCACCAGACCCGGCTAATTTTTGTGATTTTAGTAGAGTTGGGGTTTCGCCATGTTGGCCAGGCTGGTCTCGAACTCCTGACCTCAGGTGATCCACCTGCCTCAGCCTCCCAAAGTGCTGGGATTACAGGCATGAGTCACCGTGCCCAGCTGGATTCGTGACTTTTTAAGAAGAGAGGGAGGAGAGAGAAGAGAGAGAGAGAACATCTCCACCATGTGCGGTAACAGGAGGAAGACGGCCATCTCCATGCCAGGGAGAAAGCCCGCTGCTGGCGCCTGGATCTTGGACTTCCCAGCCCCAGAACAGTGAGAAATAAGCCACCCAGTCTGTGCTATTTTGTAATAGCCTCCTGAGCTGATAAGACACTCCATGATGCAGGAATTAGGCCCCCTGCACAGGAGGGAAACCTGCTGCAAGAGACACAGTGGGCCACACAAAGCCACGCCCGGGACCTATGTTGGAGCCTGTTGATCTGTTAGATCAGTTGACAGCCAGTTAAACAAACAGGGGTCTCCCATCATAAGAGGTTGGCAGGTGGGCCTTCCCAGGGCCAGGGAAGTGGCTCAGGGGTGCCCACAGGGACCCGGCTCCTCTACCATCCTTAAAGTGTTGGCTTTCTGCTCTAGAGACACTTGTCACTGCTCCAGGTCTGCAGCTGGAGTCAGAAGCCCGGGGAGGCTGGTAGAAGCCAGCAACCTGTGCCCTCCGTAAGAAGAAGCTGCTTTTCCAGAAGACTTCTGCTTCACTTTACTGGCCACAGGGTGCTTGTCCCCGCCAGCACTGGGGGAGATGGGGGAAGCAAGTTTCTGACCTGGCAGCTCTTGTAGGGGAGGTGGCACCGGAGAGTGGCTGGGCACATCCATTGGATCAGCCCATCCAGTGTGGGCCACCCCCGGGGTCTTATTACAGACCCTGAATTCTGACTCAGTTGCATAACTTGGGACAATTTGGGGAACTCATTCAAATTCCAAGTGCCCTTTAAGGTTTAATTGGATACGTAGCAAATGAGCATGCTCTGAGGTGTGGGTTTTTGCTTTCCCAGTAGTGGGGGAGCAGAGGATGAAATGTTTCTAATTCCACAACTCCCTTCTGCCTCTCTGAGATGTCCCAGGGTTTTCCTGGTGAGAATTGTTAGCCTGTGTGTCCGAGGGTTTTCAAGCTCACTGTAAGCTTGATCAAGGCAGCTCTGACCCCCAAAAGCTTCCTCGCAGGTGCGATGGGGGAGTCCCTGGGACCTAAAAGGAGGGCAAGCACCGGTCCTTCTCCCCACAGCCTGCAGCTGGCTCTGTCTTCCCCCACAAGCTGAATGGTTGTGCAGCAGGGGTGCAGGCAGGGGAGGGTGGGGCCCAGGCAAGGGCTCAGCTCCTCCTGGGCTGTGACACTGAGGTCCCGCCCACAGCTCTCCTGCTGGCCCGGCCCACCTGCAGCCTCTCCTTGGGGTCTTCCCCACACCTCCCTTTCTTGTTGAGGCTGCTGGGCCTTTCTCCTCCTGAGCTCTGGCTTCTGCACCTGCTGCATGTTGATCCTTCCCACAGCCCTGTTTCCTAGTCATAGTGTCACCTCCAGCTGGGCCAACCTTTCCCCTGGGGGCTGTGCTCCTGGCTCCTCAGAGGACACACCTCTACCCCAGTCCACTGGGTGCATCATGGACTCCTTTGACCTCCCTCTGGTTGGTTTTGGACTTCAGGGAGTCCCAGCAGGAGATCCCCGGGAGAAAGAAGGAGGGAGCCTCCCCCAGAGTCTCTGCAGGTGGGCTGTGTCCCTCAGGAGCAGGCGGTGGCTTTCAGGGCTCCTCTCCTCATGCTGTTTGCAGGTTTGCTGCACAGCCTTCCCACCCCAGGGTGACTCAGTGGTAATGGCCCCCTTCCCTGCTCTGATCTCTGGAGGGGATGGCCTTCAACACAGCTTTTCCTACACAGTTCCTGTCTCTGTCAAGGCCTCAGGAAAGGCCGCTGCCTGCGGGTGTGCGGAGGCCTTCGCATCTGTGACTGGCACGGCCCTAGCCCCTTCAGGTGAGCCAGAGGCAAGCACTAGTTAAGACTTTCTCCTGTAAGTCAGAGTAGCGACAACATTTGCATTTGGAATACAGTCGTGAAGTTAATTTAGTTTCATGAGCGCTGGCTGATTGCAGGCACTGAGGTGGAGCTTCTGGGCTAGGTACCAGGTGCCAAAATGCAGGTGCTCACAGCCGGGACACAGGACCATGCATGGAGAGAAGGCAGCAGGGCTCAGGAGGAGCTTCTGGGGAAGAGGAGGGGTGCACAGGGCTCGGTGGGCTAACAGGAGTTTGTGGATCCATAAAAGACACAAGGGAGTGGTATGTAATGGACACAGCCCCAGGACCAGTGAGGAAGGGGGAAGTGCTCCACAAGGAAGGGGATGCCACTGACGGCAGGCACCCCAGGGACGCAGCGAGGGCGGAGGGCACTGTGCTTGCCGCCAAGGCAGCTGGATGCTGTGGCAAGGCCATTGAGGAGAGAGAGAAAGGACTGAGAAGCTCAGAAGGGAAAGGGGAAAGGGCCAGGGGAAACTCTGGGACCGCTGTGAGAAGCATGCCCCGAGGGGCCGGGACCTTCAAACCTCGGCTCTGCTGTGTGATACTGGGCTGGCTAGTGAACCTCTCTGAGCCTGTTTCCCCATTTGAAGAGTAAGAAAAACACCTGTTGTGAGCGAAGCATCAAATAATGCAATGCTGCAGCGTGGGCGCCGCACGCTTGGGGTTTGTGGTTTTCTTCCCTCTTCCAGCCTACACTGGTGACCTTGGAGTCCTCACCTCGCCATGGCCAGCCCCAGGCCATCCCCCCAGGCCCTTTGGGAACCAGGCAAGTTTCCCCCACCACCCACCCCACCCCTCACAATGTGTTCTGGATGATGCCCAGGGCCTCGGGGTCTGCCCCTGGCTGTGTCCTAGCAAAGGCATCAGGCGCGGCGCAGAGCCTCGAGGCAGCCGCGGTGCAGGGAGCAGGTGCTGGCAGCTGCCGTCAGCCCCACAATGTGGCTTTTGTCGGCCGGGGTAGCTGTGGAGCCCAGGAACAACCAATGTCGGGGAACAATTCCCAAGGCTCAGCCTGAGCGAGGCTGCAGCTCTCAACAAAGCCACCGAGAGCCGTTGGGCAGGCGCTTTTGTCATGCAAATACAGGCGGGGGACCGGCGCACTCCCCTGCATGCTAACCACTTTGTGATTCAGAGGAAGCCAGGGCCCTCCCGGGAAAGGCGGTGGCTCCTAGCTTCCCTGGGCCTGCCCTGCCTCTCCCATTGTCCTCTCCTGCACCCGGCTTGGTGAGCATCATGCTGGGCCTGGGACGCAGGCCCGGAGGCTCAGAACTCACAGTCTGACCAGGAAAGATGCAGAGGCTGGAGGACATCACCCCAAAGTGTGCAGCTGGCCTGGAAGAAGGAGACTGGGGAGCTGGGAGAGGGCTGAGCGAGGAGACCCCTCCGAGCAAGCCAAGCTCCCAAGTTCGGACCAGCCAGCCCGGCTGAGGACAGCATCTCATGGGGGAGAGCCTCAGGGGCAGAAGGACTGTGCATCCCAAGGCCCCAATGGGGTGGCCGGTGACTGGTTCCAGGAGAGCCTGGCTGGTGTGAGGAGGGCCCGTCTGCGGGCTCCTGGTGCACAAGGCTTGCATGCTTGAATGGGGCTTGGAGAACAGGTCAAGGGTCCAGGCCCTCTGGGCGGGGCAGGTGCCCCAGGGCTGGGCCTGTGTGCCCTTAGGAAAGGGCCTGACAGGGGCCTGGAGACTCAGGGTCCATCCCGACCCCACCCCACCAGCCCAGATGGCTATTTGGCATGTTGCTGAGTTTTTCTGAGCATCTGTGTGCTTATCTGTAAAACCAGCATCGGAATAAGCTCCATTTTAGGGCCACGGTGAGACGAAATAAAATAATCCAGATAAAATGTTGAGTTCAGTGTTCAGCATGTACTAGGCTCACAATGGATGATATCAACGGACAGCAATTTGCAAAAATTTCCAAACTTAGAAATGCAGATACTAATTTCCCAATAATGCTACTTCTAGGAGTTTATTCTACACATATTCCCACATGTGCAAAATGACATATATTCAAGGTTATTTTTCACAGATTTGTGATGACCAGAGATTGGAAACAGCCCAACTGTCCATCTAGAGAGCCTGGTTAAATAGATGATGGTCTGTCCATCCATGTCACAGAGTAGTCTGCAAATGAAACAAGAACGGGGTGCCCTTTGTGCACTGACACAGGGATCTGACCTCACAAGGAGACACAAAGGAAGGACCCCTGCACAGCCAGTGCCTGTGGCCCAGAGTCGGTGTCCTATGAAAGGAATGGGGCCAGTATCTTGGGGACCCAGGCAGCCTGCTGGGCAGGGACAGAAGGTCCACTGGGCCCAGGGAAAAGGTTGGGGCAGCAGGAAGGGCAGTGTGCCCATTTCTCTCTCTCTCCTTTCTTCTCTCTCTCTCTCTCTCTCTCTCTCACACACACACACACACACACACACACACACACACACACACACACAGAGAGACTTGGAGATAGAGACTTTCTCCTGCAAAAACAGACCATCTTGGGCAAGGTGGAGCACACAGCTCTGTAGGCTAGAATAACACAACCAGTCACCATAGCAACAACAGGGAGTTGTAATTTTCAGACTGTGAGCTGCGCCAGAACCCAGGGAGAGGATGCAGGCCACCAGCAGGGCTCCCTCCGGGCAGGTGTCTCTGTAACCCGGGGAATGGAGGCCTCAGCCACCTAACCTGTAAAAGTAGGATCTGATCCGCACACCGCTGCCCTGTGATGCCTTGGAGGAGAAATTGAGAAAGGCTAGGAGCTTTGAAGCAGGCTGAGGGCTCTCCAAAGCGTGAAGGCTGTTAGCCTCTCCCAGCACGCCCAGCGGGGATGCCTGGTCCCCTTCTCTGCTCCCGAATGCCCTCATTAGAGACGCCTGTGTGCAGCCCTGAATTTCTATCATAAAAGCATCTTTCAAATGAATAAATAATGACTAGAGAAAAGGAAGAAAGCAGATTGCATTTCATTGGGCAGGAAAGTTGCTTGGTCTCTCGGGGCTATTTGGCCAAGCTGCCCACAGGTGCCCACTGCGTGAACACAGGTGTGAGTCCCCACCAGATGCTGTTCATTGCTTTCTAAGTACCCTCGCCCCCACCTCCACCCCAACCCCAGCCCCATCCCAGCCCTTCCAGCTTGCAAAGTCATTCTATCATGGCTGTCTCTCCAAAAAAGAGCCATTTCCCAGGAAGGCACCACCCTGACCACTGGCCTTGTCCCGTGGCATGAAGCCAGCGTCACTCTGGACATTGCTGGCTGAGCTGGTTGGACTATGACTGTGGTGGCCAGCACCTCCCAGGCCTGACCCTGCAGAGAAAGGCCGAAGATGAACTCTGACCCCTGGGTGCAGCCACCCCAGCCAGCCCAGCCAGGCCCAGCGGGCAGCACCCCTCTGTCCCCATGGGCCTGGGATGCAGTGTCCCATTTTCCCTGGTGAGACTGGCCTTGTGGGCTATACAGGGGGCAGGAACTAGCAAGGCTATTCAGGGCCTCACCGAGGGGAAGGGCCACTGTCTCCATGGCTGCCAATTTCTGGCGACGTCCCCAGTGGTCTTCCTCCTGCAGGTTCTCAGGCGGTGCCCTCCCACTCCAGGCTGTGCCTGGCTGGGGGGTGGGGGTGCAGGCCAGGCTGGCTCCGGCTCCCACTCACACTAGTGCTACAGGGCTATGGTCCCATCCCTTAGCTGGGCTAGAAACGGAGAGGCGCTAGGCTTGGGGCTTGGGGAAGGGTCCATCTTCAATAGCTTAGTTCTCAAACTGTGTTCTGGGGTGGGCAGGGAGGGTGAGCCACACTCCACAGGCAATGGTGAGTGCTTGAAAACGCCTTTTACAAACTAGTGAAAACAAACACAGGAGTATGCTGAATAGCACACATCATCCCATGACGTTTGAAGGCAGAGCAACATCTCTTGCAGGCAGCTCTGCAGGGGGCCCTCTTGGGCCTTATCACTCTCAGTTGGTGGTAGACAAAAGTCTGAGACCCCCATCGCATGAATTTGTGTTCCTGTCACTTTTCACATGCATTCATGCTGGTGCATGATCTCTAATCTTTATAGGAGTCATTTTATCTCCTTTGGAGGGATTTGGGAGTGAGGAGTTGAGAGGCAAGGCTTTAAAGGAGCTTGAGGTCACCTCCCCTCACCCACTCCCAGGTGGAGTCAGCCCCTGAAGCCCCTCTTCCAGCCAGGTAGGCCTGGTTGTGGCTCGTGGCTCCGGGAAGGGAAGGCTGTGTGGGCGGGGTGGTTGTGTGGGCGGGGTGATTCCTCTTGGCTTGGCTCAGGGGCCCAGCGCTGTCCCAATCTTGTTTGGGGTGTGGTCTCTTTTATGCTGTATAATGACTCAAAAAAAAAAAAAAAAAAAGACCTTGTTCTTGAACAAACCAAGAATATCTGTCCCAGCATAATGACAGAAATATTGTGACAAATTAAGCATCTGTCATTGAGCTATCAGGCTCTATTTTAGGTTAAACCTGCTTAGAGATTACGCTCCTTTCAGCTCAGTGCTGCCTCCCACTGTGCCCTGTAGGCACTCTGAGGCTCTGGGGACAATTGTTGGGCCTCACCGGGCCCCAGTGGCTCCGTCTGAGATTCAAGGGGGTGGGCTTAGCCCCTGCTCAGACACTTGCGGCACATCCAGCCAGCCTAGGGAAATTTCATCTACTTCTCCACAGTCCCCATCCCCTCTTCGGCACCCCCATCTCCCACCTAGGTCCTAACGGCATGTGGCACTCAGCGAGCTCCAACTCTCGCTGGACAGTGGGAGTTGTAAAGGGAGCAAGGTGCCCCTGCTTGTCCCTGGCAGAGAGAGCCCAGGGACCCCACGAGGGGTCTAGAGGTCTAGAAACAGGCATGCACCATCTCCTTTCTGGGCCAGGGCCGGAGGGACACACACAAGGCAGCTGAGGGGGTCGAGGTCACCTTCAGGCCACTTGGGGATGGTCTGGAGCCTGTCCTGCTGTGTCCCTCAGCCCCCTCCGTGCCTGGAACTGGCCCCACCCCAGCAGCCCCCCATTCCTAGAGGAGACTCCAGTGACTCGATTTCTCCAAGGATCTCTGTATTTGCAGTGCTTAGTACTTTATCTCCCCCACCGGTCTCAACTTCACAGAAGAGACAACTGCCACAGAGAGGCGACCTGCGTGTGCTTCCCCAGCCACTTCTAACCTGCCGACCTCATGCCCTCTTCCCTAGCCTGCAGGTCCTCTGCCAGCCACACCTGGGGCCATGACGTCCCCTCTCAGGGAAGAGCCAGGGACTCCTGCTCTACAGAAGCTCACCCCTGGGTGGCTTGGACTCATAGCCAGGCCAGGGAGTGCGGAGTGGCCCCCCAGCCAGACGCCACATTGCATTTTGCAGAATGCGCCATTCCGCACGGCCCCCGCACACGCTGCTCCCTGGCCTGGAATACATCCTTGAGCATCCTTTTTCTGCTCTGGGAGCCTTCTCTGCCCACACACTCTCCTGGCAGCCTGGGCACTGTGCAGTTATTTAGGGCTGTTCCTGTTCGTTTGCCTCCTCGGCTTCCTACCAGACTGTGAGCTTCTTGGGGGCTGGTCTGGACTCAGGGGACCCAAGATGGGCCTCATGGTGTCCAGGGAGGGTGTGCAGACCTCCCTCTGTCCCACAGTTCCCACTGGTCCCCTCTATGCATACAGAAAGGTCCAGATGGCGGAGAATGTTCCAGGCCCAGAAGCATCTCTTCAATGATCCCTTCCTGAGTAGGGGTGTCCATAAGGTGCTGTCCCCTAAGTTCCCAGAGCCCCTCACGGCTGGGGCCTTTCTCCACGGGTCTGGGAAAATCAGTCTCAGCAACCAATTGCACCTAATTATTTACAGGACTGAAATGGGTTAGAAATCTTGCAAGATTCAGGCCCAGTAGAAAGGCCCTTTTGCATTTTTAAAAAATCTCAATGCAAATCCAATGCAAAAAAAAAATAAAAATATCTGAGGGTGTTTCTTAAATTAAGTTTGACACGTTACTGTGTCATTCAAAAAAAAAAATAACCAAAACAGGCCTTTCCTGGATTTGTTTCTTAAACATTTCTGTGAACGAGAAGCAATTTCCCTGCCAGCCCCTCACTCCAGATGGCCTAATCCCCTCGGGACCTGCTTCAGGCCCGATAACATCTCTTGGTGAGCTGGTCACAGTAAGGCCCTGCACTCACTTCTCGGCAGGGTCCCCAAGGGACCTCGCCACTGGGCAGCCGTGGCAGATGGGCTGTCCCTGCCTGCCCACACACAGCAGCCATCCCCACGAAGCAGGGGATGGTCCCTGCTGGCTGAAGGATGGCTGTTTTTCTCAGATCCAGGCCAAGTCACTCGGGCAAAAGGTCTGTTCCTTCCTACTGAATGCTCTGTTTGTAGCAATGCTAGGGCAACCCAAAGAGGACGGACTCTGTAGAGAGCCCATTGACACCACCCTTATCTGCCAAGGGAGGAGCTGAGGAGGGGCTTCCTGCCCAGCATCGCCAAGGGTGTTCCTGAGAGCCGGGCTGGACACCAGGGCCCTGCCCTTGCCCCACACAGGCTGCAGGGGAGCTGTGCAGGGCTGCACAAGTGTGCGTTCTCAAGGTGAACAAAGGCAGTGGGGGTGGGGAGGGGCAGGGAAGGGAGAGTCAATGCCATCCCTGGTCCAGATGGGAGAAGGTCCCAGCTCAGGAGAGCCCCCACCCCCACCCAGCTCTGGGAAACTCTGAGGCATCCCACACAGGGCCCTCCAGACGTGACTTCCCGGCTGCTGCCCACCAACTGTTCCCCACGGCTGCCCAGCTGCGCCTGCACGAGGCGCCCAGCCAGCCCAGCCAGCACCGAGGGGTCGATGTTTGGGGGCTTCAGGAGCCACATTTTTATACAGGCTGAAAATAGAGTTGGAGACTTTTAATTTTGCCGATTAAGGATGTTGTCATAAAAACAATCTCTAGGCACTATAATAATTTCATTTAAAAAGGATGTTTTAACATTTCAAAAAACTCATATTAAAAATAATAGAAACATTCAGCATTACAGACATGGGCAAAGCTGTCCTCTTTTTTCTCATTTCACCCAGGACCAGGGAGCTCTGTTAGGAATCCCAAGGCAGGCTGAGTTGGTCCAACCGGTGGCCTGGCGGTCCCAGGGTACCCCACAGGCCCTACTAGTTGGGGACTGACAGCCAGGCCTCCGCTGAAAGTTTCCTGTTCCCCAGACACAGCCTCCAGGGGTCCTGGGTGACCCCTGAAGAAGCCTGGCCAGCCCAGGTGTTTCCTGGAGAGCGCCTGGCCCCAGGCCCTGGAGGGGTTGGGCGGGGTGGATCCTCCCTCCGCGACCTGGCATCTCTGGCTTCCAGGGCTGGCACTGCTGGCCAGGACTGCCCCAGACACTCTGCGTGTGCTCAGAGCCAGCTGCCACACAAAGCCGCATTGTGGGCCTCCTCTTGGCTGGCAGACACGTGACAGCAGAGGGTGGGTGGTGGGCTGGGTGGGTGTGCCCCACTGCCTTCTTCCTGGTCAGGGCTCAGCATCCTCGCATCTGACCCCACATAGCAGGAGCCAGGCCAGGCAGGCTCTGGGGCCTGGGTGGGGGCATGAACAAACACCGAGTTGTAATCATAGTGCCCTGGAGGAGGGCTATCATCCAGGGGCCCCCAGCTGCACTCCTTCCAGGGGCGGCCAGCACCCAGGCCACAACTTCTCCCAGAGCTTGGTCCTTCTGTCTCTGCTCCAGCCCAGGGCCCCCACACTCTCCCTTTCTCTTGCAGTTGATGCATGGACGGCTCTGACTTAGAGCCTCAGCCCGGGCCAACTCGGCTGCAAGGAGAAAAGGGAGCTCCAGACCTCAGGGCCTCCAGCCACCTGGGGGTCTGCCTCCAGGAGCGCAGCTTTCACACAAACAAAACGAGCAAGACTGCTCTGCCCATGCCGCCCATGCCTTCCTGCAAGCCCCCAGTCCTGCTCAAGGCTCCCACAAACAAGGAAACAAATCAACAAGAAACACCCCAAATGGAGAAGAGAGAGCCCTCCCTGGCCCGAGTGTTGTTTGGAGCCTACCCTTGGGTTCCTCTCCTTTCCAAACCTCCCAACAGCACAGCCTGCACCCTGGGGTGACGGGGATGCCCGGGTGTGATGAGGCACCATCTGCACGGTGGAATATTATGCCATTCAAAAATACCAAGACTCCACACTAACATGAAAAGAATGCGGCTGGGTGCGGTGGCTCACGCCTGTAATCCCAGCACTTTGGGAGGCCGAGGCGGGTGGATCATGAGGTCAGGAGTTCAAGACCAGCCTGGCCAAGATGGTGAAACCCTGTCTTTACTAAAAATACAAAAAAAAAAAAAAAAATAGCTGGGAGCAGTGGCAGGCACCTGTAATCCCAGCTACTCGGGAGGTTGAGGCAGGAGAATCGCTTGAACTCAGAGGGCGGAAGTTGCAGTGAGCTGAGATCACGCCACTGTACTCCAGCCTGGGTGACAGAGTGAGACTTTGTCTCAAAAAAAAAAAAAAAAAGAAAAGAATGCATGCCCAGCCATTTCCCTGGGAGGCCCCATCTTGGTGAAGGGGGCACCACGCTCCTCCTGGCCCAGGCCAGGTGATGCGGTATTCCTTTAGAGTCCTCCCTCCCCTCCTTCCCTGCATTCCCCTGTCACCCCCTGCATGGAGGCCAGTGCCACCATCAGAGCTCCTATTCCGGGCCCTCCTCCAGTGGTGCCCTCCCCACAGACAAGGAGTCTGTGGGCCCAGGAGATCTGCCCACCCAGACCTGTGCCCCTTCTAGACCATGCAGCTGGCCCTGGGGCCTAGAATTCCCCCCAGACACCTCCACCTGGGCCTCATGGGTCTCCCCGGGTCTCTTCCTGATAGGGGTGCACAGCTGTGGGCCTTGCGCCAGAAGGGGCAGCTGTTTCCAGTGATAATCCCCATGTGGGCTGGGCTGGGCTCGGCTGGGCTGGGCTAGCGGGACTGTGGGATGGGCAAGGAGTGGGAGACGAGGGGAACCGGCGGGGCCTAGGCCACACTTCTGTGCAGAACGGATTCCAGGATCCTACACTTGAGGCTGGCCTTCCGGTCATTGTGAAGACTTAGCTGTCAAGGTAAACGGATAGAAGGTATCCCATCAGCAGTGCGGTAGCTGAACCCATCACTTTCCTACACCAGGACATTGTGACATTGCGCTATAATGAGGAATATGCATTTGGCCTTTGTGGTCTCCCCACCCTCTTTCCTGCCACATGGCTTCTAAAACTCTTGAATCTCCAAAGCCATAAGTGTCTTTTTGTGTGCTCATGGGAGGGACTGGTGGCTAGGGACTCCTGGGTAGAATCAGGAGCGGGATTGGTTGCCAGGGGAACCAACCAATAATCAGAGGGTTGGGATTTCAGCTCCACTACCCGCCTTCAGAGAGGGGAGAAGAGCTGAAGGTCAACTTGATCACCAATGGCCAGTGATGTAATCAATCAGTCTATGTAATGGAGCTTCCATAAAAACCTGAAATGACAGGTTGGGAGAACCCTATGCTGAACACACAGAGGGGCTGGGAGGGTGGCACGTAGAGAGGCCCGGAAGCTCCCACCCCTTTCCACGCTGACCACCTGTGCATGTCTTCCATCTGGCAGTTTATCTGTATCTTTTATAAGATCCTTTAAAATAAACCGGTAAACGTAAGTAAAGTGTTTCCCTGAGTTCTGTGAGCCATTCTAGTAAATGACTGAACCCAGGGAGGGAGTCCCGGGAACCCCTGATTTACAGCCTGTTTGTCAGAAACACAAGTGACAACCTGGACCTGCAATCAGCATGTGACGGGGCGGGGCAGCTCTCTGGGACTGAGCCCAGCCCTTAACCTGTGGGGTCTGATGCTATCAAAGTAGATTGAGTCAGAATTGAGTTACACTGTAGGACACCTGTTTGGCATTTGTAGAGAACTGCATTGCTTGGTGTGGGAGAAGCAACCCACACTTCCAGAGACTGGAGTGGTGCACACAGGTACAGAAGACACATGGCTTGCCCTTCCTGCACAGGTGTGGAGCAGGTGGGCTTTGGGGTGCGCTCAGCCCCGCAGCCCTGAAAGGTGCCTTGATCTGGCCCCCGTATCACTGCCCGAGCTGGGGCTCAGCCCCTCACTTCCGCTAGTCCCAAACCCACTGCTTTCCCAAGCCTCTCCATGCTGAAGGAGCAGCTCTGACCAGACTCACCCAGGCCCTTTTGGCCCCTTTCCCCACGAGCTCAAGGCCTAGGACTTCCCTTGGTTGTCATCACCCATGTCCTTGCAACCCACCCCAGGGTTTTAAGGCTGACTTCCCACTAGCTCTGTCTTATCCCCGCATACCCTTCTCCCCACCCCTGGTGAGCTCAATGGGTGGCCGGCCCATTGGCTGTGACCCCCGTTTCCCCACTATTTGAGGCTCACCTTGATGTGCCCCCTCCTCCCTGCCAGTGATGTGGGGACCGTCCTGGCTGGCCACTACCAGCTGTTTGACTCTCTCCCCACTTGCTGAGAGGGGCTGAGGACCCTGTCCTGCTGATGAGACATAAACAAAAGTCGGCTGGGAATTCCTGGCTAAGGTTTCCTCTCTGATAAAAGAGACCCACAGGAAGAAATAGTCTAGCATGTTCCACTGGACTTTTGCCATTGTCAGGATATCACATCTTTTACCAGCCAAGGGTGAGGCCACACCCGGAGGAGGGCCACACTCAGGGAGACACCCTGGAGCCTGGCATAGGGTGCCCACTGCCACCCTGCCTCTGCACTTTCTGCTACAAGATCCTCAGTCCCTGTTGCTCCTCCAGCTTGAGCCTGGGTCTTTGTCACTTGCAGCCAAACAAACACCCTACACCTGGCACTGCCCTGCAGAGCCTCGTCTGATTCAGTCCCTGGCCTCCTCCCAGGACTCAATCCCTGCTGCCTTTGTGCTCTGGCCCCCTGAGGCAGAACACCACCCGCCAATGTGTACCTGAAAGGCAAAGGTCATCCCGCATCCAGGGCTGCGTCCTGCCCTCTCCTGCCCCTCCCGGCGTCCTGGTGGCAGGCCAGATGCCCGTCCAATAGAGTTCAGTTGAGTTTGTTGACACAATGCATTTTTTTTGTAAAACATCCACTGTGAACCTGCTCCTTTTGTTGTGCAATATCTTTAAAGTCCACATGGTATTAGATTTGTGAAGTAGGAAAACATTTCTCCCTCCCTAGAGATTAATTAACAGCTTCTATTACAGGTCTGCAGTCTCTAACTCACAGTTCCAAAATCTAAATATTCCTGAAAACCAAGACTTTTTCCATAAGTTTGTGGCAAACTCATTTGGTGGCAAAACCTGACCTGGTCAGATATAAGGATAGTTAAAGTCTTAGTGTGAATATTTGCATGTTTCACAGCAAAAATGTATGAATGTGCTTGGTCATGAGTTGCCACCCCGATCCTGTTAGCATGTTACTTAACATACATATGCAGTTTATTACTGGTCTAAAATCCAAATGTTCTGAATCAGAAAAGCATCCACCCCCAAGGGTTTCTAATAAAGAATCACGGAACTGTGTTAGATAGCAAGCGCTTTATAAATGTTCTTTATTTTCCTTTTTTTTTGCCTTGACTGCCAAGAAGGTCAAATTTAAATAATTAAGCTTATTCACAGCAACAAGGCTTTGTCTCAAGTTTCTTAATACAATTATCCTGTCTTTTTATAACTTGCCTTTAAAAAAATTATTTCCACAATATAGCTTTCTTGAATTGGTGTCTTTTATTTAATTCTGGTTTACAACATAATTTTTTTAAATGAAGATAAACTTACAGCAAATTTGTGACTCCAGAAGGCTTCTATGGACTATTGGGACAGATGGTCTGTAAGTGTCTCTGTCTGCCATCCCACCTCCTAGGGGGAAGGAGGGGTGGGGCTGGTCCTATCGTGGATCGATTCTCCCCGTGCATCGATTCTCCCTGTGCCTCACTGCATGTCCAGGGGAAACAAGGGACACTCCCCTGCCATCCCAGCAGCCACAGCCCTCGGAGGCTTCTCAGTGAACTCGTCCATCCCACATCCATCCTGCCACCATCCACATGCAACAACTCGCCTACTTCGGGTCAGTGCAGCAAATAACTGGCTTGTAAATTTGCATCATCAACAACCTCCCTAATTCTTCCATCAGATCCACCCTGCTAGGGAGACCCAAACATAGCATTTATAGAAGTCATACATTATGAGCTAATTTTTTCATACAAGACTATTTGTGTGGATATATTGACAACAGAGTATACATGTTTAGTGCTACAATAAAAAGAGTGACAAGTGCTAACTGATGGGGACTATGGGTGATTCTTTTGGGGGACTTGCCATTACATTCTAAATTTTCAATGATGGATAGGTATTACTTTTGCAGTAACAATCAGGAGTACAAGTTTGTGTTTAATTGCTTTGCAAATATTATCATAGAGCTGCTTCTTAGAGTATGGCAGCCTTTTTCTAAGAAACAGGCTTCCCTGGATCTCCCTAAGACAGTTTCACGGGACTGTGTCAGAAGTCTGAAAATGCAATCAGGCTGTACAATATTTATTTCAATTAAATTTCTTAGGCTATCTCTTTTATCAGGTAACATTTTAATTTTATGTATTTTTTTTTATAGACAGGGTCTCACTCTGCCACCCAGACTGGAGTACAGTGGTACAATCATAGCTCACTCTAACCTTGAACTCCTGGGCTCAAGTGATCCTCCCAAGTGATCCTCCCTGCTCAGCCTCCCAAAGTGCTGGGATTACAGGTATGAGTCATCATGCTCCACCAGGTAACATATTTAAAAAGCAACTTAGAGCTTTGTCTACATGCTGTCAAAGCAGTCCAATAATTCAATAATTCTGATTAAAATAAGCAGACTTTCACTTCCAGTTAAGACAGAGCACTGGCATCACACTAGCCTTCCTGCTGCAAACAAGTTGGAAACCAGACAAAATATATGAAAAAACTATTTGCAAATAACAGGCAGTGCAGGCACATGATCCCTCAGAGCAGCTAGGCAGAGAGCATGAGCCCTACAATCGACCTGGCTTCTTGCCTGCAGGCATTTCCCAGCCCTGGGACAGAGAGGGGATCCAGCAGAGAACAGTGGTCTTGCCGAGCTGAGGAAACTGCAACTGGAGTTTGAGGAGGCAGAAAAAGGGGCTCATAGGCCAGGCATGGTGGCTTCTGCCTGTAATCCCAGCACTCTGGGAGGCCAAGGTGGGTGAATCACTTGAGGTCAGCAGTTCAAGACCAGCCTGGCCAACATGGCGAAACCCCATCTCTACTAAAATTACAAAAATTAGCCAGGCATGGTGGTGAGTGCCTGTAGTCCCAGCTACTCGGGAGGCTGAGGCAGGAGAATTACTTGAACCCAGGAGGCAGAGGTTGCAGTGAGCTGAGATCATGCCAATTACACTCCAGCCTTGGCAACAGAGCTAGACTCCATCTCAAAAAAAAAAAAAAAGAAACAAAAAAGAAAAAGGGGTTCATGAATCTGCATGGGGTCACCCTGAGTCTCAGATGAACACAGATGTGTACCTATATAGGGCAAGAATCCATGGGGCTGGGCATACAACCACAATGCACAGGTATAGGCAGCTGTAGACATTGCAGTAACCAGAGCTCACACAGGTTGGGAGGCCCTCAAGTTCTGGCCAGCCAGAGGAGAGAGTCCTCACTGAACACCAAATTACAGTCATGCACTACATAACGATATTTTTGGCCAACGATGGATCACATATATGACAGGAGTCCCATAAGATTATAATGGGGCTAAAAAATTCCTCTCACCTAGTGACATCGTAGCCATGTGACATTATAATACAACACATTACCTTTCCTATGTTTAGATATGTCTAGATACACAAATATTTACCATTGTGTCACAGTTGCCTACAGTATTCAGCAGCACGTTGCACAGGTTTGTAGCCTAGGAGCAATAGGCTGTACCACATAACTTAGGTGTGTAGCAAGCTATACCATCTAGGTTTGCGTAAGCACACTCAACACTCTATGTTGTTTGCACAACACAATTGCCCAATAATGCATTTCTCAGAATGTATCCCCCTTCTATAGTGGCATGTGCCTGTAGTTCAATAGAGAACACAGAAAGAAATGACCCTAGATAAAGCCCTAACAAAGTTTTAAAACAAATCTTGAAAGTTTCAAGTTGATGCACAAAGGAATTAAGTGCCTATCGGAACAAAGTGCAACACTCTCTAAAGGAAGACAACAAAATCCAGATATTCAATAACGCAATTTTCTCAAGTCCAGCATTCCATAAAAATTATTAGACATGCAAAAGGCAGGAAAATGTAACCCAAAACAAACAAACAAAAAAAAGAATCAATAATAACAGACCAAGAAAAAGCAGAGGTGATAGAATTAGTAATCATGGACTTTAAAACAACTATTATAGATATATTCAAGGATTTTTTTAAAAAATGCAAACATAACAAGGGGAGACATTGAAATCACAAAAAGAAAAAAAAAGGAAACTCTAGAGCTGGAAAAATACCCTATCTGAAATGAAAAATTGACTAGATGGAGGTAGGCTCCTGATCTGGGCGAGAAGAAATAAGCACCTTTCATCTGCCTTTCCACTGAGTGAAATGATGCTTCCTGGACAGAAGGCAAGGGGCAGCCGCCTGAGAACTCTGAAAAAGCAATGGTAAGCTGACAGGGGAATGAGGCCAGAAGCCGGGGGGCCACCAAATTAGTGATGTATTTCCCATGTACTTTTCCTCCAGTATTACCCAGCCTGGACTCAAAGCCCCTTCCCCCAAAACCTGGGAGGGCACAATGGGTGTGGACAAAGAGCACTCCAAGAGAAGCCTTCTCTTTCTGCTAAAAGAGCAGGAAAGGGGAATCCTGAGAGTCAGAGAGTGAGAGGAATACCCTGGTTATTTTTCTGTCCTCTCCCTCCCAGCCTCAAGCAATCCCACAGCAGCAGGGGTGACAAGGGCAGTGGCTGTTGGAAGGGTGCCTAAAACTCTAATGGACAGGAATCCTTCTCTCTGACCAGAAGAGCCATGGTACCAGGAGTGTAAGACAAAGTGTCATTGTTTTTTCTCTCCCTGGATCCTCCCACAGATTGGCTCTGGATGCAGTCACAGTTGTGGGAAGCGTGTAGCAGAGTGAGAAACTAAAGCCTGGCCTTTCTGGCCACAGGTTGAGAAAGGGAGGCTCCAGAGGAGATAATGGAAAGAAAAGGTCTCAAGAGAGAAAGCCCATAGAATTGTGTATGAATTTCTAGGCTCACTTCTGAGCTGCGTCGGCATGGATCTGTTCCTCATAGCACACCACAGGCTTTGAGAATTGAGCTTACAGGTAGACCACAACCCCAGGTCCCAGACAAGCCCATGGAGAATGCACAGGCAGAGCAGAGTCACATAGTATTATTGCAAAGCCTTTGAAAACTGAATTGACATTGGAACCACAGCCCACAGGTGGTGGGTCAGAACCTGTAGCCCAAACCTAATCAGGTCAATTGTGTATTAAAACAAAAATGTCAACATTCTCTTTGGGATTTAAATAAGACACAGAGCCTTATAACATAATATCCAAAATGTCCAGGATACAACCCAAAATGCCTTGTATTTAAAGAACCAGAAAAATCTCAAACTAAAAGGAAAAAGACAATCAAAAGGCATCAACCCTAAAATGACACATGTTGGAATTTTTAAAGACTTAAAGCAGCTATTGTAGCCATGCTGCAATACCTAAAGGGAAACTTTTGAGATGAAAGGATTGAAAATCTTAGCAAAGAAATAGAAAATACAAACAAGAAACAAATGAAAATTTTAGAACGTAAAGCTGCAACAAGTGAAATTAAAAATTCCCTGGATGGACTCAATAACAGAATGGAGAGCAGAGGAAAAAGTCAGTAAAGTTGAAGCTAGAGCAATAGAAATTGAATAGCAGAAAGAAAGAAAATCAATGTACAGAGCATCAGGAACCTATGGAATAACATGAAATGATCTAATGTTTGTATTATTGAAACACAGAAGGAGAAGAGAAAGACTGTGGTACTGATATAATATGTGAAGAAATACCAGCTGAGGCCAGGTGTGGTGTCTCACGCCTGTAATCCCAGTACTTTAGGAGATCAATGCAGGTGGATCACGTGAAGTCAGGAGTTCAAAAGCAGCCTAGACAACATGGTGAAACCCCGTTTCTACTAAAAACACAAAAATTAGCCGAGTATGGTGGCTCATGCCTGTAATCCCAGCTACTCAGGAGGCTGATGCATGAGAATTGCTTGAACCAGGGAGGCAGAGGTTGCAGTGAGCTGAGATCACACCACTGCACTCCAGCCTGGGCAACAGAGAAAGACCCTGTCTCAAGAAAGAAAAGGAAAAGAAAAGAAAGGGAAAAAGAAAAAAGAAAGAGAGAGAGAGAGAGAAAGAGAGAGAAAGGAAGGAAGGAAGGAAGGAAGGAAAGAAGGAAAGAAGGAAGGGAAGGGAAAGGAAAGAAAGAAGGAAGGAAGAAAGGAAGGAAGGAAGGAAAGGAAGGAGGGAAGGGGAGGGGAGGGGAGGAAGGAAAGAAAGAAAAGAAAGACGGATGGAAGGAAGGAAGGAAGAAAGGAAGGAAAGACTACTGGCTGAGAATTTCCCGATTTGGTGAAAGACATGAACTTACACATTCAAGAAGCTCAGTGCATCCCAAACAAGATAAACTTAAACAAATTAATGAACAGACACAGGATAATCAACTGCTAAATACAACGACAAAGAAAAGAATCTTGAAAGCAGCCAAACAGAAATGAAACATTAAACAGGGGATCAAGTATTTGTATGATGATGGATTTCTCATCAGAAATTACAGAGGATAGAAGAAAGTGGCACAGCATTTAAAAAATACTGAAAAAAAACCCCAAAACTGTCTGCCCAGAGTTTTCTGTCCAGTGAAAATATTCCTTAGAAATGAAAATGGTATAAATATATTGTAAGATGAAGGAAAATTAAGAAAATTCATTGCCAGTAGATCTCCTTTAAGAAAAAAAAAATCTAAAGGAAGTTTTTTTTAGATAGGAGGAAAATGACACCAGAGGCAAACTTGAAACATTGGGAATTTAAGAAGAAAAACAGAAATGGCAAATATATGGGTAAATATAACACACTATCTTTATCCTCTTAAATTCATTAAAATATGTATGACCATTTAATGTCAAAGTATAACACTGATGTGATTTTCACTGGGGGTAGTATCACACATGTATCATATATGGCAACTATATGATAAAGGGAAAAGGGTAAAGTATGACAGTAAAATTTTTAAATTTCAGCCAGGTGTAGGGGCTCATGCCTGTAATCCCAGCACTTTGGGAGGCTGAGGCGGGTAGATCACTTGAGGTCAGGAGTTCGAGACCAGTCTGGCCAACATGGTGAAACTTTGTCTCTACTAAAAATACAAAAATTAGCCAGGAATGGTGGCACGCGCCTGTAGTCCCAGCTACTTGAAATGCAAATGCAGCAGAATCACTTGAACCCAGGAGGTGGAGGTTGCAGAGAGCTGCGATTGTGCCACTGCACTCCCGCCTGGGCCACAGAGTGAGACTCTGTCTCAAAAAAAAAAAAAGTTTTTAAAATTCCACCTAAAGTGGTAAAATACTAATTCTATGTAGATTACAAAAAAGATATATATATATATATATATATATATATATATATATATATATATATATATAACAATGAATATTGTAATCCACAGTGCAATCACTTAAGAAAGTACAGAGATATCATTTAAAAATCTGAAGAATTAAATATAAATTAAATACTAAACATATTTAAATAATCCAAATAAAGGAAGGGAGGGGAAAATACCAGAATAAAAAAATCAAGGAACAAATAGAAAACCAACAAAGAAATTGTAGATCTAAACCCAAACTTCAAAAATTACATTAAATATAAGTGTTTAAACATACAAATTAAAGGAGAGAGATTATAAGAATGGAATTAGAAAACAAGAACCAATTGTATGCTGTCTATAAGAAACCCATTTAGAATATTATTATATGGATAAGATAAAGGTAAAAGGATGCAAAATGATATACCATACAAATAGGTTGGAGTGGGTATATAAATATTAGAAAAAGTAGACATCAGAGCAATGATATAAAGGTCTATTCACTAAGAACACATAAAAGTCCTAAATATGTATACAGCTAACAATGGAGCTTCAAAATAAATGAAGCAAAAGCTGACAAAACTGTAAGAAGAAATAGAAACACTCACAATTATAGTTTGAAACTTTAATACCTTTCTCTCAATTACCAATAGAAGAAGTAAACTGAAAATCAGTAAGGATTTGGAAGACCTGAACAACACCATCTACCAAAAGAATCCAGTTGACACTTTTAGAATACTCCATCTGACAATAGCAGAGCACAAATTTTTTCTTTTCAAGTACATGTGGAATATCTAACAAGATGGATTATATCTTGCATCATAAAATAACCTTAACTAATTTTTAAAAATTTAAATAATTCAAAGTATGTTCTCTGACAATAATGAAGTTAAACTAGAAATCAGTAACAGAAAAATAAGTGGGAAGTCAGCAAACACTTGTAAATTAACACATCGAAATAACTCGTTGGACAAGAAGTCTCAAGAGGAATTAGAAAATATTTTTGACTAAATGTAATTGAAAATATATCCAAATTTGAGGGTATAGCTAAAGCATTGGCTAGAAAATTTTTTTATCACTTAATGTTTTTATTAGAAAAAAAGAAATAATTCAAAATTATTAAATCTAAACTTCTACCTTAATCAAGTAAACAAAGGAAAGCATAATACACCCAAAACAAGAAGAAGGAAGGAAACAATAAAAATGAGAGAAGAAATCAGCGGAGGCAGAAAAATAATAGAGAAAATAAATGAAACAGAATAATTGTTCTTTGAAAAGATCAGTACAATTAGCTAACTTCTAGTCAGGCTGATGAAGAAAAAAGAAAAAAGATAAAAACTACCTATATCAGCAAAGAAGGGATATCACTACACACCATAAACATTAAACAGATAATAAGGGAGTTCCATGTACAAATTTATGTATGTACCTATATTTTAAATTTTAGATGAACCAACTCTTTTTTTTTTTTGAGATGGAGTCTCATTCTGTTGCCCAGCCTGGAGTGCAGTGGCATGCTCTCAGCTCACTGCAACCTCCACCTCCTGGGTTCAAGTGATTCTCCTGCCCCAGCCTCCTGAGTAGCTGGGACTACAGATGCCCGCCACCACGCCCGGCTAATTTTTGTATTTTTAGTAGAGACAGGTTTCACCACATTGGCCAGGCAGGTCTCGAACTCCTGACCTCATGATCTGCCCGCCTTAGCCTCCGAAAGTGCTGGGATTACAGGCATGAGCCACCACGCCTGGCTGAACCAACTCTTTAAAAGCTACAAACTACCAAAACCCACCCAGGGAGAAACAGACAACCTGAATGGTCCTATGTCATTTGAAGAAATTAAATTTGCAATTAAAATTGTTTTGGAACAGAAATTTCTAGGCTCATTGGTGAATTCCACCAAACACTTACAGAAGAAATAACACCAATTTGACACAATCTCTTCCAGAAAAATAAAATAGGAGGAAACACTTCTCTACTCAACTTATGAAGCCATCACTACTCTGATACTAAAACCAGGGAACAGTGCAGGAAAAGAAAACTACAAACCAATATCCTGCATGAACAGAGACACAAACAACCTCAACAAAATGTTCTCAAATAGAATCCAGAAATATATTTTTTAAAATACCTTATACCTAAATGGGGTTTATCCCATGAATGCAAGGCTGGTTCAATATTTGAAAATTAGTCAATATAATTCACAATGTTAGCATACTAAAGAAGAAAAGCCATATGATAATGTCAATTCATGCAGAAAGTATTGAAAAATTTCAACATCCATTCATGATTTAAAAAAAACTTTGCACAAACTAGGAATAGTGGGGAAAATCCTTAATATAATCAAGGACATCTATGATGGTAAATTACTGAATGCATCTCCCTAAAATCAGGAACAAGGCAAAGATGTCTGGTCTCATCACCCCTATTTAATATTGTATTGGAAGTATTGGCAAGTGCAATTAGGTGAGAAAAAGAAATAAAAGCACACCAATTTTATAAGAAAAATGAGCTGTTCCTATTCACTGGTAGCTGCCTATGAGGAAAATTCTAATGAATCTACACAAAAGATTTTGGAATTAATTGATGAGCCTTGCAGGGTTTCAGGATAAAAGGTCAACATGTAAAAGTCAATTGTATTTCTATTTACTAGCAATGTACATTTAGAAACCAAAATGTAATACAAATATCTCTTAAAGCTTCAGAAAGTATAATCAACCTCATTTACAATAAGAGAGATGAAATTTTAACTACACTGAGGTATCACAGTGAATATAGTGAACTATTAGAGAAATAAGATAGAGGGAAGAGCATGAGATATGCATAAAATATAACTATGGGTTTGTCCAAGAAAATGCTAACACTGCGGCTTGTGGGGAAACTGGATGATTGAGAGACTGGGAAGAAAGAAAGAATTCAGTGTACAAATTTCTTTTGTACATTTAGGATTTTGGATCACGTGAATGACTTTGAAACACATGAAAAAATAAATAAAATTGAACTCTTAAAAAATTGTTTAACCACAAATTTTTTAAAAATCACATATAGTTTCAAAAAATGAAACATTTATGATAAATATAACAAAACGTGGTTGAGATCTATATGCAGAAAACTACAAAATATTGACGAAAGAAATAAAAGAAGCCCTGAATAAATAAAGAAACATGCTTTGTTCATGGATTGGAAGACAATATATTTTATATGTCAGTTTTCTCCCAGATTGATCTCTAGACTCAACACAATTTCAATCAAAATCCCAACAATGGGGATGGTTAATGGGTACAAAAATAAAGTTAGAATGAATAAGATCTAGTATTTGATAGCACAACAGGGTGACTACAGTCAACAATAATTTATTGTACATTTAAAAATCAAAGTATAATTGGATTATTTACAGAACAAAGACATGATAAATACTTTAGATGATGGATACCTCATTTACTCTGTAATTATTATGCATTGTATGCCAGTATCAAAATATCTCATGTACCCCATACATATCTACACCTACCATGTACCCATAAAAATTAAACATTAAAAATTTTTAAAAATCAGCAATACTTATATACATAGACAATATAACTCTAAAATTTATATTGAAAGCAAAAGATGTTTGAATAGTTAAACAATTTTAGAAAAGAAGAATAAAGATCAAGGATTCACACTACCCAGTTTTAAGACTTACTATGTATTATAGCTACAACAATGAAGACAGTATGATATTGGTGAAGGGACAGAAACATAGGCCAATAAAATAGATTAGAGTCAGAAATAGACTCACATGAAAATGGCCAAATGATTTTTTCAAACATTTAAAAAATTTAGATATAATTCACACACCATAAAACTATTCTGAAGTGCACAGTTCAGTTGTTTTTAGTATATTCAGAAGTTACGCAAACATTCTCACTGCCCAGTTCCAGACCATTTCCATCATTCCTAAGATTAAAAAGTAACAACAACCTGTATTCATTACCAGTGACTCTCATTGTCCCTTCCTCTAGCCCTTGGAAACCACCAATTTGCTTTCTGTCTGTGGGGATTCACCTATTCTGAACATTTTGTATAAGTGGAATCATATAATATGTGGCTTTTTGTGTCTGGTTTCTTTCACTTAGCTAAATATTTTCAAGGCTCAGCCATGTTGTCATGTTTCAGTACTTCCTTTTATGGCTGCAGAATTTTTTGTTGTATGGGTATACCACATTGTGTTTATCCATTCATGAGTTGTTTCCACTTTTGGCTATTTGAATAATGCTACTAGGAACATTTGTGTACAAGTTTTTGTGTGGCCATACGTTTTTATTTCTCTTGGGACTATACCTAGGAGTGGAATTACTGGGTCATGTGGTAACTCTATATTTAACTGTTTAAAGAACTGCTAGCCTGTTTTCTAAAGCAGCTGTACCATTTTACATCCCCACTAGCAGTGTATGAAGGTGCTAATACCTCCACATCCTTGCTACCACTTGCTGTTATCTGTCTGAGATATTTGATTATAGCAACCCTGGTGGGTGTGAACTGTTATCTTATCATTTTGATTTGCATTTATCCTGATGGGTAATGACGTTGAGAATCTTTTCATGTTCTTATTGATCATTTGTATCTTTTCTTTGGAGAGATGTCTATTTGAATCCTTTGCTCATAATTTAGTTTTTTAAATTATTGTGCTGTAAGAGTTGTATATATATATATTATTTTCCTGGATATTTGACACTTGTCAAATATATTATTTACAAGTATTTTCTCCCATTCCATTGGGCTGTTTATTCTCTGTAATAGTGTCCTTTAAAACACATAGGTTTTAGGGCCAGGCATGGTGGCTCATGCCTGTAAACCCAGCACTTTGGGAGGCCGAGGTGGGCAGATCACCTGAGATTGGGAGTTCGAGACCAGCCTGACCAACATGAAGAAACCACATCTCTACTAAAAATACAAAATTAGCCAGGCATGATGGCACACGCCTATAGTCCCAGCTACCAGGGAGGCTGAGGCAGGAGAATTGCTTGAACCCGGGAGGCAGAGGTTGCAGTGAGCCAAGATCGTGCCATTGCACTCCAGCCTGGGCAACAGAGTGAAACTCTGTCTCAAAAATAAAATAAAATAAAATTAAAATAAAAAATAAAACACATAGGTTTTAAATTTTGATGCCAATTTATCTATTTTTCTTTTATGCTTTAGCTGTCATATCTAAGAAACCACTGCCTAATCCAAAATGATGGAGATTTATGCCTATGTTTTTTTCTAAAATATTATAGTTTTAGCTCTTATGTTTAGGTTTTTGAAACATTTTTAGTTAATTTTTGTAAATAGTATGAGCTAAGGGTCCATCTTCATTCTTATGCTGTGTGGGTATCCAGTTGTCCCAGTACCACTTATTATAGAAACTATTACTTCTTCCATTGAATTGTCTTTGTCATGCTTGTTGAAAATCAATTGCCCATAAATATATGGGTTTACTTGTGGGCTCTCAATTCTATTACATTGATCTATATGTCTATTGCTATTTTACATCCACATAGTGTTGATTACCATGACTTTATAGTAAGTTTTGAAACTGGGAATTGCGAACCCCCAAATTTGTTCTTTATCAAGAATGCTTTGGCTATTTTGGGTTTCTTATGTTTTCCTACGAATTTTAGGATCAGCTTGTCAGTTTTGATGGTACACCAAAAAAAAAAGTTTATTGTACTGTACGTTAATTTTAAAAAATAATGTAAGTCTGAAAAAACACCAGATAGGCTTAACAGAAAATGTGATGTGACAAAAGGAAAGGCAGTAAAATGGAAGACAAGGTACTCGAACTATCCAAGCTAAAGCACAGAGAGGGAAATGACTGGAAAAAAATGAACTTGTTAAGGAGTGTAACATCTCTAAAGATGAACAATGTCAAGGGGTGTAACTTATCTCTAATTGCAGTCCTAGAAGGGGTCAAGGGCAGAGAAAATGTATGGAGAAACGATAACTGAAAATGTTCTGCATTTGATGAAAAATATAAACACACTATTCTAAAGAATGCATTGAAACCTAAGAAGAATGAATGCAAAAAGCATCATGGGCAATGTCATTATATTCAAATTGCTAAAAACCTGTGATAAAGAGAACATCTCAAAATCAGCCAGCAATAAAAGACACACTATGTCCCTCACCAAGGAAGAGGTACAGGTGGCAAATAGGCACATGAAAAAATACTCAACATCACATGTCGTCAGGGAAATGCAAATTACAACAACAGTGAGCTACCACTGCACACCTATCAGAATGGCCAAAATCCAGAACACTGACACCACCAATTGCTGATGAAGAGGGGGAGCAACAGGAACTCTCATTTATTGTTGGCGGGGAACTCTAAATGCTACAGCCATTTTGGAAGACAGTTTGTGGTTTCTCACAAAACTAAACATATTCTTAGCGTACAATACAGCAATGTGCTCCTTGGTATTTACCCAAAGGAATTGAAAACTTTAGTCCACTGGATGTTCATTTGTGTCTGAAATACCTGCATATGGATGTTTATAACAGCTTTATTCTTAGCAGCAATCATGATGCTCTTCAGTAGGTGAATGAATAAGTAAAACGTGGTACATCCCGACAATGAAATACTATTCAGTGATGAAAAGAAATGAGATATCAAGCCATGAAAAGACATGGAAGAAACTTAAATGCATATTACCAAGTGAAAGAAGCTGATGTGAAAGGCTACAGACTGTGACTCCAACTATATGATACTCTGGAAAAGCAAAACTATGGAAACAGTAAAAAGGTCAGCGGTTGTCAAGGGTTTCAGGGAGGGAGGGATAGGCAGGGCACAGAAGATTTTTTTAGGGCAGTGAAACTACTCTCTATGATACTATCATGGTGGATAAATACCATTATACATTTGTCTAAACCCAGAGAATTAATGACACCAAGAATAAAAACTAATGTAAACTGTGGACTCTGGGTGATAGTGATGTGTCAGTGTAGGTTATCAGTTGTAACATATGCACCGCTCTGGCAGGGGATGCGTATGCGGGGGGAGGTGATGTGTGTGTAAAGGCAGGCAGCATTTGTGAAATCTCTGTGCCTTTCACTCCATTTTGCTGTGACCCCAAAAAATAAAGTCTCTTTTTAAAAAAGGTACCTTACGTATAGGGAACAAAAATAATAATGACCATCAGAAACAATGCAGGGCAGGAGACAGTCAAATGGATATTTTTTAAGTGCTGTGGAAGACAACTTGTTAACTTTTCTCGTTCAAAAAAAAAAAAGTCTTCAGAAGCAATGGACTGTTTACAACAATAATAATATTAATATGCTGTGGAATTTATTAAATATGTGGACATAATATATCCGATAACAGTGGGATGGAAGGCTAACAATGGGAAGACAAAGGATGAAAGAAATGAAAGTATATCACTTTAAGGTTTTCCACCTTATGTAAGCAAGTATACTATTATTCGATTAGTTAATGACAGATCTTGTAAACTCTAAATCAACTAGTAAAAGAATAAAGATAATACATATAGCTAATTGGCCAATGGAGGAAATAAAAATGGAATATTGAAAAATACACAATTCAAAAAAACAGAAAGAGAAAAAGGAACAGATAGACAAAAAGTAGACAAGTAGCAAGATGGCAAATTTAAAGCCAACTATTTCAATATCTAAAAAAAGAAGAACTAAACTAAAAGCAGCAACGGCCATATTGAATTAAAAAAAAAAACTCCCAAATACATGTTATCTATAAGAAATATATTTTTAATCTAAATCCCAGGGAGATAAACAGTAAAAGGATAGAAAAAATATGTATAATGTAAACACTAATCATAGATAGTAAGAATTGCTTCATTTATATCAAATAAAATAGACTTCAGTAAAAGGAATACTGCTAGAAATAAGGAGGAGTATTCATATTAGTAAAAGTGTCCATTCATCCAAAGGTATAACCTTCTGCTATAGATTGAACTGTGTCCCCTACAAATTTATATGTTGAAGCCCTAACCCCTGTGGTGACTGTATTTGAAGGGCCTTTAGGAATTGATTAAAGTTAAATGAGGTTGTAAAAATGGGGCCCTGATCTGAAAGGATTAGCGTATTTGTAAGAAGAGGAAGAGAGAGGCTGGGCGCAGTGGCTCACACCTGTAATCCCAGCACTTTGGGAGGTGAGGGGGGGCGGATCACCTGAGATCAGGAGTTCAAAATCAGCCTGGCCAACATGGTGAAACCTTGTCTCTACTAAAAATAAAAAACTTAGCTGGGCATGGTGGTGCACACCTGCAGTCCCAACTACTCGGGAGGCTGAGGCACGAGAATTGCTTGATCCTGGGAGATGGAGGTTGCTGTGAGCTGAGATCACGCCATTGCATTCCAGCCTGGGCGATGGAGTGAGACATCATCTCAAAAAAAAAAAAAAAAGAAGAGGAAGAGAGAGGGACTCTTCTTGGTCTGTGTATGCATGCACTGAGGAGAGGCCACATGAGCACACAGTGAGAAGGCAGCTGTCTGCAAGCCAGGAAGAGAGCCCTCACCAGGACCCAACCATGCTGCCACCCTGATCTTGGACTTCCAGACTCCAGAACTGTGAGAATACATTTCTGTTATTTAAGCCACGCGGCCTATGGGATTTTGTTATGGCGGTTATGTTTAACCATGTTAAATGTGCATGCACATAATAAGAGAGCTTCAAAATATATAAGGCAAAAACAGCTAGAACTGAAAGGAGAAACAGACAAATCCACGATTACAGTGGAAGATTTCAACACCCAACAGACAGAAAATCAGCAAGGATTGAGAAGACTTGAACAACACCATCAACCAGCTTGACCGAATTGACATTTACACAATATTTCATCTCCCACTGCAGACGACACATTATTTCCATGCTGGATCATAAAACAAGTCTCAATACATTTTAAATGGCTGGAAATTATACCAAGAATATCCTCTGACCGCCGTGGAATCAAAGTAGAAATAAATCACATAAAGTTGTCTGGATATCCCCCAAATAGTTGGAAGTCAAACAGAATACTTCTAAAAATTCCACGGGTCAAAGCAGAAATAACAAGAAAAATTACAGTCTTTCGAATTGAATGGTAGTGAAAATACAACCTGTCGAAATCTCCAGATACAGCTAAACAGTGCTTGGAGGGAAACGTGTGGCTCGAAACACTTACATTAGGAGAAGGGTGGGTGGCAGCCAGGACCACAGCCGTGTGTGAATGATGCTTTGGAAGGGGCTCCAGGACAGCACATGAGGGGCAGCTGGCCAGGCAAGGGATCAGGCTCAGGGTCCTAAGCAAACAGAGCCAGAGAAATGTCTGTGCCTTTTGCACATGCACACACACACATGTGTGTGTGTGCATGCATGTGTGTGTGTGTGTTTGTGTGTGTGTTTTGGGTTTGGATAGAAGGTCACTGAGCACCAGAGAATTCCTTCAATTGCACTTTCTGCCTGAAAATGGAGAAATGCCTCCTAGTGTTCAGTGCCACCCAAATACCTGGAAAGCAGTTTGGTCAGTGGGGGTCGAGGAGGGTTAGACCTGGTGGGGGTTGGGCAGCTGAGACCTGAGGGTGCAAGTGTGGGGGCAGGGGGCTCAGGCACCCCACCCAGGAGTTTGTCTAAATTCCCACAGCCTGGAACTGACTCCCCCGGCATTCTCATTCTCTCTGGGTGGGGACAGGACGGAGCTGCTGTGTTCTGACCTCACAGTGAAATCTGAATAATTGATGCCCAGTCTAATGTTTCGCCCAATTGTCATAAAGCAAGAAACACAAGCCCAGTGTGTGGCAGATGAGGCCCTGGACAAAGGGCTGTTTTCATTGCCCCCTTTCCCGGCCTCAGGTCTGCGAGGCTCTCCTCCCCAGCACATGATCTGTGACAATCATCCTGTGTTCTCCTGCCCCTCCCCGGGGAGCCATGGGAGGGATTATCGGGAGGTGGCTCCCCCAGGGTAGGAGAGGGCTGCGCCCCCACCCCCGCATGTGTCATCTGGAGCGTGTGCCCGACCGTTGCTTGATACCCACTTGGCACAGCCTTCTCTCTGCCGAGGGCTGCCAGGAGAGCTGCTGTCAATACAGAGCTCTCACCCAAACAAACAGCGCAGATGGGTCCCCAGGGGCCTGCGAGTTCCCAGCTCCAGCTCCATGTGCTGGGGGGTGGGATATGAGGAGTGGGTGTTGGGGACAGCAGAGGGACTCCCTGAGCCCCAGGCAGATGGGATAGAGCCCAACCCTGTTTGGATTTCTGGCACTGTTGTCTGGGGGTAGGGCTCATTTGTCACACCCCGAGGGGAAAATACACAGTAAATGAACTTCAAACATACTCAGCTCCATGAGCAGGGGACAGGTGACAGACCTCATTTAACTTGGCACCCAAGGCCATGACAGCATGTCTGGGCCAGGACAGAGCAGCGGCACAGCGGTGTCAGTGCCAACCTGGTCACCATAGGCGCTACAGAAGCCGGGCCTACGGGCAGGATGTGGCTTGTGTTCCCTGCAAGTTTTCCCAAATCAGTCATATATGCAATCTCGGAAAATCACAGAAATCTTTGGTGAGCTCAAGTTTAACACTCCCACCCTCCCCAAGTTAATAGGACTCGGCCTTGGAGTGTGTTTCTAGGTTTGGGCAGGGAGAAAGGGGCTGAGCCTCTTCCTCATGAAGAGAAGATGGGGAAGAAGGTGAGATTTGGGGACCAGTGTGTGGGCTGTGTGGGCCACAGTCAGCAGCTTGCAGGCCCTTCTGGTTTGTCCATTGAGAAGACACTCTGAGAGCAGGGCAGGCAGCAAATGAAAGTGTGGGCCGTTGTTCAGAAAGCAGGAAGGGTGTTTTTCTCTGCTATTTAAAATCAGCCCTGGGCTCAGGGATCCCTGTGGGGCATGTGCAGACCTCCCAGGTGCCCAGGGCTCTGTCTCATCCGTGGAGTGTCTGTGCAGGACAGCCGGGGCCTGTGGCAGGGCAGGTGGCAGCCCAGAACACCTAACAGGGGGTGTGAAGGAAGCAGGGAAAGGAGCCTTGGTGGATGCTCCATTGCCCCATTGACTTCACTTACAAAACACACATTCAAGGATAAACTCATTAAGAATCCCAAGAGCGGAACCCCAGGGCACGGCCGAAGGGGTGGCATGCGTGGGAGCCTCCCCTGCCCGTGAGGCCTTCTTCCCATCCAGGACAAACTGGCCTCCTGCTGGGGCAGGGTGGAGTGGGGACCATGCCAGGGATGGGGCACCGTTGCAGGACTGGAGGTTTGGGACAAACCTTAGCCCCAGGCGGCCCAAGGCAGCCACAGTGCAGAGCAGAGGGGAGACAGCGAGGGCTGCTGAATGCAGGGTGGGAGTGGACACCAGGCGCTCCGCCCCACACCTTCCTCACAGCCCTCATGCCCACCCCACCCACTGGACAGAGACTGGTTCACAGCCTGTTCCTCCCCAGTAATTGTCCTCTGCCTCAGGGAAGGTCCCTCCTGAGACAATGCTGCCACCAGTGGGACAATGACCCGCCAATGTTGCTGGTGCAGAGGCCCAGCCCCTTCAGGGTGCGAGGGCATCGTGAGCCTGTCTCTCTCTGTACCCCGTCCTGCCCTCCTCACTGTATGGAGCATGGGTGGTGAACCAGGGGGACTCTAGCCAGGGGAAGGGGTCCGACCAGCTGACGCAACATCCTAGTGGGTAAGGGACCTGGAGCCGGAGGACGGGGCTGCTCTGAGCACCACTCAGAAGATGATGGAGAATGACAACCAATGAAATCAAAATGGGAAAGTCAGAAGTCCTCCCTGATCTCCGGCATTTGGGGAATTTGGGGGATGGAAGTGAGAGGTGGATCACACCAAGGACATGGCGCAAAGTTACTGCTAGGTGTAGTGGAGCTCTCAGCCTCCAGGGGTGTCCCAAGCTAGGTCAGGACCTCGGTAGGGAAGGGAAGGGACCCTGAGATCTGGGACGGGGAGTCTGGGGAGGTGCAAGTGAGGACCTAGAGCTTCGGATTCCTATGTACATGCAAGGCCTGTGGAAGTGACCACTCCCCCTTAGGCAATAGTGTCCCTTCCCCCAGCCAGCTTGAAGACTGCATAATGGCCTCAAGCTGGTGGTGTCTGACAAGACAGTGCTTCCTTCAGACGCACCTCCACCATCCCTCCAGGCAGCCAGACTGATGGGAAGGGTCAAACCCCAATGCAGCCCGACTGGAGAGGACTGGACCTGCTAAGGGAGTAGAAGCCTGGTTTTGATTTTTAAAAGAATTGGAGTGAAATACATGTAACATAAAAGTTGTTATTTCTGGGTGTAGAGCTCCCTGGCAGTAAGTACACTGGCAACCGTCACCACATCCATCTCCAGAACATTTTCATCTTCCCAAACTGAAACTCTTCCCCATTCATCACTAAGTCCTCACTGCCCCCTCCCCCCTAGTCCTGGCAGCCACCATTCTATTCTCTGTCTCTGTGGATTTGGCTACTCTGGGTTCCTTATGTAAGTGGATTCATACAAGATTTGTCCTTTTGCTACTGGCTTATCTCACTCAAAGTAATGTCCTCAAGGTTCATCCAAGTTGGGTCATGGACAGGGAAGGCTTTGATGCCAAAGAAGCTGCAGGCCCAGGCTGGACCAGGAAGACCAGTAGAGTGTGCCTGGGCCTGGGCCTGAGGATGCCGGAGCACAGGATGAGGGAGAGCCTGTCAGTGTGGGCACACCCACCCTGAGGCAGAATTTCACAGCCAGCCAGGACCCCAGGAGATCTCTGATGCGGAACTTCACGGCCTGGCCTGCACCCCAGGAGACCCCTGATGTGCAATGTCACAACCCAGCCAGGACCCCAGGAGATGGTGTTACCATGTGCTAGAGTGATTCTTGGAATGCCTGGGAGGGGACAGCTCAGGACCAAAGGCTCTGAGTAAGGCTGGAAAACCCAGGAGGTCTGATGGACCCCCATACACCAAAGTGACAAAGAGCACTGGTGAGGGGGTGGCACGTGGTTGAGAAGTCAGTGGTGCTGTCCTCTGAGGGTCAGGGCTGACAGTAGAGGTTTCTAGAGGACCTTAATAGCAACAGGGATGATGACAAAGTCTCGATGGCATAGAGAACAGATGGTGCTGCTTAACCTTCAGAAGCGAGGTGGATGCAATTATCTCAGCAGATGGCCACTCCAAGTAGCATCTGGGGCCCATTGTGCAGAGAGCCGCAGAGGTGGTTCCTCAAACCCAGAGTCCACAGAGGCAAGCTGGGTAGGCAGTTAACAAGGGCATGGCTTAATTGTGCGATAAACAGTACCCAGGATGGACGACCAGGAGGCTGAGGGCAGCCACCTCCCACCCCCAAATCACAATCCTTTGGCTGGTTTCTGGCCCCAAGCCAGTCCTCAGACCCAGAACCCAGACTGAAGGAGATACCAGATCTGTGAAGACTGACCTGCAAACCCTGGCAAGTGTGGGCAGTAATGACTCCTCCAGGCCTTCCCCAAGGGGCTCCTCAGCCATGGACTTGCATTTCCATGCACAGGGGAAAGGGAGACATCCAGAAATGTGTGGGACTCTGCTGGACGCAGGATCTGAGTTGACATTGATGAGTGGAGGTCCCAGTATCTCCATGGGCCCATGGTGGGGAGGAGCATGAGGGACCAGATCCCGAGTCTGGCTCACTGTGGTCAGGGGTCACCTCTCCACCACCTGCACATATGCTTAGGATGGAGATTCCCAGCAGTCAGCAGAACCCACATGGATTCCTTCACCTGTGGGGGAAGAGCCATCAGAGCAGGAGGGCCAAGTGGAAGCCTCTGGGTCTCCCCTCCCCTGGCCAGGATAGCAAATCAAAAATGGTATCACATGGCAGGGGGGAAGTGGCAGAGATTAATGCCACCCTCAAAAAGTTCAGTAGTTCAGGGGTGGTGGTCCCTGTCATATCCCCATTTAATTTACAAGCCTAGTTTCTACAAAAACCAGATACGTGGTATCAGTGGCAGTGGACCATCCAAACTGAAGCAAGTACTGCCCATTGCAGCTGAGGCATCAGAAGCAGTGTCTAGGGTAGAGCAGAAGAATGAAGCTCAGGGGCGTGGCATGAACCCATCCATCTGGGACTGTCGTCCTTTCCATTCCCATAAGAAGGGGACCAGGAGCAATTTGTATTCCTGTTGGGTGGACAACAACACACCGTTATCCAGGGGAGCCCAGACCATCTGGTCATTCTATGAATGGATGATTCATGTCTATTGGGTTCTACCCGCAGATGGCTTGTCCTCCAGGCTCACCACACAATGATGTGGTGGTTCTTTGGCAAGTCCAAAAAATAAAATAAAAATCACTCATGCCATGGTCACGGTGGGAGCCAGCTGAGGGGTGACGCGTCCAGCTGGCCTGCTCCCTAGAGTCAGGGGCAGGAGGCCAGCCCCAGGTTGGGGGAACCTGGCAAAGGAAGGGGTGCTGGAGAGTGTCACCATGCATGTCAGAGGACAGGGAACCCGGAGCGGGGTGGGGTTCGTGTCTGACATGGGAGCAGGGCAGGCACTGTTCCAGGCCTAGGAGATGGGATCACTTTAGGGAACAACTGGGCAGATGCTGGAGGGTCTCCAAGACAGGCTGGGGTAATGGAGCATTGTGCACAATAGCCTGGCAGAGCTCCCACAGCCCGTGTGGCCACTCTGCGATCCAATCAGAAATGGCCCCTCTCCTGTAGAATGAAGGGCAGGACTCTGGGTGGGACTCAACCTGCACAGCAGCACCCAGAGCCCGTGCCAAGTACCCAAGAGCTGACAGGCAACCGGGGCATGGCCTGGAGACTGCAGCTGACCGTGAGGCTTGCATTCCTCCAGCCCCTCTGCTGCCAGCCCAGCTTTGCGTCTTCTGCCTTATAAGTGTCCAGGCATGAGCCACTGTCCCTCTCCTCTACAGTTCCTCATGTGCTAACCGCAAGTGGAGCAAATGCTATGGATGGGCTGGCCGCACACCCTCAGACACACAGGTGGGCTCTCCTGCCCCGTACTCAATCCTCTCCTTCATTCTACTCTGTGAGCAGCTCAGGGCAGCAGAGCAGTCGGTTCCAACCAGGCCTCTGGGATCCTCCTTCTACCGTGGGGACTTATCCCGCCATTGCTCCTTCCAAAGGGGAATTCCAGAGCCAGATAGCAGGATAATAAAAATGCTTCCACTTTTTCCTTTGGGAACCAACCGAGAGCAGGGAAGGAGCCTGTGGCGCTGTGAACTGGCCAGTGGGCAGAAGCACAAGTCCATTCTCCCTGCATCTACATCCAGCCAATCACCACCCCTAGGCCTCATGGTCTCTGAGAAGTGACAGTAATGAGGCCGACAGGCTCCTCCACCTTCCCCAACAGATGCATCATCCCCTTCTCCAGCTGTTCTGGGAGCTCAGGAAATGCCCCTTCCTGTGGGGCCCCTGGCTGGAGCCCTGCCTGAAGAAAGGAGCAGTGCTTTTGCCTCTGGCCCACGAGGGTGCTCAGAAAGGGCCTCACATGCTCAAGGCTGGGTTAGGATCTGCTGGAGCCTCACAGACACCAGGAACCAAGGGACACCCAGCAGGGGTGAATGAGGGCAGCTCCCAAGCCCTTAACAGCTGCCCTGCAAGTAGAGGACTGCAGGCTCTCGCAACCCTTGACTGTGCCGCGCACCCAGGACACTATTCTGTTGTTTGTTTTCAAAGGAGATCTTACTGAGATTGTGAATAAAGATTATGAGAACAAATAGAGCCATGTTTCCTCAACATCAGCTGTTGCCCTTTCACGTGTTGGTGCGAAGTTTATTTGTCCAAAAGGTTTAGGAGGCTAAGCCATGCTTCTTTTTTCTTTTCTTTTCTTTTTTTTTTTTGAGAGAGTCTTGCTCTGTTGCCCAGGCTGGAGTGCAGTGGCACGATCTCGGCTCACTGCAAGCTCCGCCTCCTGGGTTCACGCCATTCTCCTGCCTCAGCCTCCTGAGTAGCTGGGACTACAGGCGCCTGCCACCACGCCCGGCTAATTTTTTGTATTTTTTTTTTTTTAGTAGAGATGGAGTTTCACCATGTTGGCCAGGATGGTCTCGATCTCCTGACCTTGTGATCCGCCCGCCTCGGCCTCCCAAAGTGCTGGGATTACGCGTGAGCCACCGCGCCCGGCCCATGCTGTTTTCTTGACTGTGCCCCAGAAACTTAAGACACACAGTAGGTCGCATCCAAGAGAGAACATCCGGGTCACCTGTGTGCCTAAGCAGCCCTAAGAACAGGGCTCTGTGCAGAAGGAGGAAGATGCCTGGGTGAGAGACACCGCATACATGCAAGGTTTCTGTCAAGAGGCTCCCCTGGCCTGGATGGCCCTGGGGGTGAAATTAGTGTCTTTAGGGAGAGTTGCAGAGCCTTTGAGGCTGCCCAAAGGACGGAAGTGCAGCCCATGGCTGTGGCGGGGGAGGGCAACACTTGTAACAGAGAACAGTGCCTCACTCAGGCCTGCCAATCCACACGTGGGTGGAGGGTCCTCTTTCCCTTTGAGACTGTAGGCTTCAGGGTCATGGGGTCCCCCTTCGCTCACCTCTCCTCTGAGGAGTGCATTGGTGCATATTTGAATCCCGTCAGGCCTGAGAGGCAGTTCCTGGCCCCACGGAAGCTCCGGATGGCAGCCTGGTCAACCGCATGGCATCTGGGGGATACGACTCATGTCCAAATCCCTGTTCCACTGCCTGCTGGCCTCATCCTCTGAGAGGATCGGGTCACTTCTGTAAATGGAAGTTTCCAGATTTATAAGATGGGAGTAAAATCACACCTACTGCCCCCAGGGTTTTGTGAAGATGAAGCCGGGTAACAAAGGTGAAGCTCTTGGCCTGGTATTGGCCACTGTGCAGGAGGCAGGAGACGCTGTTTGCGTGTCGTGGCCCAGGTCGGAGAGGGGCTGCAGTCTCCAATTCCAGCTAGAGTGTAGCAGGATGAGCCGTAGACAAAAGCCCTCAGACACCCGGTTAAGGAAGGATTTGGCTTTATTTGGCCGGGAACTTCGGCAGACTCACGTCTCAAGAAGGGCTTACAAATCTAAGGGGTTCCACGTGAAAGGGTCATGATAGATTGAGAGCACATCTGGTTAGAGTGGGGGCGGCGTTAATCTTTTAACCTCAGGCCTGGTCACCAGTGGCACCGGCTGGTCTTGCCACTGACTTCATTCCTGTTGTTTTTCAACTTTTACTTCCTCCTTCCCTTCAGAGACCGGAGACAGTAAAATAAATGGCCTCTCTCCTCAGGAGGACGTGGTCAGAAGTGGCTCAGGCCCAGGCAGGCCTCCGCAGAGGGCCTGGATTTTAAGGACCATCTGATGAAGCTCTCAACCTGTTCCCTGGAGCAGATGGAGCTCCCAGGGCTGCCGGCAGAAGGACACAATTCATCCAGCCTGGTTCTGAACCCAAAATAGCCATCCTGCTTAGGGCAGAGCAGCTTGCCCACTATCCTCCACGGGTGCAGGTTCCTTGGCCCAAGCTAAGCTCCATCTCCCACAGGAGGCTTGGAGCTCCTCCACCTGTGGGGGCAGGGCCACGGCGGGGGCCTTGGGGCTTCTTTGGAAACTACCAGGGTGAGGCAGGTGTCAAGGGCAAGGAGGTGGGAGGCCCCAGGAGCAGGATGCACAGGATCTGGGCCCGCCCACACCTGAGCCCGGCCACACCCACCTGGATCCTGTCCGGCTTCTACCAAAGGCCACTCCTTGCCTTGCATTGTGGTCTATTTTTTTCTTTTAATTGTCAATGACAGACCAGTCTTCTGCAGAGGCTTCCTGAAGGGCCTTTAAATTTCCAAGTCCAAACTCCTCAGCCTGGCAGCCAGACCTGCCTGGCCTCTGCCAAACTGTCACCTGCAGCCCCTGGAATGAAAAGCGTGAGTCTCCCTTTCCCCCTGCTCCATGCTGGCCAGGCTCTGTGTGGAAAGCCCACCTGCTCCTCCACCGCACAGCCCAGTGGGTTCAGAACTTCTGCTCATGCCAGGCTCCTGCAAACAGAATGGGAATCATTGACGCAACCCAAGCCTTTTGGGCCATGCCTCCCCCCCGGTGGAGTCCCCACCAGGGCCATATGCCATTTCGTCCTCCAATCTGGGCTTGGTGTTTTTATTAGCTCCATTTTACGATTGAGGTTTTCGAAGCCAAAGACAAAAAGGCTGGCTCTGGGACTGAAACCTTGGGCCACGCAGAGCCTTTCCGGTGGCCTAGGATCCCCTGAGGTGTCCATCATGTCCTTTTGTACCAGGCTGGCCCAGATTCCACTTGGGCCTCCTGACCAAGCTTTGCAAACAGGGATCAGCATGCCTGCATTCATCACTCACTGCCAGACACTGGGCTGGGGCTGGGGAGGCAGAGATGGGCAGCTGAGGTCCTCCACCCCTGTTGGGAGCTGAAGGCCTCCACGTGGCAGAGGCAGAACCACTGGGCAGAGAGCCAGGGCAAGGGGCTCCAGAGAAGACACCGTCACCTCCCGGCATGACAGAGACCACAGCCAGCACACAGTAGGCACCTTAATATCCACAGAGCAGATCAGCACCAGGGATGCATGCCCAGGCCTCAGCCCATGTGGCCCCAGAGAGTGAAGTGTCAAGCCCTGGTCTAGAACCTTCTTTCCTGCATCCCTTCCACGACCCCACAGCCTGAGCCTCAGCACCAGCTCTGCCCACGGGGATGTCTCAAACTCCGCCTGCTGGGTGCTTTCTGAGGTCACGTTTGGCCTCTACATCACTACAGTAAACATCAGCCTGAACCATGCTCCAGCCGTGGCTAAGTTGTAAGTCGATTTTATCTGCAGCCTGCTATCCCAAGGGCCTCTGGGTTCTTAAATCTGGCTGCATCAACTCCCAAGACTTAACTGGTCTTAGTGTCTTCTGAGGAGAAAGAAACTGCTTCCTGCCTCCCCACATTGGAACCCGGCCCCAAGAGGAGTCACTCAGTCAATATCCACCTTGGAGCTTCACACCACCATCATGTGGGGGCCCAGATATGGGAGAAGTCCCTGCGAGGTCGCAGCGCTTAGACTCATACTTGTGCTTTCCAGAGTCCCCCTGGCCGGTTCTGACTATGTGAATTCTGCTGTGCACAGGGGGATGCAACCACAAATGGCTTGTACTGCTGGAAGGATGGGAGCATTTCAAAGTAAAAATAAGAGCCATTGAGTTAAGTTGGCAGCTTCTGTGCCAGAGTACTCTGTTGGCCCTCAGCTCCATGCCTGCCCACCCTGCTCTCCTTAGTAGTCAAGGGGCTAGAAGCCTGAAAACTACATTTCCCAGGCTCCCTTGCAACTGGTTTCTGGTTAAGTGCTGCCAATGGGAAGTGGACGGGTGGGAGATAGGAGGAAGCCACTTTGCTCCTGGCTGTAGCTCCAATGGTGGCAGTGGGGTGATTGCTCCTGCAGTGACAATGGGAGTGGCCCCAGCAGCATTAGTAACAGAGGCAATGGGGATAAGAGGCTGGGCATCAGGGTGGCCCCTTCTCTGGGACACAGTTGGTGTCTGCAGAAGCTCAATACAGGCGCAGAGCAGGAGCAGCCTCAGATCTCTGTGTAACACCCTCTTGGCCCATTTGCTCCTCCAGCTTTTACAACATCTTTGTCATCGATTCCAGCACTAAATACCCTCTGCTTAAAATGCCTGGGATAGTTTCTGTTTTCCTGGCTAGAAGTTAACTGATTATAGAGTTGTTTGCCAATTAGATGTTTCCAGGTCTGGGCATTAAACCCCCTAGGCATTAAACTCCCCTGATTCTTCCAGAGGCCACCGTATCCTGGGCCCTTCCTCTTTCCTATCCCTCCTGGACTTGCACCCAAAGCCCTCCCCTCTCACCCCAGTTGGAATCACTTTCCCTTAGCCCACGCTTTACCCTTCTTGAAGCACAGACTCCTGCCATCCTGGGGGCCCTGGTCAGTGGGGAGGAACACACAATGCTTCAGGACCTTCTAGGACAGTTTCCCTGAGCCATTCTGGGCCTGAGGCCTCCATGTTTACACCTTTTCAGCTTCCTGTGGACCCCAGGGATCTCTTGGCTTCTACATGGAGGGAGCTGCTGTCATTCCAATCCTTTTCCCTAGGAGCTCGGGGCCCTAGCTTCTAGGGAACACTACTTCCATTCCCCTGCTCACTCTCTTTCTCTTTCCCCAGCTCACTCTTCTCCCTCACAGCTTATTTCTGATGATAATATCCAAAAAACAAGATCACGATGTGGTCCCGAAAGCTGCCACATCATCCTTACTAATGATAGCATTCTCTGGAAGATGACATTCACTGGGGTTCAGAGGACATATTGCTGAACCACCCCAAACAGTGATCTATTATTTCTCATGATTCTCTTGGCTACTATCATCCCATGGCATTGACTAGAGTCACATTTTTGGCTGTGCTCACTTGGCTACCAGTCTGTGTTGGAAGGTCCCCAAAGCCTTCCCTCACCTGCTTAGTGCCTTAGTGGTCCTCCACATCACCTTTCTATGTGGTTAGCTTGGGATTCCTCACAGCCTGGTGGCCCCAAGGCAATATGACTTCTTACATGGTGTAGAAACATGGGTTTGTGTGCCCTGCAGAGCTGAAGGAGAGGGCAGGACTTCAGGAAAATGGTGAAAAGGTTCAGGACTTCTCGAGAAACCATGACCCAGCATCAGGGCCCAGACTGCATTCTTTGGGGGCCCATCCAATGCATGTGCCCAGGACACTCTCTCTTAGCCCTCCCTTGACCACCATGGGCTCCTGTGCATGTTAACAATGCCTGATTGGGAACAGCAGTGCCTAGAAGGTGACCAGCAGTGCCAGGGTGATGTCCCCTGGAGGGGAGGAGTCTACAGATACAGCAGCAGCAGGAGCTGGCAAAGAATCTCTCCTTGACCAAACCAGTCAGCCTCTACTGAGCCCTCTTCTCCACTCAGCGTCACCTTTGGTCTATAAAAACTGCAGACTCTCAGCGCAAATGACTTTGTCCCTCTGCACCCCCCACCCATCACTAAGAGACTTATAAAAATACCAGCATAGCTGTTAACAGGCGTGTCCCTAGGATGATGCCCCAAGTCACCCTCAGGGGCCTGCCCGAGAGAGCGCAGTGCTGCCAGGAGAATTTACTGTTTGTCACAGCCACAACCTGGTGACAGGTGGATAGGCCCCTGAACCCTCTCGTTGAGCAGCCACTTCAGAAAGCTTGCAACTGTGAAGGCTTTCGCTGCCCCTTGAGAATGTAAATCTGCCACCACCCAGAACTGTCTCCACAAGGTCCTGGGAGCTGCCTCTGCAATGCGAACTTCCAGAGGCTCTCACTCTGGCTTTGCTCCCAGTCCCTGTGGGAGGCAACGGGGCTGACTTGGGTGGGCTTCTTGCTCTAACCTGCACCATTGTCATAAAGACACTAAAGGCTGGGCGTGGTGGCTCATGCCTGTAATCCCAGCACTTTGGGAGGCTGAGGCGGGCAGATCACGAGGTCAAGAGAAGAGATTTTTTTAGTATACAGGACACGCCTGTATACTAAAAAAAAAAAAAAATTAGCTGGGCATGGTGGCAGGCGCCTGTAATCTCAGCTACCTGGGAGGCTGAGGCAGGAGAATTGCTTGAACCCGGGAGGTGGACGTTGCAATGAGCCAAGATCACGCCACTGCACTCCAGCCTGGGCCACAAAGTGAGACTCCATCTCAAAAAAAAAAAAAAGACACTAAAGACACAAGGAATTTGCTTCTCCTCCAGATGAGCACCAGTTATCATATCCAGGTGGCCTAGTCACTATCACACCCAGGTGGCCTAGTCTCATGGACCAAAGCTCCTTAACATCCCCAGTGTCTTCTTAGTACATGCACCTTTACCCCCTGCCTTCTGTTTCAGGGAAGTTGAGCTCAGTTCACCCTGGTCCCTCTTCTGGATTGCAGTCATTCTTACTCAATAAAGTCTGTCCTCACCCCTTTAATGAGTGCCCAGCTTCGCTGATCTTGGAGAGAGGCAAGAGGCCAGCACTGGCATCTCACCCTCATTCCTACCAGGGTGTGTCCCAGTGAGGCCTGGGCAACCCAGGCTGTGTTTAGATCCCCTAGTCTCTTCCATCTTTAAGGAGCCTCTCCAAGGATTAGTGACACATAAAGCAATGCCATTTTGTCCCCGGTGGTGGGACAAAACTTTTTCAAGACCTAACTCAGCTCCTCAGGACCTCCTCTGTCATGAAGCAGGCATTTGGTGACATTCTCCTGCTGCACTGGCATTGTTCCCCAGGTCTGCAACTGGCGGCATGTGTTGAGATTAGGGCCACAGGTGCAGCAGCTGGACTCAAACGCTACCCTTATCTGGGTGGACGGACTGCCGCTGTCTCCACAGGGGCCTTCAGCCTTAAGGTGCCAAGTGTTGAAGAGAGCAGAGGGCAGGGGGGTCAGTCAGACCAGACTGGAGCCAGGAACCACAGGGCCACCACCCTCAGGGACACAGAACATATCACTAAGGTATGGCCTTAAAGGACTTTGCCGGCACAAGCAGGATGAGACCATGTGAAGGGGAGGCTCCAGGGAGGGAGCTCCCGGTGTGGGTGTGTGCGTGTGTGCATGTGTGTGTGCCTGCATGTGTGTGTGTGCTTGTGCGCATGTGTGTATTTGTGCGTGTGTGTGTGTATTTGTATGTGCGTGTGTATTCGTGCATGTGTATTTGTGTATTTGTGCATGTGTGTATTTGTGTGTGTGTGTATTTGTGTTTGCAGTGCAGCTTCTGCATGGCAGGTGGGCTCCAAGACTCAGGGTTTGGGCGGGGCCTAGAAAAGAGATGTTCAGGCAGGCGGCAGCATGGGAGTGGGGCAGCTGGTCTGGCAGCCCCTGAGAGGGCAGCAGCGGACAGGAGGAGCCCTTGGGGCTGGGGCTTTGCTGGGAGGCACCTGGCTCCTGCCCCACTGATGGCTGGGGTTCACTTCCTGGCCCTGCCATGGAGGCTGGGCCCTAAGCATGCCTCTAGCCCCCAACTCAGTCTCCAACCCATGAGTGGCCCCAAGTCCCCAGAACTTTGCCTTCTGAGGAGAACTGGCAGATCTGAGACTGGGCTGCGGGTGGGAGCGGGCAGGCCTGATCAGAGCACCTTCTGGAAGGTGGGGAGTCAGAGCAGGGCTTCCGGTCAGTAGCCCCGGCCCTAGACGCCCTTGGGGGACCTGTGCATAAAGGATAAAGAATGGTGGACTCCAGCCTGAGCTGCAAACTCATGACATGCACCTCTTCGGGATGAGAGCAGCTCCTTTTCAGCCCTCCTGATTTCTGGAGCCACCTTTGCAGCGGCCTCTGCCCTGCCATCTGCCTTGGCACATCACTGTATTCACCTCACTGCCCAGTTCTGCTCTGACGCCTGAGGGAGCTGCTCGGAGCAGGTCCCAGTGTACCCTGAGATCCCTTCGGCAATATAGCAGTGTCCCACGACTGGAGGGGGAGGGGGCAGGGCGTGAGGGAGCATGCAAGGTCCCGGACAGGGACTCGCTGCTTCTCCAGCCCCAGCTCTGAACAAGTGGGGACCCCAGCGCAGGTGTGAGACTCAGTCAGGGCTGCTCAGAGAGTGGAACTAACCCACTCAATGACAAAGAAACGAGGCCCCACTGTCCCTAAACAAACGCCACTCGTCCTCTGGCAGAGGGGTATCTTTTGGGGATTTGAACATGATCCCACCCTTCTTTTTCTTGCCTTTAACACAAACCACACAACAGCTGCACCCGCCTTGCAGACAGCAGGATCTGGGTTGAGCCCTCAGGCCCAGCTGCAGCGACATTGCGTGTTTTTGTCTTTTTGTGGTTTCTCCCTGGGGTTAGGCAATGTTTCGTTTCTCAGCACAACGACCCACTGAGCAGGCCTCTCTCCGCGGTGTCAACAGTGTCATCAGTGGAGGGGGCTGGGGCGGGGCGGGGGGGGGGGTTCTGCGCTGTGCCTGCCTCTGGACTCCTTCCCAGCAGATTAACTCATTAGGAAGCCCCAGTGTTCCCCAGAGGTGCTGGGTGGAGGGGGACGCTGGCCGAGGGGTGTTCTAGTGAGATTAGGATATAGCCAATGCCTAAGGCGGTGTGCACTGCTCTGGGATAGGGGCCACGTTTATCACCAGTCGCCCGGCACTGGCATCTCAACTAAGAAGGCCCCAGGCTCTGAACCAGCAGCCCCTCTGACAGCTGGGCCAGACTAAGCTGGGGCCCCATGATGTCCCGGCTTCCTGGAAGTCAGCCCCATCCCAGTTTCTCTTCTGTCTCACCCTCTGCGTCCCCAGCTGACCCCGTGGCCTCCTCTGAGGGCTACCCAGGGAGTCCCTGCAGGTGCCAGGTGTTTACCACATGTCGCCTCACTTCCAAGATGCAAGGGGTCACTAGAGGGCAACAGCAAGGCTGTAACGTGGGGCTGGAGCCCCAGCCTGGTGACTGCAAGACCACCCGGCTCTCTCCTTGCACCATCAAGGCACATCAAAGGGCTGCCTTCACACCTGTGTGCTCGGCCAACCCATGCAGACTCCTGCACCCGGGTGTCGATGCCCCCTCAGCCTAAAAAGAGACTCCTGACCCTGGGGCTTGGGGCCTTCCCAGGGACTCCCCAGAGCTTCTGCCTAGACAGGCCACCCCATGCCAGACTCCAGGTCCCTGATCCTCCTGCCCCCCCACCAGACCCTGCCCTGTTTGGTGGCAGCCACAAGAGCTCTCACTGTGGAGAACCCTCCAATATCCTAATATCCCGCCCACTCCTGAGTGCTGTTCGGCGGCTGCGGTCAAAGTCCATTTCGACAGCCCCGTTCACTCTCCTAGCCTAGCTCACAGCTTGGGTGGCCTGAGACCCTAAACAAGGTCGGCTGGGAAAATCTATTGCTTCCCTGATATCAGCAATGCCGCAGCAGGCAAGGCCTTTGCCTTCCTCACCCCTTGCTGGCGGCCCAGTGTCTAGAGCACCACACCAGGAGGGAGGCCCCCCGGAAGGCCCTCGAACAGCAGAGCTGAACGTGCACAGCTGCCTGCCCCAGACCTCTCTCTGTGGCAGAAAACGAGCTGCTGCCCTAAGCCTCTGGGGTGGGCCCCTGTCCCTTGTAGCCAGACATTTTTCTAGCTGCTGCCCCAATGGACCCTGCAGACCGGGGGCCCTAGGACCACCGAGTGCAGAGGTGGGGGCGGGTGCCCTCTGCCCCCTCCACTCCCTGGAGCCCAGCAGTCTGGGCAGTGGGGTTACCCCCTAAGGGATGCCACAGCCCACCAGCTCCCCACAGAGGCGGCGTCCTGAAGCCCCTCTGTCACCGTCTCTTAGTTGTCCTTTCTGGCTCAGAGCATGCACAGGGAAAGGCAGGAGGCAGGGACAGGTCTGCAGGTGAGAACCACTGGAATGGACTCTGCCTGGGGATTATTTGTGGCCAGTCCTGGTGAAGGTGCTTCCTGAAATGCCTTCTCTCTGTGCCCCTTTGATACTCCCTACTCCCCTATCTCCCACAGTGGGGCCTTTCCTCCCGGCAGCCCCCTCCCAGTGCTTAGTCCAGGGTGGGGAGATGGGGATCATGGGAGGTGCTGGGGAGGTACGGTTCATGTGAGGCCTGGGGACCTTTGTATGGGGTCCCTAAAGCTGCTCCACTCCTTCCCTAGGGTCCCCAAGCCCAGGACCTCACAGTCGCCCCTGCCCCCTGCCCCTCATCCCCCTCCTTCTCAAAGCCAAAAGGTTCTGCGTGCTGCTCTCCAGGGCTCCTCCTCTGGATCCTAAGCCCATAGCTGAGTTTAGGCCTCAGCCTGCTAAGTGCACGTTTCCTGAAGCCCACCCATAGCAGGAGACACAAGAAGGGGTGAGGGAGGGCTGCCGGGCAGCCTAGGTGCCACTCGGATGGCAGGGGTGTTGGGGCCGGTCCCCTGCCGCCCCCTGGAGCTGGCAGTCCATTTCAGAAGCAGAAACAGGAAGTCCTTCCTGACTGCCAAGCAGGGCAGGGCAGGTGCTCAGTGTGGCCCAGCTGCTCAGAGCAGGCTGGTGAGGCCCTGGCAGCAGGCACAGCAGGGCCCCGACAGCAGGATCCCCAGCCGAAGACACTCTCTGGGCCACAGGACAGGGAGCCGGCCACAGGATCAGCCCACAGTTCGTGGCTGGGAGCTGGGCATGGGAACGAGAAGAAAGACCAGCTCAGGAACCGGCAACCACAGTGGGTTTCGGTTCAACCAGCGTTTGCGGAACCCTGGCTTTGTGCCAGGCAGAACACTCAGCACTGGAAAGGCGCCAAGGGGAAGGTGGCGCAGGCCTGCCCATCTCAGTTTCTGCTCTGAGCAGACGGGTCACCCAGGAAAGGGCCACTGCAGAAACACGTGGAGATCAGACAAGACACAGTGGGGCTGGTCCCCGAAGAAGCAGTCCCCAGATGTTGGCTGGGTGGGGAGGGGAGTGTGGGGTTCAAATCAGCCAGGGAGGGAACAGGGCGAGAGCAGGACAGGCCGGGCCTGGCTAGCGTGTGGCTGGCACACAGCTGAGGGCAAGACAGATGGCTGGGAGCAGGCACTGTGCTCAGTGGAACCTTTTCAGGACCCAGGCTGGGGAGAGACAAGCTGAGAGCAGAGGTTCGGGAAGATGGCAGGGTGGCGGCGACAGCATTGCAGAGGTGGGATTGCCCTGGCTTTCAGGGGGGCATCACATCAGGGCCTTTGAGCTGAGCTGCAGAGTCTAAGTGGCATAGGGAATTTCCCAGCTCAAGTCAAGAGAGCTAGGACATAGTTAAAACCTGGAAAGGACGGGCAGGTAGAAGTCCAATTCCAGGTTCAGCCTCATTGGGTAAATGACGCATCGAAAACTATGCACGTGCTGTGGGATAAATTTCCAGAGTCTGCATGCTTAGGCCAGATTCTCTAGAGCAAGAGAGGGCCTGCCAAAAGGTCAGTGCATGATTCAGGTCTTTTGCAAGTCACCAATTCTAGCTGACTTTACACTGAAAGAGGAACTTGAGACAAGGAAGCCACGCTGGAGCTCCAGAGAGCCCTGGGGAGGGTGCAGCAGAATCACCTCAAACTCTCTCTGCGTTGGCTTGGAGCTCCTTCCTCTGCAGACAGATGCCCTGTGCTCCCAGACCCTGCCATGGGAAATGACTGTCCCAAATCCCCCCAAGTTTATGTCTCGGTAAAGTGAGCTAGGATCTCCTGGGGCCAGTTCTGCACTCCTGAGGAGGGGGCTTTGGTTGGTCAAGTGCACATCCCTGCGCTAATCCAGCGTAGCTGGGGCAAAGTCAACTCATCCGGATCAGAAAGATCAGACCCCAGGAAAGTGCTGAGAGGCGCTGAAGGTGTGGGGCTCATATACATGCACCCCAGAACCTGATTTACTATGCCCAGAGAAGATGGCATATGGCCGTGTGTTTGCCTTCCAGAATCTCAATGCAGCCTTGTTTGCATGTGATATGTGTGACATGGATGAACAGCAACAGATTTAGGGCCAGATAGGCTTCTTGATTTTTGTCGGATGTCTACAAGCCTGGCCTGTAGTGTGACCCCTTCAGGTGTTCAGCTTGGACAGTAAACAGTCATCAAGGGCTTGCCTGCCACACCAGGCTGTACCCTGAGGGTACAATGTAAAATAAGGTCCCTGTCCATAAAGGATTACCCAGGATCCAGGAGGAACTGGTGATAGGTCACTGTTATGTGCACTAGAAAGAGAGCTTAGATATTAACTTGCCCCTGGTTGTTTTTGCGTGTGTGTATGTGTGTGTGTGTGTGTGTCTGTGTGTGTGTGTATATTGAAGAACTTTTTTCCCCAAGCAAAATCCTACCTGAAACTCTTAACACGCCAGAGACATCCCCAAAGAGAGGGGTGACTCCTCCCCTGGAGTAATTCCTGAACAAATCTTTGGAACCAGTTTGAAAGCTAAACGGGTCTTCACACCCCCAATGCTGGGTTTTTCCTCCTCCCCCAGGCTGCCTCGGCCTCCTTCCTCTCCACAGCACACCTCTTCTGAGTCCCAGGGTGAGCCTCTCTGGGATCCACAAAGACCGTGGGTGCCAGGAGGCAGAGTCTGGAAATCAGAAATGCCAGCTTTGGGCCATACATGGAGAGGCTGGGGATGAGCTGGTGAAGATGCCCCGTGGTGCTGACTCAGGGCTCCTGCAGCTCCCACCTCCAGACCCTCCTCTGCCTGGACTCCTGTGGGCTGCCCCTCAGACCACAGCCAGCCCATGATTCCCCACTGGACTGACCCACCTAAGTCCTCTTGCACCCCGTAGAGCATCGATGTGCCTACCTCATTTTACAGAGGAAATAACTTCCAGATAAGCCAAAGGAAGCCAAGGCAAACCGTGTCTACTCTGCCATATGTCACTTACATTACCTTATTAATCCCCACAATCACCTTTGTCTTTACACCTGAATAATCTGGAGTCTGAGCTCACTCATGTCCTCAAGCTCACACAACTGGTGTGGCCGAGCAGGAAGTTTAGACCAGATCTCTGAGATTTCAAAGCCCTCACTCTGCAACAAAGGAGCATGGATTGCCAGTGGCAAGCGGAGGACACGGATCCCAGGCCCCATCTCCCATCCATGCATCTTTGACAAAACATGGTGAGTTCTCACCTTGTCCCTCCTGACTTAGAATCCTGAAAGGGACCCAGTGCCCATCAAACAACAGCTGGGAGGTTGGATCCCTGCCAGCCACAGGCGCTGCTGCTTGCAAAGCTCCATCTTTCAGCTCCACTGACTTACCCCAAAGGTGCATGCCTTTTACTGCTCCATACCCTGAAACGTGCTGTTCCTGCTGCCTTGAGTGCCCTCTCATCCGGGGTGGTCCACCCTGATTACCAAGGGGAAGCTGGGTGCTGCTATACACCAAGGCAGAAGGAAGGTCCAGAAGCCAGGGGGAGTCTCTGGGGTTCCTACAAGTACCTGCTGTCCGGTCATAAAGGTCAGTGAGGAAGTGCAGCAACAACCAAAGGCACAAATAAAGCCTCAATGATCCCATCATGTAAAGAGCCCCGACTAGCTGAGCTGCAGGCAGAAGGCGAAGGAGAGCTGCATTGGCTGGAGAGCACACAAAGTTGTAGATGCCAACAGGCCTCAGGACTACTTATAGGGGCTGGGCTTCATGGCTTATACCTATAATTCCAGTGCTTTGGGAGGCTGAGCTGGGAAGATCCCTTGAGGCCAGCAGTTCAAGACCAGCCTGGACAATCTAGTAAGACTCCGTCTACTAAAAATACAAAAAAATTAGCCAGGCATGGTGGTGCATGCCTGTAATCCCACCGACTCAGGAGGCTGAGGCATGAGAATCGCTTGAGGCCGGGAGGCGGAGCCCACAGTGAACCGATGCAGGTGCCACTGCACTCCAACCTGGGCAACAGAGTGGGACTCTGCCTAAAAAAAAGAAAAAGTACACAAATTGTAAGTGTACAACCCGACATAAAGCACACATCTGTGTAACAGCATCCAGGCCAAAAGCACATGGCCAGCACCCTAGAGCTCCCTCTGGGCCCCTCCAAGGCCTACCCTCCACCCCCTAGAGTGACCATCACCCTGACCCTAACCCCAGGTGGCAGTTCTGCCTATTTGAACTTTGTACGAATGGACGCATATTGTCTGTACTTTAGGGCCTGGCTTCTTTCTCTCAACTCTCTGTGTCTAAGAGTCATCTCTGTGGTTCTGTGTGATTGTGCATGGTTGATACTCGTAGTTATGAAGATTTCATGTACGAGGATAAAAGCAATTATTTGTCTATTCTACTGTTGATGAATATTTGGGTAGTTTTCAGTGTTTGTCTACTACAAAGTGCTGCTTTCATCTTTTTTTTTTCTTCTTTTTTTTTGAGACAGAGTCTCACTCTGTCACCCAGGCTAGAGTGCAGTGGCGCAATCTCGGCTCATCGCAATCTCGCTTATCACAACCTCTGCCTCCCAGGTTCAAGTGATTCTCCTGCCTCAGCCTCCTGAGTAGCTGGAACTGCAGGTACGCGCCACTAGCCCAGCTGATTTTTGTATTTTTTTTTAGTAGAGACGGGGTTTCACCGTATTGGCCAGGCTGGTCTCGAACTCCTGACCTCATGATCCACCCACCTCGGCCTCCCAAAGTGCTGGGATTACAGCCATGAGCCACTATGCCCGGCCTGCTTTGATCATTCTTAGGACCTATCTTTTGGTGAACACACACACACACACACACACACACACACACACACACATATGTATTTCTGTTGGTTATATTCCTAGGGGTGGAATTGCTGGGTCATAGGCAAGCACATGTTCAGCTTTGGTCATGCACCTGTCTTCCAAAGTGATAACGCCAAGCCACTCTCCCCACTGCAGTCTGGTTTCTCTCCATCCTCAACTATGTTTGGGATTCAGTCTTTTACATTTTAGCCTTTCTAGTGGGTAGGTGGTGGCATTGCATTTTCTCCCTTCCCTCCCCTCCCCTTCCCTCCCCTCCCCTCCCCTCTCTTTTCTCTTCTCTCTTCTCTTCCCCTTTCTTTCTTTCTCTTTCTTTCCTCTCTTTCTCTCTCTCTCTATCCCTCCCCTCCTCCTTCTTTCCCTCCCTCCCTTCTTTCTTCTTTTTTCTTTCCTTTCTTCTCTTTTCCTCTTTCTTTCCTTTCTCTTTTTCTTTCTTTTCATTATTTCTTCCATCCTTTCTTTTTCTTTCTTTTCTTCTTTATTTTCTTCTTTCTTTCTTCCTTGTTTCCCTCCTTCCCTTTCTTTCTTTCTTCTTTCTTTTTCTCTTTCTCCCTTCCTTCCTTTCTTTCTTTTTTCTTTCTTTCTCTCTCTCTCTTTCTCTCTTTCCCTCCCTCCCTCCCTTCTTCCTTCCTCCCTCCCTCCCTTCCTTCTTTTTCTTTCTTCTTTTCTTTCCCTTTCCTTTTCTCTTTATTTTTCTTTATTACAGCTGAGCTCTAACACCCATCTGAAGTGTACAATTCAATGAATTTTAGTATATGCAGAGTCATACAGCTATCACCACAATCAATTTTAGAGCATTTTCATCACCCCCAAAAGTAACCTTATAACCTTTAGCAATCACCTCCAACACCCCCTTCTCCCTATCCCTGGCAACCACTAATCTATTTTCTGTCTCCATAGATTTGCCTATTCTGGACTCTTCTTTTCTTTTCTTTTCATACAGGGTCTCACTCTGTCGCCTAGGTTGGAGTGCAGTGGCATGATCCCGACTCACTGCAACCTCTGCCTCCTAGGCTCAAGCAATCCTCCCACCTCCTGAGTAGCTGGGACAACAGGTGCACCCCACCACACCTGGCTTTTTTTTTTTTTTTTGTATTTTTGGTAGAGATGAGGTTTTGCCATGTTGCCCAGGCAGGTCTCAAGCTCCTGAGCTCAAGCCATCCGCCTACCTCCGTCTCCCAAAGTGCTTGGATTACAGGTGTGAGACACAGCACCTGGCCTATTCTGGACATTTCATATATATGGAATTAGGTCATGTGTGGTCTTTGTGACTGGCTTCTTTTAACTAGCATGATGTTTTCAAGGTTCATTCATGTGGTGGCATGTCTGTCAGTACTTCATTCCTTTTAATGGTCAAATACCATTTTGTTGTACAGAAACATCACTTTTTGTTAATCCATTCATCAGTGGGTAGATATTTGGATTGTTTTCACTTTTTGGCTCCTGTGAACATTGCAGCCAATGAACATAGCAGCACATGACTAATGGTGCTATGAACATTCACGTCCAGGTTCTTGTGTGAACACACATTTTCATTCCTCTTGGAAACTCTACTTAGGAGTGGAATTGCTGAGTCAAATGGTAACTCTAGGTTAAACTTTTGAGAAACTACCAGATTGCTTTCCAAAGTGTCTGCGTCATTTAATATTCTCACTAGCAATGTATAAAGGTTCTGATTCCTCCACATTTCACCAACACTTATTTCCTTTTTTAAAAATTATAACCACTCTTTTGTGTGTGAGGTGATATCTCATTGTGGTTTTGACACACTGTAGTTTTGATAGGTGTTTCCTTGATGACCAATGAGGTTGAGCACCTTCTCATATGTTTGTTGGCCACTAGGACACGCTCTTTTGTGAAGGGCCCACTCAAGCTCTTTAACCAGTTTTTCTGTTGGATTATCTTCTCTCTTCTTGTTGATTTCTAGAAGCTCTTTATATATTCTGGACATAAGTCTTTTATCAAATATGTGTGTCACATATACATTCTCCCAGTTTGGTTTTTCTTTTTATTCTCTTAATAAATCTCTTGAAATTAGTTATTCATTTTAATATGGTCCACTTTATCCATTTTCTTCCTCTCCTCTTTCTCATTCTATTCTTCTTCCTCGTCTTTATCTTTATTGTCCTATTTGGAATCCCTTCAGTGACCTCAGAAGCCATCCACCCATAGTCCCTGTGGACATCAATTTTGCCATAAGGGTCAAGTATGGTGGCAACTTGCTGTCCCCAAGTCTTCTTTTTTTTTTTTTTTTTTTTTTTGACATGGAGTCTCACTCTGTTGCCTAGGCTGGAGTGCAGTGGTGCAATCTCGGCTCACTGCAATCTCTGCCTCCTGGGTTGACACCATTCTCCTGTCTCAGCCTCCCGAGTAGCTGGGACTATAGGCGCCCGCCACCACACCCGGCTAATTTTTGGATTTTTAATAGAGACGGGGTTTCACCATGTTAGCCAGGATGGTCTCGATCTCCTGACCTCATGATCCACCTGCCTTGGCCTCCCAAAGTGCTAGGATTACAGGCGTGAGCCACCATGCCCGGCCGCTGTCCCCAAGTCTTATCTTCAGTAGATGCTCCCTTCCAAGCAACCACAGGTGACAACTAAGTAATTGCAGTGCCACAGGTCACCAATGTCCTATTTTCCATGGGTAATGAGTTTATCTCTGCTTTCATATTCTCATACTCACACAGGTCAACAACCCAACCACAAAGACCCAGCTTGGAGGGTCTGTTTCCTGAAGCAGTACTGACTCAGCCTGGGAGACAGAAACCATGCTAGGTATTTCACATATTATGCAGAGAACCGATTACAAAGGTGTTGGAAGGATAAAGGAGTAGAAGGGAGGAGCAGGCCAGGGAACAAGAGGAAGAAGGGGAGGTACCCACAGATAAGAATCACTAGTACCCTTTGTCTTGGTCCATTCTGGCTGCTATAACAAAATATCATAAACTGAGTGGTCTATGAACAATAGGAATTTATTTCTCATAGTTTTAGAGGCTAGGAAGCCCAAAATCAAGGTACCAGCAGAATCAGTGTCTGGTGAGGGCTTCCTGGTTCACAGTCGGTGACTTCTTGCTGCGTGCTTACATAGTAGAAGGGACAAGGGGTCTCTCTTGGGCCTCTTGCATAAGGGCACTCATCCCCTTCATGAGGGCTTCACTCTCAGGGCCTAATCACCCCCAGCAAAGGCTTCACCTCCCAACACCATCACCACAGGAGTTAGGATTTCAATATATGAAACTGGGAGGGACACAAACACTCAACCCATTGCACCACTGGGCTAGAGCCCAGAGTCAGCACCTGCTGCTGCCCTGGTGGAGAAGCAGGGGCTGTGGGAGGAGCTGGCACTGCTGTTCTGTATCGAGGAGGATGCATCTTCTTTGCCAGAGCTGTGACTGCTGATAAAGGTGCCGCCTGTGCTCAGGCTTCTGGGGTCCCTAATCATCCAGCTCCTGCTGCTACAACTGCCATGCTGTGATACGGACATTCCTCTCTTCCTCCTGCCTTTGGAGCTCCTGCCACACCTCCTATGTTAGGTGCTACCACAGGGCCTAACCAGAAGCCAGTGGGTGAGGTGCCTGGCACATGCAGAAACCCCGGAGCCCCAGAGCAGAGCACAGACGGCGGGTGTGGGCAGCGACCCTGGCAGCCACCAGCACAGCCCCAACCAGGCTCCAGCCCCACTTGCCTGCTCTTGGCTCCTTGAAGCCCCGGGCTCCCCAGGGCAGCTGGCACACCCTCCACACTTCTCCCCTGGGCTGAGTGCAGCTCACACTCTGGGTGTGGCACATAGGCCATTTCTGGAAGAGGCTTTCCTAAGCCCACAGGGGCTGCACTGTCTCCTGCTGCTGTTTTCTGCACATCTTCCTCACTAGAGGTGAGTTTCCTGAGGGCAGACAACAAACCTCACTTAGGCCCAGGCCATAAACACGGTGTATGTTTAGTGAATTTGTGAATTAAGAATGAAGGAATGTGGCTCTCGCCTGTAATTCCAGCACTTTGGGAGGCTGAGGCGGGCAGATCACTTGAGGTCAGGAGTTCAAGACCAGCTTGGTCAACATGGTGAAACCCTGTCTGTATTTACAACACAAAAAATTAGCTGGGCTTGGTGGCAGGTGCCTGTAATCCCAGTTACTCAGGAGGCTGAGTGGGGAGAATCACTTGAACCCAGGAGGTGGAGGTTGCAGAGAGCATAGATTGCGCCACTGCACTCCAGCCTGGGTGGCAGCGTGAAAACTCACAGGCCTGCCGTTGGGAAAATTATAGAGTAGGTTGGGGGATTTTCTCTCTGGAGATCCCCTTTCCACACTCTCAATTTCTCTATTGCTTCAAGTTCCCGTCCTGACATCTGGCCACACCACACCGCCCTCCCTCAGGTCCTTCCTTCTGGCCCTGCACCTGGTGTCCAAGGGTGTGTAACTGGAACTATGTTGTCAATGGCCCAGACCCGAGCTTTGTGGCATAAAACACACAACTAGCTATTTATAGTCAGGGCTATTTATACAGAGTTTATGAAAAAATAGTTATGTGGTAGAACAAACTTGGAAAATTCAGGTTTAAGCAGATTAAACATGATCCTCTACTACAGAATTTCTCAGCTCCTGAAGACATTAAGGTGTCACTCCATAAAGGGGGCTCATTAGCTCAGTTCCCCAAACTTATGGAACCACAAACTCCTTCTTTTTAGGAACACCTAAGCAGAGTGTAGTAATTGATTAGTTATAACTTTAAATATATGTAATTGATCTATCTTTAAAGAGGTAACACATGCCCATAGAACAACACTCAATAGACAAAGTCAGGTACACAGAATAAAAAATGTGTCTTCCTTCCCGGCCAGCCACCCAGTCCCCCGCCCCAGAGGCAACCGCTGTCAGTAGCAGCATGCGTTTCTTCTCAGAAATGAGGCACAGCTTGTCACCCAAGATGGAGGCTTCCAGGAGGGCTGTGGATGCTTCTGGCTGCCCCTGCTCCTGGCTGCCCCTGCTCCTGGCTGCCCCTGCTCCTCCCATAGATGAGCCTGCTATGGTGGCCGCCACTGTTCTGCTCTGTCTAGCCTTGGGCCCACATTTATCCCTTTTTGTCCACTTTTTCAGAACCTGGAGGTGCTGCTGTTGCTCCTCACAGGTGGCTCCTGTGCCCCAGGCAACAAGCCAGAGGCACCAGTACCCTGGGCATGGCTCCCTTTCATTTACGACTCACTGTAGTTACTTTAGAGCCTTGGAGTGTTCTCTGGGATGAAAAAGATCAGGAATAGCTCTAGGCTGTGGCCTGGAGGAGCCTTGGGATCTCTTCATCCTTTGGAAGAAGGTGAGTTTCTTGGAAAATATTCCAGAAACGGCTCGAGCAGTTGTACCATGCTATTGTGCAAAAGAACGTCCAAAAACATCCTCACTTCTTCATGGCATGGACTTTCTCTGGAGTGGAGTGGGAGTGGTGCCAAGCACATGATGACAGAAGATCATAAAAACGGGAAATGGAATGGGTTTATTAGCTATTTGCTGCCGTGTAACCAGTTACTCCCAAGCCTCGCAGCTGAAATAACAAACTTTTATTATCTCATGAAGTTTCTGAGGGTCAGGAATTTGGGAGTTACTGAGCTCTGCAGTTCAGTCTCAGCATTGCATCGAGTTGCAGTCCAGACACACTGGCCAGGGCTGCAGGCATCTGAAGGGTTGACTGGGGCTGGAGGTCTGCTTCCAGCGTTACCCAGGTGGCTGTTGACTAGAGGTCTCCATGGGCCATTGAGCATGCTCAAGACATGGTAGCTGGCTTCCTCCAGAGCAAGAGAGACAAGAGAGGGCAAGCAAGGAGGAAGCCACAGTGCCTTTCAGGACCTGGTCTCCAGAGTCACACTCAGTCACTTCTACCATGTTCTTTTTTTTTAAGTTGTTTTATTGAACTTTATTGTTTATAAATAAAATATCATAACACAGTTTGTGTAGTGTCACTGACACCAACTTCATAGTGAATTTTCTGCCTGAGATAATTCAATTTCAATGAAGGATCAGTGACACAGACATATTATGTATATATGATGTACATATGCATATATTCTCCACAAAATGTAATTTTCTGCATATAGTATGAAAGTGCTATAATGATTCATTTTGTTTAATGAACTCAAAATATAGCTAAATATATTATTGTGCATTAATTATAAGAATTAGTTTTCATGCTTTGCATAAGAAGTTTTTGGATTAGCATAATTTTATTATATATATTTTATTATACAATTTTAAAGTTAGTATGTTTGCTTAAAATATTTAATATATAACACTCATTGGCAAATGACAAAAGAAATCCCCCTGCAAAATAGCATTTTATTAAATGCTTTATTTATTTATTTATTTATTTATTTTTTGAGACAGAGTCTTGCTGTGTCGCCCAGGCTGGAGTGCAGTGCCGTGATCTTGGCTCACTGCAACCTCTGTCTCCCAGGTTCAAGTGATTCTCCTGCCTCAGCCTCCTGAGTAGCTGGGACTATAGAAGCGAGCCACCATGACTGGCTAATTTTTGTATTTTTAGTAGAGACAAGGTTTCACCATGCTGGCCAGGCTGGTTTTGAACTCCTGACCTCATGATCTGCTCACCTTGGCCTCCCAAAGTGCTGGGATTACAGGCATGAGACACTGCATCCGGCCTAAATGCTTTATTATTTATTAAAACATTGGAGGATAAGCGCAGTGGCTCATGCCTGTAATCCCAGCACTTTGGAAGGCTGAGGTGGATAGCTTAAAGCCAGAAGTTTAAGACCATCCTGGGCAACATAGTGAGACCCCCCATCACCCCCCGCAAAAAAAAAGCCTGGGTGTTGTGGCTCACACCTGTAATTCCAGCACTTTGGGAGGTTGAGGCAGGCAGATCACCTGTCAGGAATTCGAGGCCAGCCTGGCTAACATGGCAAAACCCTGTCTCTACTAAAAATACAAAAATTAACCAGGTGTGGTGGTACATGCCTATAATCCCAGCTACTTGGGAGACTGAGGCACGAGAATCGCTTGAACCTGGGAGGTGGAGGTTTCAGTGAGCCGACGTTGCACCATTGCACTCCAGCCTGGGCAACAAGAGTAAAACTCAGTGTAAAAAAAAAAAAAAAGGAAAAAAAGAAAAATAAAAATTTTGGAATAGCTCTTCATAGGAAAGTTATCTCTTACTCTGAGTTCATAGTACTTGTGAGTCTAAAAATTTTTTGATTTTCCTGAAAAAGAAGAAAATAATTCTGGCTTAAGTTAGCATCTGGACTCTTCACAGATTTAGGTGGAAAAGCTAGAGGATTCACATTGAACATTGTATTTTGTAAGCCCCCAGCTTTGACCCTACCATGGTAGAGAGTTGCTAATGATTTCTCTTGGTGAAATCTAAGCTTTAACAACATTTCTAAGTCGCTGATGTATCTGAACCCATAAATATCTTTGGAGAAATGACAATGACAACATTTTGCATGATTTCTTTCATTCATTTGTGTATTAAAATAATTATCAAGCAGCTATTATATGCTAGGCAGAGCGCAAGGTACTGGGAATAAAAGAAATGACTATGACAAGATTACTGTCCTCCAGGAGCTGTGAGTTATTTGCAGATAGACACACGCTGTGCGAGAGAACAACCCCTAAACGTAAGTAACTATTTTTTCCACACTATCATTTCTCTACATACTATTCATTAGAAGTGAGTCACTAAGTACAGCCCACACTCATGGAGAGGAGATTTGATGGGAAGAATAGCAAAGCATTTGTGGACTATTTTAAAACCATCACAATGGGGATGGGGGACCAAACACGGGGCCAGCTAACAGCTGGTGGGTCCTGATCCATCACTAATAAGCTCTGTGATCCTAATTGATTAGCTAACTCCCCGGGCTCAGTCTCTCTCGTGCAGTCTGGAGATGATGCTACTATATCTGTCACAGGGCCAGTTGTTCAACACAGCAGGGAGGCAGATAGCAATTGAGTCAAGGGCGTGAGCTTTGGAATCAAATCCCTGCCCCCACCACTTCAAGTCTCTGAGCCTCAGTTTCCTCATCTGTATCATTACCTACATGCCAGGTTTGTGGAGAAATAACTTGAGGCAAGTATGTGTAGAGAATTGGTCTTGAGTGAGTCTAAACTGAGCCAGCCCAGAGACATCTATTTGCTGGAGAAGACAAGGGGTGTTGAGAAGGCATTTTGCATGTAACGCGACCAGTGGAAGAACATGCTGGAGGAGACCTTCGCCCCATCACCTGCAGGTTCTTGTGACCCCACAGGAAGCCAGCCTCCGCCTTCATCATTTTCCCCAGCTGGGCTGCCTTCTGGGAACATGACCAAAATTTTGGATCTGGGGGAAGAATTCAGCTGCTCCTAGGACTAAAAGCATTATCCCCAGACTGAAGCCAAAGGCACCCTTCACTATGATCTCTCACTGTTTGGAGATACATGCAAACAAATGTGGTCATATGGCCCTGCTCAAACCCTGGTGGCTTGGAACACTCTGGAAGCCACCTTTCGGAGTGCACCTGGGGCACATGGAGACTGGAGTCCCAGCTTTGAGGAGAATGCTCAGCTCAGGACTGGGTGCTCCAGGCTCAGAATCAAACTTTTGTGAAGTCCAAAATCAGTTTTAACCCATGATTTCTGGGCACCTATCTCTGAGGATCTTCAAGTTTTTCTGGAAGGCGAGTAGCATGTCAGTGGCAGGATGTTCTATTAGGGGCTCTAATAAGTTCTAGCGATCCTGTTCCTCTGGGAGCCAGCTCTGGGTCTAGGGGCTTACTCTGAAGCAGGCTCTGTAATGCAGGGTGCTGCTGGAAACTGGAAATATGCAAGAAACTGCCTGCAAGGATGTGCAGTTGCACGCACAGCGACTTGGGCAAGTCCCCACTGGAGAGGCTCGACCCTCTGGTAACCCACGGGACCTGATTTTACCTTCCTATGGGGAGTGTTTGACAGAAGGGCTGCTTGTCCATTGCGCTGAGCAAGTCCTCCAAGGTCTGCAGGCCCCTTCCCAGGCAAGGCTGCATGCCTGAGACAAGGGAAAAGAACATGGAACAGCCAAAGACTTCCTCTCCGCCTTGAAATCATGCATTTTTGCTTTTTTTGTTTCTAAAACAGAATGGAGAGAAGCCCACGTCTCAAGACCCGAAGTGAGCCTAGGATTTGAGGTTGTCTGTCACCTCAGGGCCCAACCTCTGCCCCAAGGGGGCAATAAGAGGTTGGGACACTCCTCTCTCTCAGGACCCCAGAAGTCAAGTGTGGGTACAGGCAGCCCTTCTGCCATTGGCCCCAGGCTGGGTCAGTGACTCCAGTCTTGGGCATGGAGTAGTGCTAAGGGTTAGAGAGTCTCACCTTCATGCTGGACAGCACAGCTCACATCTAGGCGGCACTTGGCACACTAGTCTTTACATGAAAATTGGAGTGAGTCGTGGATGGTGCTGGCCTCTTGGCATCCCCTAAACTCTGTCTTGCCACTGGAATGTGCAGAGAAGAAGACCACTCTGGTTTTTTTTGTTTGTTTGTTTTTAATTATACTTTAAGTTCTAGGGTACATGTGCACAACATACAGGTTTGTTACGTATGCATACATGTGCCGTGTTGGTGTGTTGCACCCATTAACTCGTCATTTACATTAGGTATATCTCCTAATGCTATCCCTCCCCCCCTCTCCTCACCCCACGACAGGCCCTGGTGTGTGATGTTCCCCTTCCTGTGTCCAAGTGTGGAGACCACTCTGTTATGTTAGATCCAAGAGTCGTCCTGAAGTAATCAGGGCTGGAAAGGAGGCAGCCTAAACAAAGATAGCTGTGTGTTCTGTGTGTCTTTTCTGCCTCTCTGTCTGTGACTGTCACACTGTGCCGTGACTGGACCATGAGGCTGCTGGCTTTCACGCAGGCTGCACATGGAGACAGCAGAAAGCACAGGCTGCCTCCCTCCCTGCCCCTCAACAGGGGGACCACCTTTGCCCTGGCAGGGACTGGAATCAGGCAGAAACCCGGACATGCAGAGGTGACTGGCCTCAGATCAGAGGGGGACCACAGCCCAAAGGCTACACAGAGGGGCAGGCTGTGAGCTGTGGGAACCGTCAGGCACCCGGGGTTCCCAGGCGGAGGACCATGTCCTTATGCTCATGAAGTGACCGACTGGAGGAGAATGCTTGGAAAAATATCCGCCCGACCATGGAGGGTTCAGGCTCTGGTGTTCCTCTGCATGGGTGTGAGTCCCAGCTCCACCACTCACCAGCTGCAGGGCTCAGGTGAGGGATCTCAAGTTCGCTGAGCCTCAGTTTCCTGAGACAGAGTAATGCCCAGCAGAGGGTAAGTGCTACCTAGGGTCTCATGTTGTCACTATTAGATGAGTCCTAGCGTCACCATTGTGATGCAGCCCATGGAATGAACATGAGGGATGAAAAAGGAGCATAGCGTCCCTTCAACTCCTTTATTTAAAAAATACACTTCTCGGATCACTTGAGGTCAGGAGTTCGAGACCAGCCTGGCCAACATGACAAAACCCCATCTCTACTAAAAATACAAAAATTAACCAGGTGTGGTGGCGGGCGCCTGTAATCCCAGCTACTCTGGAGGCTGAGGGAGGAGAATTGCTTGAACCCGGGAGGTGGAGCTTGCAGTGAGCCGAGAGGTGCAACTGCACTCCAGCCTGGGCAACAGAGCGAGACTCCATCTCAAAAAAATAAAAATAAAAATACATAAAAAATACACTTCTCTGCACGGAGCCGCAGTGGAGGGCACTTACTCAGAGGCCTGCAGGGGTGTGGTGGGTGAGTGAGGCCAGCTGTAGGGGCTAAACCTGGACCTGAGCCCACCCCTCCCACCAATGGCAGCCTGTGGGAATGCCAAATCATCAAGTTTTTCCTGGCAGGATAAAAAACTGGTTTTCTGCTATGTGAAATCCTCAAATGTTTAATTCAAAATCTGCAGGGGCTACCTGAGAGTGGCCCAGGGGAAGCCTGTGCCTGCCTGGCCTCTGAAGGTCAACCTGGAATGGCCTGGGGCAGGTAAAGTGTTCTTGAAGCTTTCTGCTGGGCACACCCTCTGAGTGTGCCCAGGCGCAGGCATGGTGAACAGTGCAGTGTTAGAGGCACAGGCAGGAGGCCCTCCAGAGAGGCACAGGCCAGGCTCTGGCGGCAGACAGCCTCCCATCCGCCCTCGCTGGCTGCAGGGAGGGGTGGAGGCTGTTGGGGCACAGAACGCTTTCTGCAGCCCCTCTCTCCTTATTTTACCCCAGGGACCTGCTCTTTGCCATCTTCCCCAGCAAAGCACACCTCCAGGAAACTCCCTGAGCCCAGCCCAATGAGATAAGTCCCCATCCCAGGGAGAGTTGTCCCTTAGCGGGAGCAAAAGGCTGTGGAGCCCAAGCACGAAGATTTTGTCATCATATCTCAAGCGTGGGCTGGCAGTTGGGTGTCAGGGGGTATGTGAGGTGACAGTCTCCCCCTAGTCCATGGATTTGAGTGTCATCATCGTCACCATCACCACCACCCTACCACAATAACGGCCCTCTGGCCCTGCAAAGCGCTGAGCTTCTGGTGGAAGGAGGGCATTCCTCCTTCTGCTGTCTCTATGGTCTTCTCTGGCCCTGGAGAATGTTCATGGACTCCAATGGCCTCTGAGGGCCTCTGCAGGGCCCACCTGCTCAGAGGCTCAGAGAGAGACCCCAGAGAGAGGCTGAGCCTATCCACACCAGCCCTGAGTTGACAGCATGGCATCTGCTGTGTGCCAGGCCTGGGCCAGGCTCTGCCCTTCCTCCCCCAGCCCCCAATTCCCATGCTGGGCTGGCCCTGCCTCCTGGAGGACTCGGTCCCCTGACTCTGCCTTGCTCTGCTTCTCCTCCCGCCTCTCAGGTTCCCTCTCCGCTGCTGATTTAGTCAGCCCAAAGCATTGTCATTAGACAAGTGGGTGTCCGTGGGACATGTGCAGCCACTGGGCTCCCAGTCTTCCTCTGTCAGCCCATTGGTGCCACCATTGGTCCCCTTGGCTATGGAAAGGCCCAAGGGGACATCTGACACAGACAAGGCAACTCCATGAAGGCTGCTATTCAGAGCAGACCCCGGCACAAGGCCCCATCCAGTTCAACTGGACCTGGGAAGGCTGTGTTCTCAAACTCAGAATGGCTTGTTTCAACTGTTAAATGCAGCTATGTGTTTAAAATTTGTATTTATCATTCACAAAGATCTAGATGAGCCGACCTCTTTTTTTAGTAGAGACAAGGTTTCGCCATGTTGGCCAGGCTGGTCTCAAACTCCTGACCTCAGGTGATCTGACCACCTCAGCCTCCCAAACTGCTGGAATTACAGGCATGAGCCACCGCACCCAGCCAACCTCATAGTTTCTTTCTCAGTGAAGTGGGGAGGGAAACCGAGGCTCTGGAGGGAGTCCAGGGGCCTGTGTTCACATTCTTATTTTCTCCATGCTTCACAGAAAGCAGCTCTGGGGTTCTCCAAAGTGCAGGGTTCTCAGCTGTAAAATGAGGGGATTTCACGGAAAGCATCTAACATTCCTCCAAGATCCAGGACTGCGCCACCATCCTGCCGACACTTTCCCTACAAAGCCTGGTTCATGACCTCTTGAGCGCTCAGCAGCACAGAGGTGCCTTCGCTGAACTGCAGGGGACGCAGCCCCCAACATGAGCAGGTGCCTTCAGAGGCCATCCCGAGATGAGGGAGCAAAAGGCAAGTGGTCGTGGAAGCCCTCATCAGTGATCCCTGGCCAGTCAGGGTATTGCGGCATCTGTGTGACAAGCACTGATCTGTCACGTGAAACATCACACACATCGATGAGAACACAGAGGGTAGATACGAAGGCAGCATTTGCTTCACTGGTGAAGGAAACGATGTTCAGAACAATTAAAGGACCACAGGCAGTCGGCGCTGTAGTGGGACCCTGACTCAGTTTCCAGGTTTCGGTGATACAAGCAGTCCCCCAAGGGCTTGGAGGGAACCGGCGACTGGAAGACAGTCTTTCCCTCCTTAGTCTGACCTAGCTCTTGTCCAAAAACCATGTTCTCTACCTTGCTCCCTCACTCTTCCCAAAGCGTATCATTCAGGAAGGGAGAGCACGTCAGGAACTATAAGCCCCTCACACTCTACTGAGAATAAACTCTCCACGCTGCGTTCAGCTGTGACTAGGCAGTGAGGTTGTACGGAAAGGAGAAGGATGCTGCTGAAGCAGGAATCGTCATCCAACAAGGGCCCGTGAGCAGTGCGCTGCAGTCCACAGATGGGCAGAGCCAGGAGGAGACACAGGACCAACTGCCCATCAATGTTCCTTGTCAGGGTGCAAGTAAATTTCATGCTGTTAGGGGCCAAACTGCATTCCCTCCAAATTCATATGCTGAAGTCATAACCCCTAGTATCTCAGAATTTGAATGTATTTGGAGATGGGGCCTTTGAAGAGGTAGTTAAGTTAAAATGAGATTATTAGAGTGGGGTCTTAATTCCATCTGAGTGGTATCTGTAGAAGAAAAAGAGGTTAGGACGCACAGAGAAACACCATGTGCAGACACAGGCAGAAGATGACCATCTGCAAGCCAAGGAGAGAGACCTCACTAGAAACCACTAGAAACCTGCCAGCATCTTGTTCACAGACTCCAGCCTCCAGAACTGTGAGAAAATACCTTTCTGTTGTTTAAGCTCCCCCTAGTCTGTGGTTTTTTTTATGGAAGCTCTAGTAAACTAATACATGCACCAGCAAAGTTTGTCACCTGATTATGCCAGCTACATAAGTCACTGGGTTTCCATTGTTGCCAGGGATGCCAGAGAGCTCAGAGCAAAATGATCAGTTAGGGTGACCCTATTGTCTGGAGCAAGTCCGTATGTTTTGGGGACATGATCCCTCCCCAGCACAACCAGCTGAGCAGCACCCAGCAATGAGGGGGCATGAAGAGGCTGCTGTGGGCTGGGCTCCTCTTCTCAATTGAGCACGGACTCTACAGTAACTCAGCACCCTTTTGGGTTATTTTATTGAGGCTGTGCTTCATTTTACTGACCTGAAGAGACATGTCTATCGACCCAGTACAGAGCTCTGGTCCCAGGCCACTTCCCACATGCCAATGCCTGGCTGACTTCATCTGTCACCCAAAGCAAAGAGGTTGAATCTGGAAGCCCCACATGGCACATTCTTGTACCCCCTGCTGCAGGAAGTCCCTGGGGATGGCCTGTATCTGCTCCACATTCCAAGCCAACACCATGGCCATCGGGCAGGACCAACCTCAAGCTCAAACATGGTGAGAAGCCACTGCCCCCAACCCATGTGGTGATTCCAAGGAGGCTGAGAAGGTTTTGGCATCTTTCCTCATCCTTCTGTACCCCATGGCACCATTCCCACATTCCAGCAGGTCTTCAGTCCTGTAGATGAAGTCTGGAATGCTCTCACTGAATAGAAAAGTCCTCAGGAAAATCCCACATTGCAGAGACGCATGTGGTCTGATGGCAAAGCTGAAGGAATAGCCTAGCACCCCCACCCATGTGCCTCTCACCGAGTGACAGGTAAAAGATACAAAGAAAACTTTTCAACTTGACCAAGACTCTCATCTCTTTCTGCATTGGAAGGGAACTTGCCATGGTGGGAATTGGGTGGGAGGTGACTTCTGAAGCCCAAGTACCAAAAGCATCGTCTTCACCTGCCCACCCACCCCAGCAGGGCATGGGCCAGTGACCTGGGCTTAGGCTCAGGCTCCAGGATGCTCCTGCATGGGGCTTAGACTCATTATGAGAGATGCGGTCAGGAAGAGATGGTTAGAATCTGTACACAGAAAGGGGAGTGTGTTGCCTCAGAAATTAACAGCAACAGCATCCTACCTGGCCCCTTCCAGTGACGTGGCCTCGAACATGGTGTCTGCTCCAAAGTTCCCTGGGTTCCTGGTCCTGATCCCAGCTTGGTTCTGCAGCCTGGCTGCCCAATACCCTCCTAAGAAAGGTCCTTTCTGCTGAGCCAGCCCAGTTGGTTTGTGCTGCCTGCCTCCAGCTCTAGCTATTGGTCTGGTGCTCAGGAGGGGAGCTGGGGCTAGTCCCAGAGGGAGCCAGCATGGTCTTAAAAGGCTACCTTTGAGGCCTTTGCATTGTCTTCAAATAGTGAATAAGACTTGATCTTCCAGCAAGTGAGACAAAACCCTAGGGAGCCCCAGAGAGTTGCAAGGGAACCTGGGGGCTCAAGGTTCTCAAATCCACAGATCACCATCCCAAGTGTCAGGGTCCTAGCTGGCCCCTGGCTTGTGCTGGGCCTGCCCAGGAAGGAGAGGGATACGCACAGAAAGAGCTACAGGATCTGGCTAATGCTCACCAGCACAGACTTGGTGCTGAAGGGGCTGGGTCAAGGGCAACAGAAGAGTGAGCCAGAGAAGAGAGCTTTGTTGATAGGAGGGCATTCGACCATAGCACAAAATTTAACATCTAGGGAAGGGCCCTAGAATGATTCCAGTATGCTTTTGGAATGACTCTGGAAGCTTGGGCAAAAGCAATGGCCCACTTTCTAAAGAGAAAAGCAACAGAGAAGTCACGCTTGAACTTTCAAGGCTGACTGTGGAGGAAGGGATCAGGGACCAAAAGGCTCAGAGATGCAGCTGGAAGAATCGGTCTGCTCTAGGAGACTGGAAACCCCACCATCTGCCAGTGTTCCTTGGAAGGGCTGGAGGACACTTACCATGGTGACAAGGAGCTTGCTGGTGAGGGTAGCACCAGTATTGCTAAAAAGCTCAGTGGTAGCCATCCTCAACAAGCCAGGTCTGGTGGTCGGAGATGCTACCACGGAGCAGGGCTCTCCAGGAGCAGGAGGGATGCTAGAATCTTGACTAGCAAGGACCAGGCAGCAGCACTTCACTGCAGCACTTGCTTCTTCAAGGTGGGTATAATTACTGTAATAGAATGAGCCACAAGGTCAGAACAAAGAGAAAGGGGGTAAGTGTTCTAATTTTCAGAGATACATGGACTGAAGATGGCCAATAGGACAGGATGTCCCTAGAGGCAGAGTAGATGGGCAACTATCCAGAGTACTGCTCAATATACATAAATAAAAGGGTTAAGAATGGATTCATACTCAAATGTCCAACCGTGGATGAATGGGCAAACAAAATGTCCCATATTCATACCATGGAATATCAATCAGCCATAAATGGGAAGTTGCCTGACACATGCTACAACCCAGATGAAGCTGTTCTCAACATCATGCCAAGTGAAAGAAGCCAGGCACAGAAGGACACACATCGTAGGATTCCATTTGTATGAAATGTCCAGTATCTGGCAAATCCATACAAAGAGAAGTAGACTAAACACCACTGAATTACACACTCTAAAATGATGAATTTTATGTTATAAAAAGAAAAAACCAAGAGGAGTTCACAGAAAGTCGTGGTCCTTTGCCCATTTTCCAGTCTTGAACCTGTTTTTGGACCAAGAACCCATTGACATTGACTAAAGCAGGGCCTGGTTTCTGTTAGAAAGAACCCCGTAACACTATGGTGAGTATATACAGTAGCGAGGCCTCCAGTCTTTCTCCATAAAGACCCATGGCATTCTACTTGAGTAACCACCACACTCTGGAAAAAGTAACCAGGTTTTTGAGGGCAGTTGGCTATGGTCTGAGCCAATACTCATATCTGAAGTGCCATCATGCCTCTCCTGTTAGGACGGGGACTGTGGGAATCAGGTAACAAATGACCCAATCCGTCTCACAGTGTGTCCACTGGGCCCATGAAACCACCAGTGGTTATGTCCTGAATTAGTTTAATTAGTATGGACTTACTTGGCAGTTGGCAGAACCCACAAATTGCTTCTTTGACCTGTGGAGCCTATTGGAGAAGGCCAAGTGGAAGCCCCTGAATTTCCCCCGTCAGCCAAGACAGAGAGTAAATCAAAAATGATGGGGCCAGGCGCAGTGGCTCCCACCTGTAATCCCAGCACTTTGGGAGGTGGAAGCAGGAGGATTGCTTGAGGCCAGCAGTTCAAGACCAGCCTGGGCAACACAGACTCTATCTTTCAGGCCAGGCATGGTAGCTCACACCTGTAATCCCAGAACTTTGAGAGGCCAAGGTGGGCAGATCACTTGAGCTCAGGAGTTTGAGACCAGCCTAGGCAACATGGTAAGACTCTGTCTCTCCAAAAAGTACAAAAATTGCTGGGCACAGTGGCTCATGCCTATAATCCCAGCACTTTGGGAGGCCGAGACGGGCAGATCACCTTAGGTCGGGAATTCGACACCAGCGTGACCAAAATGGAGAAACCCCATCTCTACTAAAAATACAAAATTAGTCAGGCGTGGTGGCACATGCCCATAATCTCAGCTACTTGGGAGGCTGAGGCAGGAGAATCGCTTGAACCTGGGAGGCAGAGGTTGCAGTGAGCCAAGATCACACCATTGTATTCCAGCCTGGGCAACAAGAGCAAAACTCCGTCTCAAAAAAAGAAAGGAAAAAAAGTACAAAAATTATCTAGGTGTGATAGCACATACCTATAGTCCCAGCTAACTGGGAGTGCTGAGGCAGGAGAATCCCTTGAGCCTGGGAGGCCGAGGCTGCAGTGAGCCAAGATTGCACCACTGCACTCTGGCCTGGGTGACAAAGTAAGACCCTATCTCAAAAAAAAAAAAAAAATCAACAAAAAACAAAACAACAAAAAAAGAAAGACTCCATCTCTACAAAAATAAAGTAAAAAACTTTAAAAATTATATTATGCCCAGGGAAGGTGTAATGGAGGACTATCAGCTAGTTGGACCACCATCAAAGATTTTAAGAGTGCCAAGGTAGTGGTCCCCATCCTATCCCCATTTAATTCACTAGAATTTGAATCATTAGTATCTTCCCTGCAGAGACCGCATGGATTATGGTGGATGAGAGTGGACTACCATAAACTTTCCCATGCAGCAGCTCAGTTGCAGCTGCTGCGCCACATGGAGCTTCTTCATCGGAGCAGATGAACACAGACTTTGGTATGGGTATGTAGCTGTTGATCTGGTGAACGCCATCTGTTCCATACCCATCAGAAGGAGGGTCAGAAGCAGCTTGTATTCACGTGTGGTAGACAAAGCAAACATTCAGAGCTTTGCCCATGGGGTAGGTTGATTCTCCTGTCCTCTGATATAATATGGTCTTCAGGAAGGGAATGGGGCTCTATGAACTTTCCGCAGAGCAGCTCACTGGTCCATTGTGTTGGTGATACCATGGTAACTAGACCTGAAGGGCAGGAAGTGACAAGTTCTCTTGATACCACGGAAGATACGATCTCTTGAGGGTAGGAGATAAACCTAGAAGGATTCAGGGGCCTGTCCCATTTGTAGTGTTTCTAGGAGCCCAGGAGTCTAGGGAATGATGTATTACACTTGCAAATAAAGGGTGAGTTGTTCCACCTTGGACTTCTAGGTCTGAGAAGAAAAAAAGCAATGAGTAGTGGGGTTTTTCGGTTTTGGAGGCATAATACTCTGCATGTGGCAACTGGTCTACCCATTTTCCAGTTGACACAGAATGTTGCTAGTTTGGGCTAGTTTTGAGTGGCTCCCAGATCCAGAAGGGGTTCTGCAGGAGCCAGACTACAGAACAGGCAGCTTTGATTCTTGGGCTAGATGAACCACAGGCAGACTCCAGATCTCATCATCCAACTCTGGGCATTGCCATCTCTTCCTTCACCTCTAACTTCATGCCTCACACCTCATGGGCCTTTCCATGATCAGGTAACAGTGGAGGAAAAAGCCCGAGCTCAGTTCATGGATGGATCAACCCAGTATGTCAGGGCAAGACAAAGACAGACAGTACCTGCACCACAGCACCACGCAGGGTTGCTGCAGTAGTCACCATCTGCCGACGATGAACATCTTCCTAATGGGCAGAGCATTCTGTGGTGCACCTGGTCATTCACTTCATGTTTCCAAGGCCCAAGGTAAAAACATCCGTGGATTTATGGGCAGTGGGGAGTGGCTGGGCTTATGGTCAGGAGCCTGGGAGGAGACCAGAAGTTCAGGGACAGAAAGGCCCCAGGGAAGAGGTAGTGGATAGACGTATGAGGGTGCGCACGGGGTGTAAGGATGTTTGAATCCACCCGGGAGAGGCACTAAGTAATCAAATGGACAAGGTTACTTGGCCAGTAGATGCCAGTCCTCCTCTGCGTTTGCCACCCAAGTGTTAGTGCGATGGAGGACAGAGCCATGGCAGGGGCTGTGCATGTCTGAGCCTCGTTTTTTTTTTTTTTTTTTTTTTTAGACGGAGTCTCGCTGTGTCGCCCAGGCCGGAGTGCAGTGGTCTGATCTCGGCTCACTGCAAACTCCGCCTCTCAGGTTCACGCCATTCTCCTGCCTCAGCCTCCTGAGTGGCTGGGACTACAGATGCCCACCACCATGCCCGGCTAATTTTTTGCATTTTTAGTAGAGACGGGGTTTCACCCTGTTAGCCAGGATGGTCTCAATCTCCTGACCTTGTGATCCGCTCACCTCAGCCTCCCAAAGTACTGGGATTACAGGTGTGAGCCACCGCGCCTGGCTAAGCCTCGATTTTAACAGGGTCTTTTATTGTTATTACTTGATGCTCTTTGCCTCTAATAAAATGCTTATGCCAAAATAGTCTTTTGTCTGATATTAATGTAATGACATCCCCTTTCTTTGAACCCCTATGTTTTTTCCAACCTTTCACTTTCAACAGTCCTGTAACCTTGTGTTTTACAAGTCTCTCATAGCTGGCCAGGCGAGGTGGCTCATGCCTGTAATCCCAGCACTTTGGGAGGCCAAGGCAGGAGGATCATTTGAGGTCAAGAGTTCGAGACCAGCCTGGCCAACATGGTGAAACCCCATCTCTACTAAAAATACAAAAATTAGCCAGACGTGATTGGGAGCGCCTGTAATCCCAGCTGTGTGGGAGGCTGAGGTGGGAGAATCACTTGAACCCAGTAGGTAGAGGTTGCAGTGAGCCGAGATCACACCACTGCATTCCGGCCTGGGCTACAGAGTGACTCTGTCTAAAAAAAAAAAAAAGAAAAAAAAACTGTATAGCTGTAATTTTTAAAATCTAGTTTGAGCAACTTAGTCTTTTAGCTGGAATATTCAGTCCATATATATAAAGTAATTGTTTATATATTTGGATTTTAATCTAACCTGTAATTGTATACTTGCTTTGTTTCCTTATCTTTTCTCCCTTCTTTAAGTATACTTATTTTTTTCTTCTCCATACCCTTGCTCCAATCTTTTAATGAATACCCTAGAATTCCAAATATAAAATTAAGAATTAGAATAATGTATTAACATATACTATGAATTCTTAATATATAAGACTCTGAACTCAATACCTTTTTGCCCTCCACTCAGATAATAGAAGGGCCTTGGAACCCATGAGCTCCATGTAACTTGTGCTTGGAATATAAGTTTTCTTATCTAGATCTTTAATTCTGTTTTGGTTTTCTTAATTCCACTAGACATTATTAATACTGCTTGCTATAGTTTGAATACTTGTCCCCTCCAAAATTCATGTTAGAATTTAACCCCCAGTGTGGCAATATTGAGAGGTAGGGCCTTTAAGAGGTGCCTGGGTCATGCAGGTTCTGCTCTGATAAAAGAATTAGTCTATTCATGAATTAATGGGTTATCATGGGAGTGGGACTGGTGGCTTTATAAGAGGAAGAGAGACCTGAGCTAGTGCACTTAGTCCCCTCCCCTTGTGATGCCCTGAGCTGCTTTGGGACTCTGCCACGGGTCCCCACCAGCAAGAAGGTCCTCGCCAGATGCGGCCCCCAACCTTGGACTTTTCAGCCTCCATAGCTGAAAAAAATAAATTACTTTTCTATATAAATTACCTAGTTTCAAGTATTCTGTTCTAAGCAATAGAAAACAGATTAAGACATTGCTTTATGAAATCAATGGTTGTTTTTATTCACCCTCTCAGTACTTCCTGTTCTTCACTCCTTCTTCCTCCTCAAACCTTCCTCTGAGACCACTTTCCTTCTCACTGAAATGCATCTTTCAGAAATCCCTTCAGGAAGAGTCAGCTGGTGATGAACTCCCTCAGTCTTTATACTGCCCCTATTCTTGAAAAAACTTTTCCCTGGGTAGAAAATTCAGCCCTATGAAACCTGCCTCCCACTTCCCTGTCTTCAGTCACCTTTGATTGAAGTACCTGGTGCAGGTGCCCCGACTGCTGCCTGAGGTGGCTGCCTGCTGCTTCACCCTTACCCCAAAGGTGTTGGCCTTCAGTGTGGGAAGGGCCTCCACCCTGACTCCCCACCTTGGGTGGCCCCTGAGCCTCAACTCTGTCCCTTAAGGCCAAAGAGCCTTCAAAGGCCCCAGTATTCTTATCCCTCTTAATGCATGCTTTCCCCAGAAGCTGGCCTGGCAGTTCTTCATTATCTTGCTGGTTCTTTGGCACTTTTAAGATAGTATATTTATAGCAAACGCTGGTGAGGCTATGGAGAAAAGGAAACTCTTATACACTATTCGTGGGAATGTAAACTAGTACAGCCACTATAGAGAACAGTACAGAGGTTCCTCAGAAACTACAAACAGCATTACCATATATCCAGCAATTCCACTACTGAGCATTTACCCAAAGGAAAGGAAATCAGAATATTGAAGGTACATCTGCACCCCCATATTTATTGCGGCACTATTCACGACAGCCAAGGTATCAAATCAACCTATCTGTCCAACAACAGATGAATGGATGAGGAAAATGTGATATATACACACAATGGAATACTATTCAGCCATAAAAAAGAAGCAAATCCTGTCATTCATGGCAACATGGATGGAACTGGAGGACATGATGTTAAGTAAAATAAGCCAGGCACAGGAAGTTAAACACCACATGCTCTCACTCATATGTGGAAGCTTAAAAAAGTTGATCTCATAGAAGTAAAAAGTGGAACAGAGCACACTGGAGGCTGGGAAGGGTAGGGGAAGGAGGGGCTAGGAAGAGATTTGTTAAAGGATTAAAAACTACATCTGGGCTGGGCTCAGTGGCTCACGCCTGTAATCCCAGCACTTTGGGAGGCCAAGGTGGGCAGATCACTCGAGGTCAGGAGTTTGAGACCAGCCTGGCCAATATAGTAAAACCTCCTCTCTACTTAAAATACAAAAATTAGCCAGCATGGTGGCATGCACCTGTAGTCCCAGCTACATGGGAGGCTGAGACAGGAGAATTGCTTGAACCTGGGCGGCAGAGATTGCTGTGAGCTGAGATTATGCCACTGCACACCAGCCTGGGCGGCGACAGAGTGAGACTCAGTCTCAAAAAAAAAAAAAAAAAAAAAAGCTACATCTGGATAGGAGGAATAAATTATAAATTCTAATGGCCTCTAGCACTGTAAGATGACCATCGTTAACAATAATATAATATATAGTTTCAAGTAGTTAGAAGGAAGATATTGAATGTTCCCAAGACAAAGAAATGATAAATGTTTGAGATGATGGGTATGCTAATTACCCTGATTTGATCACCATACATGTATTAAAACATCACTATGTATCCCCAAAATATTTAAAATTATTATACATCAATTAAAAGATAAATAAAATACAAAATTTTTAAAGAATATTTTAAATATGTTCTAACATTTCCAGTTGTTTCCAGCAGGCAGGTTTGTCTGAATTACCCAGCTCCTTTTCCCAGACTGGGGTCCAGATGATGTCACCTTGTATTTCCTGTTACTTTTCTCTGGACACATCTGGACACATGATTTAGTCCCTATCTCATGATGAACATTTTTGGATGCGGCCCTTTAAGGGCGGTTTTTCTGTTGCATCTTTTCTTCCAAAGTAACTCTTACTTAGCAGTCCAACAAGTAAGGCAGAAAGAAAAAATGAGCTCTCCCGGGTGAAGCAGGGGTGAGGGTCCAGAACTCTCTTTGCTCAGCCTACCTCTCCTACCCCTATCAGCCTTGAGCTCCTCCTGGAAACATTCCTGGGACTCGAAAATCATTACCCTAAGAACTTAGTAATTAGTTGATTAGTTGATTAGTAAATCAACATGAATTCACTATTGCCCATACCCTGAGGAAATCCGAAGGGCAGTGTTGAATGCGTCCATCCTGCTCTGCTCAGGGAAAAGAGTTGCTGAGTCTGAGGCAGGGGCTCTTCTTGCTTGGGGAAGAGGCCCTTGGTGCTGTGGGGCATACAGGAGTTCTCATGACTATGGCAACCACAGGGCGCCATGAACAGCTGTACAGGTTGCACACTACTCAAAGACTCCTTTGAGTCAGGGGGCAAGCAGGTTCTGAAATCTAGTGCATGCCCTGCACTAGATTAGGTTAGGTCTCTTTTTTTTTTTTTTTCGCATGAATATTCCATAGAGGCAACAGTGGCCCTATGACCAGGATGAAATGTCATCATCACTCCACCCGCCTTTTTGAGCTCAGTCCCTATGCTTACTGCGCCTCTTTGTGACCCTGCAGACTCCACGGCAATTCTGACTTCAGGAAGGGGGGCTCTGGATTGGGGACCTAAGTATTCTAATCTGGAAGGAAACCTCTGCATGGAGCACAAGGGAACTCGTATCTGGCTTCTGTATTTTCATCCCTTATGCTGGGGGTTGGGGGTATGACTCATTCCCTCTGGACCAAGCGGGATTCCAGGAACTGATGATCTGGCCATGGGCCCTGAAACCACCAGGAGGCTCTTGGGAAATGCACCCAGCCTTCTTCAATCAAGCTGGTGTCTGCGTGGCCCTCCCGAGCTGGCTGGAATCCAGCCTTAACTTTCCCTCCACCCATCTCCCACTGCTCCAGTGACAATGCTCACAATGAAAGCCAGCCAACAGGGGACAAGGTTGCCAGCGGGGCTGAACAGCCCCCTCGGCCCCCTGGCCCGGCCCGTGGGGAGCTGGCAGCCGCGGTGACGGGAAAACACACATTGTTTGGGGGCGTTGCGGATACAGTACAGATTATTTTTAGCAAATTGTTCTGACTTAGTGAAAAACCTGAAAGATAGTGTTGATAATCATTCTTATTTTAGTGCCGCAGATGGCACTGCTATAATTACACCCTTGTTTCTGGGTGACTCTGCTGTTCCCATAAGAAGACACCTTGCCTGATGCAGAAATACATCATTGAAGGTTGTCTTCATTTTTTAATTTCGGGCTCAATCTTTTCCTTTTTACCCTTAAGTATTAACCACATTTGTTGAGAAAGAGTAAATTATTCACATGTCTCTCATGCTAATATTAGCCTGAAGATAACTGAAAGGTTTGGGGCCTCTTTGTTCTCTGATCCGAGTGTCAGGCGGGAATGACCCGCGGCTCTAGGCCTCCTCCTCAGAGGTGCTTCCCGGGCCCTGAGCCAAGTCAGGCTCTGTGCAATCTCATTTCATCCTGCACTTGCTTTCAAATCGGTGTTTTCCATTTGTAATTATGTACTTATCTGTGAAATACTTGGACCAACGCCTGTCCCGCTCCTGGGCCATAAGCTCCACAGAGAAGGGGCTGGAGTATTTTTTGTTCATGACATGTCCCCAGTGCCTAGAACAGAGACATCTGTGAAACGTAAGAAGGAATGGGAAAGCCACCACTGCAGGTGGGCGTCTAAGGAACCTGCAGCCTCTAGCTCTCTTCCCGGTCCTCCCATCCTTGGGCTCATCACCACTGAAAGCCTTTGGCCGATACTTGGCCTATCTCTGTAACTTCAGTTTTCCCATCTGACGAACAGAATTAATAAAATATGCCCAACTTACAGCAAAGAGATAGCACGAGACTAATAAGGAACATGTAAGTGTGATAAGACTGAAAAGGGGAAGCAGATAGGAGCCAACTATTCTATTCTTAAAATTAGAATTGAAGGCCATGTGCGGTGGCTCACACATATAATCTCATCCCACTTAGAGAGGCCGAAGTGGGCCGATTGCTTGATCTTGGGAGTTCGAGACCGGCCTGGGCAACATGGTGAAACCCCATCTTTACCAAAAATACAAAAATTAGCCATAAGTGATGGCACGTGCCTGTAGTCCCAGCTATTTAGGAGGCTAAGGTGGGAGGATCACTTGAGCCCAGGAGGTCAAGGGTGCAATGAGCTGTGATGGCACCACCGCACTCCAGCCCGGGTGACAGAGTGAGACCCTGTCTCAAAAATAAAATAAATAGATAACAATTTTAAAAAGTAATATATAGATATAGATATAGATAGATATAGATTGATTGGAGTGAGGGATACAGACAGAAGAACTGGAATTCCACTGAGAGCCTAAGTCCCTTGGGAGCAGGTGTTTCTTCAAGACCTTATCACAGCCGCAGCCTGAAGCTCAGAGTCTCTCACACAGTAGGTGCCCAGTTGATGAGCTGCGCTCAGTCAGCCTTCAAGATGACCCCCAGCATGACCCCCAGTGATCTCGCTTCCCAGCCTTCACAGCCTCATGTGGAATCCTCCCACACTGCATCTAGGACCCAGAGAATACAGCAGAAGTGATGACATGCCGCTTTCAAGGCTGGGTTCTGAAAGGCACCATGGCTTCTCTCTTGGTTATGTTCTCTGTCTGTGTTTCTCTGTCTCTCTGTTTCTATCTCTGTATGATCACTTGCTCCAGGAAAAGCCACCTCCTGAGCAGCCATTTGGAGATGCCCATGTGGAGAGGAACAGAGGCCTCCAGCCCACAGTCACATAAGTATGCATAAAAGCAGTTCCTCCACCCCAGTCCAGTCTTCAGAGACCACTGCCCCAGTCAACAGCTCAACTATAATCTCACACGTGTCCTCGACACTCAGAATAATGAGCTAAGCCGCTCCCAAATCTCTGACCTTCAGAAACTATGTGATATATACATGTGTGTTGTTTTAAGCTGTTAAGTTCTGGGGCCATTTGTTATGCAGCAATAGAAAACTAATACACCACCCACCCACATCTCTGCCTCCTGGCTCTGCTGAATTGGGGCTGGGGCTCAGCCTCCCCCTAAGCTGCCTCCAGCAGTCAAGCCCCTTCTCTGCCTCCCACCTCTCTGGTTCCCACTTCCTCCCTCCCTTGCAGACCACCCTTCTGCCCCTTCCTCAGCAAGGGCCACTGACAGGGGCCAGCACAGACCCCAGCGGAGGAAAGGGAAGGGCCACGAGAACCAGGATCTCACCTGGTCCTTGAACTCGGGGGACTCATGGCTCTGTCTCCTGGCATGAGATGGAACCTCGACCTTGCTCCCACCACATTGACTCAGCCTTGTTTCCTGAGAGGCAGAGGCCCTCACCCAACCTCCTTTCCCCTCCATCCTTCCAATCCCACCACAAAGGAGCCATGCTATCCCTTGCTTTCTCCAAGCTGCCTAGAGACCATCACTCTCCTAGTCCCACCACAGTCTCTCCCATGCACCTCAGCACTGGGGGCTGGATTCTTCTGCGGGCCATTTCCCACCAACAAATGCAACTGCCACAGCTTGGCAGGAGTTCCTGCAGAAGAGAGAAAAGCCCCGCTGGCTTCTCACACCCAGGATGTCTGCCTCTAGTTGCCCACTGGATGGAAACGTCTTCCATTTCTTAAAGACTCAAACTCCCCAGAGTCTCCTGGTCCCCCTGATGCTGACTGCCCTCACTCCTGCACCCGCATCCCATTCTCCAAAGAGCTCACAATGGCAGCCAGCAACTGGCAGGGCTGCCTCTTCCTTTCCTCATTAATTTTGTATTTTTAGAAAAGTGATGCACACATGTAGTATACAGTCCAAACAATTATGCAGCATTCTCTCCCTGGCGCTCTCATTCCAGAGTCCAGAGGCCACCACTTTCCTTCTTTAAATCTGCTTCTGAAAACATAAGGAAATATGGCTATTTTTATTTATTATATCTTGACATTATTTGCTGACTTTCTACCACAATAGTGGTGATTCGACACTTGCTTTCCACTGTATTCCCACTTTCCTCCCCCACCCATCATCCCAATATATCTTTAGATCATAATTTTGGGTTAATAATCAGTGTTTACATTACTAGGACTATCAAATTGTGTTAATTGCAGAGCCCAATAGTGTGCAATGAACTTGTTCCTTTCTCATTATCCACTCCTGCTGCCTGCCCCAGAGGAAAATGCTTCCTTCTATCATTCACTTAGTTGTCAATGTCCTTAAGGCTAACTCTCCCCCAAATACTTCCATATTTCTGCCAAACACCTATCAACAACTGCTTCAAACTCTAACACATCCCATAGGCTGGCAGTTCCGCCTTCCCTGGAGGCCTTCTTCCCAGGGCCCTCTGACTTCCTGTTCTGTTGCTACAAACTGCCACCTTGGGGTCTCTCTTGGTCTCCCCGTTGGGCTAGGTCCTGCTTCCTGCACCCCAGGTCCTCCTGTCTCTTGGTTTACTTGATTGTTTGGGTGGGACGCATCCTCCACTATCTCCTGAGGAAGGATACACAGAAGGCAAAGGTTTTAAAGATGTTGTATGCCTAGAAATGCAGTTATACTATTTTATACTTGAAAAATAATTTGGAAAGATATAGAAATTTAGGTGGAAAATGATTTTCCATCAAAGTTTCAAAGGCATTATTCTATTGTCACCTGTCTTCCAGTGCTGCCATCGTGAAGTCTAATGACATTTCATCCTTAAATCTTTGTGTGTATTGTTCTTCTCCCCTGCAACCTCCAGCTTGCGAGGCTTTCTCTTCATCCTGAATGCTTTCAGATTGTATGGTGACATGCCTTGGTGTAGAATTCTAAAATGGTGGTCCTTAACAGGCTCTTTCCGTTCAGAGGCTCCCATCCTTCACTTGGTAATTTTCTTGTATTATTTATTTGAAAATGTCTCCCCCTTGTATCTGGTCTCACCTTTTGTAACTCTAATTAGTGGAACCCCAAATCATCTGATTGACATGCTAGTTGTCTTTGGTGTCTTATTGTCAATCTTTTTGTCTTTTTTCTAGCAATTTTCTTGACTCCACCTTCTATCTTATTTATTAAATGTCCTCTTTCTTGTGCTTTGATGATCCCTTTCTCCTAGAATGCCAATCTTTTTTTTGTGTGTGTGTGTCTGTGGTCTTGCTCTGTTGCCCAGTTTGGAGTGCAGTGGCGTGATCTCAGCTCACTGCAACCTCCACCTCCTGGGTTCAAGTGATTCTCCTGTCTCAGCCTCCCGAGTAGCTGGACTACAGGCATGCGCCACCATGCCCAGCTAATTTTTGTATTTTAAGTAGAGACAGGGTTTCACCATGTTGGCCAGGCTGGTCTCGAACTCCTGACCTCTGGTGATCTGCCCGCCTCAGCCTCCCAAAGTGTTGGGATTACAGGTGTGAGCCACCACACCCAGCCTAGAATGCCATTCTTGTTTCCTGGATGCAATCTCCTCTATCAGCTCCCAAGAATGTGACTGACAGGGGCTTCATGTTGAGCTTTGCTCTGCCCCTTCCCTCTGCTTCCTCTGAGTGCCTCTTCCCTATGTGTTGCTGGTTGTGCTCCATGTTGGCTGCTTCACTCCTGTGTTCAGTGACCGTGGGCAGTTGGTTCATCTCCAAGGGCACAGCCCTGAAGAGCTCACTGAAGACTTCTTGCTGGCAGGGGATGGTTATAGACTGGTGGCTATAGCAGATTCTTTGTTGGGCAACCCTTACCTGCAAACATGTTTAGGTCTCCTCTCTAGGAACATATGTCCTGCCTGGTACTTGTAGGTCATGCTGCCAACTTCCTGGGAGTAGAGTCGGGAGGGGGTCTTGGGGATCTCCTCAGTGTAGGTGAAGTCTTTCTTCTTATACCTCGACCCCTTTTTAGTCCAGAACCCCACCCCTGCCTTCTGCTGTCCTTCAGCCCCTGAGCCTAGAGCCACCTTTCTACAATTTCCCCAAAGAACAAACTTCCAGGCTTGTCTGAGGCATGCTGTGGAAGGAACCTGGGATCTCAATGGCTTCCCAGACAGAGTGCTGATCAAGCCCCCTGGTTTGGCCTCCACTGCCCCTGCCCCATGGCCTCTGTAGTGCCAGCTGTCTCCACTTGCCCAGGCTTCTGGGTGGGACCAAATGAATGGCCTTGATTATTAGCAGCATCGTCCCTCCTTGCCTTCACCTGTCCTTGGGTCCTAGCTTTGTCCCATCTGTTCCCCTCACTCACATCTCAGTCTACCTATCAAGAAAATGGGGATAACAGTGGTTCCCATCTCCTGGGATTGCTGTGAAGAAGAAATGAGCTCAGGGTGGTGTCATCATCACCAAGATGGAAATAACCTGGGCAGCCCCTCGGGCAAGCTCTGTCCCCAGTGTGTGTTCTGTTCTGCTCACACAGACCCAGAAAGAGGAGCCAGCCAGGTGACAGTATGAAACACACATGTTGAGTGTGCAGAGCCGGGAACTCTGTTCCTTGCACGTGCTCCAGGCCCTGCCAATGGTGCATGACCAGTCACCAGCCAAGCATGGCGCTGAGAACGTATGTGGCCTCCCTGAGGCTTTGCTCAGTCCCCTCCCTCCACACCCACAGAAAGAGGTGTGCACACATGCAAAATAGCAATAATAATAGTATGAGATGGCAGCTGAGACCTGTGCAGCTGATGACAGTTTGAAAGAAGGATGAGCAGGCTCTCTGCCATCTGCCCACCAACTTTTCAAGTTACTTTTACCCACCTTCAAAATTACATCTGCTTTTAGCAAGAATTACTGATGTGATAAAGATGGGAGTGTTCACCATGCAAGGGCAGGTAAGTTGCTCTGTGCCACTGGGGGTTTAACCCTTAAAAGGAGAGGGGTCTCCCTTCAGCTGCTGCAGGATCCTGGTAGAAGGGGGCACAGATGACATGAAAACCCAGGGAGCCATGCCTGCTGCTGGGATCCGGGCTCACCCACCTCGTGCCCCTACCCAAAACTGTCGGGACACGAAGCCTTGCCGGGAGCCTCGAATGCCCAGGGGCTTGGCCAGGCCACAGACTGTGCGGGGAATGTGTGCACACTGCCCACTTTATCCCATGGCTGTGCCCGCCATAGGTTATGCAGCAGCAGTGGGCACGCGCAATTCAGTTGAATTCAGGGAAGCCAGCAAGTGCTAGGGAATTTCGATGGATGACCTAAGCATGGTCAGGTGTCTATTTAGAAAAATATACACGGCCAGGCGCGGTGGCTCATGCCTGTAATCCCAGCACTTTGGGAGGCCGAGGTGGGTGGATCACAAGGTCAAGAGATCTAGACCATCCTGGGCAACATGGTGAAACCCCGTCTCTACTAAAAATACAAAAATTAGCTGGGTTTGGTGGCGCACGTGTGTAATCCCAGCTACTCATGAGGCTGAGAAAGGAGAATCGCTTGAACCCGGGAGGCAGAGGTTGCAGTGAGCTGAGATGGCACCACTGCACTCCAGCCTAGTGACAGAGCGAGACTCCGTCTCAAAAAAAAAAAAAAGAAAAGAAAAATATACACTTAGGAGGGCGAGGCAGGCAGATCACTTGAGGTCAGGAGTTCGAGACCAGCCTGGCCAACATGGTGAAACCCTGCCTGTCTCTACTAAATATACAAAAATTAGCTGGGTGTGGTGGCGCACACCTGTAGTTCCAGCTACTCAGGAGGCTGAGGCAGGAGAATCGCTTGAACCCGGGAGACGGAGGGTCCAGTGAGCAAAGATTGCAGCGCTGCACTCCAGCCTGGGCAACAGAGCAAGACTCTGTATCCAAAAAAACAAAAACAAAAACAAAACAAAAAAACAAAAAAGCAAAACAACAAAAAAAAAACCACTTAATGTACATGATGTGGTAGAAGAAAAGCACTTATTAGTGAGAATTGCCGCCTCCTCCTAAGAAGAGTGTCCCCTACTGCAGGGTGCTTTGCTTCTTAATCAGGCTCAGGAGGGAGGGTCTGAGGCCATTGAGACCATGCCTGGAACAAGGAGGCAGACAGCCAGGCTGGTGACTACAGAGTGCCACGCACACACAGGGGGTGGAGCCAGCACCTCTGTGCTCCACCTATGAAGTGGCCGGCAGTCCTTCCCAGGAGGGTGTGAGCTGAGGTCTCCTGGGTACACCAGCCAGCCCACGGCACAGAGCCTGCCTGTTGGTCTCTACCCACAGGGGATCCCCTGCTGCTCCACCATCAGATTTGGGACACCACCCCCCCCGGCCCCACCAGAGGGCATCAGCTATGCCTAGGTAAGTGCTCATCTTAGGGACAAGTAAGAACATAATCAACTGCAGAAATGTCTGCAGGTCTGGCAGGCTCTGCCTCTGCTGCCCCATGCAGACTTCAGCCCAGGGCACCCTTCCTGGTGCTGCACTGGCTGTGTTGTGGATCTGCCTTTCCAGGGCTGGCCTTGTAGACCCTGACCCAAGGAGCAGCTGGGCTGGTCCCACTTCCAACCAGCAGCAGGCAAGGGTGGGACAGAGCCAGACTGCAGCCTCCCCAAGGCATGGCTTTGAGTGTTTTAAAAAACTTAAAATGGCCGGGCATGGTGGCTCACGCCTGTAATCCCAGCACTTTGTGACGCCAAGGTGGGTGGATCACCTGAGGTCAGGAGTTCAAAACCAGCCTGGCCAACTTGGTGAAACCCCATCTCTACAAAAAATTCAAAAATTAGCTGAGCATGGTGGCAGGCGCCTGTAATCCTGGCTACTCGGGAGGCTGAGGCAGGAAAATTGCTTGAACCCAGGAGGCAGAGGTTGCAGTGGAGATTGTACCATTGCACCCTAGCGTGGGTGACAGAGTGAGACTCCCTCTCAAAAAAAAACCCAAAAAAACAAAAGAACTAAAAATGTCCTTTATGCTTGGAGTCAAACATTCCAACAGAATAAAGGAGACAATAGGAATGCTACCACCCCAGACCCCAGGCCACTTACCTGACGGTCTCAGTCAGCTCAGGCTGCTATGACAAAGGACTATAGACTGGGTGGCTTATAAATAGCAGGCATTTATTTCTCATAGTTCAGGAGGCTGGAAGTCCCATATCAAGGTGCCAGTATGGTCAGGTCATGGGGAGGGCTCTCTTCAGGTTGCAGATGGCCACGTGGCAGGGAAAGAGGAAGAGAGCTTGGGGTCTCCATCCTCTTGACCTAAACTCCCAAGGGTTCCACCTCCTAATGCCATCGCACTGGGGCCGAAAATTTCTACATATGAATTTGGGGGGAGGAGTACACAAACATTCAGTTCATAGCACCAGAGAAAACACACTAACGTCCATATTTTATGCATCCTACCAGGAGTTTCTGTGTGCACACACACATACACTCATTCGAACAAATGAGATAAATCTATACACATACCCTCTAGCTTCCTCTTTTTCATGAAACAATATACTCTGAAGATTGCTGTGTTTCATAGACCTAAATATACCTCCTTCTTTTTTTTTTTTTTTTTTTTAGACGGAGTTTCACTCTGAAGTTTCACTCGGAGTTATCCAGGCTGGAGTGCAGGGGCGTGATGTTGGCTCACTATAAACTCCGCCTTCCGGGTTCAAGTGATTCTCCTGCCTCAGCCTCCCAAGTAGCCAGGATTACAGGTGCCCGCCACCACACCTGGCTAGTTTTTGTATTTTTAGCACAGATGGGGTTTCACCATGTTGGTCAGGCTGGTCTCGAACTCCTGACTTCAAGTGATCCATCTGCCTCAGCCTCCCAAAGTGCTGGGATTACACCTTGAGAGCCACCACACATGGCCACCTCCCTCTTTTTTAATGACTGCATGGTAATGCAGACCTAGGGATGTGATGTAATTAATCTTGATAGTGCTTAAGTTGTTCCTATCCTTTTCCAATCACTACAATGCTTTGATGAGCCTCTGTATTACATGTCTTGACAAGACTCTGAAGTGGGCTTGCTGGGCCAGAGCACATATGTGTGTAGTTCTGGTAAATGTGACTACATTCCCCCATGGAGCATGTCCCTTCAGCTCACTTGAAAGGCGATTGTCAAAGTTTGGAACTTGCTGATCTGATAGCAGAAAGTAGGATTTCATTGATATTTCAGTTTGCGTTTCTGTTATTGTGATGACAGTCAGCATATTTTTGAATGTTTAGAGGCATTTTTCTTTTCTGGGAAGGATTTCTTCCCATTGCCCATTTTCCAATTCAGTTGTTGGATTTCTTTCTCTTTGATTTTTAGTGGCCCTTTGCCTGTGACATAAGTTGCATATATTATTATGCATATGATTCTGTTTTCACATAGACATAAGCATACCTTATTCTTTTTCATGACTGCAGGGTAAATTCCATCTTACAAATGTGCCATAATTTTTTTCTGTTTATCTTTTTTTTTTTTTTAACTTTAAGCAGGATGTTTTCTGCCATGCAGATATATTTTTTTTCTTATCGGGTAGAATAAATCAATTATGTTGTTTATGGCCACAGGGTTTTGCAAGATCATTAAAGAGTTCACCCCTTTGCAAGATTACAGGGGTGTGTGTGTGTGTGTGTGTGTGTGTGTGTGTGTGTGTGTTTGAGACAGAGTCTTGTTCTGTCACCCAGGCTGGACTGCAGTGGCACAATCTTGGCTCACTGCAGCCTCCACCTTCTGGGTTCAAGTGATCCTCCTGCCTCAGCCTCCTGAGTAGCTGGGACTACAAGCACGCCACCATGCCCAGCTGACTTTTGTATTTTTAGTAGAGTCAGAATTTCATCATGTTTGTTGGGGTGATCTCAAACTTCTGACCTCAAATGATCTGACTGCCTTGGCCTCCCAAAGTGCTGGGATTACAGGCTTAAGCCACCGCAACTGGCCAACAGTTTTGTTTTGTTCGTTTTTTGTTTTTAATCATTTTCTTCCGGTATTTTTTTGGTTTCCATCTTTGATCCATCAGGCTCCTTCTGGAGGGAGTGGGCCAGCATAGCTCCATAAAGCCACATCCCCAGTATAGTAAAAGTCACCACCTGGAAGGCTGTCTGGCCGCCAGCTTTGCACCCCATGATCAGGCCACTATGCCTGAGTGGAATTGTCCCCTAAACACAGCCCCACTGAAAGGTGAAGCCAGCGGGACTTCCTGGGTCCACTGGGAAGTTGGAGAACTTTTCTGTCTTACAAGAGGATTGTAAAACGAACCAATCAGCACTCCGTAGCTAGGATTGTAAAACGCACCAATCAGTGCTCTGTAGCTAGCAAGGGATTGTAAAATGCACCAATCAGTGCTGTGTAAAAACTCACCGATCAGTGCTCTGTAGCTAGCAAGAGATTTGTAAAACACACCAATCAGCGCTCTGTGAAATGGACCAATCAGCAGGATTCTAAAAGTAACCAATCGCAGGGAGGATTGAGAAAAGGGCATTCTGATAGGACAGGAACAGGACATGGGCGGGGACAAATAAGAGAATAAAAGCTGCCTCCCCCCCAACCCTTCTCCACACGGAGCCAGCAGAGGCAACCTGCTGGGGTCCTCTTCCGTGGTGGGGAAGCTTTGTTCTTTTGCTCTTCACAATAGCTCTTGCTGCTGCTCACCCTTTGGGTCCTTGTCTTCTTTGAGAGCTGTAACACCAGGAAGGTCTGGGGCTCCATTCTCAAAATCAGCAAGACCACAATCCCACTGGAAGGAACCAACTCCGGACCCACCACTCCCTCCTATTACAGGCCCACTGCAGGTGCCTTGCTGAGTCTAGTAGAGAATCCTGCCTGAGCCCCGGCCAAGAGTGGGAGCCAGCCAGGAGCGGGGGAGGGAAGGCAAGTGCGAGGGGGAATGGCCCGTGCAAAAAGATCCCCAGCAGGGCACAGCAGGCAACTGAGGACCAAGTCCAGCTGTGCCTACCGAGATCCACTGTGGAGACCATGATGCAGCACACAGAGCACATGGTCCCAGGCAAAACCGAGCAAAATAGAGGACTCCCTGTGCATACCCACCGGCGAGCTACACCTCACACCGGAAGAGGGAGAGCTTGGCGACCTTTTGCGGCGTGCCAGCCCCTCAGGGAAGGCCGGGTTGTGTCACCTGTCGGGCTCAGGCTCCAGTTCTGACTTAAAAACTCTGATGCTCACGCCTGTAATCCCAGCAGTTTGGGAGGCAGAGGCCCACGGATCACGAGGTCAGGAGTTTGAGAGGCACCTAGCCAACAGGGTAAAACCCCGTCTCTACCAAAAATACAAAAATTAGCCGGGCATGGCGGGCACCTGTAATCCCAGCTACTCCGGGAGGCTGAGGCAGGAGAATCGCTTGAAACCAGAAAGCGGAGGTTACAGTGAACCAAGATCACGCCACTGCACTCCAGCCTGGGGGAAAGAGTGAGACTCCATCTCAAACAACAACAACAAAAAACTCTGAGGCTGTTTTCTCATCTGTAGAATGGGGTGACACTACGGCAGCCCCTGACACTGTGAACCCTAACATCAGCAAGCACTTCTCAGTGGGTGTGTTAGAGGAAAGTGGTCCCGATCCAGACCCCAAGAGATGGTTCTTGGATTTTAGGCAAGAAAGAATTCAGGGCGAGTCCACAGAATAAAGTGAAAGTAAGTTTATTAGGAAAGTAAAGGGGTAAAAGAACGGCTACTCCATAGACAGAGCAGCCCCAAGGGCTGTGGGTTGCCCATTTTTATGGTTATTTCTTGATGATATGCTAAACAGGAGGTGGATTATTCATGCTTCCTCTTTTCAGACCATATAGGGTAACTTCCTGATGTTGCCATGGCATTTGTAAACTGTCATGGTGCTGGTGGGAGTGTAGCAGTGAGGACCACCAGAGGACACATCTTGTTGCCATTTTGGGTTTTAGCCAGCTTATTTACTGCAGGCTGTTTCATCAGCAAGGTCTTTATGACCTGTATCTTGTGCCGACCTCGTATCTCATCCTGTGACTTAGAATGCCTTAACCATCTGGGAATGCAGCCCAGTAGGTCTTAGCCTTATTTTACCGGCCCCTATTCGAAATGGAGTTGCTCTGGTTCAAATGCCTCGGACAGGTGCGGAGGGAGGGTGGTGAGTGGAGCCCACCCACCACAAAGTCACACGCACCCACATTCCTTCTGAATCGTATTTTCTAGGCATCTTACTAATATAATCCCCACAACAACGAGCTGCAGAAGGTTGTTTCTCTCACAGATTTCTGCATATTCTCTGTACTTGTAGAATTTGGGGGAACAAGTCAAGTTACACAAGCTAATCCCTGAAACGTGAGCCCCACGGCTCCTCAGCCCTCTCCCAGAGCCGGTGGCCTGCGTGCCAGGTCCCCGACAAATGCTGGCTCCATGGCAGCTGCGATGACTTCCCTCGAGAAGTGCCAGTCCGCAGGGCAATCTCGAGGTCCTCGTGCGGGTGACCAGCTGCGGCACGGCCAGCACGGCACAGGGAGGGAGGGGCTGTGCTGACCCTCAGGTGTCTCGCGGGGGCCCTTGGCGGTCCCAGCAGAGGGTTTGCCCGTGAGAAGGTCTGGAAGTGCTGCTTCTTACAGGGCTGCCTTCAATTATTTCAGCTGCTCCGAGGTATTTCAAAGTCAGACCAAATAAACATTTGTATCTAAAAAAGGCGAAACAGGGTCATTTGAAATGGAGAAGAAAGCCTTTCCCGTATCCGGAGGGTGTGGCCCGACATTCCGGAGCAGCGGCAAGGGTTCTCTCTGGTTCTGTGCCTGTGCCAGGGCACCTACCCCAGCCCCTGCTTCAGGAGGGAAGTTATTTTCTTTTAAATCAAATGTGTGGCGACCTAGGTTTCCTTTCCCTGATTTGCTCCGTGGTCACCCTGGGCCCCCTGCTGCTGTCAGGTCAACATCTTTAAAGGGCTCTCTGTGCTTTTCCTAAGAAGGGGACCACAACAGACTCGACAGGATCCACCGGTTGGGCCCAAGGCAGGAGGAAGGGCGGCGCCCCCAAACTCCCAGGACGCCTGCAGCACCCCCCACGCGCCGCTCTCCGCCTCTGGGGAGCATCCTGCCACCCCCCGACACACACACCCCGGCTACATCCCGCCTTCTCACGCTTGGTCAGGCGCTCTGGAGATGTCGGAGATCCAGGCTTTTCCTAAAGAGTCAGGATTGGAAGGCGGTGAGGGCATCAGGTTTTTTTTCTTCTCTTTTCTTCTAGCAATTACGCCCCCGTGGCTAAATTAAACTCCCATTGGCTAAATTAGGCTCGAAGAGAGGGGCACCTGCTGCTAAGCTGTGTATGTTGTCCCCTAGGACTCCCACCGTTTGCTGAGCTCCACATGACAACAGCAGACGACAGGCCGCACTGATCCCACCTGGCTTACAGGTGCTGTCACACAGGTACGCCTTCTTGTGAATCATCAGTCACCATTTGCCCCTCGCAGCAACCCTGTCTTGGAGGAAGGTCCTTGCCGACACCCGCCTCTCCCCACCCTTAGGCTCCCTTGCTCCTTCATTCAACCATTGTTTACATGTCGTTCAGGACTGCTGACTAAACACTTTCAAGCACAGTGGACCCTTGAACAACGCAGGTTCAAACTGTGCAGGTCCACCCACAGGGATGTTTTTCAATCAGAGTTATACCAAGTGTCCCTGCCTCTCCTGCCTCCCTTCCCACTTCCTCCATGTCTTCCTCTCTGCCACCCTGAGGCAGCAAGACCAGCCCCTCCTCCTCAGCCACTCAACATGAAGACAACGAGGATGAAGACTTCTATGATAATCCACTTCCACTTAGTAAATGCTTTCTCTTATGATATTCTTAATGACATTTTATTTTCCCAAGCTTAGTTTATTGTAAGAATACAGTATAAATACACATACAAAGTACGTGTTAACTGATTTTTTAATGTTACCAGTAAGGCTTCCAGTTAACAGTAGGCTATTTATTAGTTAAGTTTGGAGGGAGCCTGAAGTTATACAAGCTCTGACTGCGTGAGGGGTTGGCTCTCCAACCCTCACATTGTTCAAGGCTCAACTGCACCTCTCCTACCTATCTCCCCCACCCTCTGATGTAGTAGGATAAATATAAAAACACTTAGAAATCCTTGAAAACCAGGAAAAATGCCACCAACAGACTAGAACATTGGAGAATTTCTGGAAGATATAAAGCGGAGGAGATCAGATTCGTGGTGAAACGCAATAGAGCCAATGGCCTGCAGGTGGGAGACCATTTCAAGTCTGGAAATGGGGTAGGGTGGGGGCAGTGGAGAAGGAATGAGTCATGGAGCTTGGATACGGTAATCACACAAACGGCTACCCAGGTGGCTGAGGCAGTGTCCTGCCTGTCCCCAGGGTAAAGTCTGAGTGCAGCATTCAGACTGAAGACAAAGATGCACCAGGAGCCTCCAGAGCCAACACTGGCCCAAAGAGAGAAGCAGGGGCCCGCCCAGGTGACTGCCAGGCACTGTCAGCCACAATGACAGGGAGAGCGGCCCAGATGAGAGGCCCAGGAAGGCACTCTGCCTTTGCAACGTCCTGGCCTGTCTCCATGACCACAGGTGCCCAGTGGTGCCAGGGTTGCCAGACAGTGGTGGTTTAGTTGTGTGCAAGAACTACTCTGCACAGCAAGAATGATTGGTTGAGACTGACAGATCGCAAACACACTGCATTCAGGAACCCTTCACCCTCTCTTAGAAATGGCTGAGGGTCTCAGCGGGCTTTCATTCATATGAGTTTATCTATCAATATTTACGGTAGTAGAAGTTCAAGTGAAAAATAAATAAATATTCATTTATCTTAAAATAATAATGGCATGTTAACATAAATAACACTTATACATGCTGGGTGTGGTGGCTCACGCCTGTAATCCCAGCACTTTGGGAGGCCGAGGCGGGCAAGTCACCTGAGGTCGGGAGTTTGAGACCAGCCTGACCAACATGGTGAAACCCCATCTTTACCAAAAATACAAAAAATTAGCCAGGTGTGGTGGTGCGTGGCTGTAATCCCAGCTACTCAGGAGGCTGAGACAGGAGAACCGCTTGAACCCGGGAGGCAGAGGTTGCAGTGAGTTGAGATGGTGCCACTGCATTGCAGCCCGGGCAACAAGAGTGAAACTCTGTCTCAAAACAAAACAAACAAAACAAAAAAACTCCCCAATGTCTGGCTTAATAGCTGGATTTTCTTTTTTGTTGTTGTATTTTTTTATTTTTATGTATTTATGCATTTAATTTTTATGTATTCATATGTATTTAATTTTTAAAATTTATTTATTGAGACAGAGTCTCACTCTGACACCCAGGCTGCAATGCAGTGGCACAATCTTGGCTCACTGCAACCTCTGCCTCCCAGTTCAAGCAATCCTCCTGCCTCGGCCTCCCAAGTAGCTGGGATTACAGGAATGCACCACCACGCCTAGCTTTTTTTTTTTTTTTTTTTTTGTATTTTTAGTAGAGATGGCGTTTCACCATGTTGGCCAGGCTGGTCTCAAACTCCTGACCTCAAGTGGTCTGTCTGCCTCAGCCTCCCAAAGTGTTGAGATTACAGGCAGGAGCCGCCATGCCCAGCCAACAGCTGGATTTTCATACCTCCTTCTTTCAAGCTGTAGTGATAACACACATCATGTAGACTCTGGAAAACTCCACTGAACACCCATTTGTATATGTGCTGCTGAAGTGAGCACCTGAACACCCATTAGGAAAAACAAGTCTTTTTTATTCCTATTAAATAGTTTTGGCTTTGCAGACACCCAGAAAGAGTCTTAAGAACCCTTAGGGGTCCATGGATCTCACTTTGAAAACCACTCTCTGGACGTTCATTTACAAATGGGATCAGACAATCAAAAATCCCCAGACATTTGAAGGAAACCAACAGCCTGCAGAAGAAGTAGACAGAACGCTGGAGAAAACAGGATAATAATGCAGGAATCAGAAGAAGACATTAAAATCAGCATAATTCATATCCTTTGAAAGGTTCAATAAAATATAACAACCAGTTAGATGGCAAGTGGGCACAGAGCAAATACACAAAAATCAATACTTTCCATAGATACCATTAAATAATCAATAGGAGAGGACATTTGCAATACCAACAACAATCATAAATAATCTAGGCATAGGCATAACCAAAATTCTGGAGAACCTACATGAAGAAAAATGTTTAATCGTATTAAAGGACATAAATTGAGAGATGTATTATGTTTCCCGTAGGAAGCTTCAATATTGTAAAAGTGGCAATTATTTGAGTTGCTCCGTGAACTGTCCTCTGCATTATACTAGGTTGAGTGGGATTTCTGTCAAGAGTATGCACCAAGAGTCATAACTAATATATCTTGTAGGTCAGCAGTCCCCAGCCTTTTTGGCACCAGGGACCAGTTTCATGGAAGACAATTTTTCCACAGACACAGGCTGAGCGGGGGATGGTTTCAGGGTGAACCTGTTCCACCTCAGATCATCAGGCATTAAGAGTCTTTTAAGGAATGTGCAACCTAGATCCCTCATACGCACAGTTCACAGTAGGGTTTGTGCTCCTATGAGAATCTAATGTCGCTGCTGGTCTGACAGGAGGCGGAGCTCAGGTGGTCATGCTCCCGCGCCTGCTACTCATCTTCTGCTATGTAGCCTGGTTCTTAACAAACCACAGACAGGGAATAGTCTGCAGCCCCGGGTTTGGGGACCACTGCTCTAGGTTGAAAGCCGCTCCAAATAAAATAAAGAGACAAGTGACTGATTACAAGATGTTTGCAAGATATATAATAGTCAAAAGGTTAATATACTTAATATATAACATTCCTGGAGTCATAACATTTTAAGACAAAGAACCTTAAAATACAGGCAGATAATAGAAGCTAAATGACAAGTATCTACATGCATGAAAACGAATCAACCTCTGAATTAGTTAGGGTAAAGCTCACCTGCTCTAACAAAGAGGCCTGATGATACAGAGGCTAGAAGAATAAACAGATTTGTTTCTGTATTAGGTTCTCCAGAGAACAGAACCAATAGGAGAAACACACACACACACACACACACATATATATATGATAAGTATGTGTATATTTATCTAATATATATTATAGATCTATATTAGACATTACATAGGCTATATATATACACAGACACACATGCACACACATTTATTTTAAGGAATTTTGAAGAATTTATTTTAGGGAACTGTTGTAAGGGATTTATTTTAAGGAATTGGCTTCTGCGGTTGTGGAGGCTTGGCAAATCCAAAATCTGCAGAGTAAGCCGGTAGGCTGGAGACTGATATTACAAGTTGGAGTTCACAAGCAGTTGGCCAGCAGAATTCCTCCTTGCTCAGAGCAGGTCAGTCTCTTTTCTCTTAAGGTCTTCAACTGATGGGATGAGATCTGCCCACATTGTGGAGAATAATCTGCTTTACTCAAAATCTTCTGATTTAAATGCTAATCTTATCTTAAAAAGTACTTTCACCGGTTGTGGTAGCTCAGGCCTGTAATCCCAGCACTTTGGGAAGCCAAGGTGGGCAGATCACTTCAGGTCAGGAGACCAGCCTGGCCAACATGGTGAAACCCCATCTCTACTAAAAATACAAAAATTAGCCAGGCATGGTGGCACATGCCTGTAATGCCAGCTACTTGGGAGGCTGAGGCACGAGAATCACTTGAACCTGGGAGGTGGAGGTTGCAGTGAGCCAAGATTGTGCCACCGCACTCCAGCCTGGGCAACAGAGTGAGACTGTCTCAATCAATCAATCAATTAATCAATACCTTCATAAAAACATCTAGAATAGTGTCTAATCAAATATCTGAGCGATGTAGCCAGATATTTAAGTTAACACATAAAATGTGCCATCCCTCTTTCTTTCTCAGGTTATGGATCTGAGCTGAGCAGCAGCTCTGCTCCTCCTGGTCCCCCCAAACCCCAGGACCCTTCTCTCCTGCTGCTCGCCTCCCCTTGGGCACTGCCACAGCCAGATTCTAGGCATCTTGGAGGCCGAGGTACAGAAGAGGCTCCTATCACAGGCCTGCTCTTACTCTGTCACTGAGAACTTGGTCCTGTGGACAAGCCTAACTGTAAAGCAGGCTGGAATTGTAGTTGAGCTCAGCAGCTGCTGCCCAGCCACAGATCTGTTGGGTTGGAAGAAAAGGAACATGGATTGTTTTTTCCCTTTAGTGGAGGTGAGGTCTTGCTATGTTGCCCAGGTTGGCTTGAATTCCTGAGTTCAAGCGATCTTCCTACCTTAGCCTCCCAAAGTGCTAGGATTACAGGCATGAGCAAACCAAGAAGTCTCTACCCAACCTCCCTGTTAAAAAGGAAATGTAAACTAAATCCATGAACTACTTTCTTTTTTTTTGCTTATCAGATTGGCAAAAATTAAAAGTTTGTAATCAGTTGTATGTATCAGACAGGAGGGTTCTTAACCCATAGTAACAACTACAGAAAAAGATCTTATTTTGGAGGGCACTCCGAATCTTGAGGATGCAGGAGGAACAGGCTTGGAAAATGAGCAGGTGTCAAGAGGCCTCCCTAGGTCAATGGCAGAAGCAGGCTTGCTTGGACACTTTGGCCATGGGACATGATGCCACAGCTGGACAGAGTCATGGCCAGGCAATGCCACTAGCACCCCCATTGGACATTCTCTGCCTGTCCCAGGTCTGCAGATGCAGGGCCCTGGGGTTCTCTGCCCAAATGTCACCGTGCCCATTACCAGGGCCATCTGGGCCTGTTGAAGCTTCCCTCTTCCTCACTCTATGACCTGAAGGGGATGGAGGGTCCTTTTCTGGTGGGGTGGGGGTGGGGGTTGGGGAGGTGGAGGTCCAGTATGGAGCTTGAACCGGCAGGCTGGTGTAAGGTCCCCACTCTTTTGGAGGGTTTTACTAATGTCTCTAGGAATCTCAAACACACGGCCAGGCGCGGTGGCTCACGCTTGTAATCCCAGAACTTTGGGAGGCCGAGGCGGGTGGATCACAATGTGAGGAGTTCAAGACCAGCCTGGCCAACACAGTGAAACCCTATCTCTGCTTAAAATACAAAAATCAGCTGGGCATAGTGGCAGGCCTGTAATCCCAGATATTTGGGAGGCTGAGGCAGGAGAACCGCTTGAACCCAGGAGGCGGAGGTTGCAGTGAGCTGAGATCGTGCCACTGCACTCCAGCCTGGGCGACAGAGCTAGACTCCATCTCAGAAAAAAAAAGAAAAAAGAAAAATCTCAATGCCACATAGCCAGTAGTTCCTCTTCTAGGAATCTTCCATTGGTTGCAGAAAAGAACATATTCTTAGTGTAAACAGTAATTCATGGAATAATACGCATATAAAAGTGGGAGGCCTCGTTGTTAACCTTATGAGCTCTGGAGTCAGGCTCAAATTCTGACTTCTGTACTTAGTAGCTGTGTGATCCTGGGCAGGCTACTTAACCTCTCTGTGCCTTAGGCGCCTCATCTGAAAAATGCGAGTAATAGTAATAAACTTTACTGAGGTTCGTGGTGATTAAATTAATATTTGCAAAGTGCTCAGAACTAGATCTTGGCATTTGATGAATACTGATTACCCATTAATTCTTTTTATGATATCCTGACCCCGTTTCTTCCATACAAAGCAGGTTAACATGCATCCGTGCATGTTGGTATGTGCCCAGAACTGTACACACGCACCCATTAACAATGGCTGCCTGGAAGTAGGGGTAAGAAGGAAGTGTGAGTATCCATGTCCCTTTGTGATAGATTTATTTGTGAATTACTGTAACTTCCTACATCAGGCACTGACACTTGTGGACAGGTGGGTAGGTAATAGGTAGTAGCTATACACAGGGGTGAACAAGGACCAAGCAGGCAAAGCCCCTGCCCTGGCACAGGGGACTCTTCCAGGTCTAACTCAGGCAGTGTAAGAACGCCCCAAGGGGCCTGGGGTGCCCAGGAGCAGGGAAAGGGACTGAGGACCGGCGCTTCCCAGTGCCAGGCCACGGCACTCAGCATTAGCCACCCTGCTCCTGGAGGTTCTGGGGCCAGATGTCCCCCCAAGTACGCACGGTCATTCAGTGAACAAGTGCTCTCATCTGGAAGCGCACACGCCTCCGGCGGGCTGAACTGTGGGGAGGGTCCAGGCTCCATAGTGAACCGCCTCCCAGCAACCGGGCTCGCCCATCGGAGGCAGAGGTCTGGCAGGAAGGGCTGGGAAGGGCGGGGTCGGTGCGGCCTGACCCGTACACCCCTTAGGCCTGGAGGCGGATGTGCACTTCGCCCATTTCAACATTTCCTCCCCGGCTGGCCTCGGCCCAGGAAAGAGGCAGGGGTGCGGTTTCCCTCCGCCTCTCCCTCAGCCCTTCTCTCCCGCACCCCTCCTCCTCCTCCCACCGCTCCTTCCTCTCCTCCTTTCCCGCACCCCTCCTTTCTTTCTCGCTCATCTCTCTGCCCTCCTTGCCCCCTTCTTCTGCCCCTCCCCCTCCGCCTCCCCCTCCCCCTCCCCGGGTCCTCTCCCTCCCGTTCCCCCGCCTTGCCCTCCTCCTCCTCCTCGCGGCCCCCGCCCCGGAAACCTGGCTCGCCCCGGGAGGCTGAGGTGGGGCGCGCGGGGTGGTTCAGGGGCCCATCCTCTCCGCCTCCCGCGCGCCCCGCCCGACGGCTCGCACCTGCTTGGCGGCGGCCGCTGGATTCTCGGCCTCGGGCTGAGGAGGCAGGAGGGAAAGTGGGTCAGCGCGGGGCCGCGGCAGGGCTGCTGTTGTGCTTGGAAAGGGGCCCGGGGTGCCGGAGGCCTCTCCCAGGCGCGGCGGCAGGAGCGCCCGCGCGTGACACTCCAGGCACAAAGGGGCCGGGCCGCCGCCTGCACTGGGGCTCGGGCGTGCGGGGAGAGGCTGTCGGGCGCCGCACGCATGGACTGTGTTCCCCTTCCCGGCCACGGCTCGGGGCGGCGGGGGCCCGGGGCTCTCCTGTCCCCGAGCGATGTCCCCAAGGCCTAACACCGCGAGCCGGAGCTAGCAGGCGCCCACCACGCCCGCTCTTCGTTCGCCCCACCCGGGCTAGGTCTGGGCGGCTCCCTCCTCCGGACGCTGTCCCCGCCGCCCCGCCCTGCCCCCTGGTGTCAGCCACAGGCCTCAGCAGCCTGGCGTCCTCCTCCTGGGAGCATTTTTCTGACACCTCTGGGGGACCCGGTCCCCTGACCCCTACGCTCATGCGGTCTGCCCAGGTCTTGGGGGGGCGTTGGCTCTGTTTCCGGGAAACCTCCGAGGCTGATACCTGGCAGCAGCCCTGCGGAGGACTGCCCAGCCACTCACCTCCCGACCACCGTGCACCCCAGCAGCTCTGGGACGCCGGGCTCTGTGGGTGGGCTGGGTCGGGCTGCAGACATGGGTCACTGTCCTAGAGCAAGGACTGGCTGCGAGAGCAAGGAGGGGACCAGGCCTTTGAGATGTCAGTCCCCAAGCTCCCCTCTGCTGTCCCCTGCACAGGAGCAGAAGGGCATGGCCTGAGGGTCAGGGTGCCTCAGCTGGCTTCCTGCACTGCCGCACACCTTGTCCTGTGCCCCCCGCCCCCCGCGTGCTAGGACCTCACCGTCCTAACATGCCCAGAACTCTGGCTACTGCTGGAGCTGGGCCTCCTTCCTGGAGAGCCTATCCCTTGGGTCACCTGATGAATGTTTCACCCTGTTCCAGAAGCTTTCCAAATCTCTCGCCAGAATGCCTCTCCAGCCCTTGGCTCCTGTTGCACAATCTGCATCCTTCTGTGCCCACGCCTGGTGCAGGCCTCTTCTCAGGCTCTGGGAGGCTGGCCTCTGTGAACGCTGGGCTGAGCCAGCTTCTGACCCAGGAGGGGCCCAGGGCTGCAACATTCTCACCCCGCTCCAGGTTTGAGAAGGTATTTCCATGGGAAGCTTGTGTCAAATGCGTACCCTTCCTGTGTGTCCTCACGTGTGTGCAGCAGTAACTGCACAAGGCTATAGTCGGCACTGCTGAGCCTGGGGTAGCCCCTGAGCTTGTCTGAACCCAGCTGAGTGGAGCTCGATTGACAGGCAAGTGTTTGGTGTCCCCCTGGCTTGTAGAAGGGCCGATGTTAGCTCCTGAGACCACCATGTGTCTACTGCGAAAGGACAGCTGGACACCTGCAAGCCTCCTACAGATAGGGGAAGGAGGGAATGGGGAGAAGGGGAAAATCAGTAAAATACGACCTTTTCCAGCACCTGGGAGAGAAGGTGCTCTTGCACCAAGAGCCAGACACTGCTCTCCTGGGGGAGGGGGCCATCTTTCCCGGCTTCATCCCTCTCCCTGGCCTGGGAGGGAGGAGGAGACCCCCACTGGGCCATTCCAGGCAGGTGCTCAGCCAGTGGGCACCCTGGTCAAGCAAGCCTGGGTGCTCCAAGGTGAAAGGAACCTTAAACCCATTGGACTAGGACCCCAACCTTCTTACCACCCTCATCCAGGGACCCTTGTTTTGAAAACTTCTATATATTAAATAAATGGCAATTAAAACAGAAAAATCTGTGACTTTTTTTTTTTTTTTTTTTTTGAGACTGAGTCTCTCTTTGTTGCCCAGGCTGGAGTGCAGTGGCTCGATCTAGGCTTACTGCAAGCCCTGCCCCCCGGGTTCATGCCATTCTCCTGCCTCAGCCTCTGGAGTAGCTGGGACTACAGGTGCCCGCCACCACGCCCAGCTAATTTTTTGTATTTTTAGTAGAGACGGGGTTTCACCATGTTAGCCAGGATGGTCTCCATCTTCTGACCTCATGATCCATCTGCCTCGGCCTCCCAAAATGCTGAGATTACAGGCGTGAGCCACCGCGCTCGGCCCAGAAAAATCTCTTTTGAGTGTGACCCTCAGAAACTCAGCACCCTCAGGGAATTGGGCAGGGGTCGTGGAGGCCCCTCAGAGAAAGGGAGAACTGCTGGGGGTCCCCATCATACACATCCACGTTACACTTTCCTGCAGGACTGGAATTTTTTTTTTTTTTTTAGACAGAGTTTCTCTCTCGTTGCCGAGGCTGGAGTGCAATGGCACGATTTTGGCTCATGGCAACATCCACCTCCCAGGTTCAAGTGATTCTCCTGCCTCAGCCTCCCGAGTAGCTGGGTTTTCAGGCATTCGCCACCACGCCGGCTAATTTTGTATTTTTAGTAGAGACAGGGTTTCTCCATGTTGGTCAGGCTGGTCTTGAACTCCTGACCTCAGGTGATCTGCCCGCTTTGGCCTCCCAAAATGCTGGGATTACAGGCGTGAGCCACCGCGCCTGGCCTAGGACTGGATTTGAGCTAAAGCAAGGAGTGCCAATTCCTGCCCTTGATGACACATGGGCCTCACCAAGCTCTGCCCACTAGCTCTAAGCCTCTAGGATTTCAGACAAATCCTCAAATATAAACACAGAGCCCTATGGATCCTCTCAAAAAAAGCAAGGCGGGGGCCCTGCCAGTTTGGTTATGAGAAAGATTTCATTAGCTTTGTTGTATTTGGCTTTTGTGTCAGGGGCCCAGTTATCACCTTCTGGAATCTCCCTTCCTCCTTGTAAACTCCAGCTGAGTTTTAAGGCTCAGAAGTTTTCAGGCAAAGCAACATTGGATATTAAGACCTGGAAGTTGGTTTTGTTCTTTTTTTGATCAACTAGCCCTTCTTTTATGTCTGTTCGTGGCCAGACGTAGTCTGCGGCTTCACGTAGTAACATCTGATTAAATGATGCACAGCCTATCCTGGGGCCATAGACAGATAATTGCAGGGCTTAATTTTTTCATTTGATGAATAATGAAAGCTTTGCTCATTTTGTATGTGTGGGAAAGAGACAACTTTAATATATTTGAACTTGCAAATGGCTTTTTAGTATTGCTGTCCTGACACACTATAACACAGCCCTGATTGGTTATCTACGAACCTTTCAAAACAGAACAGGCGTTTGGTGCCAAACAGGGCAGGGTGTGGAAAGGAGGGATTCCCTGCCTGTCCTTTTATGTAATGTAATGCACATACATGGCAGAACAAATATTTCTTCCCTAAACACTACATAAACAGTATATCCCACAAATGATCATCATTTGTCATGAACGGTCTCATCATATTCTAATGTCTTAGGGCTGCTACCAGGCTTTTCTCAAGCAACAGAAGAAATTATTCCTACTCGTATTGCTTCTTTTTTCCAACTTCCCTGCCTATGAGCATGGGGGGGAATAGAAAGGGCTTGGCCCAGGAGCCAGCGGGGAAGCTCTAGTTCAGCAATGAACTCTGCTGTGACTTGGCTGTGTTACATCACAGGACTCACTTTCCTTCTTTGGGTTTCGATTGCTTTATCTGTCAGTGGGCAGAAGAGTAATTCCTCTTCCCTTCCTCTCTCCCCTTCTCTCCCTCCCTTCCTTCCTTTCTTTCTCTTTATTTCTTCCTTTCTTTCTCTTCTTTCTTTTTCTCTCTTTCTTTCTTTTCTTTCTTTCCTTCTCCTTCCTTCCTTCCTCCCTCCCTCCCTGTCTTCCCTCCCTCCCTCCCTTTCTCTCTCTTTTTCTCTCTCCTTCTCTCCTTTCTCTCTCTCTTTCTCTCTTTCTTTCTTTCTACAAGATCTTGCTCTGTCACCCAGGCTGGAGTACAGCAGCGTGATCACGGCTCACTGCAGCCTCAACCTCCAGGGCTCAAGCGATCCTCCCACCTCAGCCACTCAAGTAGCTGGTACTACAGGCGTGAACCACCATGCCTGGCTAATTTTTTGTATTTTTAGTAGACACAGGGATTTGCCATGTTGGCCAGGCTGGTGTCGAATTCCTGGCCTCAAGTGATCTGCCTGCCTTGGCCTCCTGAAGTGTTGGGATTACAGGCATGAGCTACCACACCCAGCCTGTTTTATCTTTTCATTATGGAAATTTTCCCTCTCAAACAAAACCAAAGGCAGAGAGAGTTGTAAAATTAGCCCTCACATACTCCTCACCAGCTTCAACAATTATCAGCAAATAATCAATCTTGTTTCGTGTGTGTGTATTTCCACTCACTTTACCCCTGGCTTTATTTTAAGCAAATCCCCAGACATCTGTAGTTTCATTTGTACATATTACAGAATTACATTTCTTATCTAGTGGCTTTGTCTAGTGGCTTGAAATAGCAATCATTTATTGGATCGTAATTCTGTGGGTCAACAATTTGGGCTGGGATCAGCAGGATGGTTCTTCTGTTGGTTTTGTCTGGGCTCTGCCATTTGGATGCAGTCAGCTGGTGACTTGGTTGGAGCTGGACAGTCTTTGATGGCCTCACTCACATGTTTGGGTAGTTAGCTAAGGTGCCTCAGTTCTCCAAGTGGCCTCTCCAGCAGGCTAGCTTCGGCAAGCTTTCATGGTGGCAGCTTTCCGAGAGAGGGCAAGCCCAAATGTGCAAGCACTTTTCAAGTCTCTGCCTGCATCATGTTTGCTAATATCCTATTAGCCAAAACAAGTCACATAACCAAGCCCAGCATTAATGTGGGAAGGAGAATCATAAGGGCATAGAAATGAGGAGTAATCCACTGGGGGCCATTACTGTAGCAATGTATCAAGAGAATATGCTTCTAAAATATAAAAACTCCCTCCCATACACCCTTTTTAAAAACATAACCACAATTCCATTATCACAGCATACTAAATTAACCATAAATCTTTAAATATTGACAATATCCACTTGGTGTTTACATTTCCCTAATTGACACATAAATGTTTCTGTTTTGTTATTTTTTATAGTTGTTTGAATCAGGGTTCAAATAAACCTACACACTGCATTTGGATATGTCCCTTAAGTCTCTTTAAATCTACAGATCCTCTGTTCTCTCTCTCTATTATTTTATTTTATTGTTTTTGAGACAGGGTCTCACTCTGTTGCCCAGGCTGGAGTGCAGTGGTGAGATTTAAGCTCATTGCAACCTCCACCTCCTGGATTCAAGCAGTGCTCTAGCCTCAGCCTCCTGAGTAGCTGGAACTACAGGCATGCACCACTATGTCAGGCTAATTTTTATTTTTTTTATTAGAGACAGGGTTTTGTCATGTTGGCTAGGCTGGTCTTGAACTCCTGACCTCAGGTGATCTGCCTACCTCAGCCTCCCAAAGTGCTGGGATTACAGGCGTGAACCACCTCACCCGGGCCTCTCTCTCTTTTGAATGTTATGGTACTTTATTGAAGAACCTAGGTTGTTTTTCCTGAAGAATGTCTCACATTCTGGATTATGTTGTTTGCACCCCCGTTTCTGTTTAACATGTTCTTCCATCTCTGCATTTCCTGATATATTTAGGGGATTAGATGTGGAGGACCCATCAGATTTCAGTGTAGGTTTTTGGAAATGTTTCATAGATGATGTTAGGCATTTCCACCAGCACACACATAATGTCTGGTTGTATCTCTTTTAGTGATGGTAGGATATACTATAGGGTTCGGGTGTTTTCAGCCTGACCCATCAGCTTTTTTTTTTTTTTTTTTTTTTTTTTTGAGATGGAATCTCACTGTGTCACCCAGGCTGGAATGCAATCGCATGATTTTGGCTCACTGCAACCTCCGCCTCCAGATTCATGTGATTCTCCTGCCTCAGCCTCCCAAGTAGCTGGGATTACAGGCACCTGCCACCATACCCAGCTAATTTTTGTATTTTTAGTAGAGATGGGGTTTCATCATGTTGGTCAGGCTGGTCTTGAACTCCTGACCTCAGGTGATCCACCCGCCTCAGCCTCCCAAAGTGCTGGGATTACAGGCTTGAGCCACCGCGCCCGGCCGACCCATCAGCTTTTTGTTGAGGGGTTTTAGCCCTTGATAATCATGACCTTCATCCGATATTCCAGTGGGGAATTCAATGTGGAATTTTCTAATTCTATCATTCCTCTGCATGGATTAGCTCATCCACAGTTTGGCTCTCCTGGGGTACTGTTTATATACAAAAGGCAAGAAAAGTCCCCATTCTTCCCCGTTATATACCAGTTTTCAGAAAATATTTTGACTTTCCAGCATTCTCCAAAAGTGATCAATTAAGATTGCTTCCTTTTGTTTCGTTTGAGCATTATGATGAAGCCATATTTGGTTTTGGTTTTCTTTTGTTTTCACATTTGAAATGTTTCTGAATACTTCAGGTTTTATTCTTTTTAATGTTCAAACTCTCCCATCTTTGGCCAATGAGGCTCTTCAAGCTGGCTCTTGAGTCCTTTTTACTCACTCTAAGGAGTCTTTCCAAGGCTCACGTTGTCCATTTCTTGCCCTGCACTGGGAGTTAGTTAGGCATTTCTCTGAGAGCATGGCTTCTTTCAGTGGAAAATGCAATTTAGAGACCACAGTCTGGGCACTGGGTGGGGTTGGAGGGTTGAGGAGAGTTATTTGTGACTAAATTAGTCATTGTTTCTATGTCTTGGAGAATTACAGCTTCAGAACTAACAGAATAATAATTTCAGGACAATAATATGAAAATTAGTACCAACAATGTGATTACTAAAGACAGTTTAAGATTTTTTGGTCTTTGCAGTTCTTTTTGCCCTTAGGATACATCTCACTAGGGATGAAGCACCCAATTACACAAAGCCTTGTGTTAAAGGGCCCTGGAAACCATTTTTCTCCGTGGGTTAAGCTACCAAGTAGATTCATACCTTTATGTCTGTCATGTTACTTTTGACCTTGAAATTGCTTTCTTTTTCCTTTTGGCTTAATTTTGTTTTATAGTTATGTAAAACATTTACATGATTTCAAAGTCCAATCTATAAGACAAAGTGTGATCAGAGGAACCTGGCTTCTATCCCAGGCCCCCACGCTTCCCTACTCCCCTTTTCTGTACCCTCCTTTTCTCACTTGAAACTGCATTGCAAGAGCACTTCCTTAGGCATCAGGAGCACTTCTTTCTTACGGACATCCAGTGGTCTGTTGTGGGGATCACCAGGGTGGGAAGAGGAGTGTCCACATTGTGCGTTGCTACCCACCATGGGTTTGAAATTGTTTTAATGGTGCTTAAAGTGTAAATGAAATAGAATAAAAGAGTAAGTATTGTTTGTGTGTAACCATTGTTTAGTTTTATATACCTGTGTATGTACTTTTTTTTTTTTTTTTAACAGAGTTTTGCTCTGTCGCCCAGGCTGGAGTGCAGTGGCGTGATCTTGGCTCACTGCAACCTCTGCCTCCCGGGTTCAAGCGATTCTCCTGCCTCAGCCTCCTGAGTAGCTGGGATTACAGGCATGAGCCACCAGGCCCAGCTAATTTTGTATTTTTAGTAGAGATGGGGTTTCACCATGTTGGTCAGGCTGGTCTCAAACTCCTGACCTTAGATGATCCACCTGCCTCGGCCTCCCAAAGTGCTGGGATTATAGGCGTGAGCCACCATGCCCGGTGTATGTACTCTTTTACAGTGCATCTTGATGTGTTTTGTGCTGCTATAACATAATAATATCACAGGTGGGGTTACTTATTTATTTATTCATTGAGACAGAGTCTCGCTCTGTTGCCCAGGTTGGAATGCAATGGTGCAATCTCAGTTAACTGCAACCTCCGCCTCCTGGAGGTTCAAGCACTTCTCCTGCCTCAGCCTCCTGAGTAGCTGGGACAACAGGCATCTGCCACCAGGCCCAGCTAATTTTGTATTTTTAGTAGAGACAGGGTTTCACCATGTTGGTCAGGCTGGTCTCAAACTCCTGACCTCAGGTAATCTGCCTGCCTCAGCCTCCAGAAGTGCTGGGATTACAGGCATGAGCCACTGCACCCAGCCTGGTGGGGTAATTTGTAATGAACAAAAATTTATTGGCTCATGATTCTGGAGGCTGGGAAGTCCAAGATCAAAGGACTGACATCTGGTGAGGGCCTTCTTGCTGCATCACCCCCTAGAGGAAGGGCAAAGAAAGAGCCAGAATGAGAGCAAGGACTGAACTCCTCCTTTCTGTGGCATTTAATCCATTTATAAGAGCAAAGTCCTCATGACCTAATCACCCCTCAATGGTCCCACTTCTTAATACTGTTACAATGGCAATGAAATTTCAACATGAGTTTTGGAGGAGACATTCGAACCATAGCATAGTGCAATCTATTTGTTCGTCATCAAAAAAACTTGACAAACCCTGGATTAGTTAATTCTGAAGGTTCCTTTGGCACCAAGATTCTGTAATTCTGCCTGCTGTTTAGAGAATCATGCCCTAGGCTTCCTGGGACAAGCCCACCTTTTCCTTTGATAGATTTCTCAGGCATCAGCAGCTAACCTCTCCTGGCATTCACCTGTCTCTAAGGCAGGTGACAGTGGAAGTCAGAAGATCTAAACAGTGCCACTCTCTGCTGTGGTAGGTTCTCTGTGGTCTGGGGTTTGATCTTAGCATCTAGGTCTATATGCTTCCGGAAGCTCCCTCATCTTCTGCTGACTTGCAGGTGCTGCTGGAGATACTATCTGAGCATCCCCAAAGAGCCTTGGGAGCCATCCAGGTCCACACTCAGAAACCCACCCAGAGCTGGGGCAGTGACCTCCGTGTCCTATGGACCAGCTTGAGATATTTTCAAGATTCCCCAGGGTTACGCTGACTGGGCCAAATCCTTTGTAGAGGCTTAGTCTTTCCATGGGAATGGTTTGTACCTGGAGCCTACGAAACATGACACTGAGGGTTACCTGTTTCCACACCATTGCCTTTTTCTTTAATGATGTGTGCCCAGGACGCCCGGGGAATCGGGATTGGCTTGGTGTTGGGCTTTCCTGTGACTGGCTCAGGGTGGGCATGTGATGCAGTGAGCAGGAAGGGGAGTGTTACAGTGAGAGCTTTTCCAGGTGGTGAGGAAAAAGCACACTTTCCCTCCTGCTGGGGCCCTGTGCGGTGTGAAGTGCTGGGGGTGGGAGCAGCCCTCCGTGATTTATGAGGGAGAAACCCCAAACCCCAGACATGCTGAATAGGCCCGGCAGCCCGTGGGAGCATTCCTGAGCCTTGGCAAAGGGGCGTCCCTCAGAGTCATTATCACAGATACCACTGATGACCAGACATTCTGTGGCTTGCAGTCAGTGGCATCCTGTCAGAGAGGATCACGCTCTTCCTTTGAGGTCCACGGGAAGGGACCATGCTGGGGGTACCTTATAGGCCCCTCACTGTTTGGAGTTCTGGAGCTCCAAGAATCAAGGAATTTGGTTCTTGCCCTGCACAAATGTGAAGGGAGGATGCCCCCTTGGCATTGCCATGCCCATTGCAACGGGAATGAGAGAGGGCAGGGCAGGCTGCTCATTTTGTAATTGGCAAAGGGAGGGGGCTTTTTATAATAGAAACTAGGGCAGTTTTGACAGTCCCACGGACCCCCTTGCTTTGGTGTGAGCAGCCACACCCTGTTGTGATTTTATTGTCATCATACTGTCACTTGATCAGCTCCTTTAAGGCTTCGCTGACTTTTATTCTCTTAGATACTGTTGTTTGTGCAATAAGACTCTGAAGTCTTTGCAAGCAAGTTAAATTGAGATACACCAATTTCTTGCATGCAGTATAGGAATTATTCTCTAAAATGCAAATGTAGTATATTAGTTCTTAATGGCTAGGTGTGGATCCAAGTTTTGTGAGGTCTGGAGATTATACAGTCATAAGACTCCTTTAAGAATTAAAAATTTGGAAAATAAAAAATTAGGTATAAAAGCAAATATTTAGAATGAGAAAATAATAAACCTTACAAATTTTAAAGAGCTGAAAACCATCACAAACATCATAAAGTACAGAAATATAACATAACATCTTTTTATAGCTAACTGCCTGACATAATTATATAATACGTGTTTTCCTACATTTTTGGCTACAAATTCTTTAGTCATCCTTTATATGGCAGGTTTTTTTGGTCATATTTCCTATACAACACATAAAAGGGTAATTTAATCTTTTATCTGGCACAGGGGGCCAGAAGCTTCTTCTGTAAAGGACCAAAGCAAATATTTCAGGCTTTGGGGACCAAGCCTATGTATTAAGTACCCATATCCGCCATTGTAGCAGGAAAGTGACCATAGACAATTTGTAAATGAATGAGCATGGCTGTGTTCCAACAAAACTGTATTTACAAAAACAAGTGACAGCCTCCAGGACGTAGTTCAATTGATAGTCTAGCATCAAAATAATAAATTTAATTAAAAGTTTAGAAAACTTTCAGCTTCACAATCCATTATTAGTAATATCATGTACATTTTTAAGACTCAAATTTGGGACCTTTTCTTTTCTTTTTTGAGACAGAGTCTCACTCTGTCACCCAGGCTGGAGTGCAGTGGCACTATCTCAGCTCACTGCAAGCTCCACCTTCTGGGTTTACGCCATTCTCCTGCCTCAGCCTCCCAAGTAGCTGGGACTACAGGCGCCTGCCACCACGCCCAGCTAATTTTTTGTATTTTTAGTAGAGACGGGGTTTCACCGTGTTAGCCCGGATGGTCTCAATCTCCTGACCTTGTGATCCGCCCTCCTCGGCCTCCCTAAGTGCTGGGATTACAGGTGTGAGCCACTGCACCTGGCTGGGACCTTTTCTAATATGTTTTTTTCTCTATATGAGCTGTAAGGTTTCCAGGCATTTTCAGGTTTTCTTGTACAGAGATTCATCTTAATTAAACACACTTTGAAGTGATAATGCCTCTTAATCCGTTTGTCACTGTTATCTGCATTTCACTGCTTTGGTGGCAGTTTTGCATGCTTTTAACTGGAGCCATCAGACATCAGGACCAGATGTATCTGAGACACTAAAACATAATGTGATAAGATGAAATGTATGAAGAACACAACTGCACACACAAATGCTTTTGCTGTGGTAGTGCTACAAGTTTATGCCCCACAAACAGAAATTCTGACAAACCCTACTTCTTTTGATTACCAGCAGCAGACCTGGCTTGGAGGGAGGGTGGCTGACAGGAGGCAGAAGTCATGGTGGACACTACCTTGTGTGACTGAGATCCTTGCTTACCTACTCCATCTGGCCCAAGGGCTCATGCAGGAAGGCTCAAGGCATCTGCTCTGAGCCTCACAGCCTTGGCCATCAACCCAGCCCTGAGCTCCCACTTGCCCTGACTGGCTGGGCAGCCCTTCCCCGCTGCCCACCTGGAAGGAGCCACCAGGGACACAATGCCAGCTCCCTGTCCTGCTCCTTCTCGTCCACTCAGAGGGGTGGAAAGAGGATCCTACAGCGGCAAGCCCCCCACAAATCACCAGTCAGGGGTTCAAGTCCCCACTTGTGAATATCACAGGGAGAGTGGCCCAGCAGACCCCTGAGTGGCATCGTCATCAAGGGTTGGAGGATCCCAGGTTAGCAGCAGTGGGAGGGAGACCAGCGAGTGCCAACAACCCAGCGTGAAGAGCACAACTCACTTGCTACACTGGCAAACCCTTGGATGAGCCCACAGTTCCTTCCAACAAGTCCGGTTTTCCCCAAACACCTTTCTGATGCATACTGTAGGATGATTTATCCTCCTTAGTGAACTTGACATAGACGACACCGTGTGATGGTTAACGTCAGGTGTCCATTTGGCTGGATTAAAGAATACCTAGAGAACTGGTTAAGCATTATTTTGGGGCATGCCTGTGAGGGTGTTTGCAGAGGAGATTGGCATGAGTTTGAGTGGACGAGGGGGGGAAGATCTGCCCTCGATGTGTGTGGGTGCCATCCAATTGGATGAAGGCCCGAATAGAACAAACAGAAAAGATAAATTGGTTGCTGTCTCTCCTAGAGCTGGAATACACTGTTCTCCTGCCCTTGGACATAAAAACTCAAGGCTTTCCTGACGTAGGACTCCAGGACTTACACCAGCAGCCCACCAAGGTTCTTAGGTCTTCAGATTTGCACTGAGCCACGCCACTAGCGTCCCAGGGTCTCCAGCATGTCGATGGTCTGTCATGGGACTTCTTAGCCTCCATAATTGTGTGAGCCAATTCCCCTAATACATTCTGTCTCTTTTTTCTACAGATCTACGTCTATATATCTATATTCCATTAGCCCTGTCTCTCTGGAGAACCCTGACTAGTACAGAGAGGATCACGAGTAAGCAAGCAGGGCACTGACCTTGGATGGGCCACTTGACCTCACAGGGGTCTGGTTTTCTGGAGACAAACAGTGAGTGCCCTCTCCGCTGTGTTAGGGTGACGCTGAGACAATAGGCAGGGAAGCCTACATCCCCCTTGGCCTTTGCCTCGGTTTGAATGGCACCATAGGGCCATTTCCATGTCCCTGCTTCCTGAATCTGAGTCCTCTCCATCCCTGCAAGGGATGCTCCATTCCCCAGACTCCAGCGAAAACCCACTGAGGCAGAAAAGCTCATTGCCCAGCAGATCCCTCGAGTCTGCTGATCTTCCATCTGTTTCGTGGGGAACAGGGGTGGAGGTGGGCAATGAAAGAGTATCCTTTCTCTCACCCATGCCCAGCCCATATTTTGGGGTCCCGAGCCAGAGGAAGGTGGGGTTGCATCCCCCTAAGGCCTGCGCCAGCATTCAGAACACAGGGTTCTCAGTGTGCAGCCTCAGTCTATGGCAGCCCCTGACAAATAGCAGGGCTTTCTGTCTGTGCAGCTGTCTGCCTTACAGAGAGCTGTTTTCTGCCACATCAAAGGCTGGGGAGAACCCGGGCATGTCAAAGGTTTGGGAGAACCCAGGCATGGCTGCTTTCTCTCCCTCCTTCTGTCCTGCCTAGCCACACAGTGATGGAGAGAACCTCGTGACAGAGCCTTGCCCAGGTGCACGTGGGGCGGAGTTCATCACAGCGCTGGCTGGTTTGTTGAAAAGGAGGCCCGGCGGCTGTTCACTGTCTTGACAAACAGCCAGAGAGGCAGGGGAACCCTACACTGTATACTTTTCTCAGTAATAAACCAAGCTATTCATGAATAATGTCCAGAGTGTGTCCTCAAAACAGCGTGGCCCTCATGGTGCTCAATGCCCTGTTAGACTCCAAGCAACCCGAGGACAGGGTTTTGTGTCTCTCTTGCTCACCTTTGCTTCTCCAATGCCCAGTGGGCCTTCAGGGCGCATTTGCTGAGTGACTCCACATTATTCCATATTCACGGTAGAATCTGTTGCATAAGGTCAGGATAAGTCCGCACAGTTACTTGCAACGTGGCTCTTTCAACTGTTAGCAGGTTCTGGACTCCAAAGCCTACATAATGTTATGTGAGGTTGAGAGGAAAATCATAAGCATACTTGCAACCTATAGGACTCAGGTAGTAAGCTTATCCTGGGGGTGGAAACCCCCACTGCCAAGAGTCCAGGTGACATCTCCACCCCAGGCCAGGACGTAGACCCTCCAGGCTACTTCCCCTCACCCATCCTAAGGAGAAGTCAGGCAAGGACCTTGCCAGGGGCCCAAGAATAAGGTTTTCCCCAAGCACTTTACAGTATATGGTATATGGGCATATCGTGGGCACTGGATGTGTGGAAGGCTGGAGAACCAAGCAGTCCCCACAGGTGGGCTGCTTATGCCCACATGAACAGGCAGATAGTGCCTGTTCCACCTGGAACAGGTGTCTTTTTCCAGGTTCTTTGAAAGCCACATGGTCATGTGGATGGATGGCCATCCTGAGAGGCAGATAGAAGACAAGACTCAGGCCAGCCAGTTGGGTGGCCCAGTTCTGCTGATCTCTGGATGGATGGGTAACCCTGGCAAGTTAGACAGTTGCACTGAGCCTATGTTTTCTCATCTGTAGAATGGGAATGATAGTGGCATCCATTTTGTAGCATGATTGCATGGATTAATATATGTAAAGTGCTTAAGTAGAGGCCAGCATGCGTTAAGCACATTTCAGTTATTATAATTAATACCTGGAAGGGAAGAGGCAACCCCCAGCCAGAAGTTCTGTGCTTCTCATGGACAGCAGCGGCCCCTGTCATGGCTCTGCTCATGGCTGTGGACCTGGAGCAACTGGGACAGACAGATGCGTGGGAAGAAAACACCTGCTCCCAGAATGACAGGGCCAATACCTGAACCTCAGGGCATCAGCTCTGACCCAAGGGTGAGCCCCAGAGGCAGTCAGCTCTTGGGGGCAGCAGGAGGAACCAAGAAAAGAGGCAGGCGTAGCTCATATCCAGCCTTCCAGAAGGTTCCACCGTGTAGGAGGAGTGGCTGAGGGGCCGTACTGTGGTGTCAGCCGCCGTTATTTCTAACAAATTCATGCTTCAGCAACCAAACAGAAAGTGCTCACAGCTCACTGCTGGGTGGATTTTGTTCTTGGTCGGATATGATAACCTGGCACCTAGGGGTTCCAAGAGCATGGGGGAGACAACCAAACCAGCCGCCAGCCTAGAACCTGTGTGTGTGAGGGAGGATCTGGGGCAGGGTGGAGAGGGTGAGAGGACAGCTAAAAGTAGGGGATAGCAGGGGGTGGAGGCGCGCAAGCTGGAGCAGGGACAGAGCAGGCAGGCAGGGGAAGGGGATTGGGCCCAGGAATGCTGTCCTGCCGCCATCCAGAGTCAGACCCATAGTCAGGACCCCTGCACCTCACCACACCCGGTTCCTGGACCCTCGGAGGCTCAACAGCACTGGTCCCAAAAGAGAAGGGGCCTGGGGCAGTCAGAACGTGAGAGAAGTGGCAGTGCTTGGTGCCCAGAAGAGCAGCCAGGTCTGAGGCCCGGGGTCCCGCTGGGTTCTGAAAAGTCCCAGTAATAGGACCCGGGGCAAGTCATCTAATCCCCGCGGCTCAGGGGTCAGGCGGCACAGCCAGCACCTCCTGTATGTGGAAGCCGAGGCCCAGGACAAGCACCCCGTGGAGCCCGACTCGCCAGGGCTGAGCCAGGGCTTCAGGGCCTTCTCCCGCCCTGCAAGCCTACTACTTCGCTGCCTGAAGTCAGCTCCCAGGCTCCTTCTTCCCCAGCAGGCCCTGGAGGGAAGGCTGTCCTGGAGAGGTACTGGCTCCTTCTTTCAACTTGCCGTGCTGACTTGCTGAGATTTGCCAGAAAGTGGCTGACGGTCCCCACCTGCTGGTGACGGCGTGGGTGGATGGGAGGCCCTCCGTGATTCAGGAGCACCAGCCGGCTCCTTGACAAGCTGGGCCATGGCCACCGCTACCTCCTCCTCTTCCTCCTCCTCTTTCTGAGCTCTGGTGGAGTCACTACTCTCTCCTCTTTGAATCTTTTTGATTCACTGATTACAACACACACACACACACACACACACACATACACACACACTTGCTCTCTCTATCCCTAAAAAAGAAACCAATGGCAATTTCTGCTCAGTGTGCACTGCTGGTCAGTGACCAGCTCCTTACTGGAAAGAAAACTCCAAGAAGCCTGATCCTGTTTTGCTTCTGGGTGTTCCAGGATGAGCTGACACGTGGGAAGAGGTCTCAAGGGCAGGGTGCCCTGGCCCTGAGGACCAGCCACAGCGTGGAGGGGATGAGACTTGCTGCTGCACCCCGTCCTTGGAGTCTCTGCCAGGAAAGTGAGGGGCCATGGGGAGCTAATGATATTCCCTCCACATCGTTTCCCCCCCCAGGACACCCTCCCCACCAGAGGCTCCTTGCAGCCAGTTAGGAAAGTCCATCACAAGTTCAGTAACGTCTCCAGTTCGGGGACTCCTGGGTCCCTGACACAAGGACAAGAAGTTGAAACAAGGGTGTCACAGACACGGGTTTGGAGTCAATGGGTGGGGGATGAGGCTGTGAGAGGTCAAGAAAGGAGGAAGACCAGTGGGAAGACCAAGGTCTCCTGGAAGGCCCTGGCTAGAATTTGAGCTCAGTCCACACTCACAAGGCCACTCCCTCTCCCTCTTCCCTGAGCTCTGCCTCCCTTGCCTGTCTCCATTTTCCACCCCTTGATTTGGCCCCAGGGCTTATTCATGACCTTGACAAAGGGCAGTTTCTAGGGACAGGAGACTTCAGAAGCTCACACAAAGCAGTGGAGAAAAGAAGGACGGGAAGGCAGCAGGGCAGGGCAAGCGAGCAGGAAGGGGTGGAGGAGTGGGCCAACTTGGGAGGATGGCCTGGCTTCCAGAGAGCCTGGGCACCACTGCTGTTTTGTTTGAAACGTTGAAGACTTGGAGCAAGTTTGGAAGTGAGCGGAGGCCAGGCACAGTGGCTCATGCCTGTAATCCCAGCACTCTGGGAGGCCAAGGCAGGTGGATCACCAGAGGTCAGGAGTTCAAGACCAGCCTGTCCAACATAGTGAAACTCCATCTGTACTAAAAATACAAAAAAAAAAAAAAAAAAAAAAAAAATTAGCCAGGCATGGAGGCACATGCCTGTAATCCCAGCTACTCGGGAGTCTGAGGCAGGATAATCGCTTGAACCAGGGAAGCAGAAACTTCAGTGAGCCGAGATCGTGCCACTGCACTTCAGCCTGGGTGACAGAGTGAGACTGTCAAAAAAAGAAAGAAAAAAGAAAGAAAGAAAGAAGAAAGAAAGAGGAAGGAAGGAGAGAAAGAAAGAAAGAAAGAAAGAGGAAGGAAGGAGAGAGAGAAAGAAAGAAAGAAAGAAAGGAAAAGAAAAGAAAAGAAAAGAAAAGAAAAGAAAAGAAGGAGTCTCATGTGTCCATGTGAAGAGACCAGCAAACAGGCTTTGCGTGAGCAACAAGGCTGTTTATTTCACCTGGGTGCAGGGAGGCTGAGTCCGAAAAGAGAGTCAGCAAAGGGTGATGGGATTGTCACTAGTTCTTATAGGTTTTGGGATAGGCGGTGGAGTTAGGAGCAATGTTTTGTGAGCAAGGGGTGGATCTCACAAAGTAAATTCTCAAGGGTGGGGAGAATTACAAAGAAACTTCTTAAGGGTGGGGGAAATTACAAAGTACATTGATCAGTTAGGGTGCGCAGAAACAAATCACAATGGTGGAATGTCATCAGTTAAGGCTATTTCACTTCTTTTGTGGCTCTTCAGTTGCTTCAGGCCATCTGGATATGTATGTGCAGGTCACAAGGGATATGATGGCTTAGCTTGGGCTCAGAGGCCTGACAGAAATAAAGAAGGAAGGAAGGAAGGAAGGAAAGGAAGGAAGGAAGAAAGAAAGAAAGAAAGAAAGAAAGAAAGAAAGAAAGAAAGAAAGAAAGAAAGAAAGGAAGGAAGGAAGGAGAGAGGGAAGGAGAGAGGAAAAAGAAAGAAAGGAGAGAGGGAGGGAGAGAGGAAAAAGGAAGAAAGAAAAAGAAAGAAAGAAAGAGAAGGAAAGAGAGAAAGAAAGAAGAAAAGAAAGAGAAAAGAAAGAGAGAAAGAAAAAGAAAGAAAGAAAGAGAAAGAAAAGAAAAGAAAGAGTGGAGATATGTAACATGACTTGGTAACCCAACTGTGAGAGGAGGGTAATTGCAGGAGTGAAGTTCTTAGACATGGTGAGCTGAAGGGACAAGGCAGGGCTGGCCCCATGGAAGCAGAGGAGAAGGGATGCTGGCTGACAGCAAGATGGGGGAAGGAAGGCAAGTGCCCGATTCCTCTGTTTTCTCTGTAAACTGAGACAGGAGGCCCTCAGCTGGGGAACAGTGTGCTGGGTACTCAAAGACAGAAAAGTCCAACACACTTGACTAAGGAGGGGAAGGCGGAGTGTGGTAGGAATCCAGGCAATTCGAGGATGATTGGAGAAACCGATCAAGTCCATCGCCCTTGGTGGCTTGCATCCAAATTCATTAACTCACCCAACAAGCACTCAAGGATTGCCATCTACGAGGGAGGAGGAGGAGGGGGAGGTTAGGGATAGAAGAAGGAGAAGGGAAAGAGAGCTACATTGGTAGAGCCCGTACTGAGTGCAGGAGCCAAGCAAAGTTTGTCTCAATCAATCACAGCATCTCTGGGGCTTTGAGGCTGCCCACGACTCCCATTGACTTGGGGGAAGACAGACTTGGAGAGACCACAGAACTTGCCTGGCATCACACGACTAACCAGTAATGGAGCCAGCACATAAGCACAGGTCTGGTCCAGGTTCCCTGGTTTAACCTCTATGCCACCTGCTCCCAGCTGCTGTGCACAAAACAATCTACTTCTTGGTGTGTCGCTCCACAAACTCAGAATGCAAATTATCTTTGAAATTAATCATTCTGGTATTCACTGGCCTTAAAAATAGAAAGCCCCATATCTTCCCCTGGCAGTCCCCTCTTGCCTTGAATTCTCAAGAAATCAATCAATCAATCCAAAAAAATCCCTGGGGACTTGGTGCAAAGTTTTCTTGGTGTGGGAAGAGCAGGTTCCTGACATTGCTCCACGCTGCCACGTGGCGGCGCCATTGAGGCCTGGTCCAACAGAACCTGGAGATGTGTGTCTTTGCTGCTGGCCTGGCCCTCCCTGCAAGGGCACCGTGACCTCAGAGGGGAGCCCAGTCCCTCAGACCCAGCTGCTCCAGGTGTGTCCTCTGCTGTGATCCCCAGGCTTGGCCTTTTTCCCAGCGACCCTCTTAGAGTGACAGTGTCCAGGGCCCTCTGACCACATGTCTAAACATGTAAAAATCATAGTCAGGTGTGGTGGCTCACACCTGCAGTAATACCACCACTCGGCCAGGCGCAGAGGCTGACGCCAGTAATCCCAGCACTTTGGGAGGCCGAGGCGGGCGGATCACGAGGTCAGGAAATCGAGACCATCTTGGCTAACACGGTGAAACCCTGCCTCTACTAAAAATACAAAAAATTAGCCGGGCGTGGTGGCGGGCACCTGTAGTCCCAGCTACTCGGGAGGCTGAGGCAGGAGAATGGTGTGAACCCGGGAAGCAGAGCTTGCAGTGAGCCAAGATTGCGCCACTGCACTCCAGCCTGGGGGACAGAGGGAGACTCTGTCTCAAAAAAAAAAAAAAAAAAAAAAGAAAAAAAGAAAGGTAATCCCACCACTCTGGGAGGCTGAAGAGGGCGGATCACTTGAAGTCAGGAGTTCTAGACCAGTCTGGCCAACATGAGGAGACCCCATCTCTACCAAAAAAAAAAAAAAAAAAAGTAAAGGTCATAAATCAAACTAATATGTATAAAGTTACAGTTTTTATATGATTGAAACGTGGCAAAATATCATAGATGGCTGAATTTAATTATTGTTCATGTCTGGGTGTGATGTTGATGGGTTGGTGTTGTTTGCATGAATAATAAAGTCATACTTCATAAACTGTTATTTATTCTGTAAAATTTATTTTTCCTGCCTTTGCTTTAGCAAAATCACTGATTATGTTGAGATAATGAGATTTTCATAGATTTATGTTCAAATGATAGGAAAGCCAAGTTACACCTTTCCTGAATCAACAAAATAGTTGTTATATATATATTTAAATATATTTAAATTCAATTTAGAGAAACTTTGCTCTGATGAGGTGGTAGCAACTGGAATCATTACTCGAATTCTTTTCTTTTCTTTTCTTTTTTTTCCAGAAAAAAAAAAAAATGCCCAGCCCAGCCTGGAGTGCAGTGGCATGACCCTGGTTCACTGCAACCTCTGCCTACCAAGTTCAAATGATTCTCCCAGCCTCCTGAGTAGCTGGGATTACAGGTGTGTGCCACCACACCTGGCTGGCTAATTTTTGTATTTTTAGTAGGAACAGGGTTTCACCATATTGGCCAGGCTGCTCTCGAACTCCTGGCCTCAAGTGTGATCCTCCCGCCTCAGCCTCCCAAAGTGCTGGGATTACAGATGTGAGCCACTGTGCCCGGCCTCATTACTCAAATTCTTAAAGCAATACTTAGGTTTGAAAATTAATCCCAAATTGTACATAATATGATCAAATAGTGCAATGGGTCACATATGATAAAGTTTCATTCATGTGGAAAACATTACAAAATATCTTAAAACTTAATGAAATACAAAATTTCATAATGAAAATTTTCATCATCTTTGTAGGTGGTGGTTTTCATGCAATCTCACTGTCCTTTTAAGCAATATCTAGATCAACAGCCAAGTACACGGTAGGAAACCTATATTACACACACCTGTTGAGGAGGAGAGGTCTGCAGGTCCTGGGATGGATCCCAATGCTCCTATTCATTTTGCCTGCTGACTTGCTTATGCAGGGAATGGAGTTTCCGTGTGTCTGTTCAATTTTTTTATTGTGATGTTATCTTCAGTGATTATATATATAATTTATATATATAATATATATATTATATATAATTTATATATTATATATATAATTTATATATATAATATATATAATATATATTATATATATAATTTATATATATAATATATATAATATATATAATATATATAATTTTTATATATATAATATATATAATATATATAATTTATATATATATAATATATATATATATATAATTTTTTTTTCCTGTGAGAATTTTTCTTTCTTTTTTTTTTTGAGCTGGAGTCTTCGCTCTGTCGCCCAGGCTGGAGTGCAGTGGCACAATCTCGGCTCACTGCAAGCTCCACCTCCCAGGTTCACACCATTCTCCTGCCTCAGCCTCCTGAGTAGCTGGGACTACAGGCGCCTGCCACCACGCCCGGCTAATTTTTTTGTATTTTTTAGTTGAGACAGGGTTTCACCGTGTTAGCCAGGATGGTCTCGATCTCCTGACGTCGTGATCCACCCGCCTCATCCTCCCAAAGTGCTGGGATTACAGGCGTGAGACACCACGACCAGCCTTCTGTGAGAATTTTTCTATTTGCCTCTGTCATGCACTGCAAAGATATCTCCTGCCTGGGACCTAATGGATGTTAATCATGGAGATTTCCACAATTCGACAGGTGTAAATTCAGACTCCAAACCCATATGTGGCAAGCGGGATTCTAGCATGGCCCCAAGAGTCCTGCCCCTGGTATGAACTCCCTATAGAATTCCTTCCTCTTTAGTGTGTGCAGAATCAGTGACTATGATAGGATGTCACTCCTGTGATTGTCACAAGTCAGTTGACATTGAATTAATCAAGAGGGAGACTATCCAGGTTATCCTGGGTGGGCCTGGCCCAACCAGAGGAGCCTTTGAAAGAAGGTGAAGCTTCATGGAGACGTGGCCCAGAAGACAGCAGACTGTCGTGTTGCAGACTGCTTGTGGGTCTGATATGGTTTGGATCTGTGTTCCCACCCAAATCTCATGTGGAATTGTAATCCCCAGTGTTGGAGGTGGGGCCTGGTGGGAAGTGATTGGATCATGGGGGCAGTTTCTCATGGTTTGACACCATCCCTTTGTTGCTGTCTTCATGATAGTGGGTCCTCACCAGATCTAGTTGTTTAAAAGTGGATAGCACCTCCCCTCTCACCTCTTTTGCTCCTGCTCCAGCCATGTAAGACGACGTATCTGCTTCCCCTTCACCTTCTGCCCTGATTGTAAGTTTCCTGAGGCCTCCCCAAAGCCGAGCAGATGCCAGCATCATGCTTCCTGTACAGCCTGCAGTACCATGAGCCAATTAAACCCCTTTTCTTTATAAATGACCCAGCCTCCGGTATTTCTTTATAGCAGTCCCAGAGTAGATGCACACAGAGTCCATGTCGCGAGGACCAAGCATGGTCTCCAGAAGCTGAGACAAGTCCCAGGGTGGCCTACAGCCAGCAACAAAGTGGGGACCCGAGTCTTGGAACTGCAAGATAGAACTGAATCTTGCAACTTACAAACTGGGCAACCTGAATGAGCTTAGAGAGAACATGGAGCTCCAAATAAATGAACGGAAACTTGATTACAGCCTGGTGAGACCCTAAGCAGAGAGTTTTTTTTTTTTTTTTTTTACTGTGGAGTTTCGCTCTTATTGCCCAGGCTGGAGTACAATGGTGTGATCTTGGCTCACCACAACCTCCACCTCCTGGGTTCAAGCGATTCTCCTGCCTCAGCCTCCCAAGTAGCTGGAATTACAGGTGCATGCCACCACACCCTGCTAATTTTGTATTTTTAGTAGAGATGGGGTTTCTTCATGTTGTTCAGGCTGGTCTCGAACTCCCGACCTCAGGTGATCCACCCACCTCAGCCTCCCAAAGTGCTGGGATTACAGGCGTGAGCCACCGTGCCCAGCTGAGAGTCTTTTTAAGCTGTGCTTGGACTCCTGACCCACAGAAACTCTGAGATAATAAATTCGTCTGGCCTATGTCACCAAATTGTGGTGATTCACTGTGCTGCAATAGAAAACTGTACAGTGTGGGGCATAGGCTGGGCTTTGTTGCTTTCCCCTAGTCCTCAGGTGGAGACTTACTTCCTGGCCATCTCTCTGTGACAGTGGAGGGAGTTTCCACCACCCCGTTCCCTGAGGCTGCAGCCTCCAACCAGGGACTTCAGCGAGGACCCGCAGCCTTGTGAGGGCCTCAGCCACATCCCCTCGTCCAAGCCCCACTCTCAGTTGCAGTGCCTTTCCCTCACCACAGTCTTGGAGCTCCAGCACCCACCTTTCCAGCCTTGGAGGGTCTCCCTCCTGCCTCTGCCCTTCCAGCCCCGACACAGATCAGCTCAGTCCTGAGTACAGGCACTTAGAGTGTGGTGGCCACAATGGGGGCTTCCAAGTGTCCGCTTGGCCTTGCGCTGATCTGTGCTGGTCTCCCGCTCCCATCATCCCGGATCCTGGCGAGCAGGTCCCAGAGTGTTGGATGGGTGGATGGAGGGATGGATCCCATCTGTCAACCGCTGAAAAATCTTCCCTAGGCCATTTTTCCTGAGGGAAAGCAGATGGAAGAGGGAAGTCCTCTGATCTGAAGAAGTCCTGGTCTACCCCACTCCCAAATGGCCTGGGATGGGGCCTCATACCTGCCCGACGCCCTTCCTCTGAGTTCCCTGTGCTGAGGCCCCTTGGTTCCAGGGCCACAGTCTGGAGGTGTCTGCAATGGCAGCATCTGGGGCTCCAGCTTAGTCTGTACCGGCCCTCACCTGAGCCTCCTCCTGACCACGTGCTGGTAACGGTGGCTCCACTGGGTCATGTTGGGCCCAACGAATCATCCAGCCATGCAGAAAAGGAAGGGAAGCGGAGGAAGGGGACTGCCTCCAGACACTGCCCCAGCTTTTTGGGGCTCCTAGGCCAAGGGACCCAGGTTCAAATCACAGCTCATTAGTCTCTCAGAGTGCATTTCAAGGAGGATCTGAGTGTTGAGGCCTGGACTTTCTACACTTTGGAAGACCTTCTTTGAGGAAGCTGACTCTTTACAAAAGTGGCCATGACAATATTTATCCTTCTAGAACCTTGCCTAATCCCGTGAAGAAGTAAGAATTCCCTCCCCCTGTGTCTGGGGGAGACTTTGTGACTGCGGATTTGCCGGGTGACTCCTGAGGCTCAGTCAAAAATGATGACACTGCTTCCCATTGGCTTGGTTTTTTTAACTGGGACACTTGAACTTGAAGCCAGCCACCATGCTGTGAGGAAGCCCAGGCAACACAGAGAAGCCATGTGTGGGTGTCCTGGTTGACAGTCAAGTTCGGGTCCCAGCCAGCAGCCAGCAGCCAGCACCAACTTACTGATAGATAGGTCGGGAAGAGGCCTCCAGTTGGTCCCACCCCTGCCTTAGCATTTTTCACTTAAGACCCCAGACACACAGGAGCAAAGACAACCTGTAGCTGCCATGCTCACAGAAAACAGGGAGAGATAATAATCTATTATTATTGCTTTTTTAAAATTAAACTTTTTTATTTTGAGATAATTGTAGATTCAAATGCAGATATTAGTAGTAATACAGAGATTTTCATGTACCCTTCACCAGTTTCCCCCAATAATCACATCTTGCAAAACTGTAGTACAACATCACAATCAAGATATTGACATAGATTCATCAAGGCACAGCTATTTCCATCCCCATAAGGATCCCTTTTAATAGCCGCTCCATCTCCCTTTCCTCCCACCCTTTCCCTAACCCTGGCAACCACTAATCTGCTCTCCATTTTTATAATTTTATCATTTCAAAGATGTTACATAAATGGATTTAGACAGTATGTACCCGTTTGGAATTGACTTTTTTCACTCAGCATAATTCTCTTGAAATTTCATCCAAGTTGTTGTGTGTGTGTGAATGGTTTGTTCTTTTCATGACTGAGTATCCATAACATGGATGCTCCATAGTTTGTTTAGGCTTTCACTTATTGAAGAATATCTGGGCTGTTTCTACTTTGGGTCTATTACAAATAAAGCTGTTATGAACACTCATGCACAGGGCTGTGTGTAAAAATAAATTTTCATTTCTCCGAGATAAATGCCCAAGAGTGCAATTGCTGGGTCATATGGTAGCTGCATGTTTGGTTTTATAGGTAACTGCCAAACCGCATCCCAGAATGGCTGTGCCACTTTATATTCCCGCAGCAATAGATGAGTGATCCATTTTTCTATACATCTTCACCAGCATTTTTAAAATGTTGAATTGTGGTAAAATATATATAACATAAAATTTACCATCTTAGCCATTTATAAATGTACAGCTCAGTCATGTTAAGTACATTCACATTATTGTGCAGCCAGTTTCCAGAACTCTTTCCAAGTTGCATATCTGAAATTCTGTATCCATTAAACAACAACTCCTCATTCCCTCCTGCCCCCAGCCCCTGGCAACCGTCATTCTACTTCCTGTTGCTATGGATTTGACTACTCGAGGTACCTCATATAATTGGAATCTTACAGTGTTGTCCTGTTGTGACTGGCTAATTTCACTTATAGCATAATGTCTTCAAGATTCATTCCTCTTGTAGCATGTGTCAGAATTTTCTTCCTTTATTCCATCATATGGACATAGCACATTTTGTTTGTCCATTCATCTTGGACACTTGAGTTTCTTCCTCATTTTGGCTATTGTGAATAATACTGCTATGAGCATTGGTATACAAATAGTTCTTCAAAAAAAAAAATATATATATATATATATATATTTTAGACTGAGTTTCACTCTTGTCGCCCAGGCTGGAGTGCAACGGCACCATCTCAGCTCACTGCAACCTCCGCCTCCCGGGTTCAAGCAATTCTTCTGCCTTAGCCTCCCAAGTAGCTGGGATTACAGGTGCCCACCAGCATGCGCAGCTAATCATTGTAGTTTTAGTAGAGATGGGGTTTCACCATGTTGGCCAGGCTGGTCTTGAGCCCCTGACCTCAGGTGATCCACCCACCTTGGGGCCTCCCAAAGTGCTGGGATTACAGGTGTGAGCCACTGCGCCCAGCCCAAACAGGTATATTTTTACTTCTTCTTTTCCAATTTGGACATCTTTTCTTTTTCTTGTCTAATTTATCTGGCTAAGATTTCTAGTATTATGTTCAATAGAAATCCTGTTCCTGATCTTAGTGCAAAAGCTTTTAGTCTTTCACCATTGAGTATTATGTTTGCCTATGAGTATTTCATATATGCTTTTTTAAAAAATTTAATCTAATTTTATTTTTTTTGAGAGAGTCTTACTGTATCACCCAGGCTGGAGTGCAGTGGCATGATCTTGACTCACTGCAACCTCCACCTCCTGGGTTCAGGTGAGTCTCGTGTTTTATCCTACCAAGTAGCTGGGATTACAGGCGTGTGCTACCACGCCTGGCTAATTTTTGTATTTTTAGTAGAGACAGGGTTTTGCCATATTGGCCAGGCTGGTCTCGAACTCCTGGCCTCAAGTGATCCACCTGCCTCAGCCTCCCAGAGTGCTGGGATTACAGGCATGATATATATATATATGGCTTTTATTATGTTGAGGTAGTTCCCTTATATTCCTACTTTGTTGAGTGTTTTTCTCATGAAAGGGTGCTGACTTTTGTCAAATTCAACAAAAATTGAGATGTTTTCTGGATCAATTGCAATAATCCTGTGGTTATTTCCTTCATTCTATTGATGTGATGTAAAATGAAAAAACATTGATTGATTTTTATATATTGAACTATCTTTGCATTCCAGGAATAAATCCCACTTGAACAAGATGTATAATTCTTTTAATATGCTGTTGAATTCTGTTGACTAGTATTTTGTTAAGGATTTTAGCATTAGTATTCATTGGAGATATTGATCTGTTGTTTTCTTTCCTTTTAGTGTCTCTGTCTGGTTTTGGTATCAAAGTAATACCACTTAGAATGAGTTAAAGTGTGTTTCTTCCTTTTTAATTTATTGGGGAGTATGTGCGGAGGATTGGTGTTAATTCATTACTTAAATTCTTGGTAGAATACATCTGGTCCAGGGCTCTTTTTTTGTTAGAAGCTTTTTTGTTATTAATTCATTCTCCTTGATGGATATAGGTTTGTTCAGCTTTTCTATTTCTTCATGAATCAGTCTTGCAGATCATGTGTTTCTAGGAATTTACCCATTTCATCTAGGTTATCCAATTTGTTGAGAGTCGTTCATAGTATTCTCTTACAATCCTTTTTTATTTCTGCAAAATCAGTTTTAATGTACCCTCTGTCATTTCTGATTTTAGTTATTTAAGTCTTCTCTTTTTTTCTTATGCAATCCAGCTAAATATTTGCTGATTTTGTTGATCTTTTCCAATAACCAACTTTAGTTTCATTGATTTTCTCTATTGTTTTTCTATTCTCTATTTATCTCTTCACTAATCTTTATTATTTCCTTCCTTCTACTACCTTTGAGTTTAGTTTGTTTTTCCTCTCCTAGTTCCTTAAGGTATAAGTTAGATTGTTGATTTGAGATCTTTCTTCTTTTCTACTCTAAGCATTTACAGCTATAATTTTTCCTCTTACCACTGCTTTTGCTGCACCCACAGTTTTGACATGTCATGTTTTGTTTTTATTTTTCTCAAGATATTTTCTAATTTCAGTTGTGGTTTCTTCTTTGACCCATTGGTTATTTAAAGTGTGTTATTTATTTCTCACATACAAATTTCCACATTTGTGTTTTTTTCAGTTTTCCTTCTGCTATTGATCTCTAGTTTCATTCAATTGTGATCAGAAAAGTTAAGTTGTATGATTTCAAACTTTTAAAATTTATTAAGACTTGTTTTGTGTCCTAATATATGATCTACCCTAGAGAATGTTCCATGTGCACTAGAGAAAAATGTGTATTCTGCTCTTGTTAGGTGTAGTGTTCTATATATATCTGTCAGATCAATTGGTCTATACTGTTGTTCAAGTCCTCTGTTTTCTCAATGATTTTATATGCAGTTGTTCTATTCATGTATTAGTCTGTTCTTGCATTGCTATAAAGAAATACCTGGAATTGGATAATTTATATATGAAAGAGGTTTAATTGGCTCATGGTTCTGCAGGCTGTACAGGAAGTATGACAGCTTCTGGGGAGGCCTCAGGAAACTTTCACTCATGGTGGAAGATGAAGAAGAAGCAGGCACATCTTACATGGCTGGAACAGGGGAAAGAAAAGAGTGGGGAGGTGCTACACACTTTTAAACAACCAGATCTCATGAGAACTCTATCATGAGATAGCACTAGGGTGATGATGTTAAACCATGAGAAGTCACCTTCATGATCCAATCACTTCCCACCAGGCCCCACCCACAACACTGAGAATTGCAATTCAACATGAAATTTGGGTGGGGACACAGATCCAAACCATACCAATCCATAAGTGAAAAATAGTACTAAAATATCCAACTATTATTGTAGAGCTGTCTATTTCTCCCTTCAATTCATCAATATTTCCTTCATAGATTTAGGAGATCTGATATTTGGTGCATATATGTTCATAATTGTTACATCTTCTTGAAGAATTGATCTTTTTATCATTATACAATGTCCTTAGACCTTAAACTATAAATATCCCATAAGAGACTCTAGAAAATATCCTTCTAGACATTGGCCTAGGCAAAGACTTTATTACTAAGTCCTCAAAAGCAAATACAACAAAAACAAAAATTGACAATTGGGACCTAGTTAAACTAAAAATCTTCTGCACATCAAAATAAACTGTCAACAGAGTAAATAGACAACCTACAGAATGAGAGAAAGTATTTACAAACTATGTACCCAACAAAGGACTGATATCCAGAATCTGCAAGAGAGTTAAACAAATTAACAAAAATAAATAAATAGCACCATTTAAAAGTGGGCAAAAAACATGAAAGACAGTTTCAAAAAAAGACAGAGAAGCATCTGAGAAACATATGGAAAAAATGCTCAACATCACTAATTATGAGAGAGATGCAAGTCAAAACCACAGTGAGATATCATCCCATACCAGTCAGAATGGCTATTATTAAAAAGTCAAAAAATAACAGATGTTGGTGAGATACTGGAGAAAAGTGTATGCTTATACACTGTTGATGGAAATGCAAATTAGTTCAGCACCTGTGGAAAGCAGTTTGTAGATTTCCTAAAGAACTAAAAGTAGAATTACCATTCAACCCAGCAATCCCATTACCCAGGTATATATCCAAAGGAAAATAAATCATTCTACCAAAAAGACACCCGCACTCATATGTTTATCACAGTACTATTTATTCACAATAGCAAAGACATGGAATTAATCCAGGTGCCCATCAATAGTGGATTGAATAAAGAAAATGTGGTACATATACATCACGGAATACTATGCAGCCATAAAAAATAACAAAATTATGCCCTTTGCAGCAACATGGATGCAGCTGGAGGCCATTAATCTAAGCAAATTAACGTAGAAGCAGAAAACCAAATACCTCATGTTCTCACTTGTAAGTGGGAACTAAACATTGGGTACACATGGACACAAAGATAGGAACGATAAACACTGGGGATTCCAAAACGGGGAGAGAGAGGGAAGGAGACGGGAAAGGGTTGAAAAACTACCTGTTGAGTACTATGTTCACCACTTAAGTGATGAAATCATTAGAAGCCCAAACCTAGATTAGAGCATCACGCAATATACTGATGTAACAAACCTGTACATGTTCCTCAACCCCAAAATTTTAAAAAAAATGTAAAAATCTGTCCTTGTGTACAATATGATCAGTGATGTGTGCAGGTGCAGGTAAACGTACATCTTTCATGCCTATAGTATTCGCATATGACTTTATACAAATGTTTGGATCTGCGTTGCAAGTGGAATAAACCCCTTCAAAAATTTTTTTTAGTTGGTTGCTGCAGTTTCTTAACTGGTTTCTAGAGTTCTCACAAAGCTATTTTTGTGCAGTGTTGTTATTTATTCAGTGTTTCCTTGGGGGATCCTGGAGCTTCCTAAACTGCCATCCCGCTTGTCATTAGTTTTTATTTTAAATATTCTGATAGCTGTATAGTGCTATCTCAAAGTGGATTTAATTTGCATTTCTCAAATGGTTACTGATGTTGAATGATGTTTTTATATGCTTATCTGCCATCCCTTTGCTCTCTTTCAGTGAATTGTCTGTTCATGTCTTTTGCCCATTATCTAATTGGATTTTTGCTTGGTTTTGCTTTATACTGTCAAATATAATATTTCTTTATGTATTCTAAATACAATTTTTTGGGTCAAATACATATTAGCAAAGATTTACTCCAAGTCTATAAATTGCCTTTTTATCTGAACTGTGTATTTTGTCAAACAAAAGTTTTTTCTTTTCATGAGGTCTAATTTTTCAGTTTTTCCTTTTGTCAATTGTGTTTTTGGTTTAAAATCTGTAACTCTATCCATAGCCCTAGCCCATAATCCATTTTGAGATAATTTTTTAACGAATTGTGAGGTTTAGGTTAAGGTGTTTCTTTGTTTTATCTTTGTTTGATTTTGACAGACATGGTCTCACTCTGTTACCCTGGCTGGAGTTCAGTGGTGCAATCATAGCTCACTGCAACCTCAACCTCCTGGGCTCAAGGGATCCTCCTGCCTCAGCCTCCCAAGTAGCTAGGACTACAGGTATGCACCAACATGCCTGGCTAACTTTTATTTTTATTTTTTGTAGAGATGAAGTCTTGCTATATTGCCTAGGCTGGTCTGGAACTCCTGGCCTCAAGTGAGCCTCCTGCCCTGGCCTCTCAGAGGACTGGGATTATAGGCATAAGCCACCATGCCCAGGCAACACTATTTGTTGAAAAGGCTTTCCTTCCATTGAGTTACTTTTGCACCTTTAAAAATATCAGCTAGGCATATTTGTGTAGGTCTACTTCCGGGTTCTCTAGTATTTTCCACTTATCTATGTGTCTATTCCTCCAACAATACCACACTCTCTTGATTGCCTTAGCTATGTGATATTCATTGTTTTATACGTGTGTGTGATTGTATGTGTGTGTGTATTAAGAGGCAGGGTCTTGCTCTGTTTTCCAGGCTGTAGTGCAGTGATGGGATCATAGCTCACTGCAGCCTCAAACTTCTGGGCTCAAGAAAACCTCCCACCTCAGCCTTTCGGGTAGCTAGGACTACAGGCATGTACCACCAGTAATTTTATATATATAAAATTTTGTAGAGACAAGGTCTCACTATATTGCCCAGGCTGGTCTTATACTCCTGGCCTCAAGCGATCCTCCCATCTCGGCCTCCCAAAGCACTAGGATTACTGGCATGATCCACAACATTTGGCAGGCCTGTGTTTTTTCATATAACTTTTCGAATAAATTTGTCTATGTCTACAAAAAAAAATTTTTTGGAATTTTTGTAGAAATTGCATTAAACTTGGTTGGTGCAAATGTAATTGCAGTTTTGCCATTACTTTTATTTTTTATTTTTTTTTAATTTTTTAGTATTTATTGATCATTCTTGGGTGTTTCTCGGAGAGGGGGATTTGGCAGGGTCATAGGACAATAGCGGAGGGAAGGTCAGCAGATAAACATGTGAACAAGGGTCTCTGGTTTTCCTAGGCAGAGGACCCTGTCGCCTTCCGCAGTGTTTGTGTCCCTGGGAACTTGCGATTAGGGAGTGGTGATGACTCTTAACCAGCATGCTACCTTCAAGCATCTGTTTAACAAAGCGCATCTTGCACCGGCCTTAATCCATTTAACCCTTCGTGGACACAGCACATGTTTCAGAGAGCACGAGGTTGGGGGTAAGGTTATAGATTAACAGCATCCCAAGGCAGTAGAATTTTTCTTAGTACAGAACAAAATGGAGTCTCCTATGTCTACTTCTTTCTACACAGACACAGTAACAATCTGATCTCTCTTTCTTTTCCCCACATTTCCCCCTTTTCTATTCGACAAAACCGCCATCGTCATCATGGCCCGTTCTCAATGAGCTGTTGGGTACACCTCCCAGACGGGGTGGCGGCTGGGCAGAGGGGCTCCTCACTTCCCAGAAGGGGCGGCCAGGCAGAGGCGCCCCCCATCTCCCGGATGGGGCGGCTGGCCGGGCGGGGGCTGCCCCCCACCTCCCGGACAGGTGGCTGCCGGGCGGAGACGCTCCTCACTTCCCAGACAGGGCGGCTGCCGGGCAGAGGGGCTCCTCACTTCTCAGACGGGGCGGCCGGTCAGAGACGCTCCTCACCTCCCAGACGGGGTGGCGGCGGGGCAGAGACACTCCTCAGTTCCCAGACGGGGTCGCGGCGGGGCAGAGGCGCTCTTCACATCTCAGACAGGGCGGCGGGGCAGAGGCGCTCCCCACATCCCAGACGATGGGCGGCCAGGCAGAGACGCTCCTCACTTCCTAGACGGGATGACGGCCGGGAAGAGGTGCTCCTCACTTCCCAGACTGGGCGGCCGGGCAGAGGGGCTCCTCACATCCCAGACTATGGGCGGCCAGGCAGAGACGCTCCTCACTTCCTAGAGGGGGTGGTTGCTGGGCAGAGGCTGCAATCTCGGCACTTTGGGAGGCCAAGGCAGGCGGCTGGGAGGTGGAGGTTGTAGCGAGCCGAGATCACGCCACTGCACTCCAGCCTGGGCAACACTGAGCACTGAGTGAGCGAGACTCCGTCTGCAATCCCGGCACCTCGGGAGGCCGAGGCTGGCAGATCACTCACGTCAGGAGCTGGAGACAAGCCCGGCCAACACAGCGAAACCCCGTCTCCACCAAAAAATACGAAAACCAGTCAGGAATGGCGGCGCGCGCCTGCAATCCCAGGCACTCGGCAGGCTGAGGTAGGAGAATCAGGCAGGGAGGTTGCAGTGAGTCGAGATGGCGGCAGTACAGTCCAGCCTCGGCTCGGCATCAGAGGGAGACCGTGCAGAGGGAGACGGAGACAAGAGGGAGGGGGAGGGGGAGGGAGAGGAGGAGGGAGAGCTTGCCATTACTTTTAATGGTAAAAATCGCAATTATGTTTGCACCAACCTAATAGATCAACCTAATAGATCAATAGTTCATCTTTACTATGTTGAGTCCTCCAATCCATAAACATGATGTCTCTTTACTGACTTAGGGCTCCTTTGATTTATTTCATCAGCATTTTATAAATTTCAGCCTAGAGATTCTGCATGTATTTTGTTAAATTCATACACATGTATTTCACTTTTGTTGTAAATGGTATTGTGCTTCTCATTTCGGTTTCTACATGTTAGCATATAGAAATGGGATTGGTTTTTGTGTTTTGATCTTGTATCCTGAAAACCAGCTGAACTCACTTCTTAGTTCTGGGAGTTTTTTTTTAATTACCTGAGATTTTACGTAGACAATCACGTCATTTGCAAATAGGAGTGGTTTTTATTTCTTTCCTTTCCCTATGAATGCATTGTACTGCATTTTCTTGCCTATTGCCTTACTGAAGCAGCTAGAGCTTCCAGTACCATACTGAATAAGAGTGGTGAGAACAGCTTACATGCCTTCTTCCCAATCTTGGGGGGAAAGCATTCAGTTTATCACCATTAAGTATGATGTTAGCTGTAGGGTTTTTGTAGATTATATTGATTGATTTCAAATGTCGAATCAGGCTTGCAACTCTGGATTAAATCCCACTTGGTGATGGTATATAATTCTTTTTATACTTTGTTGGAGTTAATTTTCTAAGATTTTTGCATCTAAGCTCATGAGAGATATTGGTCTATGGTCTTTGATATTGTTTGGCTCTGTGTCCCTACCCAAATCTCATGTTGAATTGTAATCCCCAGTGTTAAAAGAAGGGCCTGGTGGGAGGTGATTAAATCATAAGGGTGGTTTCTAATGGTTTAACACCATATCCCTAGTGCTGTCTCATGATAGAGTTCTCATGAGATCTGATTGTTTGAAAGTGTATAGCATTTCCCCCTTCACTTGCTCTCTCTTCTGCTGGCCATGTGAAGATAAGCCTTTTTCCACTTCACCTTCCACCATGATTATAAGTTTTCTAAGGCTTCCCCAGAAGTAGAAGCCTGTACAGCCCACAGAACTGTGAGCCAATTAAACATCTTTTCTTTATAATTTACAAAGTCTCAGGTTTGTCTTTATATCATGTGAAAGCGGATTAATACAATCTTCTTTCTTTGTATTGTCTTTGTCTAGCTTTGCCATCAGGTAATTCTGGCATGGTGGCTCATTTCTGTAATCCCAGAACTTTGGGAGGCCAAGGCTAAGGAATGCTTGAGGGCAGGAGTTTGAGATCAGCCTGGGCAACACAGTGAGGCTCCATCTCTACCAAATATATATATTCTCACTCTCTAACATATATATATATACACATGTATGTGTGTGTGTGTGTGTGTATATGTATATGTGTATGCATGTATATATATATAGAGAGAGAGAGAGAGTAAAATTTCTGTATTTGTGTTAATTATTTTTAAATGTTTGGTAAGATACTCCAATAAGACTGTTGGACCTAGAGATTTCTTTTCTGAGTGTTTTTGAATTACAAATTCAATTTATTTAATGGTTATAGTTCTATTCAGATTATCTATTCCATCATAGTGAGTGTGGTGTTTGTGAATTTCAAGGAATTAGTCTATCTTTTCTAAGTTGTTGAATTTGTGAACACGAAGTTGTTTATAATATTTCCTTATTACCATTTTAATGGGCCAAGTATGTGTAGCAATATTTTCTTATTTATTTATTTAGCTGAAAAAAGTGTGCATGATATAGTGATATTTTCTATTTCATTCCTGTTATTGGTGATTTGTGTCTTCATTCTTTTTATATTTATTGGTTTTGCTAGAGGTTTATCAATTCTATGGATTTTTTAAGAACAGGTTTTTTGTTTTATTGATTTCATTTTTTGTTTTCAATTAATGGATTTCTGCACTTGTTAGTTTCTTTCTTCGGCTTGCTTTGGTTTTATCTTGCTATTTTCTCTGTACATTTTTGAAACAAGATCTCAGAGTATTATATTGAAAGTTTTTCTATTTTCTACTGTAAGCATTTAGTGGTTTAAATTTCCTTCTCAACATTGCTTTATCTGCAGTCCATAAATCTTATATGTTGTGTTTTTATTTTTATTAAGTTCCATGTATTTCTTCCTTTGAGACTTCCTTTGATTCATAGATTACTTAAATGTTTGTTGTTTAATTCCCAAGTGTTTAGAAATTTTCTTGTTATGTTACTGTAATTTTTAGTCTATTTCAATTATAGTCAGAGAACACACTTTGCATTATTTCAATTTTTAAAAATTTGTTGTTCTGATGCAGTGGTTCATGCCTGTCATTGCAGCACTTTGGGAGGCAGAGGTAGGAGGATTGCTCAAGGCCAGGAGTTCGAGATCAGTCTGGACGGTATAGCAAGACCTGTCTCTATATAACAATTTTAAAAATTAGCCAGACATGGTAGTACACACCTAAAGTCCTAACTATTCGGGAGGCTGAGGTGGGAAGAATGCTTGGGTCTGGGAGTTTGAGGTTACAGTTCAGCCTGGACAACAGAGGGACTCTGTCTCAAAAAAATTTTTTTTGTTGATATCTGTTTTGTGGCCCAGGATACAGTCACTCCTGTTGAATGTTTCATAGGTGCTTGAGAAAAAATTATATTGTACTGTTTTGGGGTAGAGTGTTCTATATTTGTTCATTAGATCCTGTTGGCAAATCATTTTGTTCAGATCTTCTGTATTCTTGCTTAGTTTCTGTACAGTAGTTCTTTTGGTTGCTGACAGGGAGGTGTTAAAGTCTCTAGCTACAACTATAGACTTGCCTATTTCTTTCTTTCTTTTTTTTTTTTTTTTCAAGATGGAGTCTTGCTCTGTCACCCAGGCTGGAGTGCAGTGGCGTGATCTCAGCTCACTGCAACCTCTGCTTCCCAGGTTCAAGGAATTCTTCTGTCTCAGCCTCCCAAGTAGCTGGAATTACAGGTGCCAGCCACCACACCCAACTAAGTTTTGTATTTTTAGTAGAGACAGGGTTTCACCATGTTGGCCAGGCTAGTCTCTAACTCCTGACCTTGTGATTTGCCCACCTCAGCCTCCCAAAGTGCTGGGATTACAGGTGTGAGCCACCACTCTCAGCCTACTTGCCTATTTCTTTATTTTCTCTCTGTTAATCAGATTGGGTAAATTCTATTGATCTGTCCTAAAGTTCTGATTCTATCCTCTGTTGTGTCCACTTCACTATTTAGTCCATCCAGTGAATTTTTATTTCTTTTGTTGTATTTTTCAGTTCTATAATTAGTTCTTTTTTAATAACTTCTATTACTTTGCTTAGATTTTCCTTTTTTCATTTATTTCAAGAGAATTTGTAGTTAATCATTGAATCACTTTTATGATTGTTTTTAAAGTTTTGTCAAATTGACCAGGCGTGGTGGCTCATACCTGTAATCCCAGCACTTTGGGAGGCAGAGGCAGGCAGATCACTAGAAGTCAGGAGTTTGAGATCAGTCTGGCCAACATGGCGAAACCCCATCTCTACTAAAAATATGAAAAAATTTAGCCAGGCATGGTGGTTCATGCCTGTAATCCCAGCTACTGGGGAGGCTGAGGCAGAAGAATCATTTGAATCCAGGAAGTGGAGGTTGCAGTGAGCCAAGATTGTGCCACCGCACTCCAGCCTGGGTGACAGAGTGAGACTCTGTCTCAAAAGAACTAAAACAAAATAAGATAAAATAATTGTTTTATTAAATAATTCCAACATCTGATTCATCTCACTGTGGGTATCAGTTTGTCGCTTTTCTCATTTAAGTTGCAATTTTTCTGGTTGTTGATATGACAGATGACTTTCTATTGTGGCCTGGAATTTTGAGTCTTAGATTAGGAAATTCCAGGTCTTATTTAAACTTTTTATTTTAGTAGGCAACTACCCTGTTTAGGTTTAGCAATGCAGGTGTGACCTACTTTTGTGGGCTGTGGTTGCAATAACATCTAATTTTCAGAGACTTTGCTGTGCTTTTTTAGACTGCTTGATTTTTCTCATGAGCCTGGGGCTCCTACTGGTCCCTGCAGGTACTGATTGAGGGAGCAGAAGGAATTTCCTCAGACATGCTCCCTGGTGCTTCCTAGGTGAAGGAAGTGTGTCTCCAGCCACAGAGGGGAAGAGTGCTTCCTAGGCTAGGTACTTGTTGCAGTGAGGGCACTTCCTCCTTGATAATGCCACCCATTGCCTGGTATATTTATCTCAGCATCAGTCTCAAGGGAGGGAAGAGAGTCACAGTCTTGCAGAGACAAAGAAGTTTCCCAGGCTGGGTGCTTGTTACGGTGGGATCCTCTTTGCTGACCCCCGTGACCCACAGGCTGCATGGTTTCTGCGCTGAGGAATGGAATCTCAGACCTGACAGGGCAGGAGAGCGCGTCCCCTGGCAGCAGAGGGTCTGCTGGGCTTGTGATGGATCTCCCCGGCCAGTTCTGCTGGGCTCGCCTGGTGTTGTCAGTGGGACTCCAGCTCCCACTATGGGAGAAATGAGCCAACCCTGGCCACCTAATCCTGGTGGCAGGAAACACTAGGCCTGGGTCATTGTTTTATACCTGGGAAGGAGTTGTAAGGTGCCCACCTCTATGCTGTTTATCCAGTCCTGTGGCCCAACCAGTTTGCCTTCATCTTACAGCCTTTCCAAGTGCTCGTTTGGTTGTCTTTTGTGTTATTTCCAGGGTGTATCTAGTTGGGAGAAGCAAGAGGAAACAAGTTTAAACTATCTTATCTAGACAGGAAATCCAGCTCTGATTATTATTGTTTGAAGCCACTAAATTAGGGGGCAATTCGTTACACAGCCAGAGTAACTGGAACACTCTTTAATAAAAAATATCAAAATATCCTACTTTTGTAAATACATGAAACAAAACCGTGCAAGAATGTTGCTAGAGCCATTTCCAGGGTGGAAAGTTCCTGGGCAGGTGAAGGTCCCTGAGAGGAAACTCCGTCGGCTTCTTGATGGACCTGCACTGTCTGCGGCTTGTGTTTGAACAGCAGCAGTGAGCCATTCTGCCTGGGCCTTTGTGGGGACTCAGAGGTAAAATATAGAAAGCCCAGCACGTGGGTGGTGCTTGGCAAATTACTTCCTTCTCTTTTGCTCTATGCAGTTTTTAAGTTTCTCAGTTACATCTGTAATTAAGTATTTTTTATCCACAGAGTACATTTTTACTACTCTCAAGTAATTCCCTATTTTCATTAAGTCCCAAATTAAGCTGAGATCAATATCCCTGAGTGTGAAGGATCAGGGTCATTTGCAGTCCATGTGGCATGTTCCTAGTGCACATTATATCCTATGGGGGTGGCCTCTTGTGAAGTTTTTCTCATATTTGGTCAAGCAAACCCCCATGAGGATCATACTTTGGAGCCTCAATTGACAGTATATAAGAAAAAAATTGCAGAATGGTGAGATAACAAGTGAGGTGCTTTTCTCAGTGCCTGGAAGCCTGGCGGTGAGCAGTCCAGGACACAGACAGGGGCTCTGTAACACCTCCAGGGCCAGGCTCCACAGCTCTGCACCTCACCCTGTCTGGAAAATGGTTTTCATTCTCCTGCTTGAAAATAGGCTCCTCCTGTGGCACTGGATTGAGTCTGAGCTCCAGGCAGGAAAGGAAGACGGAGAGGGAAGTAACAAGGAGGATGAAGGCCACCTCACCAGGAGTGTAGGAGAGTCCCCCAGCAGGACACATCCTCCCACACCTCCCTGAAAGGGAAATGGGCACATGTTTCTCCAAACAGAAGCTCCCAGGGCGGGGAGTGGGGGAGGAAGGCTGGGAAGGTCACTGTGCTTGTGCTACTGACTCTGACAGTATCCTGTAGGGCGTAATGACTCAGCCAGTCCTGAATCCTCCTGGCCAAGGTATCATCCAGCTTCTTGCTACTCAAAAGTGTGGTTTGAGGACCACAGCATAACATCCCCTAGGAGTTCACTAGAAACTGGGTGTTAACAAGATCCCCAGGAGACTCACATGCACATTACAGATTGGAGTGCACTGGCCTGCTGCGCCACTTTGTCTTCTAAAAGACGTGATGAGGTCATGCAGTGCCAGGCTCCACACAGATTGCAGATTGGAAGCACTCTGTTCTGGCTGCCTCAGTCTCCTGGAGTCTACACTGGTTCTGATTATGGCCACCTGAATCTGCCTTGTTGGAGCAGTAGGAGGCAGACGTTAGTTAGAGGATATTGATACAGACAGTAGGGTATAGATGGTGCAGTATAGGCAGTGGGATATAGATATGCAGGTAGTAGATGCAGACATTAGGATGCAGGTAGTAGCTGTGGACAGTAGAGTGTAGGTACTTGGATATAGGGGCCAGGCAACATGGCTCACGCCTGTAATCCCTGCACTTTGGGAAGCCTAGGCAGGCGGATCATGAGGTCAGGAGTTCAAGACCAGTGAACTCCGTGAAACCCCGTCTGTACTAAAAATACAAAAATTATCTGGGCATGGTTGTGCACGCCTGTAGTCCCAGCTACTCAGGAGGCTGAGGCAGGAGAATTGCTTGAACCCGGGAGGTGGGGGTTGCAATGAGCTGAGATCATGCCACTGCACTCCAGCCTGGGCAACAGAGCAAGACTCTGTCTCAAAAAAAAAAAAAAAAAGATGTTAGATATAGGTAGCAACCTAATAACACCATATCTACTATCCCTACTGTAGACAATAGGGTATAGACATTAGGACACAGGGAGTAGGTACAGGCAGTAGATTGTAGATATTAAGATACAGGTAGTAGATACAGATGGTAGAGTATAGACATTAGGATACAGGTATCCTAATTAGTATTAGTATACAGGTAGTATACTAACACTGTATCTACTAACACTATCCCTGCTATAGACAATAGGGTATAGACATTAGCACACAGGTAGTAGGTATAGACAGTAGAGTGTAGACATTAGCACACAGGTAGTAGGTATAGACAGTAGAGTGTAGACATTAGCACACAGGTAGTAGGTGTAGACGGTAGGGTGTAGACATTAGGATGCAAGCAGTTAGTATAGACGTAGAGCATAGACATTAGGACACAGGTAGTAGGCATAGAAAGTATACACATTAACGCAGGTCATAGGTGTAGACAGTAAGGTGTTTGTTGATGGTGGGCCATGGGCAGACAAAGTGTAGACAGTATAGTACAGAGAGTAGCTGTAGACAGTAGGGTGTCACTGTGGGGTGGTTATGAAGGCCCACAGGGATGGGGTGAATACGGAGAACACAGCATGCCAAATCTCTGCTATTTTACCCTCGTCACATTTTAAATTCAGGATTATAAATTAAATTATTAATAATTCAGTAACAAAACAAATGGTGCTTCTCTGCACACTGTTGTATGTATTTGCCTTCTTTCCCTTTTATGTAACCTGCTGAATAAGCTGGGTGTGTTGTATAGTGCGTTGCATAGCTGGTTCATTGTCCAGAGCTATATTGGCCAAGACCATAACCAAAGCCTGCTTTCTGGATTAGTATCAATGCCGGAGTGGAAGATCTGTGGGCCTTACTGATTAATATAAAGATTTCAGTGGCCGGGTGTGGTGGCTCACACCTGTAATCCTAGCACTTTGGGAGGTCAAGGCGGGTGGAACACCTGAGGTCAGGAGTTCGAGACCAGCCTGGCCAACACGGCGAAACCCGGTTTCTAGTAAAAATACAAAAATTAGCCAGGCGTGGTGGCACACGCCTGTAATCCCAGCTACTAGGGAGGCTGAGGCAGGAGAATCACTTGAGCCTGGGGGACGGAGATTGCAGTGCGCTGAGATCACACCACTGCACTCCAGCCTGGGCGAAAGGGCGAAATTCTGTCTCAAAAAAAAAGAAAAAGAGATTTTCAGAACCCAGATCTTCTTCCTCTTGCTCCTCAAAGTCACCCCCACTTAGGCCCTGATGCTTTGAGTGAGGGGCCCATTTCAGGAACTGGAACTCACAATCCTTGTGCTGGCTGCAACCCAGGGTCCTGTTGGAGCAAGAAGAGCCCAGGACAGGTGGGAGCCAACCCTGTCCAGTGTTGACATCATCCAGAGATGACATCATATGATACGGTATGGTATGGCATGGCATGATATGGCATGATACGGTATGATATGATATGACACAGTATGATGATATGACACAATACGACGATATGACAATGATTAAACCTTGGTGCCAAGACCTACAGCCTCCTCAGTGAGCTTTTCCAAGCCTCTCAGCAGAGAGGGCGGTACCCCACCAGCTCCTCCAGGCCTGGTGGTGCCAGTCAGGCATGGGAGGCAGGGCTCGCTGGCTGGGGGCCAGGATGGACCTTGCCTCCAATCCCAGGGTGACTCCCGGTTGCTGTGGAGGGGAGATTAAGAGGTCACTTTGGTGGCCCACCAGAAAATGACCACACTTCGGTCACTCCTTGGGACACCCAAGTGGCAGCTCTGCTCTTAGCCACCTACGGTGGGGTTTCTTTTCACTCTTCCTCTCTCGGTTTTATGCTTTCAAAAATTTGATGACATTTCTGGAGTTCTGAGTTTTGGAGTTTCATGGGATTTACAGCCATGCATGAGTTCTTGGATGCATTAAACAAAATGAGTCTGTTGGGGTCGTTTCTTCTCTAAAATGCTCATCTCAAGAAATCTTCCAGGATTTTATTTTCACATCTAATGAAGAACAATGGGCAATGTTTCAACAATCAGATTTTCAAAAGAGTTCACTCAAATTATGCTGCGTCTTTCAAATGAGCTCTTCCACTCTCTTCTTTTGGGGAGAACACAATTACTAGATTCTGTCAGAGTTAAAAGTGGGTATTTTGTGGTTTCCATACAACGAGTGTGGTTTTATTATTATTTTTAACTATGCAAGCCTCAAGAAAAATCAGAAGCAGGGAGAGATGACTGAGCCACGACTGGTCACTGCAAGCGTCACGAGGCAGCAAGAAGACCCTATGCTTCCTGACTCCGTGGGGCCTTTAGCTTCCACTTCCTTCACTGGCTCTAGAGAGACCCCTCAGAGACAAGGACCACCTTTCAGACCCCTCTGTCCATTTTACAGCACTAACGGTGTGCAGGCCTATGACAGGGGCCCATGGTGGTGGAGTATGAGGCTTGGTTACCATTTGTCAAAACAATATCGAGTGCATGTATGCACGGCATCAAATTCACCCTGTCCTGGCGACCACCACAGCCCCCAGCCCCTATGAGTACACACAGGTAGCTTCTCCCTGAAGCAAGTGAAGCTCAAACTTGATGTGCAACCCCAGCCCTGCCAAGGCTTTGCACCTAATTACGCATTTGTAAGTTTGTGTTCATTTTCTTCAAGAGGGTCACCCAATTGCACAGGATTCATGCCTGGCTAAACCTGGATCTGCTTTTAGTGTGCACCCAGAAGGCCCAGAAGCACAGGGAAAGAGGTGGCGATAAGCAGCAGTCCCTGCCAGGAGCCAATCAGTTACAGACCTGGATGGCACTGAAACTGACCCTGGGACCCCATGTGCCCTGGCTCTCAGCCTCAGTGTGGGCAGGAGAAAGGGGATGAGCCCACTGATCAAGCACTGTGACAAATGATCCTTGCAGCACTCCCAGACATGGGTGAGAAAGTGAGAGAAGAGTGGGAGGGGGTGGCCTAGAATGGCTCAGCAACAGCAAACCAGACCCTAAAATCCTGCCCGGGACTTTCCCACTGCACCAGGTGTCCACCTAAGTGGCAGCCCAGGGTCCTGGCAGGAGGCCTGGGAGGAAGACCTGGCATGGCAGCTGTCCTTATTTCCTTGTTCCCTGCAAGAGAAGGAGGAGTGCACTGCATTCACAGTCCTTCCCACACACCATGGTGTTGGAGAGCAAAGGACACAGCAGCCTCAGATGAGGGCCACTATTAGCATGAAAATTTATATGACATGGTATGACATGACGTGATGAGATGAGAGATGAGATCATATGATACAGTATGGTATGACATGGTATGGCATGGCATGATGTGGCATGATATGGTCTGATATGATATGACAGTATGATGATATGATACAATATGATGATATGACATGATATATGACATAATATGATGTGACATGATGTGATATGACATGATATGATATGACATGGTGATATGACATGATATGATATGACATGGTGATATGACATGATATATAATATGGTATGATATGTTCTGACATGATATGATATGACACAATATGATATGATGTGATATGACATGATATGATGATATGATACTCTTGAACATAGAGTGTTTGGATGATCGCAAAGTCAGGCCCACGAGGCCCCTTCTCGAGGGATTCACCTCAGGTGTTAATTGGCCCCACAAACAGATCTGGAATTGAGTGGGAGAAGAGGGGTGTGCTTGCCCTCCCGCCTAGCACTGGCTCTTCTGTTGGATGTTGTTATGGGCTGAATGGCATCCCCTCCTGAAGTTCTTTGTTGAAATCCTAACTCCCATACCTCAGAACGTGACCTTATTTGGACATTGGGTCTTCACAGAGGCCCTCAAATTAAGACGAGGTCACTGGGGTAGGCCCTCATCCAGCATGACAGATGTCCACATAAGAAGAGGAAATTTGGACGAAACACACTGGGAGAACACCTCGTGCAGATGAAGCCAAGGAATACCAAAGATCGCCAGCGAAACACCAGCAGCGGGGGAGAGGCCTGGGGCAGATTCTCCCTCACGGCCCAAGAGGCACCAACCCTGCTGACACTGCCTCATACCTCCCACCTCTGGAACTGAGACAGAGGAAATGTCTGTCCTTTAAGTCCCCCAGTCTGTGGTCCTTTGTTAAGGCATTCCCAGGAGACCACCTCAAATGGGACTAAAGTGTGCCTGGGCAGGGACTTACCACTGGGGCTAGGCCTGCATGGCCTCAGGCTTGCTGAATCCAGCCTCACCTGCCCACACCAGCATCTTCCCAGGGGCGGGCTCTAGGGTACCGGACCAGATCACCTTAGGGTGCCTCCTTTCTTCATAGGGTGCCTCCTTTCTCCTGATATGTGTTGAACACCTCCACTGGTCCCAGCCCTGTGCTGGGAATTGCAGGTGCGAGGCCCATCCCTTCTCGGGGTCAGGGAGAGAGGGCTTTGTTTGGGCATGGGTGCTGGGCATGGCCTGGAGGAGAAGGGAGGACAGGCGCAGCTGTGACCAGAGGCTGACTGGAACCCCAGCAGCCCTAAGGGGGCCCAAGGCCGCTGAGCCCTGGCTTTCCCACCCACAGGGTGGAGGCAAGCCCTAGCGGGCACAGATTTTGTGCTTGGTGTCAGGAACAGGCCTGCAGGGGTGGACAAGAGACAAGTCCCTGAAAACACTTGGCCTGCTAGAGACCCCCAGGCGCAGTGCCCCCCATCCAGGGCATGTTCTTTCATCCTTTTGCTCTCCTTTTCAGAAGAAGTACTTACCATCAGTGCTAAGCTAAGCGTCTGCTGCTTTCAGAGCCCAGTGGGGTGGCTTGGTTCCCAGGCATGTTTTCCATATAAAACTGAAATTTCTTATCCATTTTCCCCCGAGCCTTTTAAAAGCTCAGCTACAACATCAAATGGCACACGTATAATTATTTCATACACAAAAGAGGTCCTACCAAAGCTGGGGTGACCCGCAGCCCGGCCTCCACTCCCTGGGCCAGTGCTTAACCAGCACTTGAGGTGATCCCTGGGTAGGGGCCGGGCCAGTCCAGGTGCAGAGCCAGAGGAGGGTGGTGAGGCCTGCAGGGGACATGCTTCCCTCAGCTCCCCTCTCTTCTGAGAGATGGGAAAGTGGGTTGGGGGAGGCTGGGGTCCAGGGAGGCAAGGCCCACACCATGGAGGGGCCATTGGAGGCAGCTAGGCCAGGCCAGGGTGCCCCTCACCCACCCACCCAGCTTGCGCTTCCAGGAAAACGTGGTTCAGAGCACCATCTTTCCACCCTTGGGTTCACTTGCCTGCTTACTGTTGGGCCAGCAACAGGTTCTGAGCACCTCTTGTGCCATGGGCTGGGCCAAAGTCACCCAGAGCTGATACCTCCCGCATGGCGCCACTGTGAGTGCCTCCAAGAACTCAGGCTGGCAGAGTGGGAAGCAGGCAGCTTGAGGAGCCGGAGGTGTGGGGGAAATGACTCTCGGGAGACTGCAGAGCTAGAGGGACACACGCCATACAGCTAAGGGGCCAGGGAACCTCCTCCAGGGTGTATGGGATGAATCATGTACCCCAGCATTTATATGCCGAAACCCTAACCCTGAGGGCGTCAGAAGGAAACTGTATTTGACAACAGTCTTTAAAGAAATAACTAAGTTTATGAGGTCTTTGGCATGGACCCTAATCTAATCTGACTGGTGTCTTTATAAGAAGAGGAAATTTAGTTTAGCCGGGCATGATGGCTCACACCTGTGGTCCCAGTGTCTCAGGAGGCTGAGGCAGGAGGATCACTTGAGCCCAGAAGCTGGAGTCTGCAGTGAGCCATGATTGGGCCACTGCACTCCAGCCTGGGTGACGAGACCCTGTCTCTAAAAGAAAAAAGAAAAAAAGAGGAAATTTGGACACAGATGTGCACAGAGAGACAGCCATGTGAGGACATAGGGAGAGGATGGCCAATTCTAAGCCAAGGAGAGAGGCTTCAGGAGAAACCAGCCCTGCCCACACCTCAGTCTCAGACCTCCAGTCTCCAGGACTGTGAGGCAATGACTTCCAATGTTGAAGACCCCCAGCCTGTGGTCCTTAGTCACAGCAGCCCAAGCTGATGACACGGACATCGGGAAGGTTGTCATATGCCTGGCGGAGGCCAGGGAAGGGACTGGCAGAAGCAGAGGAGTGAGTGTTAGCCTTACCCCCTCCCACCTCTGCAGGTACCCTTCATTTGCTGGGCAGACACAGGCAGGTTGCGGGAGGCTGGGGTCCATGGAGCCAAAGTCCACACCATGGAGGTGTGGCACCTCTTGATGCCAAATGAACCAATAATCCCCTAAGTAGTGATACCCTCTCCTCACTCTGGGCATGGTAACTATGCCTTTGAGCCCTTAGGAGCCAGCGACATGAATCAGGACCACCCTGGTCACTCTACCCTTGACAATTCATGGAGATCTCTAGGGAAAATGCATTTTTAATATTTGCAGATGTTTGTTTGTAGTATGTGGTTACAATTACCAAGTTGGATGCCTTCATCTAAACATGAGCCCCCAGAACCTCACACTGAAACGCAGTTTGCCTCCAATTTTTGCTCTGGGAGAGACATGCTCCTCTCGGGACAGGTCTGCATGCTCTTGAGAATGAACCCTGGCAGCTTCATGGTACACTAAGCTGCACTCCGGGGCTTGGGCAGAGCTTGGTGGTCCTCAGGCAGCCCCCTGGGAGGTGTGTTGGTGGGAGCCCCTCCCATGCACACACCTTCTTTGGTTCTGGGGTGCAGTAGCAAGATCAGGGGTCTAGTCTCACAGAAGAGAAATAATATGCACGTGACACACTGTCCACTGAGGCTTGGCAAGAGTGGTCCCTAGTCTCTGGGCCTACCCTGGCCCTGGAAGTAGGGAAGGTAGAAAGCAGTGACCCAGGGTGAGAGACACCAGATGTGACCTAGAGTAGCCGGGGTCTGGAGGAAGATAGAGGGCAAAGGGAAGGGACTGTGAGCTGTATTGCAGGAGGACAGGTCTCTGGCTGGCCTTGGCCAACCTAGCTCTTCCCCATCTGCTCATGGATCTTAAAATCACTGTGGAGTGTACTGAGGTTGCAACTGCCTGAGATAAGGAGGAGCTGCCCAGAACCGCCTGGGCAATGTTCTCGTCCCTCCTAGAACAGGATGTCCCAAATTGCTTGTGCTTAGTGATCCTAGTCACCCGTAGGGCATAAAACCCATTTGGGGTCTCTCAACTGTGGTGCGACTTGGGGCACACAATGATGAGACTCCATCTGCCCTGTGCAGCCTTCCTGAGCCTTAGAGGACTGGCTCACCATGAATTCTAGCAATAAATTCCATCTTTTCCAAATATCAGACACTCAACTAATAAATGTGAAAAATGTTAGAATGAAGCAGACTGTGTCTGTGGATGACTGTGCCCAAATTTGTCAAAATCAAGGCAGCCAGTCTGCTAGCCTCAAACCTTGATCATTGCAGCAATACCCTAAGCCTTAAATTAGGAAGCATTCTGCGGTTTACAAGGGACTCCCCCACATATTAGGACCTCTGACCAAAACAGTGGGCCATGTGGGGCTTTTGCAGCTATGGGGAAGGGAAGTCAACATGCCCAAAGCCCCACAGCTCTGCATAGCTGAGCCCAGGTCCCCTCCCAGCACAGAGCAGACTCTCAGAGAAGGTCCACCTGTCTCACGTCCTGTGACACAGTGGCAGGTGGGCAGCCAGATGGGCCACAGAGATGAGAAGTCATCCCCAACTCCGACACCGCAGGGCAGCCTCGGCCGCTCTCCCCGTACAGGTGCTCCCCCACTCTGTTCAGGGGCTCAGCTCTGGCCTGGCCCTGCATGCTCACTTTTTTTTTTTTTTTTTTTTTTTTTTTTGAGACGGAGTCTCGCTCTGTCGCCCAGGCCGGACTGTGGACTGCAGTGGCGCAATCTCGGCTCACTGCAAGCTCCGCCTCCCGGGTTCACGCCATTCTCCTGCCTCAGCCTCCCGAGTAGCTGGGACTACAGGCGCCCGCCACCGCGCCCGGCTAATTTTTTGTATTTTTAGTAGAGACGGGGTTTCACCTTGTTAGCCAGAATGGTCTCGATCTCCTGACCTCATGATCCACCCGCCTCGGCCTCCCAAAGTGCTGGGATTACAGGCGTGAGCCACCGCGCCCGGCCGCATGCTCACTTTTAATCCTGATTTGGGATGCTCCAAAATGCAGACCGCTAAGCCTGGGGGATGGAGCGAGAATAATCACGTTTGGGCTTAATGTGAAGTGAATTCTTTCCACTCTTTGGGGTCTGGAGATTTCTAATGGCACATTTAATGACATGAGCTCCCTCAGTCTGTTTTTGCAGAAAGTTTCGAGGCCATCCACTTTTAGAAGCATCCTGACCCCGACCCAGAGAAGAGCCCTCCTGCCGAGCTCTCCAGCCTGGGCTTTCTCTGGGTGCTGCTACCATGAGACTCTTCTCTTCCTTGGCCTCAAACCATCGAAGACATTTTGTTCCCTGACAAACCAATTTACACGTTTTTAAGGGGAAAACTACAGGGCAACATGAAGAGGGAGATGGCAGGAGAGACAGACACAGACAGGCAGAGAAAGAAAACAATAGATAGAGAAATATAGATAAATAGATATAGATAAATAAAAATAAATAAAAAACAATAGATAAAGAAAACAAGATAGAGAGAAAGATACAGATGGGAAGAGATTGAAGCACAGGTATCTGTTGGCAAAAATGATGCCCTTAGTGAAAATCAGTGGCTCCTGCTACTAGCCAGACATGCTGAATATGACCACTACACAGCCCGAGCCACCTCATCTGACCCATGGCAGTCGGAGCTGGTCCATTAGAGTTCTTTATCTGCGGTCCCCAGGTGGCCTCAATGTCTTTCCAACACAGAGCGGCAGGCAACCACGACTGTGTATTTGACAGGTAGCTCTCTCAGAGCAGTCATTTTATTCTTCCTGGTAAGTGTTCACATGCATGTCCTCCTGGCAGAAGGTGAGCTCCTTGCTGGCCGGAATTGTGTCTTTCTTTTCTTTCTTTCTTTCTTTCTCTCTTTTTCTTTTCTTTCTTTCTTTTTCTTTCTCTCTCTCTCTTTCTTCTTTGTTTGTTTCTTTCTTTCTCTCTCTCTCTCTTTCTCTCTCTCTCTGTCTCTCTCCTTCCTTCCTTCCTTCTTTCTTTCTTTCTTTCACGGAGTCTCGCTCTGTCACCCAGGCTGGAGTGCAGTGGCATGATCTCGACTCACTGCAAGCTCCACCTCCCGGGTTCATGCCATTCTCCTGCCTCAGCCTCCCGCGTAGCTGGGACTACAGGTGCCCGCCACCACGCCCGGCTAATTTTTTGTATTTTTAGTAGAGACGGGGTTTCATTGTGTTAGCCAGGATGGTCTCGATCTCCTGACCTCGTGATCCACTGGCCTCAGCCTCTCAAAGTGCTGGGATTACAGGCGTGAGCCACCGCCTGGCCCGGAATCAGGTCTTTCAAACTGAAACTGAGCTGGTAATTTCTGGAGCAGATGACATCGGTCATTAGGGCTTATTGTTTCTGAATCAACCCCTCCTGCCTCCACCCCAAGTTCAGCGCCTCTACCCACAGTTTCCTGGGGCTGAGAGGTGAAAAGTTCCCCAGGAAACCCTGCCTTTCTTTGTCAGTAATTCAGGGAAACAGAGGGCAGGGAGAAAGCTTCCAGGTGAGTTGGTGAAAAGGCCCCAGTGACCCCAGGGAGACTGGGATGGGGTTGGGGGAAGAGTCAGGTCGGGGAAGGGAGGGAAACTCCCAGCTCCATCCCAAGCTAGAGTGATATGGTTGGAGCCAACCTAGAGAGCAGCCAGATAGAAGCAGGTTGGTTCCAAGAAGAAAATGGAATGCATGTGTCACCAATTTGACAATATTCAGAGTTATGTTACAGGTCTGGAATAGAGTTTAGAGATAAGTTAATAATAAAAACAAAACTAATTAAATGAAGGAAAACTCAGCAAGTATCAACTTCAGGCAAAATTAAAAGGTGAAGGGAAACTATACAAACGCTATATGAACTATAAGTAAATTATTCCATAGTAAAGAGAACACCAAATATTAATTTACTCCAGAACTATGACATCACCCCATGAAGACTGCAGGAAAGGAAGTGTGGTTGGTGGGAGTGGTGAGGGCTACAATATCTATATATTTACCTTCCTTAATAAAAAGTCAATTATAAAGTCTACAATTGAAAAACTAAGAAATAATATTAAATGTATGTTATTTAGAATCTGGAGGTAAATACCAAAAAAACAGATAAGTGAATTGAAAATGATTATCTCAATGAACAGGAGATGAAGGGGGAAAAGGTAAGGCAGAGGTTAAGTTTTATTGTGGGTCGTATAACTGTTCAGCACATGTGTATCATTTTGCTAAACGTTAAAACTAGAATTGGCCGAGTGAGGTGGCTCGTACTGCAATCCCAGCACTTTGGGCAGCCAAGGCAGGAGGATCACTTGAGCCCAGGAGTTCGAGACTGGGCTGGGCAAAATAGAGAGAGCATGTCTTTAATTTTTAATTTGTATTTTTTCTAAAAATAAAATATACATAAAATAAACATTTTTAAAACTGGAATTAAAACATAGATTTACTATATATCCATCTATACTTTTCTCAACGTTCAAATAAACACACCATAGGTTAGAAGATAAATTGATTGACTGATAGATGTAATCTCTTTGTAAACATGTGTAATACGTTTTTATTATACATGTTCATGGGTGCAGTGGTTCACGCCTGTAATCCCAGCACTTTGGGAGGCTGAGGCGGGTGGATCACCTGAGGTCAGGAGTTCGAGACCAGCATGGTGAAACCCCGTCTCTACTAAAAATAGAAAAACCAGCCAGGTGTGGTGGCACACACCTGTAGTCCCATCTAGTCGGGAGGCTGAGGCAGGAGAATCACTTGAACCGGGAGGCGGAGGCTGTAGCGAGCTGAGATTGCGCCACTGCACTCCACCCTGGGCAACAGAGCGAGACTCCATCTCAAAAAAGAAAAAAGATATCAATACAGATAGATGTAACATCTATATATATATATATATATATATATGTTTTGTTTTACAAAAATATTACATCATACTATATACACTTTCTATACCTATCTGCATCTTGCTTCTCGGTTTCCATAAAAATATATTATGGAAATCCTTCCACGTCAACTGGCATAGAACCAACTGTTTTAAATGGTTATATATTATTCCATGGTGTGCATGCACCACAATTTATTCTACTATTTTTCCTTTGAAGGGCACTGACTTTGTTTCCAGTTTTGTGGGGATTTTTTTGCCACTATAAACAATCATTGAAAATACTGAGAGTAATGTTGTCAGTATGGCATACAGTTTACAGATAAGTTAACATCCTTGAAAGTATATTTTTACATATCACAGTTTTAATTTTTAAGGAATGAATTCCCAGGATAGGAATTGCTAGTAAGAGTATGTATACTTTAATAGCTATTGTGAGATTGATTTCTTAAAAATATTCCAGCAATGAATGAAAATATATATTTTGTCGGCCAGGCGTGGTGGCTTACGCCTGTAACCCCAGCATTTTGGGAGGCCGAGGCGGGCGGATCACAAGGCCAAGAGATCGAGACCATCCTGCCAACATGGTGAAACCCCGTCTCTACTAAAAATACAAAAATTAGCTGGGGTGGTGGTGCGTGGCTGTAGTCCCAGCTACTCGGGAGGCTGAGGCAGGAGAATCACTTGAACCTGGGAGGCAGAGGTTGCAGTGAGCCGAGATCGTGCCACTGTAACTCCAGCCTGGGCAACAGAGTGAGACTCCATCTCAAAAAAAAAAAAAAAAAAAAAGAAGAAGAAAAGAAAGAAAAGAAAAGAAAATATATTTTTTGTCAAGATCTCCTTTTATGTTCTTCAGTAAAATTTTATTGTTTTCTTCCTATAGACTTTACACACTTCTTTCTAGGCTTGTTACTAAGTGTTTTACTGTTTCTTTTGCAATATGATTGGAACTATTTTCTAATTGACTATGCTTGAGGACAGAAAACCTGTTATTTTATTCCTGTCGACCTAGTATCTGGCAATCTTACTGAATCCTCTTCTTAATTTGAATAGTTTGCTTGCTAGTTTTCCTGGCTTTTTATGGGCAGATATATATTTTTTTCTATTCCTTCTCAATGTTCATACTACTTCTCTCTTTTTCTTTCTTTCTTTCTTTTTTTTTTTTTTTTTTTTTTTTTTTTGAGATGGAGTTTCACTCTTGTTGCCGCCCAGGCTGGAGTGCAATGGCACAATCTTGACTCACCACAACCTCCGCCTCCCAGGTTCAAGCAATTCTCCTGCCTCAGCCTCCCGAGTAGCTGGGATTACAGGTATGTGCCACCACGCCCGGCTAATTTTGTATTTTTTAGTAGAGACGGGGTTTCTCCATGTTGGTTAGGCTGGTCTCAAACTCCTGACCTCAGGTGATCCGCCCACCTCAGCCTCCCAAAGTGCTGGGATTACAGGCGTAAGCCACTGCGCCTGGCCTCTTTTTCTTGTCTTACTATATTTCTGCATTGGTTAGAACCTCCAGGAAAATGTTGAATAAAACTATGGAGACAGCAGGCTTTATTCTGTCCTTGATCTTTATGAAACTGTTTCTAATATTTCACCAATTATCATGGATGCCTGCAGGATGCCTCTAGGAGGTATCTGCCATCAAGTTACAGAAGTTTCCTTGTATTCTTAGGTTGCTGAGAGTTTTTGTTTGTTTCTATTTTAATAAGGAATTGTTTCTAAATGTCAAATATTTTGGGGTTTTGTTTGTTTTTGGTTTAGACTTCTTTTTCTTGTGTGGTTTTTTTTTTGTTTTTTTTTTTTTTTTTTTTTGGCTCTACTGAGATGGACCATATGGTTTTGGCAGCTATTGAGATGATCACAGGGCATTTCTTCATTAATCTGTTAATATGCTTAATTACGTGAATGGATTTTCCAGTGTTGAGTCATCCTTGCATTCCTGAGAATAAGGTATGCCTGTTGCCTGTGCTGGTCATGTGGTCTTGTTCTTTTAGAACTGCACTAGATTCAACTTGTTCCCATATTCTTTTTTTTTTTTTCTTTTTCAGATGGAGTCTCACTTTGTCACCCAGGTTGGAGGGCAGTTGCATGATCTCTGCTCACTGCAACCTCTGCCTCCCAAGTTTAAGCAATTCTCCTGCCTCAGCCTCTGGAGCAGCTGGGATTACAGGCTGGTCTCGAGCTCCTGACCTCAAGTGATCCCCCTGCCTTGGCCTCCCAAAGTGCTGGGATTTCAGGGGTGAGCCACTGTGCCCGGCCGTTACTGTATTCTTTCTAAGTTTTGTGTCTGTTTTCACCAGTGAACTGGTCTAAGGTGACCTCTCCTGATCTGGCTTTGGTGTTAGGATTGTACTAGCTTCATAAGACAAGTTTGGAGCATTTCCATACTTTTGCAATGCTCTGAAACTCAAAGAAATGATAGAACTGGTGAGCCCAACAGATCCAGGACAGGTGCCAGGAGGCCCAGAGATAGGAGGCACAGGTTAGCCAAGTAACGTTACACACACATGCCATGGCCAGCATCTCAGTACTGCTGAGGACAAGAGAACGCTGTGCTGCCCAAGGAGCATGGCAGGGGAGAAGGGCAAAGGATGCCACGGCAGGGAGGCGGGCAAAGGCAGCATCTTAGAGGCAGGTGAGGATCTGAGTCAGTCCTGAGCTCTGAGGGGCTTTGAGCAGGAACATTACCTGACCAGATCTGCATTTTTTAAAGTTACCCTTTTTTGCATAGGTGTAGACAGCTGTCTGGGAGACCACAGTACAGAGGTGGCTAGGACATGGAGTCCCAGAGCATGAAGGCTTCCTGTCTTGCTGATGGGGTAGCCATCACTGAGACAGGAAACCTAGAGGAAGACCAGGGCAAGAAGTGGACCAGAGAGTGGTGGGGAAGTGCTGCATTTGAGGCGGGTTCTTCGATGGGGAGCCAGCTTGGAAGCCCAGTACGAGGTGCAGAGAGCCCCGGATGGGTGGTCAGGGCAGGAGGGTGCCCATGGTAACGGAGCTGACAGGGAGGGGGAGGTCACCCAGGGTCCAGTGAGAGGAAAGGAGGGCTTGCACAGAGCCTCAAGGAATGTAACAATTCCAGTTAGACGCAAGATGTCAGACCACGCAGGGTGCTGAGGATTTGCCTGAGGACAAGGAGGCAAACTGGGACGGCCTGAGGATGAGGCATCGGCTGCATCCAATCCTCTGCGAGGCCTCAGAAAATTAGGACTGGAAAAAGCCATTATGTTTAGCAACACAGAAGGCGTGGCCCCTCCCCCAAGCCCACCCCATCCACAGCCTTCTCCATGTCACCTCAGGTGACCCCATCTTTCGGGCAGTCCCGGCCCAAAGCCTTGCAGCTTCCTGATGTCTGTCCTCCTCACACATCCCACATCTGACCCTCCTGCACATCCTCTTGACTCCACCCTCCAACACTCTCAAGAGTCAGACCTCCACCCATCACTCCTCTGCCCCCACCCTGTTCCAGGTTGTCAAGGTTCCCACTGCAGCCCTGGACCCGCTGGCTAGTGCACCTTAAGAACCACGGTGGTCCCTTCAAACTGCACATCAGATCATAATCAGAAACGAACCCCAAGGTGCTTAGAATGGCTCCCAGGTCCTGCACTATTGCCTCTGCAGCTGCCCTCATCCCTGCATCCCCTCTCCCAGCCGCCTGTGCCTTCTTGGTCTTCCTTGAATATGTCAGCCAGGCTCCAGAGTCAAGGCCTTTGGCTGCTGCCTCTGCCTGGAAATCCTCCTCCCACATCCCTGCCCAGTGGGCTCCTTCACCAGCCACCTGCTCCCAGTCTCTGTTCAAAAGCCATCTTCTCAGAGACCTTTCCTTTTTCTTTTTTTTTTTTGAGACGGAGTCTCACTCTGTCACCCAGGCTGGAGTGCAGTGGCACGATCTCGGCTCACTGCAAGCTCCGCCTCCCGGGTTTACGCCATTCTCCTGCCTCAGCTTCCCGAGTAGCTGGGACTACAGGTGCCCGCCACCACGCCTGGCTAATTTTTTGTTTTTTAGTACAGACGGGGTTTCACCGTGTTAGCCAGGATGGTCCTCAGAGACCTTTCCTATTTAAAATTGCCACCGCCCCCAGCCCGGCCTTTCTCTCTGCTTTCTTTCCCTGCCTGGCTCTTACACCCTCTGGCATGCTATATAGTTTATTGCTCGAGGCATCTGCCTCCCCATGATAAGGTCAGTTCCAGGAAGGCAGGGACTCTCCCCTGCTGTTCCCAGATGTATCCCTAGCACTTGATGTATACAATATGTGGCCCATAGTACCAGCTCAAAATATATCAGTTGAATTCACTTCAGGGGTGTGAGAGATAGAGGGGAACAGAGGGCCGGCCCCGCACCATAAGAGATGTGTTGGTTGTAAGCCAGACCCCAAGAGGTGGAGGTCATGCCTCCACCCTCCAAACTTCCACAGCCGACAGGCCTCCCAGAGGAGGTGGTGGGTCCTGGCCTCACAGCTATGAGGGCTCCACAGCCTTCTATTATTTTATTTTCAGCTTGCTGGTCCTTAGATAAAAATCTATCTAAGACGATGGGAATACATGGCCTGTTCTCTCTGAGCTCCAGTCTGTTCCCTTGCATGTGGGAGGTGACATGCATGTGCCTGTAAGAGACAGAGGAGGGTCGGCAGCAAGGGTGGTACACTTCAGGCCAGGCTTGTGCTGCAAAGACCCATGACCCCATCTGCCTTTAAAAGGGGCAAGACAGGCACCCCTGAAATCAGAAATGACACAGAGAGCCCCACACACAGAGCAGCACAGAACAGACGGGCCACCGGCCACAGGATCTTCAGAAGAAGGCTTGCTGTGTCGCTGCCAGATTAACGGGGCGAAAATGCGCACTGGCAGCTCCAAGGAGAGAGCTGAGACCCACAGCCTGGGCCTGGATGCAAATTCTTCTCTGAGACTCAGGCGGTTGGCCAGGTGGGCACCGGGCCTCTGGGATCTGGATGCCACCCTCCAAGGGGCCTCAGATGCCAGCAGCAAGGGGCTGTCTGCCCTCGCAATGCGCCTTTCCAGACGCCCAAATCCTTCCCATTTGACCACCCTTTGCAGCCACCACTTTCTCAAAGTAGATTTACTTTCAATCTCCATTTGCTAAATCTCTTCCCTCTAAACCTTTTGGGGATGGAGGGATTAAGCCTGATTACAGATGTTGGGGGTGGTAGCAGGAGTCGGGCAGGAGGGGCCACCAAAAGCCAGCACATGCTCCTCCTAGGCTGAACCAGCCTCCGGCCGGCCTCGCCCCAGGATCTCGGCCCCCTCGCCCAGTGCGTGGGGCTGCCGCCGAGTGTGGGGCTGCCGCCGAGTGTGTGGCTCCGCTCCTGCCCACCCAGGGAGGGCAGCCCCTGTGCCACTGGCCTGGCCACCCGAGGGAGTCAGCAGGGTGGCTCACAGGCTCACTGAGAGAGATGAGCTCCTTCAAGCGGGGCTCGCTCAAGAGCTCCACATCAGGGTCGCAGAAGGTGAGTGAGCTTTGCCAGTGGCCTGCGGGCAGCTGGGCGGAAGGGCAGAGGGGCACTGGTCTCCAGCTCTGTCATCTCAGAGTGCTGGCCCAGCGGGTCCTGTCCTCCCAAACTGTGCTGGGTGGGCATGGGGCATGGGGTGTTCAGAGCTCTCACGTCAGGGTCCCTTCTCAGAAGGTGCCCTATGTTTCCTGCCATGGTGTCCAACGCCTGTGGTCTCAGTTGCTCCCACCTTCGAGTGGCTGTGGCAAACCCGGGAGGCGTCTGAGTGGCACAAATCCTTTCACCATTCCAGAGTCAGCAGTTGCGGAGTTTTGCATCTCTTGCTTTCCCCACGAGGGTGGTGCCCCTTAGTTCTCTCTGCTGGACTCAAGCTCACCCTCTGTTCTGCATCAGATGTTTGTGTGGGCCATGGGGACCCAGGGATGACTCAGGCTTGGGCCTCGCCCTTAGGGGATGGGGTCTGGCAGAGGAAAGCAGGCAGCAGCATCTAACAGGAGGGAGGGCCAGAGGGGCCCTAAGTGAGAACCTGGGAGGGCAAGAGGCTCCCAGGACTAGGCACCAGCTGTGGGGAACGGCCTCTCCCAGGAACCCCAGACAGGACCTCCCACAGCACATGCTGATTTGAATCTTAGGTGTGCTTTTCCTAGGTGACTCTGAGCCAGCCTGGGAACTGAGCACCCAGGGCTGCCTTAAAGGACCACTTGAGCCCAAGGAGACTGGGCAGGCCACCACCTCATCCTAACTCCCTGACTGCCCCTCGCATGCAGTGGGAGGCAAGCCCAGACCACACCGGAAGCCTCTGGACACCACTTGCATGCCCTGAGGGCTCAGTGGGGATCTCTGCTTCTTCCAGGGGGCTGCCCATTGTGCACAGAAGGGTGGGGGGAGGCAGCAAGGGAGCTGGCAGAGCGGCAGTAGGTGCAGCCCTTGTGTGGGCTGGGGAGGATACAGCCCCCCAGCTGGCACTTACTGAGCACCCACGACATGCCCACCAGTACCCCAGAGCTGGGAACGGAGCCGCTGAAGCAGTGTGAGCCAGGTGACCACACTCAGAGAGGTTATTTATCTGGGCTAAAAACAGAGCCCTAGGCGGGAACTGCTTCCCATCCATACCCAGCTCACCAGGCTGCAGTCTCCCCGTCCATAAAATGGGGCAGAAGCAGATGTTGAACCAGGTGTTTGCAAGTCTCTGACATCTCATGAACCTGAAAATGCAAATAGAAAAAATAAAAGGCTCTTTAAAAAATAATAACAATAAAGAGTTAAAGCTCGCCTCCATTCCAAAATGGGAAAGATCCATCCTTGGGGCTCAGTGGGGGACAGGCGCATATATCTGCTTTTGTGCGCATGTGTGAGAGTCAGCATTATTTTTAGAGACAGCACATACCCATGTTCTTGTGTAAGTTCACATTCGCAAATGCACTGCTGCATTTGGCAGAAACAAGAGACATGCCACTGGCCGTGCAGCCCGGGCCAGGTGGCTCCACGTGACCTCCTCCTCCCCAGCACAAAGCTGGCCCACACTGTTCTTGCTGATAAGCTCTGAAAAGGAACAGGCTTTTGTTGTTCTTGAATTTGATGTCACCTGTTCACCTGTGCCCAGTGTATTGCTGTATGTTTGGTGCCTTGAAATTGCAATGGGTAGGGTCTGGGAGCAGGGAATTCAGCAAAAGGGGAGGAGGGGAGAATCACTTCGATTTTGGTCCAGACTGAAAAACAGCACCTCCTTTATACCCGCACACGCACAGCCATTCCTACAGGACCTCACACTGCATTACTTCAAGCCCAAGGACGAAGGTGACCTCCTCCCCCTATCTGAGGTGATCCCATGCTGTGGTGGGGTCAAAGGTGTTTGAACCAGAGCGACTCCATTTGAGTGAGGGCTGGGGAAATGGGGCTGGGACTTGCTGGGCTGCATTCTCAGAAAGTTAGGCATTCCTCGTCTCTAGATGTTTACAGTTATGGCAACAAATTAATAATGTTTACTAAACAGACCCAGACTTGGGAGTGTCCAGATATCTGGATATCTGGAGAACAAAGGGATTCCTAATTTTGCTTTAAAGATGATAATATTGATTCCTGCAAAATATAATAATTAAGAAAATAAATCCTTTATCACAAACCCTTGTAGCAGAACACATCTCTCCGTATATATGAGTATCACACCTAGGGTGGACGTGTTCCTCCTCTTACTTTTGGGAACGTCCTACTCTGTCTATGGAGTAGCTGTTCTGCTGTTCTTTCACTACTTTACTCTTTTTTTTTTTTTTTTTTTTGAGATGGAGTCTCACTCTGTCGCCCAGGCTGGAGTGCAGTGGCGCGATCTCAGTTCACTGCAACCTCCACCTCCCGGGTTCAAGCGATTCTCCTGCCTCAGCCTCCCAAGTAGTTGGGACTACAGGCACCTGCCACCACACCCGGATAATTTTTTGTATTTTTAGTAGAGACAGCATTTCACTGTGTTAGCCAGGATGGTCTCAATCTCCTGACCTCGTGATCTGCCCGCTCCGGCCTCCTAAAGTGCTGGGATTACAGGCGTGAGCCACCGAGCCCAGCCTACTTTACTCTCTTAATAAACTTGCTTTTACTTTGCACTGTGGACTCACCCTGAAATCTTTCTTGCACGAGATCCAAGCACCCTTTCTTGGGGTCTGGATCTGGACCCCTGTCCTGTAACAGTGGTGCATGCCAAACTCCTACAAAAACTTGTAGGAGTTAAGAACCTTGATGGCACAGTTTGCCCTAAGGCCTATTTATAAAAGCCCTCACTTAAGAAGTAAAATTATTGGTGGAAGAATGAAAGACAATACCTCTGGCTTTAAGGAAGCCATTCTTAAAGAAGTACTAGGAAACAGCCGTGAAATCACATGAGCATACAGTGGGCTGTTTTCATTCTATCTCGTTGCACACTAGGCCCTTCATTGACGCAGCAGCTCAGTGTCGGTTCCCGGTTTCCTAATCGAAAGCAGCACCCCTCTGCACCGTGTTTGTTGAAACACACCAGCTGCCCTGTGGGAAAAACAAACACAAACTGCACTATGTACGAGTCTTCCAGGGTCATCTCGCCTGGCCCTCTATTTGTACAAGGCAGATCTGACCCTTTGTCCTTGGCTGGCCAGCTCTTCCCAGCTCTGAAGCTCTTCCCTTGGTCTTAGACCAACTGGGGTGCACAGCGTGGAATCCTGAGGCAGTGAGCAAATCCCTGGGGACACTGGGGACCCTTGAGCTCCATCCCTCAGCAGCCTGCTGCTTGGAGGCCCCACTGGCCAAAACAGTCCCTCTTCCAGGAAAGACCTCCAAGTACTCATGCAGGAGAAGAAAAATGAGATTCTGCCTTGCACTTTTATCCCTGTCTACATTTTTTTTGTTGTTGCTAAAAGACACATAAAGTCAAGAGTCAAAGTTCAAGATCCTAAATACGATTAATAATAGGATAGCCCAGCAATTGTACCCATCTGCCTTAGACAAATTCTAGCATATGTGTACAAGGAAATGTGCAAAAATGCTCACATTCACATTCATGCTGTAGAAGACCAGAAACAACAAACAGTTCATTCAAAACAGTATAGGTAAGCTTTTGTTTATTCACATAATGAAATACTACACAGCACTTAAAACAAATGAACCAAGCCACCTGTATCAACATGGATAAACCTCAGAACATACTGCTGGATTAAAAAATAAGCCACTAGCCAGGCGTGGTGGCTCACACTTGTAATCCCAGCACTTTGGGAGGCCAAAGCGGGCAGATTGCTTGAGTCCAGGAGTTTGAGACGAGTCTGGGCAACATGGTGAAGCCCCATCTCTATGAAAAATACAAAAAATTAACCAGGTGTGGTGGAGTGCACCTGTAGTCCCAGGTATTAGGAGGCTGAGGTGGGAGGACTACTTGAGCCCAAGGAGGTCAAGGATGCAGCGAGCTGCACTCTAGCCTGGGCAACAGAGTGAGACCCTATCTCAAAAAAAAAAAAAATAAATGTAAGTACACTATTTATAGAAAAATCTAAAACAAGGGAAATCCAAAATAAATACATACATCTCTTCAAAGTGGAGATGGTTAGCTGTATCTATAATGTTGACAAAAATAGTCAAACTCTGTGAAACATTTAAAGACATTTATTCTGAGCCAAATATGAATGATCATGGCCCAAGGCACAGTCTCAAGAGGTCCCGAGAACATGCGCCCAGGCACTGGGTTAGAGCTTGGCTTTATACATTATAGGGAGACGTAAAAGATCAGTCAATACATGTGAGGTATACACTGGTTCGGCCTGGAAATGGGGACATATTGTGGGGAGGGTGGCCCACAGGTCACATAGGTGGATACAAAGGTTTTCTGGTTGGCAATTGGTTGAAAGAGTTATTATCAAAAACCTGGAATCAATAGAAAGAAGTGTCTGGGTTAAGATAAGGAGTTGTGAAGTTCAAAGTTCTTATTATGTAGATGATGTCTCTTAGGTGGCCACCCTTAGAGACAATAGATGGCAAATGTTTCCTGTTCAGGTCTTTAAAAGGTGCTAGACTCTCAGCTAATCTCTTCAGCAGTGGGAGGGCCTAGAAGGGGAAAGCTCTATTATGTTAATAGAACTCTTTACAGCTGCAAATTTTCCCCCACAAAAGATGGCGGGCCATTTCAAAATATGGCAAAGAAACATATTCTGGGGTAAAATATTTTGATTTCCTTTTTTTTTTTTTTTTTTTTTTTTTTTTGACAGAGGTCTCGCTCTGTCACCCAGCCTGGAGTGCAGTGGTACAATCTCGACTCACTACAACCTCCGCCTCCCAGGTTCAACTGATTCTTGTGCCTCAGCCTCCAGAGTAGCTGGGATTACAGGTGCCCACCACCATGCCTGGCTAATTTTTGTATTTTTAGTAGAGACGGGGTTTCACCATGTTGGCCAGGCTGGTCTTCAACTCCTGATCTCAAGTGATCCACCTGCCTTGGCCTCCCAAAGCGCTGGGATTACAGGTGTGAGCCACTGCACCTGGCCGATTTCCTTCTTTATCTGTCATGTGATGTTATGCCATAGTCAGGTTGGAAAGTAAGTCACATTATATACAGTTAAATGAAACCCAACTGATGAGATTTTATGGTCTGTAAGGCATGACTCCCCAGTCCCTTAGATAGGAATTTGGGCAAGAGAGAAAAAAGGTCAGAGTTTAGTCCTCAGTAATGTTCATTCTCTCTCTCTCTCCCCCTCCCTTTCTCCCTTCTTCCTTCCCTCCTTTTAAGAGAGAAAAATATATATAAGTACACATGTAAAGTCACAACATCTGTAAAACAGAATTGTGGGTCTTCACTTGTCTGTTATATCAGTCTTGTCTATGATTTTGAAATTTAATTTTGAATTAAATGTTTTCACAATTTAAACATGTTTTGATACTTCGCAAGCGAGCCACAGGAAGAGTGAGGGTGAAGCTGAGGAGCACAGCCTCAACGGTTTGTGCCTGCCTAAGGCACAAACAGGTGATAGAGTGGAGCTAAGAAGAACTTCTGCAAACTCCCCTTGGTTATCTGAGCTTCCTTGTCTAACCATGTGTGGTTGGAGCTGCAGGCAGGAGCCTCCTTCACCAAGCTCCCCCACTGCAGTCTCCCACTCTTCAGAGCAACTGAGTAGCAGGCACGCCCCCGGCTCAGGGGACAGCAGCTCTCACCTCTCCCTGGGCCCGAAGCACTAGGACCACGCTTGGCTCCCTTTGAGGCTACAGCACCTCCATTTCCCAGAGAGTGTTGCTGGAACCCAGGGAAGTTTCATGTACGCTCACATAGGCTGTGTTTGGAATCTGCTTGGATGCAGAATTCCACATGGAAATTTGTAACCACCCAAGGGGTTCACCTTGCCTGCTGCTTAAACAGAGCCAATTCATGGAGACAGGGGAATTGCAAAGAGAAAGAATAATTCACACGGATTATTACTCAAATCAATCTCCCTGAGCATTCGGGGAGCAGAGCTTTTATGGATAACTTGGTGGGTGGGGGGAAGCCAGTGAGCCAGGAGTACTGATTGGTCAAGGATGAAATCACAGGGAGTCAGACCTGTCATCCTGTTTTCAGTCAGTTCCTGGGTGGGGGTCACAAGATCAGATGAGCCAGTGTATTGATCTGGGTGGTACCAGCAGATCCATCAAGTGCAGGTTCTGCAAAATATCTCAAGCACTGCTCTTAGGAGCAGTTTAGGGAGGGTCAGAATCTTGTAGCCTCCAGCTGCCTGACTCCTAAACCGTAATTTCTAATCTTGTGGCTAATGTTAGTCCTACAAAGGCAGTCTAGTCCCCCGGCAAGAAGGAGGTCGGCTTTGGGAAAGGGCTGTTATAGTCTTTGTTTAAACTATAAATTATAAACTAAGTTTATCCGAAAGTTAGTTCAGCCTGCGCCCAGGAATGATCAAGGACAGCTTAGAGGTTAGAAGCAAGATGGAGTTGATTAAGTTAGATCTCTTTCACTGTCTTAGTCATAATTTTGCAAAGGCAGTTTCAGATTCAAAACAATTCCTGTCTCACAGAAGGAGGAGACCCAGAAAACCTCCTCTGTTCCCCAGTCCTCATCAGAGGCCTTGAATGTAACACACCCCATGCCACCCTCACCCATCTCTCTATGGCTTCACATCATACAAAGAATAAAACCCAAAATCTGTCTGTGACAAAGGGCTCATTGCTGTCTTGCTAAATTTTTCAATCCATTGAAGACCTGTACTTTCATACAAGGCAATAAAAATGAATTGCCAAAAAATGAAATTTTAAAATGACATGCAAAATCCAAGCCCTAAGTTTTCTTTAATTGTTAAATTCCGTAGACAGACATTGATTCTTTCAAACTGCTAAAATTAGGTCTAAATGTAGGCTGTCGTTTCTGAACCCTCTGGGTATGGCCAGTAGCCAACAGTTTGCAGCCCATGCTTGGAACACACTTTGAGTACTGGGGTCCAAGAGACTCCACACATCCCATTCAATCCTCTCCCCAGTCCTGGGAAGCAGGACTCTGGTCCTCTCTCCAGCTGAGAAAGAATCTCAACGGTGGAAGCCTTGTCCAAGGGACCTTGTGAACCAAAAAGTATCTGAGACAAGTCTCAATCAGTTTGAGACTTGTCGATGTTTTCAATAACATGCCCGTGACACAGGCTCAGGAGCTCCTGACAACATGTGGCTCACACTGTTGTTGGCTCAGCCTGGAAAAGCAGAAAATCTTGAAGGGCGGGGAGGGGAGGCTTCCAGATGATAAGTGGATTCACAGATTTTCTGACTGGCGATTGGTTGAAAGAGTTCATCTAAAGACCTGGAATCTGGCCAGACACGGTGGCTCACACCTGTAGTCCCAGAACTTTGGGAGGCTGAGGTGGGTGGATTGCCTGAGGTTAGGATTTCGAGACAGCCTGGCCAACATGGTGAAACCCTGTCTCTACTAAAAATGCAAAAATTAGCTAGGCATGGTGGCAGGTTCCTGTAATCCCCACTACTCAAGAGGGTGAGACAAGAGAATTGCTTGAACCTGGGAGGCGGAGGTTGCAGTGAGCCAAGATCACACCACTGTACTACAGCCTAGGCGGCAAAGTGAGACTCCATCTAAAAAATAAAGACCTGAAATCCATAGAAAGGAGTGTCTGGGTTAAAATAAGAGTTGGGAGACCAAGGTTCTTATTATGCAGATGAAGCCTCCAGGTGGACAGCTTCAGAGAGAATAGATTGTAAATGTTTCTTATCAGACATAAAAAGGTGCCAGACTCTTAGTTAATTCTTTCCTGTATCAGGGAAAAGACCTGGAAAGGGAAAGGGATTCTCTACAGAATGTAGATTTTCCCCACAACAGACAGCTGTAAAGGACCATTCCAAAATATGTCAAAGAAATATATTTTAGGGTAAAATACTTTGAGTTCTTTCAGGGCCTGCTATCTGTCATGATGCTATACTAGAGTCAGCCTGGAATTTAGTGTCTTATTGCTACAAAGGCCTTGAGATCTCTGTTTTAGGCTGGGTGCAGTGGCTCATGCCTGTAATCCCAACACTTTAGGAGGCTGAGGCAAGAGGATCACTTGAGCCTAGGAGTTCAAGACCAGCCTGGGCAACATAGTGAGACCCTGTCTCTACAAGAAAATTTTAAAATTACCAGATGTGGTGGTGTGTGCCTGTGGTCCCAGCTACTTGGGAGGCTGAGGTGGGAGGATCACTTAATCTTGGTAGGTCAAGGCTGCAGCGAGCCATGATCGCACCACAACACTGTAGTCTGGGTAACAGAGCCAGACCCTGTCTCACACACACGTAGTCTCTGTTTTAATGTCAATGCTGGTCAGTTGTGCCTAAATTCCAAAAGAAGGAGGGTATGCTGAGGCATGTCCAAATCCCCTGCTTCCCGTCATGGCCTGAACTAGTTTTTCAGGTTAACTTTGGAATGTCCTTGGCTGAAAGGAGGGGTCCATTCAGATGGTTGGGGGTGCTTAGAATTTTGTTTTTAGTTCACAGCCTCAGTCAGGGGTCCACTTTGTCCAAGGCCCTGCAGTGGGCCACTTCCACAGGAGCATCTTCCAGGGCAGCAGTGCCCAGGGCTGCTGAAGACACCTTTTGAACCCAGTCCTGGGAGAACTCCTGAAGCGGAGACATGCCTGATTCACCAGCCTCCAAGCTGGGCAGGTGGTCCCACATCTGTGCCCATAGAGGGTTGGGGGGCACTTCAGACCCAGGCACTAATCCATGCCCATGCCTGAGCAGAGTTCTGCAGGCAACTGCCCTTGAGGGATGGGGCCCAGGGCCTGAGTGATGGGTTCAAGGACCCTTGAGTTGGGGTAGGGTGTGCTATAGAGGACCCCAAGCTTGAGAGCAGGCCAGCTGGCCAGTAAGTACTCCATTCAGCCATGTGACAGCAGGTCTTCCTAGGGACAACATGTCCAGCCCCCTCTCTAGAGCTTGCTGGAGTCACCGCCACCTACCAGGGAGGTCCAAGTCCAGTACCTCGTTCTCTTGGATTCCTTGTTCTTCTGTATCCTCTACTTTTAGTGGGATGGCAAAAAGGGCACTTGCCTGGTTCCTGCACACTGAGGGGCAAAGGCCTCAGCCAAGGCCAGGAGGTGGGAGGACAGGGAATGGGCCAGGACCAGGGTCATTTGCCAAATGGACATTGATCCCTGGAGAGCCAGAGAAGACAGTGTGAGGGAGATGTGAGGTCAGAGGTGAGGGAGACAGTCCCAGCAGGGCTGGAGGAGGATGTGGGACAGGGAGGGAACCAGTGATGTCTAAGAAGGTGTACGGAGTTTATGGTACACTGGGTCCAGCCAGGGCCAAGAAGCACCACTGGGCTGGATGGGGCTGGCAGCTGCCCCACACCAAACCCTGGCCAGAGCACCCCATGCCCACTGAATTGCCAGCACAGCCTGGAGACCTTCTGTAGGGTAGCTGCTCAGCAAGGGGGCCTGTGCCAAGGAGCTGTGTGGCCCTGGGCAGGCCACCCTCCAGGCTATGAGAGACAAGGGGATACCCTTGGCAGGAGTGGGTGCTGGGCAGAAGGCAGCCCTGTGAACTCCAGGGAGGACTCTGGCCAGGAGGGTATAAAACACTTGGCCGCTTTGTTTAGTTGGCCTGAGAGTGAGGGAGAGGGGTCTTAGACTTGAGTAAAAATCTCCGACCAGTTGGGAGTGACGGTAAACAACTGAGGTATTACCCTGCTTCAACCCTCACCAGAGTGTTAGAGTCTTGCCAATGCACCACAATGTCGCAGTCTCTCATTGTGAGGTATCGCCTGGAGTTTTTTGTCTCAGGATCAACAGGATTAAGGAGCCTGACATAAAGGGTGAGGTTGGAGGGAAAGTTTAACAAGCAAAAGAAGAAAGCTCTCAGCCACAGAGAGGGGGCCGAATGGGTTGCTGTTTTTGCAGTTGAATGCAAACGCTTTTACAAGAAACCAATGTGGGCTGGGCATCTTATTTGCATAGGGTGTGAATTTCGGGTAGCTTCACCCTGTCCTCCTAATGCGCATGTGGACTCTTGGCTTGAGATACTCCATATTGCTTTGTTCCCCTTACTGCGCATGTGTCAGGGGATGAAATTTTCCATGGCAGGCATGTCTGGGCAAGTCACCTGTGTAGACTTTCTTACCTGTGTAGCTGTGGGCATGTCTTAGGCAACTCCCCTGTGCAAGTTCCCATATCTGTGCCTGCTGGCTGTTCTTTTGTTCGAAAGTATTCAACCGCCAAGTGCAGTGGCTCATGCCTATAATCCCAGCACTTTGGGAGGCTGAGGCGGGTGGATCACGAGGTCAGGAGTTTGAGACCAGCCCGGCCAACATGGTGAAACCCCATCTCTGCTAAAAATACAAAAATTTTCTGGGCGTGGTGCGCATGCCTATAATCCCACCTACTTGGGAGGCTGAAGCCGAAGAATCACTTGAATCCGGGAGGCAGAGATTGCAGTGAGCTGAGATCGCACTACTGCACGCCAGCCTGGGTGACAGAGCAAGACTCCATCTCAAAAAAAAAAAAAAAAAAAAGGAAAAGAAAAAATTCAACTGAGGAGCCACCCTAACTGCCTGCCTGACCAGTTTCTTCTTTTCTCCTCTTAAGGGGTCCCTCTATAGCCTAACACCAAATGCACCTGGGAACGCCAGCCTGAGGGCATGCCCAGCTCCAAACCAAAGGGATCACAGAGTCCTCCGTTAGAGATCCACAATGCACATCAGCAAACTAAAGGCTCTGATAAGTCCTGCAGGAAAGAAACCTCCTTTTAACCCAGAGTCACCTATAGAAGAAACCCTTTCCATGCAAAATACATCACCATTTCAGGAGCCCAGGCTAGGCTGAGGACACTTAAGAACACTTAGGGCTGCGGGCAACACAAGATTAGGAGTTAGCTCCTAAGGATGAAATGGAGAATGGGCTTTACCCCTTACTTCCTGCACAGCTAGAGGATGGGCTCCTCCTTCTGCCGCCCAGGCCTGGGGATGCAGCAAGCACAGGATATTTAAGAAAGAAAGACAGAAAAGAAAAGAATTTGCTGCCCAAAGTCACTACCAAATCGTCAATGCTCGCCAACAGAATATCTTCAAGTTTCAGAATTGAAGAAATTGGCAGAATGTCAAGATGGAAGAGGGATTTTAAAGATGCACGGCCTGGCGCCGTGGCTCACGCCTGTAATCCCAGCACTTTGGGAGGCCAAGGCGGGCGGATCACAAGGTCAGGAGATCGAGACCATCCTGGCTAACACGGTGAAACCCCGTCTCTACTAAAAATACAAAAAATTAGCCAGGCGCGGTGGCGGGTGCTTGTAGTCCCAGCTACTCGGGAGGCTGAGGCAGGAGAATGGTGTGAACCTGGGAGGCGGAGCTTGCAGTGAGCCAAGATCGCGCCACTGCAGTCCAGCCTGGGCGAAAGACTCCGTCTCAAAAAAAAAAAAAAAAAAAAAGAGAGAGAGATGCACATGACGAGCTATAGCAGCCATGCACCCCAAGGACCCAGGCAGCTCCCAGTTTATCCTCAAAGGCTCAGGGGGCCAGCCTTTGGTTCCTATGCATGCTGCATTAAACAGAGCCCTTTGTAGTTGCTGAAATACTTGAAAAACTTGGTTTCTTAAGCACGGCCAGAGAACACACACACCCGCCCCCCTCAGCTAAGCCAGGATGTTGTTTTCTTGCAGCAGTAGCTACCGGTGGCTCCTCAGAGACCAGGGTAAACTCTCAGGGGTCCTGAAAGCCACCTTCTCCTGCCTGCCCCCACCCTAAAGCCAATAGAGTCTCCCTCTGGCCATTCACGGATTTTGCTTCTTGCCTGGCCTCCCCAGCCCTCAGTTCCCTTCCACGTAGATCTGGGACATTGGCTATTAGGCTACTTGAGTGTTTTCCACTTTAGAAAGGTTGGTCACGGCATCTCACATGAACCAGCCACTCTCAGACCTGCGAGGTCACTCTTCCACTCTTCCACTGCAGCTTGGAGGGACACGGGTGGGTTGCACTCTTGCCGTGTGTGCTGTGCAGGGCATCTGCAGGTTGCCCAGGACTGCGGGGAGGGGAGGAGGAGACCTGGTGCCCACCCTGGCTGCCTGGCTCCCAGCATGCCTAGGGAACCATCAGACCACCCAGCTGTCTAACAGACGGCAGAACTGAGGCTACCCTGGGGTGGTGTCTGTGTGCTGGCAAAAATCAGCCAGCCACCTCCTTCTCCCCACAGGTTTCTGTGCAGATTACACACATTTGCTAGGGGGTAAGGTGACTAGCATCCCTTACAGCACCAAGGCCAGGAGAGTTCTTATCTGCACAGATGACAGGCTGCTGAAATAGACAGGTGCATGCCACTCACTAGCTGCTTTTCTGTCTCTTCATTCTTCGTGGTGAGGCATGGGAGTTTTTGATGAAGAGTTTACCTTTCCTCCTTTCACGGAACAAAGCCACTCCTCCACTGAGGGAGGCCTTGAAGCTCCATTGAAATTCACATCATCACAGAGGAGAATTCTTTGCTAGTGCATAATGTTGACAGTTGGACTTTGATTTACATAATCAGGATGGAGCGTTCTCTCCTACACAACGCAGGGTGCAGCTGCGCCCGAGCCAGGCCACCAGAAGGCTCCCAGCCCCCAACCCCCTTTGGAGCTGGAGGGTGTGAGCGCAACCTCATTGCACACCCCCAGCTCATTAACACATTTCCCAAGATCAAGGAGCCGGGTCCTGCTGTCCTCGCACCTACCATTCAGATCCATTTCATTTGAGAATCTTTGACTCAGAAAAGTTGTCTCTTGGTTTTGTCCCTTTGTTAGACCCTTGGGGTCAGCCTGGACTGCCCCATTCCCCACAAGGACACATTGTTATGGAAATCTTGGGGAAGGCTGAGAACACAGTAGACAAACTGCACAATCTCTGTGCCTCCCTGTTGTCCCTCCTTGACCTCTCTCTTCGCAGCCTCTGCTGACATTTTTTGTTTTGTTTTTTTGTTTGTTTTGTTTTGTATTTTAATTGGTCCCAGCAATGCCACAGGCACACCAGCCCCAGGCGAGATTTCAGTACTCAGCAGATCAGAAGCCGTAAACCGAAGCCACCATGATTGGCAGGCTGTTCGGCAGCCGCCCACCTCCCTGGGGACCTGGACCCCTGGCCCCCTTTAAAGCAGCTCCATCCCCAGGGTTATCTCAGCTACTAAGAAAAGTTATAGGTTTTTTTCCACATCAGTCTATTTGTGTCCTTGGAAATGCTCCCCCAAATGAACACAGGTAAATGTCTAGAGAAGACGCAAGTTACCCCGAGTGGTACCATCCAGCTGCACTTTGCCATACACAGGCCTCGCTCGCACCTCGATTCCCCGCCTGGGGACTGCAGGAGCAGCTAATCTGAGAGCAATCAGGAGTGATGAACAAGAGCCACTGGGAATCCTTAGTCCAAACCCCAGTTCAGATGTGTAGCCACAGGACAGCTGCTCCACCTCTCTGGGCCTGAGTTTCCATATCTGTGAAGTGTGATGACGTTGCACTTGCCTCTTCACTAGAAAATTCTTTGCTTTCTACATATTTCATGCCATTAAAGAAATACCCTTGTAAAAAGTCACAGATTTAATTTAATTTTAGAACCCCGACTGAAAAGTGAGCACAATCTTATTATCAGCTAGTAAAATGTTTATGGAAATTCAGAACGGTTCTTTGTTATTTTTCTCTGCAAGCCCACTGAGGTGCTTTAATAAAGATAAACGTGTGCGCATAGCACAGTTGTGTGCCAGGCAGTGTTCTTGGAGCTGGGGATCCAGTGATGACTGTGAAAAGACCAAATGACAACGAATCTAGTTTAAAGGCCTCAACTGGCTTTATTTGCAATTCTAGAATCAGGCAATACTTTATTCCATAAAAAAAGATAAGTTAATTCCAATGAGCTGAGCAAAGGAGATTGGCTTCATAGGCAGAAAAAGGGCTGAAGAAAACAGAAACAAGGAACAAACATTGAATTGGTCATTTTTTTTTTTTTTGAGACAGAATTTCGCTTTTGTTACCCAGCTGGAGTGCAATAACATGATCTCAGCTCACTGCAACCTCTGCCTCCTGGGTTCAAGCGATTCTCCTGCCTCAGTCTCCCAAGTAGCTGGGATTACAGGCATGTGCTACCACGCCCAGCTAATTTTTTGTATTTTTAGTAGAGATGGGGTTTCTGCATGTTGGTCAGGCTGGTCTCGAACTCCTGACCTCAGGTGATTAGCCTGCCTCTGCCTCCCAAAGTGCTGGGAATACAGGCGTGAGCCACCGCACCCGGCCTTGAATTGGTCATTTCAAAGTTACTTTCCTTGTAATGCAGGGACCGGGAGACTAAAAAATAGAAAACTCATGGATTGGTTAATATCAGGTTATTTCAAGTTAAGGATTAAAGCAAGGGGAACTTCATTATCATGCTGACTGAAGACTGAAATTGGCGTGTTTGGTAAATTAGGCTGTTATCTCTCTTTCCTGATTTCCCAGAAGGCCAGGTAACAACTTAGTTTCCATTTGGTGATGTGGAACTTTAACATGGGTGACTCCATTTTGATTTCTAGTCTGGTCTGTTGGGGCCTAGAGCAGGAACTTAGTCCAAGAGCAATGGCCTCTTTTAATTTTTATTTAATAATTCCCCCCTTTTGTCAGGCTGTCACCTAGGTGAGAGAGTGACCAGAACTATTAGCACTCCTCTCAGTTTCTGTGTTTCCAGTCTCAGCGTGTCACTCACAGGTTATGGTATCCTCATGATAATGCATTTCTTTGAGTTTTTGTCATTCCAGCTGAAAAGGGATCATTTGACATTTGGTGGATGGCTGCGTGCAAACATTTAAAACTTTTTTGAGAGGATACAGTGCACCAAGGAGACTACTATTGTGACGATAAGGAGTTTAATACTGAGTATGGAGTATGCTCCTTAGCCAGGGTCCTCATAAACCAAGTGTGTCCTACCTGTGGCCCAGGACAGCTTTGAATGAGGCCCACATTCAAAGCCTGGGCCAAATCAAAATCGTAAACTTTCTTAAAACATTATGAGATGTTTTTTGCGTTTTTGTTTTTGTTTTTTTTTTGTATCTGCTATCGTTAGCATTAGTGTATTTTACATGTGGTGCAAGACAATTCTTCTTCTTCCAATGTGGCCCAGGTAAGCCAAAAGACTAGACAACCCTATAACCAAACCAACTAAAATCAAATAGATCAAAAAATGAGCCTGTGAGTCCTCTACACATTTTGAGTGGCTGTGTATTGATTTTTTGCAGCCGTGTCTCTACGCTACCTGATGTATTCATCTATGTACAACGAGAAATGTCAGCAACTGCACAGCTTCCTCCCTGTTCCGTTGTTACATAGCAATTCTAACATCTAGCTTCCCAGGAGTAGGTTAAATTAAAAAAGAGAGTGCTACCTCTGGAAAAGAGACCACAAATACAATTTGAAAAAACAGTTGTGTTACGGATGTTGCTGAAGTTACCCACTAGGTGGACTAGAGGATTTGTTAGGTCCTGTAACTATTTAGGTTTGATATGACAGGTTCAACATTCCATCCAGTTACCCACAGAAGATACGGATTGTGAAATTCTAACTGCAGCATTATCCTGCCAAGTGAAAGAGGCAGGCATAAGTAAAAAAAAATTAAAAGGGGTAAGAGTCATTATGACATGGAGTCTTCTTCTGCCATCTTGGAGAAGGCTGTCCACAGCTTTAAGTCAGCATCTTGTTGTCCTGGCTTCCAGTTTGAACGTCTCTGACTGTGGCATTGCACGTTCTAGGGAACTCTGTGTGGCTCACACATCAAGGGCATGAGACGTTCCCTTGAGATTTATATCAAGTTGTCCAGCTTCACCTTATAGGACTTCAGAAACAGAGCAGTTTTTGGTTTTAGTCGGAGAGTTGTAAGATATTGGAGAAAATTAGAAGAAGTTAGAATCTAGTCCAGTCTACAGACAGATAATAAAAACTCAAAAACAAGGCCGGGGCTGGGTGCGGTGGCTCACGCCTGTAATCTCAGCACTTTGGGAGGCTGAGGCAGGCAGATTACCTGAGGTCGGGAGCTCGAGATCAGCCTGACCAACATGAAGAAACCCCATCTCTCCTAAAAATACAAAAATTAGCCCGGTGTGGTGGAAGTCACCTGTAATCCCAGCTCCTCGGGAGGCTGAGGCAGGAGAATTGCTTGAACCCAGGAGGCGGAGGTTGCAGTGAGCCGAGATCATGCCACTGCACTCCAGCCTGGGCAACAAGAGCGAAACTATGTCTCAAAAAAAAAAAAAAAAAAAATCTCAAAAACAATGAAAAGGGCCACAGTTTTATAATAGGTGTATTATAGCTTTCTTCTAAAATGTGATTTTTGTCTTATAGTCACCCCCATTTATACCAAAGATCAACAGAGTAAAACTAATTTGTTTGCAAAATAAATTTAGTCTCATTGACCTTATTTACATAATTAATTATATAATTGCAGCAAGAGTAACCACATAGGCTCCTTTTAAATTTGCATTGTTGCATATTTTGACAAAGAATCTCAGATTGGACTTTTATTTGTTCATTTATTTTGAGACAGAGTCTTGCTGTCTCACCCATGCTGAAGTACAATGGTGCGGTCATGGCTCATTGCAGCCTTGACCTCCCCAGCTCAAGTGATCCTCCCACCTTAGCCTCCCAAATAACTGGGACTACAGGCATGTGCCACCACACTGGCTAATTTTTGTATTTTTTTTGTAGAGACGGGTTTTGCCATGTTGCCCAGGCTGGTCTTGAACTGGGTTCAAGTGATTGGCTCATCTCGGCCTCCCAGAGTGCTGGGATTACAGGTGTGAACCACTGTACCTGGCCTCAGATGGGACTTTGAAAAACCTGGATACTAGGAAGCAGAACCAAGGCAGACATCAGACTTTGCCTGCAGTGTCCAATATATTGAGATTCCTGCACCTGCGATGACTTTTTACTCACTGTAAGGCTCGGAACTCTTGAAGCCTAACATTCCATACGTATTCTCAAATATGACATTCCAGTCAAAGCCTTGGTAGTATAACCAATGTTTCTAATTGTATCCTGTTATAAAGAGAGCAAATTATTATTGAAGTTATGCAAATAACCATATTACCATAAAAATAAGAATACTCACAAATAGCTTCTGAATTTAGGAAGTATCAGGTAAGAAGGAAAAGCAAACGTTCTAATTTTTGTTTACAAAAGTATGCTTCACAAAATTGCTGTAAGCTATAGATAGCTTAAAAGGGAAAAAAAAAAAACTTACTTTCCTTAAAACTGGAAGACAGGCTGGGCACAATGACTCATGCCTGTAATCCCAGCATTTTGGGAGGCCGAGGTGGGTGGATCACTTGAGGTCAGGAGTACAAGACCAGCCTGGCCAAGATGGTGAAACCCCATCTCTACTAAAAATACAAAAATTAGCCAGGTTTGGTGACACGTCTGCAGTCCTAGCTACTCAGGAGGCGGAGGTAGGAGAATCGCTTGGAGGCAGAGGTTACAGTGAGCCAAGATAGCACCACTGCACTCCAGCACCACTCTACTCCAGCGTGGGCAGCAGAGGGAGACTTTGTCTCAAAAAAACAAAACAAAACAAAACACAACAAAACAAAACTGGAAAACAAAACATTAAATGAACCAACAATGCTTCAAATTAAAAAGCTGTAAAAACTCGTAATTCTTCTTCATCAGTTCATTCAGCTTCATGTAATTAATTCTTGCTCTGTTTGATCTCAGCAGTTTCACAAACCCATCAGTTTCTTCAGTTGAACTTTAGACTTTCTTACTCAGTCCAATAGTATCTCAAAGTTATCGGAAGCCTATACTTGTTAGACTTCTTTCCATTCTTTCTATAAACCTCCTTGAAGACACAATACTTTAGAATTATAGTTGCCTGCAAAAAGCTTTCAGAAAGGCATCAGAATAAAGCAATTAACTGCAGACAACCAGACTTAAGGTGGCAATGGTTAAAAGCCTTTGAGAGTCCATTATAGAAAGGATGCAATTGACAGGAAAATTTGGTTATTTCTGCAAAGTACAACATTTTAACATAATAACTGACATTATGACTTGATAACACATCAGATTTCTAGAAATCTCATACAATTGTGGCACACCTTAGTAATGTATACAAATATAACTCAAAGAAAATTTAACACCATTTCTTATTTGACAATGTTTTCCACATAATTTAACATATCAAATAAGTCTAATTGGTTTAATATTTCTCTTTTGAACTTCCAGGGGCCCTTCTGGAGTGTCCAAAAGTTAGTTTGAGGTCAAAAATTAATTTTGAATTTGATTTTGGGAAGTTTGTCAAAAATAAAAGTTCAAAAGACTTGATCAAAAATAAGATTACAAGTCACTGTGAAATAATAGTCATTCATTTAGCCAGAGTGATAATTAAAAGACTTCAAAAGAAAATACAGGAAGTAACATAATTGTCAAAAACCTCAACTCTTTAATAGAGATGAGTGTCTGTTTTCCTAAGTAATCAATGACCTAATAAAGAAAACATGAAACATAGGAAATTATTTTGATTAAACAGAATCATTGTTTTCTAGGCCAATTACCTACAAGATCTCACAATAATTTACTAAGAGCAGATGAATACTTTAAAACAAAAACCTTGTTGTTTTAACACAATAAATCAAATTTCAGTTTTGCATCAGTGTACTTTTTTGATATTAAACATTAATTTTTAGAAAAACCTATACAAAGGTAAGGTTTGTTATGTAAACTTCAAGCCAATGTCTTCCCCATTGTAAAAGTTCCTAATGATTTAGATGCAGAGAGGGAGACACCCTTAAAAATAGAATTTCTTTTACAAAGAATTTCAAAAAAAGACAGCTAAGTGCCAAGAAATTGTGTTTTGGAAATCATTTAGTTGATACATACTCTTTTCTACTTTTTAAAAATTTTCATTTATTTATTGATTTGTAGATCAAGATGAAGTCCCACTAAATTGCCTGGGCTGGTCTTGAACCCCTGGGCTCAAGAGATCCTCCTGCCTCAGACTCCCAGAGTGCTGGGATTACAAGTGTGAGCCACTCTACCCAGTCTGGTCTTTTCAACTTAACCTGTTTCTTAATTAGACAACTGGCTTCAGGGCACTGGCCTTGAATAAATAGGGCAAAGAAGGTATTTTCTATTCCTGGATTCATTAATAGAACTCAATTTGATATCCCTCACAACCAATTTTAACCAACTTGATCACACACAAAATTTCTTTCATAAGATTTTACTTCCACAAATCTTCTACAACTTGCTTAAACCTTGTTGTCCTAAATTTCTTTCTTCATATTACAATAACCAATCATTCTACCTAAAGACAAAAATATACTTTTTTCCCCTGTCATTATGACCACACAAAATTCTCTCTCATACAAAAAAAATTACTTTCTCTTTTCAACATTTTTCTATCAAAAATACACACTTATATTTATAGATTTTTTTGCACCACTTTCTCCTACTTACTGGTTTCTGTCTGCCTTGCTTCTATTTTCTTCCTTAGTCCATATTTTGAGACATCTTCTAAATAACCTCCAAGTTAGATGAAATTAGTCTTTTCTTTAACAAAGGTATATCCTCATGTCCTTCTACAATTTTCTCACCAAAAACACATCTTACTTTTTTAATACACTTTGTGTACAGAATTACCTATATTAATTAAAAATTTTAATATGTAATAATCTTAATTTCTAGTGAAAGCCTAGGAAATAAATTTTGAACTGTCACATACTAACATTTTATAAACATGCATGTTATAATTTATAAAAATATGTGATTCCTCATAGAACAATTTTTTATGTTTACTAACAGACCCAAACATATTTAGCTTCACCATACCATATAAAAACAAGATTAGAGGCCAGGTATGGTGGCTCATGCCTGTAATCCCAGCACTTTGGGAGGCTGAGGGGGGCGGATCGCTTGAGGCTAGGAGTTCCAGGCTAGCCCGGCCAACATGGTGAAACCCCGTCTCTACTAAAAATACAAAAAAAAAAAAAAATTAGCTGGATGCAGTGGTACGCACCTGTTATCCAAGCTACTTGGCAAGCTGAGGCAGGAGAATCACTTGAACCCAGGAGTTGGAGGTTGCAGTGAGCTGAGATGGCACCACCACACTCCAGCCTGGGCAACAGAGCAAGACTCTGTCTCAAAAAACAAACAAACAAACAAACAAAGATTATAAAATGTCTTATTCTGTTTAGTGTTGCTATAAAGGAATATATGAGGCTGAGTAATTTATAAAGAAAAGAGGTTTGTTTGGTGCACAGTTCTGCAGACTGTATGAAAAGCATAATGCCAGCATCTGCTTCTGGTGAGGGCTTCAGCCTGCTTCCATTCATGGAGGAAGGTAAAGGTTATCCAGTATGTGCAGATCACATGGAAGAGAAGAAGCAAGAAGGATGGAGAAGGTACCAGACTCTTTCTAACAACCAACTCGTGAGGGAACTCTCACAGGAGCTAATTAAGCAAGAACTCACTCATTACCACTGGGGCGGGGGAAAGGCATTCATGAGGGGTCCCACCCCAGACCCAAACACCTCCCATTAGGCCCCACTTCCAACACTGATAATCACATTTCTTTTCTTTTCTATTATTTAATTTTTTTTTTTTTAGACGGATTCTCTCTCTGTCGCCCAGGCTGCAGTGCAGTGGCACGATCTCGGCTCACTGCAAGCTCCGCCTCCTGGGTTCAAGTGATTCTCATGCCTCAGCCTCCCAAGTAGCTGGGTCTACAGGCTCCTGCCACCATGCCCGGCTAATTTTTTTTTTTTTTTTTTGTATTTTTAGTAGAGACAGAGTTTCACCATATTGGTCAGGCTGGTCTCAAACTCCTGTCCTCAGGTGATCCACCCACCACGGCCTCCCAGAGTGCTAGGATTACAGGCATGAGCCACCGTGCCCAGCCAAGAATCAAATTTCAACATGAGGTTTAGAGGGCCAAATATCCAAACTGTAGCACAAAGCATATATACTTTAAACTTATGTTCAGCAATTAATGTTTCAGTGTTTTAACTTAGAAATGCCTTAAACGTTTCGTGAATATCTATTAATCATAACATGACTTTAAGATTAAGTTACTGAAAAAGATTTTAAAATTATGAGAATGCTATTTATATATTTGTATCCCATTTACATCCACATAATTTACTCATTCTTAACAATTATGCTTACATTGCTGGTTACACAAAGTTAGCCATCATCTCAATGATTTTCCTGCTAACCATTTTACAGCACGCAAGTGATAGACAGTTGCCACCTAAGCAAGAATGCTAAAGTTCAATACATTAGTATTTTGCTGATCAGAAGACACAGCTGTTTTTATTAAACCAACAATATTAAACTAGTCTTACTTACCAAAGATTTACCCAAGTCACACGAACAAAAAGGCATTGAGGTTAGTTTCTTTTTTCTGATAAAATATTTAAGTGCTAACTTTTTCTTTAAGCCAATTCATTATGACTCTTTCTTATATTTTGGTAGAGACACATCACATATACATAACACATATAGACATACAGACACACAGACAGAGGCAGATCTTATAGTTTTAATAAGATTATTCATTTGTAGGTTTTCAAATAGTTTCTCTCCCCTGTTTAGACTATTAATGTCCTGATTACCTGTTCTATTGGCCTAAACAGTTGTTATCTAGGCAACACCAAATTTGTACATCCAAAGGCAGGACTCTTAAAAAGGTAGAAAAGAGTGGAAAGAGGTAGAAAATTTACATGTCAAAGGCACAGAACCTACATCTCTAATTTCTAAAAATCTGAGTACTGTGCCTTCTGATATGCCTGCCTTTTTCATGGGACAAGAGTTATGGCCCCAGAAGCTGCAAATATTCTCAAAAGTGGCAAAGTCTTACTAAAGATAATTCAGAATGACAATGGCTGTTATATGGAATGTTCCAGGTGAACACAAAACTGGTTATGTAAGAAGTGCACTTGAGTCTCAAGTGCCATTTGCCATTATTTGCCAAGACAAAAAAGGTCATAGGTAAAGGCCTAGTTCAGGCAAAATGGCCAGCCAAAGCACCTTATACAAAGGTAAGTCATTTTTTTTTTAAATGTAAACTTCAAGCCAATTTATTCCCCATTGTAAAAGTTCCTAATTATTTACATATAGAAAGGGAAGCGCCCTTAAAAATAGATTTTCTTCATAGATATAAATTTCTTTTACAAAGAATTTTTTTTAAAAGTCAGCTAAGTGCCAAGAAGTTGTGTTTTGGAAATCATTTAGTTGATACATAGTCTTTTCTTTTTTAAATTTTCATTTATTTATTTATTTATTTGTAAATAGAGATGAGGTCCCACTATGTCACCCAGGCTGCTCTTGAACTTCTGGGCTCAAGTGATCCTCCTGCCTCGGACTCCCAAAGTGCTGGGATTACAGGTGTGAGCCACTACACTCAGCCTGGTCTTTTCAACTCAAAAAACCTGTTTGTTAATTAGACAACTGACTTCGCGACACAGCCCTTGAATAAATAGGGCAAAGAAGGCATTTTCTATTCCTGGGCTCATTCCTAGAACTCAATTTGATATCCCTCACAATTGAATTTTTCTTTTTTATTCCAAGAGAGAGGTTGTCCCGTAAGAGTGGGGTTTAAAGTAGAAATAGGGGCTCTGGTGTCTACTCAGACTGGATAACTGGAGGAAGCTTATCAGAGCTTCCCTTGGAGGCCCATCAGTCTTGGTGGTTAATACGAAGATTGTCAGAGGGCTGGCAGGCTCTTTTTATGAGCTTCCCTCAAAATCTTTGTGAGGGCGGCCCCCTTTCCAGTGCCCTGGTTGTTTGCACCAATGACAACAATTTTCTGGAAACCATTGTTTCAGGGACCCAAAGGCCACCCTAGGTTGTTGGTTGCCATGGAGCTGAGGCTCTTCAAGAATGGCTTTCAATGGTCATTTTTCAGGCTTTGCTTGGCCCATAAGTTAGGGCTTGTGAGGTAATATCATTCTGCCTCTTTCTTCCATGTTTGGGCTTCCCCAGTTCCCACACACATGCGGGTTAGTTGGTAGAGATCAGATAACCCAGGGTCACAAGTTCTAGTTGAGATCCCAAATTCTTCAGAAAACTTCCGTAGGTTTTTTCTAGGTTTAGGAAAATTTTAAACTATGGCTCTGAGCTCTATTTTTATCCAGGGAATATAAGTCACTTGAGTATTATTTCCTGGAGTTTGGGGTGGTTTTCTCTTATAAGAAAACTGCTTAACTGTTTTCTTCTGAGAATATAGGCAATTCCGACAGAAAGTTAATAGATTGTGAATATTTAGGCAAAATAGGATAGAGAGGAGCAGTAGGGGTCATGTCAGTTTTACTGTCCTTGGTATGGGTGATGCCTTGCACTTTTAGCTTTTTATTAGCTCTTCACAGTGAATTTTTTAAAAAGCAATTTTAGAATCTTGTTGTCTCTTTGAGACTTCTGAATGCCTGTTAGAATAATAATCCCATTCTCCCTGCCTAATTCAAGGGGCTTGAGACTCAAGTGCACTTCTTAGATAACCAGTTTTGTGTTCACCTGGAACATTCCATATAACAGCCATTGTCATTCTGAATTATCTTTAGTAAGACTTTGCCACTTTTAAGAATATCTGCAGCTTCTGGGGCCATAATTCTTGTCCATGAAAAAGGCAGGCATATCAGAAGGCAGAGTACTAAGATCTTTAGAAATTAGAGATCCCATGTTTATGTTGGCTCTTGGGTATCTCAGAGCCACGATGACTTTTGCTCTGAGACCTCACCATTGAGAAGAGAAGAAATAAAGAGGATCCCTCCAGTAATAACCACTTACTGCCACTGTTATCAGTTACCTTAGAAATGACAGTTTTGTTGCCACAGTGACTCCTCAGTCACTGCAAACCGAAAGGTGGTGTGCCCTGCCACAGCACAAATTAACCTTGGTACTCCAAATGCCAAAAATATCAGAGAGCACTAATGCAAAAGAGAGCAGAACTTCTCAGGACTCCATGAGGAAGACAGGGACCTCCCCAAAAGGTAGAGCGAGCAGGGCCTTCCCTGTGCTCCTGCAGGGGTCTCAGGGTTGTCAGATCTGTCTCTTTCAGGTTCCTTCCTTGGTTGCCAGATCTGTCAAAAGAAGAAATTACAGCAAACTTAGTTTAAATACCTCAGTTGGCTTTATTTGCAATTCTAGAATTGGGCAATACTTTATTCCATAAAAAAGAATTAGTGTTCCAATGAGCTGAGCAGAGGAGGTTGGCTTTATAGGCAAAAAAAAAAAAAAAAAAAGGGTGGGGGGCGGCTGAGGAAAGCGGAAACAAACAGCAAAAAGCAGATTGGTCTTTTCAAAGTGACTTTCCTTATGAGACAAGGACAGGGAGATGGAACTTCGTTCGGGTTAAGGATTAAAACAGAGGGAACTTTATTATCATGCTGATTGAAGACTGAAGGTGGCCCATTTGGTGAATTAGGGCCTTGGCCCCCACAATGGCAACATTGTCTGTTTCAGTAGCAGCCTAACCCAATCTGTGATGATGGCAGATCAGTTACCTCGTAGAGGGTGGGAACTGGATTTACCACACATGGCATTCCATGTGCTTGAAAGAGATGCTTGTTTGAACAATAAAGTGCTACAAATGCCTTCCGATTATAAATGGTGCTGTGACATCCACCTTGTGGTGGAAGACAAGAGTCCCCATGCTCAAACAGCAAGCACGGCAGGGGCTGGTGTGGGAGAGACAGGCACATGGAAACACAGAGCTAATGTCTCCGCCTCCAGACACCTCCTGCTGCCTTGGTGACCCCATGGAGCCTGGATCCGATGCTCTCCCCATTCCTACCACCCATCCAGAGGAGGCGCTGCAACCTCCTCCCACCCCCTCCTCCCACTCTCCCAGAGATAAGAAGGAGATGGCCAACATGACCATGGCCACGCCTTCCTCGGAGTTCTACACACACAGACCAAAACGCCTATACACGTTCAGGGGTTTGTTGACAGATTTGTTTTTACTGAACTAAAATTACACAATTCTCATCACTATGCAACTTTATTACTGCTCCACTTACTTTTTCAAGGGTGTCTTTGTCCATTTTGTATTACTGTAAAGGAATACCTGAGGCTGGGTAATTTATAAAGAAATCTCACAGTTCTGCAGGCTGTATAGGAAGCATGGAGCCAGCGTCTGCTTCCTGTGAGGGCTTCAGGCTGCCTCCACTCATGGTGGAAGAGGAAGAGGAGCCGGTGTGTGCAGAGATCATGTGGCGAGAGAGGAAGTAAAGGAGAGAGGTGCCAGGCTCTTCTTCACAATACGCTGTTGTAGAAACCAACAGAGTGAGAGTTCACTCATTACTGCAAGGATGACGGCACCAAGATACTCTTGAGGGACCTGCCCCCATGACGCAAACACCTCCCACTAGGCCCCACCTCCAACACTGGAGATAAAATTACAGCATGAGATTTGGAGGGGAAAATAGCCACACTATAGCAATGGGTATCCCTACAAACTTAGTAGATTTAGATCTAATTCTATCTTGCATTTCTAATTATTTCATCCATATGCATGTACTTGGGTAGGATGGATCATTCTCTTTTTTTAATTTAAAAATTTTATTTATTTTTAATTTTTTTAATTGACAAGTAAAAATTGTATGCATTTATCATGTTCAACATGATGATGTTTAGAAATATTTTAATAAGGTGTTTATTTTATTTGGCCTTCTCCTTTCTTCCTAGGAAGCCCATATTGGCTATGGTGGTGTGTAACCTTCCATAATTCTCTGCTTGAGTGCACATGTAGTAATGTGTATGGATACAGAATGTGTGCACATATCTAGGGTTTTCGTCAGTGTTCACTTCTAAAGATGGCATCATAGGGAAGGAAAAATAATTTTCTCCTTCACCCTTCATGAGTTCTTACCGGGACTTCTTGTAACAAAAGACAGATAACAAGAGAAACAAACAAAAGTTTAATCATATGTATCCTTCCTGTATATATGGGGGATAACCAGGGAGTTGAGCCAATCTCTTTTTTTTTTCCTTTTGAGATGGAGTTTCACTCTTGTTGCCCAGGCTGGAGTACGATCTTGGCTCACTGCAACCTCCGCTGCCTCCCAGATTCAAGTGATTCTCCTGCCTCAGCCTCCCAAGTAGCTGGGATTACAGGCATGGGCCACCACACCCAGCTAATTTTTTGTATTTTTAGTAGAGATGGGGTTTCTCCATGTTGGTCAGGCTGGTCTCAAACTCCCGACCACAGGTGATCTGCCCACCTTGGCCTCCCAAAATGCTGGGATTACAGGTATGAGCCACCTTGCCCAGCCGAGTCAGTCTCTTTAGTAGATCTCAAAGAGTGGTCTTAGACTTCAGGTTTAAATACCAACTTTTTCTGAAACCAAGAAGGATGGGTGTGGGGAAAGACTTGGTTAAAATGAGATGGCCCAGGAAAATCACTGGAAAACCAGAGGTTAGGTTTGTTACACAGATTGAAGTTGGTGCCTTCTGCCTTGACTGAGTCTCTGGTGATTTAGTCACTCTTCTTTTCCTGGTGCAGAGAGGCAGACACCTTTACAAATGGAGATTTCCTTTATAGATTTAAATTTCCCTTGCAAAAGGGTAACTTCTATGGTGTTTTTCAAAGCTTTCCCTGTGCCTGCAGTTTCTTGAAATAGCCAGCTCAAAATAAACCTTATGCCAAAGAGGCATATGTGGGATGGCATGTTCTGGTCTCCTATAGTCATATTTTGGGTTGGCATGTCCTGAACCCCATTAGCATCATAACTAATATGCTTCTCTGCATTTTAGAACATAGATGATTAAGATTCTTAGAAGCAGTCCAATCCCTTCATTTGAGGAAACTGAAATCCAGAAAGGGGTGACCTGCTGAACTTGGCTAAGCCCAGCCCAACCTGAGCCTGTCCCATTCCCCTTCCTTCTCAACACTCCAGCCACACGGGCCTCCGGCGGCTTCCATCCACCCGTCCAGAGAGGGGGCCTTTGCATGGACTGCCAGGGCATCCTCTTCCCAGAGGGCCGCTTACTTGCTCAATTACTTGGGTCACCTCTGTCTTAAAGAGCTACTCCCATGGACTTCCCTTCCCTTTTTCTCCCCTCCCAGCCCTTATCACTGCCCTATATGATTATCTACTTGTTTATGCATCCCCAGGCCCACTTGAGGAAAAGCTCCAGAGGGCAGGCTCTGTCTCTATGTCCTAGCCCCACAAATACTTTCCATCTGCCATCTCGAGAGCCAAGGGGATCTTGTCTGGAGAAGCTCTAGGCTGGATGGGGCCTCTCCATTGTCTATTGTGTCCTTTTCCTTCAGTTTCCCACCCCCTCCCAATTTTTTTTTTGTTTTGTTTTTGAGACAGTCTCGCTCTGTCACCTAGGCTGGAGTGTCGTGGTACAATCTTGGCTCACTGTAACCTCCGCCTCCCAGGTTCAAGCACTTCTCCTGCCTCAGCCTTCTGACTAGCTGGGACTACAGCCATGTGCCATGGGCTAATTTTTTGTAGAGACGGGGTTTCACCATGTTGGCCAAGCTGGTCTTGAACTCCTGACCTCAAGTGATCTGCCTGCCTTACCCTCCCAAAGTGTTGACTACAGGTGTGCACCATTGGCTAATTTTTTTTTACTTTTGGTAGAGACGGAGTTTCACCATGTGGATCATGCTGTTCTCCAACTCCTGACCTCAAGTGATCCACCTACCTCAGCCTCCCAAAGTACTGGGACTACAGGAACACACCACTGGCTAATTTTTTGTATTTTTAGTAGAGACAGGTTTTTGCCACTTTGGCCAGGCTGGGTCTTGAACTCCTGACCTCAAGTGATCCACCCACCTCAGCCTCCCAAAGTGCTAGGATTACAGGTGTGAGCCACCATGCTCGGCCACTGCAGTTTCCTTATTGCAGCCTGACTCCCAGGGTCAGTGTCTCTAAATTCCTCAGGGGTCACAGAGACTGTCTGAAGAGGATTCATGACAAAATGAGTGAAATGCATCTGCAATCCGGTTTTACTGTATTAGTCTGTTCTCACGCTGCTAATAAAGACATCCCTGAGACTAGGTAATTTTAAAAAGAAAGACATTTAATGGACTTACATTTCCACATGGCTGGGGAGGCCTCATAATCATGGCAGAAGGCGAAGGAGAAGCAAAGCTGTCTTACATAGCAGCAGGCAAGAGAGAGTGCAGCGGAACTGCCCTTTATAAAACCATCAGGTCTCGTGAGATGTATTCACTACCACGGGAACAGCGCAGGAAAAACCCGCCCACATGATTCAATTACCTCCCACTGGGTTCCTCCCATGACACATGGGGATTATGGGAGCTACAATTTAAGATGAGATTTGGGTGGGGACACAGCTGAACCATATCACTGGCGCCCTGTCGGGAACTAGTGATGCTCAAAGTAAAGATGCCAGAGGTCTTCACCCAGAAGGAGAGTCCAGAACCCACCACAGTGTGGCTTCCTTTCCTTGTGTCTTACATGCCCTCACGTCCTCTGAAGCAAATATACTTTTTCATATGCGTTATCACAGCGACAAACAAAAGAGACATCAGGCAGTGGTAATCGGAGCCCTGATTTCACTGGGTAGCCAGTGGCTACTCTGTTGCAGGACTAGGGCTCCTTGGGTAGTAACTGAAAGAAATAGATTATGTCCAGCCATGTGTGGACTGCAGCTGGGGCTGGAGCCCTGAATCAGGAGCCGAGCACTTGAGCTTTCAGGGTGCAGGGCCTGTGGGAAACGGGCCATGGACCTCCTCGGGGGGATGGAGGCCCCTCAGTCGGGAGGTGCAAGAAAGAGGAGCTGCTTTTGGGGTCACAGAGGGGCCAGGGGAGGCAGAGCTTGTGCCCAACCTTGGGGTCAACCCGGCTGCCAATAGGCCCATGCAAACCCAAGACAGTGGGCCATCAGGAAGGCACTGTGGAGGGGTAATCCGCGTAATGGCCCAGAACACGGCGTAACAGCTGGCTGTGGCTAATGCTCCTCAATATCTGCTTTTATGTGATTAATGGCTGTGGATAAAACCTTGATCCCAGGAAAGCAGGCCCAGCGGCTAAGCCTAGCCAAGAGCACCACTTTGGTTATGCTGGGAGCCCGAGTCATTTTGGCGATTTTCATTTTAACCAAGCTGTCATTTTAGTATGTGAGGAAAAAAAATAAAAGTGGTAGGAACTACACTCACAGAGAGCCCAGAGAGGGGGCAGCAGGGGGGTGGGGGCGAGCCTGGTGCTGGAAGTGTGAAAACAGCTGGGGGCCCAAGTGCCCTGACTCCCCTGGCCACCCACTCACTGCTTCCACCCACTCTCACTTCCCTTGGGTTCACACTATCTCCCCGGACCCCTCTCTGACCCCTCCAGTCTAACCAGTGATCAGAGAATGTTTCTGCCACTACAGCAGTCCCCCCTTCATCCACAGGGGATGCCTGAAAGGGTAGCTGGTACTGAACCTGATGGCTGTCAATCAGAACACATCGCTGTCCATGTCTTCCACCCACAAATGTAATGCCTTTTCCATCTTAACTAAGCTCTTATCGCACATGGTGGCCGAAACTTTGGCAGTTTGAAGTGCGACAGCAAAACTTGCACACATTTTTTTTTCCTTCTTCATAATTTCACACATAGAAGATTCGTTCTTACTGTAGATCTTAGCAAACTAAGCATATGCTTTTTTCCCTTCAGTTGAGGACTTTCACCTTTTCACTGAAAGGAAGCACTGCGCTCGTCTCTTTGGCATATCTGAATTGCCAGCATCACTACTTTTGCGCGTTGGGGCTGTGATTAAGTAGCACAAGGCTGACCTGAACACAAGCACTGTGCTGCCGCAACAGTCGCTCTAAGTGGCTGATGGTTGGTGTAAACAACACAGATAGGCTGGATGAAGGGAGGATTCATGCCCAAGACAGGGCAGAGTAGCATGCAATTTAAAACCTATGAATTGTCCGTTTCTGGAGTTTTCTATTTGACCCTGGATAACACCCCAGAAAGTGAAACTGCAGATAAGAAGGACTACTGATTTGCACATCTTTTTTCTGTGCCTGTTTGTAACCGTTGCCCAACGGATTCTCCTTGCCCTCTGCCTAGACAGAGCCAATTTATCAAGACAGGGGAATTGCAATGGAGAGAGTTTAATTCACGCAGAGCTGGCCGTACGGGAGATGGGAGTTTTATTATTACTCAAATCAGTCTCCCTGAACATTCGGAGACTAGGGTCTTTTAAGGATAATTTGGCAGGTAGCGGGCCCGGGAGTGCGGAGCATTGATTGGTTGGACTGGAGATGAAATCATAGAGGGGCAAAGCTGTCCTCCCACACTGCAGTTCCTGGGTGGGGGCCACAAGACCAGATGAACCTGATTACCACCAGTCTGGGTGGCATCAGCTGGTGCATCAGAATGCAGGGTCTACAAAATATCTCAAGCACTCATCTTAGGTTTTACAACAGTGGTGTTATTTCCAGAAGCAATTTGAGGAGGTTTGGAATCTTGCAGCCTCTGGCTTCATGACTCCTGAACCTTATTTCTAATCTTGTAGCTAATTTGTTAGTCCTACGAAGGCAGATTGGTCCCTAGGGAAGAAGAGGATTTGTTTTCGAAAAGGGCTGTTATCATCTTTGTTTCAAAGTTAAACTATAAACTAAGTTCCTCCCAAAGTTAGTTCAGCCTACACCCAGGAATGAACAAGGACAGTTTGGAGGTTAGAAGCAAGATGGAGTCGGTTAGGTCAGGTCTCTTTCACTGTCATCACTTCCTCAGTTACAAATTTTGCAAAGGTGGTTTTATGATCTCTTTTGCTTCTCATTTTGACCCTGTAAATAGCAGGGTGGGGTGCACAAAGGTCAGATGCCAGGTAAGACACTGGGCAGGTCCTGGAGGTCCCAATGCACCCGGCATTAACCCTTCAGTTGCTGGGCCATGAAGATGTGTCCAGGAGTTTCAGGGGAGCCACACCACCCAGGCAGCTCTGAGCAGTGGCTACTTCCCGATCTGTATGGAACACCCTGATGTCTTTGTCCTGGAAGAGCATCCCTGCTGAAGACCAGCCCTGCCCAGGACATGGAGGAAGTGGATGCTTTGGTTCCAAATCACAGATGGGAAAACTAAGGCTCAGAGAGCATGTGGAGTCTGCAGAATGTCCCTGACAGAGTCAGCCACTGGTTGAATTTCACATATTCTCTCTTCTCTGCCAAGGTGGCCTACCGGAACCCATGGCCATTGGTCCACAGTGGGCTTTCACTCACTGTCCAGTGTTCTGTAATACCTGGGCAAGGAGGGAACCACACACGGGTGTCAGATGCCCCCAAAGTGACCACAGACAGCTGACACGAACATCTGGGCTATGTTTAGCATATACTACGGTTGTATGCCAGGATTCTCCGTAATACACACAGCCTTTACTCCTTTCTATCCCTCTGCTCCCATTTATAAGACCATTCTAAGCAATGGTATTATGTTGAACCACTTAAAATGGCCATCTTTGTAGGTCAAAATAGTCAGATAGCAGCAATTTCATGTATTTTTCAGAAAGTTGACAAACTACAGCTGAGTATCAGGTCGGCACTGGAGGCGGCCAGGTGGGGGCAGCAGAGAGCTGAGTGGGCAGAAACCGGGGCTCATAGGCGGTGAGGTTCTGTCAACGGAGCTGCAAGAGAAGTAACCCTGCAGGGTCCCACCAAATGACCCAAAGTGGAAAGGGCCAGGCGGCCCGGGTCCCTTACTGGACAGATCTGCGCAGTAAGCACAAGTCAGCACTGTTGCTGTGGCACTGGCACCATCAGTACTTGACCTAGGATCACCTGCCATGTCTAGTCCTGCCAACCTTCAAGACCGAGCTTCCAGGACAAGGGACCTGCCCAGCTCCAGCTCCTCCTGACCACAGTCCACAGTGGAGAAATGACACAGCACTTGTCCAAAAACAGCGCTACACGAAGCTCCAAAGGCTGATCCACATGCCATTCTCTGTGACTGAGCCTTTGACTCGTGAGCCTCCAGCAGGCTTCCTTTCCCCTCCTGCAAGCTCCCGAGGAGGCTGCCACCGGAATGGCATGTGGCCATCAGCACTGGCTGGAAGCGCAGATGATGCACTCTCAACCAGTGCAGTGATGCAGCCACCTCTGACTGGAAGCCGGAGCGGGGGGGCTTTCATCTGAATTAGCTACAAAATTTGCTGAGTTCTATGCAAAATAAAAATGCTGGCCCTCTGTTCAAAAATTGTAAAGAATTTCAAGATGGCAACAGCAAAGTATAAAACCAAATGCAGGTTTCTGATGGCAGGGCCCCATGAGCCTGCACAGGTCGCCCACCCAAGGGGCCAGCCCTGGCATTTGTCTTGAGTGGAGAGCCTGTCTGGAGTGGTATGGGGTGTGTTGGGGCTGCCTCTGCATGTCTGCCTATGCCCGTCAGTGATGCGGTGGCTTCATGGCTCTGGAAGCAGAGAATCCCTGGCACATCCCCATCCAGCACCGTCTCCCCCAGTTGTGAGCAGGAAGGGGGTTGTGGCACCTGAAATAAGAATGCAAAGAGCTCCCGAGGCTTGGGGGTGGTGTTGGGCACCCTCCTGGCGATATGGGGTGTGCACCTGTGCAGCCGGCCAGGTGACCAGCATCCCTTATGGTTCATGAGTCAGGAGCAGGGCTCAGAGAGAAGAATTCAGAACAAAGACAGACGATGCAGCCCACAAGCGAAAGAGACGGGCAGGCTAGAAAATGTGGGAGGGGTCAGAGCTCCACGGCAGCCGGTGGGCACAGCCCAGGACAGGGGGATGGCGTTCTCACCCCACAGTCATTAACTATTGAACATTGATTGATAGTGATTGTTGAATACTGTAAATATTGCTCCTGGGTGCCAGTGGGTTGGTTGCCCCCAGAGACAGTCACCAATCCTGAGCTCATGGGAATAGGGGAGCCCTTACCCTGTGTGCTGTGGTTAACGCACTGGTCAGCAGAGCGGGGAGGGGAGGCACAGGTCAAAGTCTGCAGATAATAAAGATCCAGTCCAGATAATAAAGATCTGGTTTCAGCCCTGGCTCTGCCTTGGACCAGCTCTGCTATGTCAGCCAAGTTACCACCTCTCTGAGTCGAGGGAAAGAATGCCAGCGCTTTCTCCTGGACTCCAGGCACAGACCCCACGAGCTACAGGGACCTCCACTTCCAGGCCCCTTGGCATCGCTTTAACACTTAAACCCCACTGGTTCGCGTCCTTGTTTCTCATCCTCTGGGAGCCGAGCGCCTGCCTCATTTCTGGGGCTCCCTGGCTGCCCTCGTTTCACAGTCACTGCTGGTTCCTGTGAGATCTAGATGCTCACCCTCCACCCCTTCCACCCAGCGCCTCTTGAAGCTCTGGTAGCTCTGCCTTCTCGCCACCCTGTCCCACCCAAGTATGGAACTGAGCTCTTTGTGACTCCACAAAACAAGACTTAGCTGAGGAAGCTGTGTGAGGTCAAGTTGTAGTGAAGGTTTGAGAACGACAGTGGAACCCAAACGGAATGTTAGCCTCACCACCTCCCTGTCCTGGGCTGCCCTCAGCTGCCACAGGGCCACCTTCCCACTTTCACCACATTTTTCTCTTGTGGAATTTTGAATTCTCTTGTGTTATTTGGCTTTGTTTTGAATTCCCCTGTCTGAGCCTTTCTCCTCAGAATTCTGCCTTCTGCGGAAACTCAGCGGTTAAGATGCTTTTCTGGTAAACTAAAGGCCACCTGCCCCTGGGGACTGGTAGGCCTTTGGCCACTCTGAATTGCACCCAGATGGCAGCTACCCACAAGAGGCCCCAAGTAGCAGAGAATGAGAAACATACACAAACTGACTGGGCATCCTTGGAGATGCCACGAGATAAGCTTTGCAATGGCCTCTTCTCCACAGTCAAGGTCAGGAATCACCTAGAAACCCAGAAGGAATGAGAAATCTCAAGACTTCAGCCTGGGGCCTTCACAAACCAGCTTCATGGGGTAAATTGCTTAACACCTTGATTTCTCCAGCTGAGAAATGGGGATACTAGCACCCTTTCCATTAACTTCTACAGTTATGAATATCATAAGGCAAATGCATTTCTGTTTGTTTGTTTGTTTGTTTGTTTGTTTGTTTGTTTTGAGACAGGATCTCACTCTGTCGTCTAGGCCGGAATGCAGTGGCACGATCTCAGCTCACTGCAACCTCCACCTCCCGGGTTCAAGCGATTCTTGTGCCTCAGCCTCCTGAGTAGCTAGAATTGCAGGCGTTCGCCACCACACCTGGCTAACTCTTGTATTTCCTTTAGTAGAGACGGGGTTTCACCATGTTGGCCAGGCTGGTCTCGAACTCCTAACTTCAAGTGATCTGTCTGCCTTGGCCTCCCAAAGTGCTGGGATTACAGGCTTGAGCCACTGCGCCTGGCCGGCAAATGCATTTCTAAAGTGCTTTGAAAAGCAAGCCATTTCTCAAATGCCTAATAAAAAAAATCTTCTGGCAACTCACCCAGCCTACACTGCCAGCATCAGCTCCATCCTCCCAGCTTCTGGCCACCACCTCCTAGGACACTGGACCCACTCTAAGAGACCATAGGTACTTCTAACCCTGCCAAGGATGGGAGAGTTGTGAAAGGAAGAGGAGTGGGGAGGAGAAGGGAACATCTACCAAACTGGGTTCTGTGTGCACATGCATTGATCACAGGAGGTATCCATAAGAGAGAGCCACACATCCCCACGGGAGTTTCGCAGTGGCTTCCTGCAGTTGTTGGATGCAGTCTTCTATGAATGCTCTTTGGTCAGTTTTGTTAACTGCATTCTTCAAATCTGTATCCTTCTTGAATTTGTTATCTGTTTTATTATCAATTACTGTGAAAGATGTGTTTAAATTTCTTATTATGATTTCTTATTGTGATTATGCCAATTTTTACTCTGTTTATTTTGTTTTGTTTGTTTGTTTCTTTCTTTTTGTTTGTTTTTTGAGACGAAGTTCCACTCTGTCCCCCAGGCTGGAGTGCAGCGGTGTGATCTTGGCTCACTGCAATCTCTGCCTCCCGGGTTCAAGTGATTCTCCTGCCTCAGCCTCCCGAGTAGCTGGGATTACGGGTGCCCGCCACCATGCCCGGCTATTTTTTTGTATTTTTAGTAGAGATAGGGTTTCACCATGTTGGCCAGGCTACTCTCGAACTCCTCACCTCAAGTGATCCACCTGCATCAGCCTGCCAAAGTGCTGGGATTACAAGCGTCAGCCACTGCACCCAGCCATACTCTGTGTGATTTTAATTTGTATTATTAGGTGCTGTTTTTTAGTTATATTATTAGGTGCATACACATTTTAATTTTAATTTTTTAATAATTTTTTTTTTTTTTTTTTTTTTTTTTTGAGACGGAGTCTCGCTCTGTCGCCCAGGCTGGAGTGCAGTGGCGGGATCTCGGCTCACTGCAAGCTCCGCCTCCCGGGTTCACGCCATTCTCCTGCCTCAGCCTCCCAAGTAGCTGGGACTACAGGCGCCCGCCACTACGCCCGGCTAATTTTTTGTATTTTTAGTAGAGACGAGGTTTCACCGTTTTAGCCGGGATGGTCTCGATCTCCTGACCTCGTGATCCGCCCGCCTCGGCCTCCCAAAGTGCTGGGATTACAGGCGTAAGCCACTGCGCCCGGCCGCATGTATTCTTTTAATGGCTAGAATTTCTTTTTCAGAGTAGTTTTAGGTTTGCAGAAAATTGAGCATGTAGTACAGAGAGCTCCCATGTACTTCCTGTCTCCCCCTCACAGCTGTCCCAGTTAGCAACATCTTGCACGGTGTATATTTGTTCTAACTGATGCGCCAATATTGACACATTACTATTAACTGAAGCCCAGAGTTTACATTGTAATTTACTCTTTGTGTTGTACATTCTGAGTTTTTTTGTTTTTTGTTTTGTTTTGTTTTTTGAGACACAGTCTCGCTCTGTCACCCAGGCTGGAGTACAGTGACACGTTCTTGGTTCACTGCAACCTCCTCCGCCTCCCAGGTTCAAGCAATTCTCCTACCTCAGTCTCCCAAGTAGCTGGGATTACAGGCATGCGCCACCACACCCAGCAAATTTTTTGTATTTTTGAAAGAGACGGGGTTTCACCATGTTGGCCAGGCTGGTCTCGAACTCCTAACCTCAGGTGATCCGCCCACCTCGGCCTCCCAAAGTGTTGGGATTACAGGCATAAGCCACTGCGCCCAGCCCATTCTTAGTTTTGACAAAACTTAATGTCAGGTATCCACCCACCATTACCATATCATACAGAATAGTTTCACTGCCCTAAAAATCCCCTGTACTCCAACTGTTCATCCCGCCCTGTCTTCCCCCAAAACCCTGATATTCACTGATCTTTTTAATGTCTCTATAATTTCGCCCTTTCCAGAATTGGAATCATACAGTATGTAGCCTTCTCAGATTGACTTTTTTTTTTTTTTTTTTTTGAGACAGAGTCTTAACTCTGTCATCCAGGCTGGAGTACGATGGTGCGATCTTGGGTCACTGCAACCTCCGCCTCCCGGGTTCCATCTATTATCCTGCCTCAGCCTCCCAAGTAGCTGGGATTACAGGTGTGCACCACCACGCCTGACTAATTTTTGAATTTTTAGTAGAGAGAAGATTTCACCATGTCAGCCAATCTGGTCTTGAACTCCTGGCCTCATGCGATCTGCCTGACTTCGCCTCCCAAAGTGGTGGGATTATAGGCATGAGCCACTGTGCCTGGCCTCAGATTGATTTCTTTGACTAAGCAATATCATTTAAGGTCCTGCAAATCTTGGGGCCTGATGGCTTATTTATTTATTTATTTATTTATAGACGGAGTCTCACTCTGTCATCCCTGCTAGAGCACGATGGCGCGATCTCGGCTCACTGCAACCTCTGCCTTCCAGGTTCAAGTGATTCTCCTGCTTCAGCCTCCCAAGTAGCTGGGATTGCAGGTGTGCACCACCACGCCCAGCTAACTTTTGTATTTTTTAGTAGAGATGAGGTTTTACCATGTGGGCCAGGCTAGTCTCAAACTCCTAACCTCAGACGACATGCCCACTTTGGCCTCCCAAAGTACTGGGTACCACACCCAGCCCCGATGGCTTATTTCTTTTTAGCACTGAATAATGCTCCATTGTCTGGAGGTACTGCATGTACCCATTGAAGGACATCTTGCTTGCTTCACATTTTTAGCAATTATGATGAATAAAGCTGTCATAGACATTTGTGTGCAGGTTTTGGTGTGGACATACATTTTGAATTTGTTTGAGTAAATGCCTAGGAGCCCATTTTCTGGATCATAAGATAAGACTATGTTTAGTTTTATAAGAAACTGCCAGACTGTCTTACAAAGTGGCACTCCAACCAGCAATGAATCAGTTTCTGCTGCTCTGCATTCTCCTAGCATTTGAAATTGTCAGTTTTTTGGGTTTTAGCCATTCAAATAGATGCGTAGTAGTATCCCATGGTTCCTTATATTCCCAATAACAAATGATGTTACAATTCCCACTATTCCTGATAAAAAATGATATTGAGCATATTTTGATATGCTTATTTACCATCTGTATATCTTCTTCGGTGAGGTGTCCAAATCTTTTGCCCATATTTTTAATTGGGCTATTTGTTTTCTTATTGTTGAGCTTTAGGAGTTCAACATATATTTTGGATACAAGTCCTTTATCAAATGTGTGTTTTGCAAATATTTTCTCCTAGTCTCTGTTTTTTAAATGTACATAGCCATGTCTTTTACAGAGCAGAAGTTTTTCATTTTAGTAAAGTTTATCAATTTTTTTCTTCCCTAAGCCATTCTTTTGACATTGCATCTGAAAAGTCATCGCCAAACTCTAGGTCTCCTGGATTTTCTCCTATGATATCTTCTAGATGTTTTATAATTTTATGTTTTACATTTAGGCCTGTGAGCCACTTTAATTTTTGTGAACGGTGTAAGGTCAGTGTCTAGATTCATTTATTTCCATGTGGATCTCAGTTGTCCCAGCATCATTTGTTGAAAAGACCGTCCTTTCTCCATTGGATTGCCTTTGCTCCTTTGTCAAAGATCACTTTATTGCATTAGTGCAGGCCTATTTCTGGGCTGTCTGCTCTGTTGCATTAAATTTTTGTGAGTGTGTATTATTTCACCAATACCACACTGTCTTAATTATTATAGCTTTATAGTAAATCTTGAGGTTGGGTAAGGTCAGTCCTCTGAGTTTGTTCTTCTTCAGTATTATGTTGCTTATTTGGGGTCTTTTACCTTTCTGTATAAACCTTTGAATGAGTTTGTCAGTATCCCCCCTGACCCAAATAACTTACTTGCTGGGGTTTTGACTGGGGTTCATTGCATCTATAGATCAAGTTGGGAAGAGCTGACATCTTAACAATATTGAGTTTTCCTATCTATGAACATGAAATATCTCTTCATTTATTTATAACTTATTTGATTTATTTCATCACAGTTTTATAGTTTTCCTCATGTTTATCTTGGACATATTTTGTTAAATTTATTACTAAGTACTCTATTGTTTGGTACTAGTGTAAAAGATATGTTTTTATTTGAAATTCCAGTTGTTCATATCTGATATATAGGAAAACAACTGACTTAAATCTATTAACCTTGTATCCAACAAACTTGCTGTTATCACTTATTAGTTCCAAGAGTTTTTTGGTTGATTCTTTGGAATTTTCTAGATAAACCATCAAGTCATCTGTGAGCAAAGACAGTTTTATTCCTTCCTTTCCAATTTTGCATAACTTTTATTTCTTTTTCTTATCTTATTGCATTAGCTGTAATTTTCAGTATGATGTTGAAAAGGAGTAGTAGGAGGGGACATTCTTACCTTATTCCTTATTTTAGTGGGAAAGCTTCTAGTTTCTCACCATTAAGTATGGTGTTAGCTGTAGGTTTTGTTGTAGTTGTTCTTTATCAAGTTGTGGAAGTAACCGTCTATTCTTAGTTTGCTGAGAGTTTTTATTATATACAGGTATTGGATTTTCTCAAATGCTCTTCTACATCTATTGATATGATCATGTGATTTTTCTTCATCCTGTGGATGTGATGAATTACAATGATCGATTTTTAGACATTGAATCAGCCTTGCATATCTGGGATAAATCTAATTTGGTCATGGTGTATAACTATATGTATTGTTCTTTATACATTTCATACACTAGTTTGATTTACTAATATTTTGTTGAGGAATTTTTGCATTTATGTTCATGAGAAATATTGGCTATAGTTTCTTTTTTTTCTTATAATGTCTTGGTTTGGTTTTGATATTAGGGAAATGCTGGCCTCATATAATGTTAGGAACTATTCCTTCTGCTTCCATTTTGTGGAAAAGATGGTGGAGAATTGGTATATTTTCTTCCTCAGACGTATGGTATAATTCACCAGTGAAACATCTAGGCCTGGTGCTTTCTGTAGGGGCAGCTTATTAGTTATTGACTTAATTTTTAATAGATATTGCCTATTCAGGCGACCTATTTCTCATTGTATGAGTTTTGAAAGATTGTGTGTTTCAAGGAATTTGTTCATTTCATCTAAGCTATTAAATTTGTGGACACAAATTTGTTCATGTTATTCCTTTATTATCCTTTTAATGTCCATTGGATCAGCAGTGATGGCCTTTCTTTGATTTCTCATATCAGTGACTGCATCTGATCTCTTTGGTTAACTTGACTAGAGATTCATCAATTTTATTGATCTTTTCAAAGAATCAGCTTTAGTTTTCTCTACTGATTTCCTGTTTTTAATTTCATTGATTTCTGCATTGATTTTTATTTCTTTTTCCTGCTTATATTAGTTTTAATTTGTTCTTCTTTCTACTTTTCTAAGGTGAAAACTTAGATTACCGGTTTTAGAGCTTTCTTTTTTTTTTTTTTTTTTTTTTGAGATGGAGTCTTGCTCTGCGCCCAGGTCAGAGTGTAGTGGCACATCTTGGTTCACTGCAACATCTGCCTCCTGGGTCAAAGCAATTCTCTGCCTTGGCCTCCCAAGTAGCTGGGATTACAGGCACCCACCACCATGCCTGGCTAAATTTTGTGTTTTTAGTAGAGACGGGGTTTCACCATCTTGGCCAGGCTGGTCTTGAACTTCTGACCTCGTGATCTGCCCACCTTGACCTCCCAAAGTGCTGGGATTACAGGCGTGAGCCCCTGCACCAAGGAGATCTTTCTTTTTTTCTAATACATACATTCAATACTACAAATTTCTCTCTAAGCACTGCTTTCACTGCATTCCCACACATTTTGGTAAATTGTGTTTTCATTTTCATTTAGTTCAAAATGTTTTAAAATTTTTCTTTGACTCCTGTTATTTAGAAGGGTATTGTTTACTCTCCAACTATTTAAGGATTTCCCAGATATCTTTCGGTAATTTTTTTTTTTTTGGTCTAATTCCATTGTGGTCTGAGAGCATACTTCACGTGATTTTTATTCTTTAATTTTGCTGGGGTGTGTTTTGTCTCAGAATGTTGTCTTTCTTGGTGAATGTTTCATGTGGGTTTGAGAAGAATGTGTATTCTGCTGTAGTTGGATGAATTATACTGTAAATGTCAATTAGATTAAGTTAATAGATAGTACTGTTAAATGCAACTATATCCTTACTAATTTTCCCTGTGTTGGATCCATAAATTACTGATAGATGTGTTTTGGAGTCTCCTACTACAACAGTGGATTTTTATATTTCTCCTTGCAGTTCTGTAAGTTTTTGCCTTTTGCAAACTGACATCATTGTTAGACACATACACATCAAAAATTCTTACATCTTCTTGGAGAACTGACCCCTTTATTATTATTATGTAATGTCCTATTTATCCCAATAAGTTCCATTTTTCTGCTTTACCTGGAATTAATATAGCTACTCCAGCTTTCTTTTGACTAATTATAGCATGGTATATCTTTCCCTATATTTTAACTTTTAATTTGCTATATCTTTATATTTAAAGTGGACATTATAAATGGGAGCTAAACAATGGGTAAAAAAAAGAAAAAAGAAAAAAATGTAAAATAAAGTGAACAACATAGTTGGGTCTTATTTTTATTATCCACTCTTGACAGACTCTGTTTTTTAGTTGGTGTATTTAGGCCATTTACATTTATAGTAATTATTAATATAGTCAGATTAATATCTATCATATTTGTAACCATTTTCTATGTATTACATTTGTCTTTTCTTCCCTTCTTTTTCTGCCTTCTCTAGTTTCAATTGAGCATTTTATAAAATTCCACGTTCTCTCTTCTCTTACCATATTAATTATCTTTTTAGTGGTTGCTCTAGAGTTTGCAGTATACATTTAAAACTAACCTAAACCCACTTTCAATTAACACTATATCACTTCATGAGTAGTGCAAGTAGTTTATGGCAGAGTATTTCCAATTTTACACTCCTGTTCCTTATAACATCATTGTCATTTATTTTCCTTATATATGTTATAATCGCCAAATACATTGTTGTTATTATTTTTGTACAAACAGTTATCTGTTAGATAAATTAAGAAAAAATAAAAGGTTTTACTTTACCTTTATTTATTTCTTCTCTAACACTCTTCATTTATGTAGATTTGAGTTTCTGACCCATATCTTTTCCTTCTCTTGAATAACTTCTTTTAGCATTTTTCACAAAGTAGATGTACTGGTGACAAATTTCCTCAATTCTGTTTGTCTGAAAATATCTTTATCTCTTTTTCACATCTGAAGGATAATTTCTCTGGATACAGAATCTAGGTTGTTGGTTTGTTTCTTTTAACACTTGAAATATTTCTTCTCATTTTCTTCTTGCCTTAATGGTTTCTGACAAGAATGCTGATATAGGTTTTACCCTTGTTCCTCTATAGATAAGTTTATTTATTTATTTATTTATTTATTTATTTTTGAGATGGAGTTTCACTCTTGTTGCCCAGGCTGGAGTGCGATGGTGCGATTTTGGCTCACCACAACCTCTGCCTCCTGGGTTCAAGCAATTCTCCTGCCTCAGCCTCCCGAGTAGCTGGGATTACAGGCATGCACCACCATGCCCAGCTAATTTTTTGTATTTTTAGTAGAGACGGGTTTTCTCCATGTTGGTCAGGCTGGTCTCGAACTCCTGACCTCAGGTGATCTGCCCACCTCGGCCTCCCAAAGTGCTGGGATTACAGGCATGAACCACTGCGCCTGGCCAGTAAGTTATTTTTTAATCTGTCATGCAACGGACTGAATGCTTGTGTCCCTTCCCCATCAAATTCATGTGTTGAAACCCTAATCCCAATGTGATGGTAATTATAGGTGAGATCTTTGGGGAGTGATTGGGTCATGAAGACAGAACCTTCATGAATGGGATTCATGCCCTTATCAGAAAAGACCGGAGATCCAGCTAGCTTGCTTTCCACTATGTGAGGATACAATGAGAAGCTGGCAATCAGTCTTCTCAGCTTCTTGGCCTTTTGGGTAAGATCAAGTGAGAAGTTGGCAATCTTCAACCCAGAAGAGAGTTCTAACCCAACCATGGGGCACCCTGATCTTGGACCTTCAGCCTGAGAACTGTGAGAAATAAATTTCTGTTGCCACTCGTTCTACAATATTCTCTTATAGCAGCCCAAACTGACTAAGCCATCTTGTTTTTTTTTTCCGAAATTTTCTCTTTGTCTTTGGTTTTCTATAGTTTGAACACGATAGGTCCACATATTTTGGTATTTATCATGCTTAATGTTTTTCAACATTTCTGGTTCAGTGGTTTGGTGTCTGCCCTTAATTTTGGAAAATTCTCAGACAGTTACTACAAATATGTCTCCTGCTCCTTTCCCTCTTTCTTCTCCCTCTGGTATTTATATTACATGTACGATACAGCTTTTTATTTATTTATTTTTATTATATAGTTTTTGAGACAGGGTCTGGCTCTGTCACCCAGGCTGGAGTGCAGTGGTGCAATCTCAGCTCATTGCAACCTCTGCCTCCTGGGTTCAAGGGATTCTCATGCCTCAGCTGCCCGAGTAGTGAGATTACAGGCATGCACCACACCTAGCTAATTTTTTGTATTTTTAGTAGAGATGGGGTTTCACCACGTTGGCCAGGCTGGTCTTGAACTCCTGACCTCAAGTGATCCTCCCACCTCGGCCTCCCAAAGTGCTGGGATTACAGGCGTGAGCCACTGCGCCCAGCCTGATACAGCTTTTTTAACTGTTCCACAATCTTTGGATACTATGTTCCTTCTCTTAATTCTTATTTTAATTTGCATTCCAGTTTTGGAAGTTTCTATTTGCATCTTCAAACTCATTAATTATTTTCTTGGTAATGTCTAGCCTCTTGATCAATGGCATTTTTATTGCTGTAGGTGTTTTTGATCTTTAGTTTTTCCTTTTGATTATGTCTTAGAGTTTCTCTTTGATAATATTACACAGCTGCTCTTGCATGCTGTCCACTTTGTTCATTAGAGCCCTTAGTGTGTGTGTGTGTGTGTGTGTGTGTGTGTGTGTGTGTATTTTTTTTTTTTTCTTTGAGACAGAATCTCACTCTGTTGTCCAGGCTGGAGTGCAGTGAAGTGATCTCGGCTCACTGCAACCTCCACCTACCGGGTTCAAGCAAGTCTCCTGCCTCAGCCTCCCAGATAGCTGGGACTACAGGCTTGCACCTCCATGCTCAGCTATTTTTTTTTTCCTGAGACAGAGTTTCGATCTTGTTGCCCAGGCTGGAGTGCAGTGGCACGATCTCGGGTCTCTGCAACCTCTGCCTCCTGGGTTCAAGCAATTCTCCTGCCTCAGCATCCTGAGTAGCTGGGATTACAGGCTCGTGCCACCATGCCCAGCTAATTTTTGTATTTTTAGTAGAGATGTGGTTTCGCCATGTTGGCCAGGCTGGTCTCGAACTCCTGACCTTAGGTGATCCACCCACCTTGGCCTCCCAAAGTGCTGGTATTACAGGCATGAGCCACCATGCCCGGCCTAATTTTTGTATTTTTAGTAGAGATGGGGTTTTGCCATGTTGGCCAGGCTGCTCTTGAACTCCTGACCTCAGATGATCCACCCACCTCGGCCTCCCAAAGTGTTGGGATTACAGGCGTAAACCACCGCACCCAGCCAGAACCCTTAGTATATTAATTGTAGTTATTTAAAATTCCCAGCCTGGTGATTCCAAACTCTCTGCTGTATCTGAGTCTAGTTCCCTTGCTTGCTTTCTCTCTTCACACTGCCTTTTCTTGCGTTTTGGCATACCTTGTAATTATTTTATTGAAAGCCAGACATGATGCATTGCATAAGAAGAAGTGAGGTAAATAGGCCTTTAATGTGAGGGTTTATGTTTATCTGGCCAGGGATTACACTGTTTACCGTAGGTGTGGGTGTTTCTGGCTTCACTTTCCTCCAGCATCTTTTTTTTCTCTCTCTCTGTTATCTTTGGGTTCCCTAGGAAATTCTTAAATAGTCTAAGCCTTGCAGTTTTTCAGCTGTGACCCTCTGGAATTATACAGAAGCCTCTGGTGATGCCGGTAAGGTGTGGGAGTAGGGAAGCACTTTATTTATTTATTTATTTATTTATTTATTTATTTCAGATGGAGTTTTGCTCTCGTTGGCCAGGCTGGAGTGCAGTGGCATGATCTTGGTTCACTGCAGCCTCTGCCTCCTGGGTTCAAGTGATTCTCCTGCCTCCCAAATAGCTGGGATCACAGGCTCATGCCACCACACCCAGCTAATTCTTGTATTTTTAGTAGAGATGGGGTTTCGCCGTGTTGGCCAGACGGCTCTCAAACTCCTAGCCTCAGGTGATCCACCTGCCTCAGCCTCCCAAAGTGCTGGGACTGCAGGCATGAGCCACGGCGCCGGGCACTTTAGAATGCTGTAATTAGACTTCAGCCTGTGTTCTTGGGCTGTGACTTCTACAAGTGCTTCTCAGCAGCTTTTCCCCAACTTATGTGAGACAGGAGGGCTGGAGAGAGCTGGAGTGTGGTATTTCCCTTCCAACACTGGGAAGACTAGAGGGGGCTGGAGTTTGGTATTTTTCCTCCCCCACATTGGTTAGGCTCTGCTATGGCTTCAATGTTTGTGTCCCTGCCAAAATTATTGAAATGCAACCCCAAATGTGACAGTATTAAGAACTGGGGCATTAGGGAGATGATTAGATCAAGAGGCAGAGTCCTCAGGGATGAGATTAGTGCCCTCATAAAAGAGGCCCCGGAGAGCTATCTCGCTCCTTCCACCATGTGAGGACATAGCTGAAAGGTGTGTCTATGAAGACACAAGCTCTTACCAGGCCCCAAATCTGCCTACACTTTGATTTTGGACTTCCCAGCCTCCAGAACTGTGAGAAATAAATGTTTGTTGTTTATAAGCCAGGCAGCTTATGACATTTTTTGTTTTAGCCGCTTGAATGGACTAAGACAGGCTCTGATAATGTAGTTTCCCTTGATGGCAAGCAGAAGAGGGCTCTGGGTGTGTCTCAACAGGGTTACTTTTCTCCATCCCCTGCTGGAAACAGGAAGGGATTTTTCTGTGGTATTCACTGTGAGAATCTGCTGGAGTGCTTGGAGGTAAAACTCACAAAAGTGTGAGGGGTACCCTAAGATTGGCCATCTCTGGAACCTTTACCATCTAAGCTAGTCCACAGTCAGCCTCCAGAAATTCATCAATTACAGCTTCAGTCCTACCCATTTCTGGCTCTAGCATTTTCTCCGATTCTAGAAGCTATAATTCTATTTCCCTTTCTCTTCATTTTTCAGGGTGTCAGTTTGCCCCTGTGACCTCAACTGTCTGATTGATCTAAACAGCTTTTTCGTGCTGTGAGAATGAAAGTGATGGCTTTTTACACATACAAGCCGAAACCAGAAGTTTTTTTTCATTTATTTAATTCCAAATCTGTTTTATTTTACTTTTTACTTATCTATTATTATTATTTTTTAGACAGAGTCTTGCTCTGTTGCCCAGGCTGGAATGCAGTGGCGCGATCTTGGCTCACTGACATGGTCGCCTCCTGGGTTCAGACGATTCTTCTGCCTCAGCCTCCTGAGTAGCTGGGATGACAGGCACCCGCCACCATGCTCGACTAATGTTTTTTGTATTTTTAGTAGAGACAGGATGTCACCATTTTGGCCAGGCTGGTCTTGAACTCCTAACCTCAGGTGATCCGCCTGCCTTGGCCTCCCAAAGTGCTGGGATTACAGGCATGAGCCACAATGCCCAGCCTCAGATCTATTTTAACTCCTGCAAGATATTATTGCTATTCTGTTATACAATTGGTATCCATTTAGATGTACACACATATTTACTATTTTCTTTGTTCTTTACTCTTTTTTGTGCTATGCTTTTATTTGTGATATTTTTACTTCTGTCTGAAGAAAGCTCTTTGTTAAGTCTATTACAAATTAACTCTGTTAGTTTGTCTAAAAATGTCTCCATTTTTCTTTTGTTGTGGAAGAATATTTTTTCTGGACATAAAATTCTAGGTTGGCAATTATTTCCTTTTAGCACTCTGAATATATAATTTTGTTACCTTCTGCCCTTCTTTGCTTCTGTTGAGAGGTCAGCTGCCTTTTTAGTAGCAGTCTGCTGTATAGAAGATAATCTTTTTCTTTTGCAATGTCTTAAAATTGTACCTTTGTCTTTGGTTTTCAACAATTTCACTATCGTTTGACTAGATGTGTATTTCTTTGTGTTTATTATGCTTGGAGTTCATTGGGATTCCTAAATTGTGGATTAACATCTTTCAGCAAGATATGGAATCAACCTAAATGCCCATCAATAATAGACTGGATAAAACATGTGGTACATATACACCATGGAATACTAGGCAGCCATAAAAAAGAACAAGATCATGTCCTTTGCAGGGACATGGATGAAGCTGGAGGGCATTATACTTAGCAAATTAACACAGGAACAGAAAACCAAATACCACATGTCCTCACTTATAAATGGGAGCTAAATGATGAGAACACTTGGACACATAGAGGGGAACAACACACACTGGGGCCTTTTGGAGGATGGACAGTGGGAGGAGAGAAAAGATCAGAAAAAAATAAGGGTACTAGTGAGAGGTGAAGCCAGCTGGGCTTCTGTGTCCAGTGGGGACTTGGAGAACTTTTCTGTCTAGCTAGAGGATTGTAAATGCACCAATCAGCATTCTGTAAAAATGGACCAATCAGCACTCTGTAAAATGGACCAATCAGCACTCTGTAAAATGGACCAATCAGCACTCTGTAAAATGGACCAATCTGCAGGACATGGGCAGGGCCAAATAAGGGAATAAAAGCTGCCCACCCGTTAGCCAGCAAAGTCAATTTGCTCGGTACCCTTCCAGCGTGTGGGAGCGTCGTTGTTTTGCTGTTCACATCTTCACAATAAATCTTGCTGTTGCTAACTGTGGGTCCTTGCCACCTTTAAGAGCTGTAACACTCACCGGGAAGGTCCGCATGCTTCATTCTTAAAGGCGGTGGGACCAGAAATCCACCGGAATGAACTAACTATGGGCACAGTAGTCTTAAAACGTGGGTGATGGAGGGCAAAAAACTAGTTGATAAAATAATTTGTACAGTAAAGTGCTATGACACAAGTTTACTTGTGTAACAAACCTGCAGTTGTATGGGGGAACCTAAAGTTAAAAAAAAACATTTTAGGAGTACAAAGAAAAATGTTTTTTGACAGTTTGGAAAATTCTCAGTCACTGTCTTTAAGATATTGTTTGACCCATTTTTATCTCTATACCTTAGAGATTTTGAAAAAAAAAAAACTGTCAGAGCTGGGTATTGAATTCTGTATGCATAGGTGACCCTTTGGAGAACCCCGTTGGTTGTGACAGTCCATGGTGGCCCTGGCTCTTTCCAAGTCTTTCCCAGTCAGGGGCTCAGAGGCAGCACTCTTCCTGGAGAGTTAGGGAGGAGCAGGCAGAATCAGGGGTCCTGTCCTGTGGAGCCCTCCCTTTCTTGTTGATTTGGCTGGGAGATTCACTCCTGTGAGTTACCATTCACCAGCTGGAGAAGGTGGGCCGTGGTGAGTTTTGAAGGGGGTGATTCAGGCAGAAGACACAGTGAGAGGTGATCTTAGCTACCTAAAGCCAAGACAGCAGCCCTGGACAGGGGTCCTACTGTCAGGAACCTGCTCCAGCCTTCTGAATGGGACTTCAGGAAGCAGATTGCTCCAACACGGAACACTTACCGGCACCTCAGATGGTTAAGCTTGTGTTAATCGAGTTTTTCCCAAGTCCTCTGTTGTGATACTTTCGTTATGTGAAATATTAAGAGGTATTTCAGAAGAAAAAAGATCCTATGGGCAAATGAGTTTGAGGAATGCTGGGTTACAAGAAAGAAAAGGGGGTTCTTTGTGGCAGGACTTCTCAGAATTTTAATATCCTAATATGCATTGTGAATCTCCAAGAGGAAAATACAGGAAGCAGAGTTGCCCAAATTTAGTTCACGTGGAATCTTTTTTGTTGAGAATGCCTGAGCTCTAAGAGGCCGAGTTTAGAGAATATCACCTTTGGGCAGACGCAGTACTCTAAGAGCTATCTCTGAATCAGGAACCCCTCAAAGTGGACACCACGCCTTTTCATCTCAGCCAATTAAAAAAAAAGTTTAATTGGCCCCTTGGGAGGAAGGAGCTGGGCACCATGAGATGGAGAAACCTCTGCTAAGCAAAGTTTCCCAGGACTGGGGAGCATTTGGGACTAATTGTTAGCAATCCTTAACTAGGGTGTTATTTGCTCAAGAACCCAGACTGGAGTGCAGTGGCACGATCTCGGCTCACCACAACCTCCACCTCCCAGGTTCAAGCAAGTCTCCTGCTTCAGCCTCCTGAGTAGCTGGGATTACAGGCATGCACCACCATGCACGGCTAATTTTGTATTTTTAGTAGTGATGGGGTTTCTCTATGTTGGTCAGGCTGATCTCAAACTCCCAACCTCAGGTGATCCACCCACCTCGGCCTCCTAAAGGGATTACAGGCATGAGCCACAGCTCCCAGCCACTCAATTTCTGAATCAACTCGGGAAGAAGGAATGAGCTTTAAAAAGTAGAATGCCACATCCCTTCTTCTATTGCCACACTTTCCAGCACTTGTCCTACCCAAGCTCTGTATGCTCACACTCTCTACCTTTCTGTTAGCAGCCTTGCCTTGGCCTGTGTTTCAGACTTTTCCAAAGATTTTTTCAAAAGATAAAAATGCGAAGTCTTTGTGCTTATTTAAACAAAAGTTTCGGGTAACAATACTCTATTCCCAGAACAAAAGTTTCACTGCGATTTACTAGGTACAGCCAAATTTTTTTGGGGGGGTGGGTGCTTTGTTTTGCTTTATGGGTTATTGTAACCAATGGGGTAAAATTCAGATTTTAGAAGCGATAAAGCATTACTTAAGGACATGACACTAACAGGAGATCAACTTGAAGACTGTTACGAGCTCTCCCGTTCTAAGAGGGCATGAGGACACAGGAGATAGAAATAACGCCCTGGGCGCCAGGTGTTGAAGAGGGGTGCCATGCGTTGAGCTCTTCTAAACACTGAGACGTCTTCCCGTGTGGACTGTGAGGAGCCACAGCTGCCTACATGGGGCTCAGGAGCATCATTTTGTCCCCAAAGATCCTGTTTTCATGCAGTCTGCTGCTATCAACAAAAGAAGCTTGAAGTCAGATTGAGGCAAAATCATCTCTTGCCATTATTCCTGCCCACATTTCTTCTCAGGAACACAGACATCTTGAAGGAAGAAAAGGTCGAATCAACTTCCATATAATTGGACCCACATTTTGGGAATTTTGCCATCACTCCAGAGTGAAGACTTCAGAAGTGTTAGCCATGGTGTTGGGATTTGAAAGTCCTCCATTAGGTCCCAGCAAAGGGCAGAACGTTACACTCAGACTCTCAGGGATGCCAGCACAGTGACACACTGGGGCTTCTTACGTGCAGTTAGTGGAGTTGCGGATTAATGAGATGTTAGGAGTTTGATGAGAAGGAAAGCCAGCTCAGATAATGCTCTCTGCTAGGAATTTCCGGAAGCTCCAGCTGCAACCTTTACTCATGGCAGGATCCAGGACCAACCAGGTTTACAGCTACAAAGCTGTAACACAATGGATTATCTCCACTACAGAGTCACTGGTTTTATTTTCATTGTAGAGAGTATTCTGAAGATTAAAACAAAGAAACAAAAAACCATTAAATGCTTGGCAGGTTTTTAACCGTGTGTTTGTTATTCTAGCACATATCATCTGCCAGCACTGCAACACAACCCACTGAGGAGCAGAAAAAGCAGAAGGGAGGGAGGGAAGGGGGGGGAGAGAGAGAGAGAGAAAGAGAAAGAAAGAAGAAAGAAAAGAAAAAGTGAGAGAGAGAGAAAGAAAACAGAAAGGAGAAAAAAATGAAAAGAAGGTTCTTAGAATCAGACAGGAAGTAACTGTCCAATTTCGATCCTCCCACTGATAACTCCATGGCCGGTCCTCACAGGCCTGTGCCCTCCAATGGAGGATGGGGAGCAATAGAGGGGCCTCAGGAGGTCTCACTTCCTGAATCCTGAGCCGTAGGGTGCAGAAGAGTGGTGCAAAAAGACTGCTGCCAACGTTCACCTGTTGACGAGGCTGGGCGGCCTACGGAGAACGGCCAGCATATTTTGGCCAACTTGGATCTTAAGGCTCACCAGGAAGACCCTCTGCCTTCCAGACAAAGAGAGGAGTTTCCAAGACCCACGTTCCAAATATCCGACGACCTTATTTTCCTCCAAGTGGGGAAACCTACTTTATTTTTTTCGTCAGTCAGTGGAGAAATGGAAGCAGAGTTTACGGTAATCAAAAGTATTGATAGACCTCTATGTCTTTGCCTAATCTAGTTATCCATTTGTTTATTTTTGTAATTATCTTTTACAACGACACCAAAGATTTTAAATTATTCTCTAGCCTTCTTAATTCATAGAGACATTGTTCAATGAAATATAAATTTAATTTACAAATGAAGATTTTTTTAACCTACCACTTTTATTTCTTTATTTCAGAGATTCTGCCAACTGAGAATCAGTAGTACTAAGCTAGTAGTAGTAGTGCTAACTTATTTTAAATATATGTAAAGAATTCAACAGTATGCAAAGTGGAAGCCCACCTCTGCAGCCAATGCCAGGAGCAATATAATTTTTTGAACCAATATAAGCCTTACTTCAAATAAGACTTTGAAAAGGAAGGTTTTTGGATCAGAGCTTTCAGATCAGGATTCACAAAACTTTTGCTTGGCCAGTGCTGGCCTGAGCCCTTGGACTCCCATCCTGCCCCACACCTGCCCTCTGTCCCCAGCATTATTGTCCTCTTTCTTTGCCCATCGCCCGTCTCCAGCCTGGGAACCAAGCTCCAGCTCACAGGATGTTTCCCTGATGCCCTACTGTCTGTCATCTCCAACTCTAAAGTGCCCCCTTTCCTCAAGTCTGCTGCCAGGACTCCCATCCAAACTATATGCTCAGTTTGAAGCCCCATTACTCCTGGTTTTTTTTTTTTTTTTTAGACAGAGTCTCACTCTGTTGCCCAGGCTGGAGTGCAGTGGCATGATCTTGGGTCACTGCAACCTTTGCCTCCCAGGTTCAAGAGATTCTCCTGCCTCAGCCTCCATAATAGCTGGGATTACAGGCACCCACCACCACGCCCAGCTAATTTTTTGTATTTTTAGTAGAAATGGGGTTTCATCGTGTTGTGGCCAGGTTGATCTCGAACTCCAGACCTCAGGTGATCCACCTGCCTCGGCCTCCCAAAGTACTGGGATTACAGGCGTGAGCCACTGCACCTGGCCTCTTCTTTCTATTTTTTCTTTTTTCTTTTCTCTTCTTTTCTTTTTCTTTTATCTTTTTTTTTTTTTTTTTTTTTTTTTTTTTGAGGCAGAGTCTCACTCTGTTGCCCAGGCTGGAGTGCAGTGGCGTGATCTCGGGTCACTGCAACCTCTGCTTCCCAGGTTCAAGTGATTCTCCAGCTTCGGCCTCCATAATAGCTGGGATTACAGGCGTGAGCCACCTCACGTGGCCCATTACTCCCCTTTCTTTTGAAAGCTCCCTCTCCCTTTATGCTTTCCTCTTGCGTGTCAAAGCTGATTGCAGTGCTTCCTATAGTCTGCCTTGTATTTCAAATGTGTTTATATGAGCACTGGCTCCCCTACTAGCATGCAAATCCTCAAAAGTCATTTCTGAGTCATTCCCATATCTCCACACAGCACCAGCAGTGTCTGGAGCATGGGAGAGGTGATCTCAATGATAAATTCAATTAAATAGACTGTGGATATCAAGGAAGCAAGAAGCCAGGGCAAGTAGGTAAAGTCAAAAGACAAGTGACAAGCTGGAAAAAAATACTTTCCACTTCATTACAGTCAAAATTTCACCATATTTGGTATGTAGGAACAAGCTTTAAAAATAAAGAAAAAAGGCTGGGCACGGTGGCTCATGCCTATAATCCCAGTACTTTGGGAGGCCAAGGCAGATGGATCACCTGAGGTCGGGAGTTCGAGACCAGCCAGACTAACACAGAGAAACGCTGTCTCCACTAAAATATACAAAATTAGCTGAGCATGGTGGCACATGCCTGTAATCCCAGCTACTTGGCAGGCTGAGGCCGGAGAATCACTTGAACCCGGGATGCAGAGGTTGCAGTGAGCTGAGATCGTGCCGTTGCACTCCAGCCTGGGCAACAAGAGCAAAACTCCATCTCAAATAAAATAAAATAAAGAAAAAAGAGTCTCTAGAAAAATGAGCAAGAGATGTGGAAAGTTCACAGACACAGAAATACAGATGGCCCTTACACATGAAAAGATGCCAACCTTACTCATAGTAAGATAAATGCAAATTAAAACTACATTGACCTAACAGACGTCTAAGAGTATACTACACCCAACAACAAAATACACATTCTTATCATGTGCACATGGACCATTCTCTAGGACAGACCATATGCTAGGCCATAAAACAAGCCTTCATAAGTGTAAAAGGATTTTTAAAGCCATGCAAAGTATGTTCTCCAACCACAGTGGAATTAAATTAGAAATCAATAATAGAAAAAAAAATTGGACAGGCGTGGTGGCTCACGCCTGTAAACCCAACAATTTGGGAGGCCGAGGTTGGTGGATCACCTGAGGTCAGGAGTTCGAGACCAGCCTGGCCAATATGGTGAAACCCCATCTCTACTAAAAATACAAAAATTAGCTAGGCATGGGGTCACACACCTATAATCCCAGCTACTTGAGAGGCTGAGGCAGGAGAATCACTTGAACCCTGGAGGCAGAGGTTGCAGTGAGCTGAGATCATGCCACTGCACTCCAGCCTGGGCAACAGAGCAAGACTCAGTCTCAAAAAAAAAAAAGAAAAGAAAAGAAATTTACAAATTCAAAAGTAAGTGGACATTAAATTACATACTTCTAAGTAACCAGTGGGCTAAAAAAGTCACAAGAAAAGTTATAAAATATCTTAAGATGAACAAATATGAAAAACTATATTGGATGCAGCTAAAATAGTGCTCAGAGGGAAATTTATAGCTGTAAACACCCGTATTAAGAATGAAAGATCTCAAATAAATAACCTAACCTTCAACTTTAGAAAATAGAAAAAGACAAGCAAACTAAATCCAAATCAAGCAGAAGGAAGAAAATAAGACTAGCGTGGAAATAATAAAATAAAGCGTAGAAAAACAATAGAAGAAATTAATGAAACCAAAAGTTGATTCCCTGGAAAGGTCAACAAAATTGAAAAACCTTTAGCTAGACTGGCCATCTAAACAACAGAGAAGACTCAAATTGCTAAAATCAGGAATGAAAAAGGGGCATCACTAATGATTTTCTAGACATATTAATACAAAGGATCATAAGGGAATACCATGAATAACTGGATGCCAACAGATTTTAAAACCTGGATGAAATGGACAAATTCCTGCAAAGACAAATTACTGAAACTGACTCAAGGAGAAACAGAAAAATCTGAACAGACCTATAAAAAGTAAAGACATTGGAGTAGTAATATTTAAACTTCCCATAAAGAAAACCACAGGCCCAGATGGCTTCACTGGTAAATTCTACCAAACTTGTAAAGAAGAATGAAGACCAATCTTTCACAAACTCTTACAGAAAATATAAGTGGCGGGGAGTCATTGCCCAACTCATTTTATGAGGCCAGTTTTACCCAGATATCAAAACCAGACAACAATATCCAAAAAAATGAAGACAACTATATTGCAAAACTATATTGAGAAACCGTTTCTTAATAAGATTGGCAAAATTCTAAAAGTGTAACAACGTATTTTGTTGGTGAGGCTGTGGGAAAACAAGGACTCATAAAATCCCACTGGAAATGCAAAATGCTACAATCTCTATGAAGGGAAGTTTTGCAATATAAGCAAATTTCATATTTATACCCTTAATCCCAGCAATCTCACTTCTCGGAATCTAGCCTAAAGATTACAGACAAATGCAAAAGGACATGTGGCAAGACTTTTTGTTGCTGTGCTATTTGTAGAGACCAAGAGCCACTCAAGTGCCCATTGACACGGGTCTGGTGAAATCAACTCTCATGCATCCACTCAGGGATTCGGGCCACACAGCTGTCAAAAGAAATGAGAGGCAGCCATGTCACCTCCAAGAAAAGTGGAGAAGAGAAGTGCCAAAGGCAAAGCAGAGAAAAGTGTGTAAAGTCCTCTACCATCTTTGTGAGAAAGAGGCGGAGAGAAACAATACATATATATTTATACTTAAAAAGTGAAAGGATAAAACAATAATTTTTTTTTAAGTTTACTTGTGGCGGCCAGGCGTGGTGGCTCACACCTGTAATCCCAGCACCTTGGGCAGCCGAGGCGGGTGGATCACCTGAGGTCAGGAGTTTGAGACCAGCCTGACCAACATGGTGAAACTGTCTCTACTAAAAATACAAAATTAGCCAGGCATGGTGGCACGTACCTGTAGTCCCAGCTATTTGCAAGGCTAAGGCAGGAGAATCCCTTGAACCCAGGAGACAGAGGTTGCAGTGAGCTGAGATTGCACCACTGCACTCCAGCCTGGGCAACAAGAGCAAAACTCCATCTCAAAAAAAAAAAAAAGAAAAGAAAAAGGTTTACTTGTGGGGAAAGAAGAATGAGGGAGAAAGACAGATGCCACAGCCAGACTACTCTGAAAGAATCTTGTTTGCAGATTGGACTTTGCCAAAATGCAAACGTTTCACTTAATTATAAAACAGACTTATATTTAAAAACTAATTCCTAAAACAATGCATGGAAATCCAATGGAAAATTCAATGAGTGAATCTTACTGGAAATCTGCCTTTAGTGTTAGTGCTATTGTTATTTGCTCAGACAGCTCACTAGACACATAATAATTCTCAGACATTGCCAGCGTCTCCCCACAGTCCTCGGATACTGTGTTCCCCGAACTCGCTGTGTATCAAGTGTGTAGAATAACCACACAGAGAATAATAACTTTAAGTTCTTGAAAAAACCTAATAGGACATATGCAAGGTGAAAAAGAACAACAAAACAGTCTTTTAAACTGCTTCCAGTACTGTTAGCAATATGGGTGTGTTACTTGAAACTATATTCAGGATAAAGCAAAAGAGAAAGCTTTTAATGTCATTAGGAATAGGGCTTTTAGCATAAGCAAAAAGAGACACAAACATGAAATCAAGGAAGTTAAGTAAAATCCCTCTGTTTCTAAATTTGAATTGAAAATTATCATGATGCATTTTCTTTACAGATGCACGCGCGCGCGCGCACACACACACACACACACACACACACACACACACACACAGAGACACACAGCTTCATAGTTCCGCCTGCTGAAAAGGCTCAGAAACAATTCAGTTCAGAAGCAGATCCTAGTTTCTGAATACTGTTTCTCACTCAAAGGAACCAGGGCTCCTTGGAGAAGTGCCTGAGCCTAGATCTGCGGCAAGAAATGTACAAGATGATCCCAAACATCTTTGCATTCCAGATAGCAAAGAGGCTCTCAGAGATTCCTGGGGTGGCGTCAGAAGGATTCAGGAGGCTTTGTGAAACTGGGACCATGTGAACAATAGTAAGAAAAATAACTGCTGTGGATTTAAATGCATCAAATATGTTCAAATCCATGAATTTATACTGACACTCTGAAGAAAAGGAATGCATTAGTCACATTGGAATGAGGCCAAGGAAGCAACCAATTCCACTGGAGATGGAAACCTTTTTCTTGCCTTTCCTCTGCAAGCTGTGCCTCAGAGTGACCAAATCTGCCCAGGGAAAGTTTCTATTTATGGATGAATTCCAGCTAACAAATAAAGAAGAGTCGACCTAATTAGAAGATCACCATTTTGCAGCTGGGCATGGTGGCTCACACCTGTAATCCCAGCACTTTGGGAGGCCAGGGTGGGCGGATCACAAGGTCAGGAGATTGAGACCATCCTGGCCAACACGGTGAAACCCAGTCTCTATTAAAAATACAAAAAAATTGGCCGGGCGTGGTGGCAGGCACCTGTAGTCCCAGCTACTCGGGAGGCTGAGGCAGGAGAATGGTGTGAACCTGGGAGGCGGAGCTTGCAGTGAGCCAAGATGGCGCCACTGCACTCCAGCCTGGGCAACAGAGCAAGACTCCGTCTCAAAAAAAAAAAAAAAAAAAAAAAAAGGAAGATCACCATTTTGCAAGTCCTAGGGATATCATGGCCCTAGACAGTCATCACCAAAGTCCGCCGGCATTGCAAAAGAGATGTCTCCTAACAGAAGGACACACTACCACCAAAAAGTCTTATTGCAAAAGTCCACCTTGAATCTGAACAGGTTTCGAGACTAACTATTGGTCAGGAAGTGCAGGGAACAAAGGAGCATGAGAAACAATATTGCTGGCTCATCTCAGAGTCCAACCAGGACCCTTGGGCCTCCACCTGGGGTGTCCCCTGCTAGCCTGGGGATCTCCCATGACCTCATCAGGGCCCCACACAGGTGAGCATACAGGTCACTGTCCCCACACTCTCACCAACTGTGACCGCCAGCCGGCCTCTTATTCCCTCTGAGGAATGTGTCCTCATGGCTCCCCCATGAGGAGAAGGACTGCACCCCCGCAGCTGGGTGAGGAGTGAGTGGTCAGTATCCACCCTTCACGGTGGTGTTCTTGTGTCCTCAGACGGCTCCACAGACACATAATGATTCTCAGACCTTACAGCGTCTCTCCACAGTCCTCACACACTGTGTCCATGCACCAGGTCATCCAAGTGACTTCATGGGGGAGGATGCCTCTGGAGAGTGGACAGTCTGGTGAGAACCCCTTTTCCCCACAGCTGCAGCTCAACACCGCCCAACAGAAATACAAGGTGAGCCATAGCTGTGAGCCACAGAGCAGAGGCAATTTTAAATTTTCTTTTTTTTTTCTTTTTCTTTCTTTCTCTCTTTTTTTTTTTTTTTGGATACAGAGTCTCACTCTGTCACCCAGGCTGGAGTGCAGTGGTGTGATCTCAGCTCACTGCAACTTCCGCCTCCAGGGTTCAAGTGATTCTCCTGCCTCAGCCTCCCGAGTAGCTGGGATTACAGGCACCCACCACCATGGCCGGTTATTTTTTATATTTTTAGTAGAGATGAGGTTTCACCATGTTGGCCAGGCTGGTCTCGAACTCCTGACCTCAGGTGATCCACCTGCCTCAGCCTCCCAAAGTGCTGGAATTGCAGGCGTGAGCTGGGCCAATTTAAAATTTTCTAGTAGTCAGTTTTGAAAAGTAAATAGAAGCAGGTGAAAAAAATTAATAACATTCTATTCAACCCAACATGTTCTAAATATTTCAATGTGCAATCGATTATTATCACAAGTCTTGGCAATCCCGTGTATATTTTACATTCGGAGCATATCTCAATTCTGACTGGCTCTGTTTCCAGCACTCCATAGCCACGCGTGGCCTGTGGCCACTGTGTGAGACATCTCAGCTCCCAGTTGCAGGCCACACTGCATGGACCCTGGGGAGGAGGGGTGTTCTCTTGGGGAAGGATGGGGCTCCCATTGTTTCCATCTTATCTGAACCTGAAAAAGAGCTTATTTGTCTAGTGAAGGGCCCACTGCCTGGAGAGCCACTGACTGGCAGCCGGTCGGGCTGGCCATTGGTGCTGACCACAGAGCCTCCACACCTCCCAGCCATGGCAGTGCCGGCCATCAGCTCACTTCCCCATGTGGTCTTTCCCCACTGCTCCCAGACTGATTTCAGATGCCCCGGATTGCCCTGACTGTGCCTTCAGAATTCCGGCCACGTAGCACCCTCCCTCAGCCCCCGGAAGGGTTCCCGCTGAAGCCGTGACTCTCTCAGGCCTCAGGAGCCAACACCAGTTCAAGAAAGAAGACTCGGGAGCCAGGCCAGGGAGGCTGCTGCGGTCATTGTGCGCCCAGGGGCTGTGCGCGCTCCAGCAAAGCACGTGGGAGCCACTCACCAGACCCTTTGCACGCCCACTCTGCGGTGACAGACCCTGAGAGAAACGAATGAAAGCAAAGACAGACCCAGAAAATGGCCTGGCACATGTGCTTCCGTCAGAAGTTCAGAGATTCCCTGAGCCCCAGGCTGTCTGCCAGGCATTGGGTGGGGGAGTGAGCCCAGCCTCCAGCTTCAGGACTCTACATATGGGCAGAACTTGACAACCTGGGCACTCCCACTCCACCCCACCTGCTCTCTGGGCAAGCCACCCTCTCACATGACTCAGAGTCCTCATCTGTAAAATGGGAACACCCCTAATTGCCCTTACGTCCAATCTGTCTGCTCCTCTGTGAGAAGCGGGAGGCGGACAATGCCCAAGAGCCTCAGATGCTGGGGAAGACCCAGCCCCTCTGCAGAGAGGGATAGTTCAGGGTTTGGGTTTTTTCTTTCCTCCTGGGCTGAGAAAGCTCATGGAAAGCTGGAATAACCACGCATACTGTTACAGCAAATCCAACAGAGCTCCCACCGTGGTGGTTTTCAGGTGACTGTGGATGCCAAGCAGGCAAGCTCCTGGTGAAGGGGGGAGAGCAGGGATTAGAAGCACTCAGAAGGGGCTGAGAGTCATGTGGGGCTCACACTGCATTTGCAGCTGGGTTCACCCTGACCTCAGGCCCAACTTAGATGAGGAAGGATTAGCAGTAATTAGTGCCATGTGCCGCCTTCTCCCAGCTCCCCGGGGCACGAACACTGCCCAGCTGATGAGGGGATTCTGAAAGAACCATTATGTCCAATTGTCTCAATTATGCAAACCCTGCTGACATTTCCAGCCAGGGAAGGGCGGCTGGGTGGGAGGGGGCCATGGCGGGGCCACTTCAAAGGAAAAGCTCTAGCTCCCCTACCTCTCTCACATCCTAAGGCTGCCTTTGTGGGATTCCACACAGAACAGCCTGGAAGCTTGGGGCCCTGGCTTCCTTTTCTGGCCTGGGAGTCAGGTCATGGGGCCATCGCTTCACAGCAATCATGAGGGCCCAGGCCCAAGTGCTCACATGCTCCTCATGGGGACTGCTCCTCTTAAAGGGTGGGCCCTCCTCACCCAGCTCCCTGCCCTGGCCAAGGAGGAGGCTGAAAGAGCCTGAGCTGTGCCCTCTCCATTCCACTGCTGTGGCAGGTAAGCTCAGATGCGGGTAAGCACAGGTGAAGGGAGGTCAGGTGCAGGTATCCTCAGGTGTGGGTAAACTCAAGCGTGGACAAACTCAGGTGCAGATAACCACAGATGCAGTTAAGCTCAGGTGTTGGTAACCTCAGGTGCAGGTAGGCTCAGGTGCAAGTAAGAGCAGGTGCAGGCAAGCTCAGGTGTGCTTTCTGGGGCCTGTTACTCATCTCCTCTTGAGGCTGGCTGGACAGGACCCTATGGAGCAGCTGGTGAACCTGTGTTCAGCCTGGGTTCCAAGAGGCTGTCTCAGCAGAAGGGACCCACCAGGTTGATTCACAGAGGGGATAAGTACTCTGTCAGCTGGTCTCAAAGAGGCTGAAACCCTCTGAGCTTCCCTCAGGGCCAGCTTCTAAATCCAGGTGCCAGGGATCTGCTCAGGAGCCCCGGCTCCAGGCCTCAACCTCTTGCCTGTCATTCCTTAGCATCTTACTTTGCTTCAGGGAAAAGGTGCACCTTCCTTAGAACCCCAGAAAATGCTGAAGTTCTAGGAGAGACAGGGTTTATACTTGTAAGCCTTTATCAGCTGATATTTCACCTGTGAAAGCCTTGGGGAAGAGATTGGTTACACGGAACAGGATCAGGAGGGGAGATTACTGCTCCCTCTCACTGCTGGGAGCAGTGCAAACTGGTTTCTGGAAGGCAGTTCAACAACATGCAGCAAAGCCCTGCAAGTCCACACCTAGGAACCCATCCTGAGGAGCGAATCCTGAAGGGATGCCAACATTGACACAGCTTTGTGTGCTACCGGGAAGCACAGCAAACAACCCAAACGCCCAGAAGCAGAGGGCTGGACACATCAATCATGGTCTGTCCATAGGATGAAACATCACGCAGTCACTTTTAAAATGACAGAGAAAAAGGCATAATAACCGTACAGAATTATTGTGTTTTTCATTACACACACATGCACCTGTCTAATCTATTCACGGAAAAAGCCTAGAAATACAAGGAAATATCAGTTGTTTTAGGATGGAGGCCTTATGGGTGGTGTTTATTTATTCTTTTGTACATTTCTACATTTTTTGTCTTCTTTAATCATTTTCTATCACAAATTAATTTTCCTTTTTTTCCCAGAAAATATATCTTTTGTACTTTTTATTAGTACATCATAGTTGTGCATATTGTGGGGGTACATGTGATTTTTTGGTGCATGTATACAATGTGTATGTTTTTTTAAACCTTAGCAAAAATTAGCAAAAGTAGTGGGGGAGGTAGGGAGGAATGAAAATATTTGCAGGGCCAGGCGCGATGGCTCATGGCTGTAATCCCAGCACTTCGGGAGGCTGAGGCAGGCAGATCACGAGGTCAAGAGATAGAGACCATCCTAGCCAACATGGTGAAACCCTGTCTCTACTAAAAATACAAAAATTAGCTGGGCGTGGTAGTGCGCGCCTGTAGTCCCAGCTACTCGAGAGGCTGAGGCAGGAGAGGTTGAACCCGGGAGGTGGAGGTTGCAGTGAGCCGAGACTGCGCCACTGCACTCCAGCCTGGGCGACAGAGTGAGACTCCATCAAAAAAAAAAAAAGAAGGAAAGAAAGAAAGAAGAAAGAAACAAAGAAAGAATATTTGCATAAATTGTGTTTGCGTTGACAAGGGATAGGAACTGAGAATGGGGAAGGAAGATGAGACACATTTTCTCTGTCTGAATCAGATATTTAGGGAGGAATTAAGAACGGAGCCCTGCCTCTCTATGAGTGCACTTGATGAATACGGGACTGATTCTGGGAAAGACTGCCTTTGGTCAGGTTCTCAAAACACCATTGTTTTGAACTATCCAGCAGCAGTTTTAATTCATGGCATTTGCAATTATATTTATAGCATAAATTGTCTATTCTCTGCAGTGTATTTTTTAGCCCTCCTCCCCCAGAAAATGTAATTGGAAATATCAACTCATGTTGAATGTGTTTGCTGTACCTGTTTATGTTTTATTGATTATTTTCTGGGAGAAGTTTGGAGTTGTGTTTGGTTTGGCTCTGTGCAACCTCATTTATTTGCTCTGTAAAGCTGATAAGCACAAGAAGTGAAATGACACTCAGGCATTTTAAGATGCGAGTCATCTTCATTCTGAACTAAGTGAAAACAAAACAGATTTTCTATCAACCTAAAATCCTCCTACTGGGGGCAGTAGATGTTTTTAGAAAATTGGCTTTGGCTTTGATTGACAATGTTTGGAAGATGTCCTATAATTTGAGAGTGTATGTGTGTGTGTCTGGGTGTGTGTGTGTAAATGCTGGACCTGGGAAGATGGAAGCCCTCAGCCAGGAGAATAAGAGGACACAATACCCCCAAGCCTTCCATGACCTAGAGATTAAGGGGATTTAACGTCTTAAAACCTCCATTAAGTAGACAGTAGCAAGAGACATGTTGCCCTCAGTGATATGCAAAGGCATATCTGATGGGTCAGTATCTGCCATCCTCCTCTTTTGCAAGCTCTGAGGTTAGACTCAGCCATGGGTGAAGGAATTACAGCATCCATTGGGAGCAGGCAGAGTCCAGGAAAGAGATTTTTCTGTTACCTCAGATGCCCATCGCGCCAGGAGCAATTTTCCCAGCCTCTTGTAGAAAGCACATATTAGTATCTATCTCACTGCTTTTCAGAAACTGTATCTTCAATTGCTAAGTGGGGAAAAATGCATTTACAATGCTAGAGCTGACTTTAAGAAAACAAGTTAACATCAGGCCACAGCACTCCCCTCCCCCGCTGCTGAGACCTTGTCGCTGTGCACCTTGTCCCCTCCCTCACGGCTTCTGGCTCCCGCTCCCCCAATCCCTGGCCCCCTGTCTGCCCCTGCCATTAAAGTGGCAAGCACAGGTATCCTCCTCCCTCATCACAACTTATCCATCCTGTGTCTGCTCCCCCAGGGTGGGTAATGCCTGAAATGCCTTAAGGTAGGGGTAACGCTCATGGCAGGTGGCCCTGGCTCTCCTGGAGACAGGGCACAGGAATGGGCAAATTCTTCAGGCTTGGTGAGGTGGAAAGCTTGCTCCTCGGGAATCATGGCCACAGTGCCCTTTTTTGTTTGTTAATCATTAAAAAGCATACTACATGAATATATAAAGTTGGAAAACCCCACAGAAGAGCCAAGTGAAGTCCTGCTTACACACTCCTCCTGATCCCTACTCTCCCGTGCTGTGGACCATGCTTAGTGTTTGACGTGTATTATTATTATTTTTGTGTGTGTGTGACAGAGTCTTGCTCTGTTGCTCAGGCTGGAGTGCAATGGCATGATCTCGGCTCACCGCAACCTCCGCCTCCCAGATTCAAGCGATTCTCCTGCCAAGTAGCTGGGATTACAGGTGCCCGCCACCACGCCCAGCTAATTTTGTATTTTTAGTAGAGACAAGGCTTCACCATGTTGATCAAGCTGGTCTCAAACTCCTGACCTCAGGTGATCCGCCCACCTCAGCCTCCCAAAATGCTGGGCTGGGATTACAGGCGTGAGCCACCACGCCCGGCCTGATGTGTATTATTCTAGACCTCTGCTGCCTAATAGAAATAGCACACGCGCCACAGACATAATTTCAAACTGTGTAGTAGCCACTTAAAAAGGAAAAGTAAAAACAAATAAGTGAAATTAACTTTAATTCTATAATTCATTTAACACAATATATCTAAAATATGATTGTTTCAACATGTAGTCAATACCAAACACATACTAATGAGGTATTTTATGTCTTTCTTTATTGTTCTAAGTCTTTGAAATCCTGCCACACACCTCGTTTTCAGCTCTCATGTCACAGTGAACATTAGCGTGCCATCTCACACTCACAGCATGTCTCCATTCACCCTGGCCACATCTCAGGTGCGCAACAGCCCCAGGTAGCCAGGGTCTACCATGTGGGACAGCTCTGCTCTTGAATATCGGGAAGTTTGTTCCTGTAGAGCTGGATCACATCGGAAATATTTTACTACGCTTTTTTTTTCAGTTCATAATGGAGACGTTTACACTTTAGAGTTCTGTGTTAGTCTTGTTCATGGTTGCATAGTCCATGATTTGGTACGTCGTTAATTGGTTTAATCAGTCCCCAAGGTAGACTAACAAAAAAGTGGAGGTTTCCAATTTTTCACTTAGCTTAAAATACACTGCAACAAACATCCATACATTGCCTATTTACATGCAAAAGTATTTCCAGGTGATCGATCCATGGAAGTGAAAGTGCTGGGTCAAAGACAGGCATGCACCCTTTGCTCTGAGAGGCAAGCCAGTACTCAGCCAAGCCGGCCACCAATTTGCCTTGGGGTTTGGACGTTGTTCCCTTAGAGGTAAAAGCAAAGAGTTGGGCTGGATACCCTCCATAGTTCCTAAATGCTCAGTTCCATGGCCCAAAGGGTGGTGATTCCTGCCAATGCCTTTGGTGGACGTAGTCTTGGGTGGGTGGGTGGGTGACAGCTACCTGCTCCCACTGGAGGGCAGGCCTGGATTGGGCAGATAAGCAAATCAACCACACACACCTTGTCTAGATAAGCAGAAAACACTCAGAAAAGACCCCAATTGTTTTATTTGTAAAATTGCTCTTTGGCTAATTTTCATGAATGTGGATCATTCATTAAATGTTATCATAGAAAAAGAGCAGAGCAACAAAGGGGCCCGGCAGTCTGATTCCCGTGCTGGCAGCCTCCACCGTCACGCTGAGCTGTGGTGAATGCCTAGGGTTTCACCCGCCTACCCCTCACTCCTGCTGGCGTGCACCCTTTCCCCACCCTGGTGGCCCCAGCAAACATCACAGTCCCTGAGGGCCAGGAGGCTTGGGTCCCCAGATGCCCACACCTGACAGGCCTAGTGCCTGAGCACTCTGGTGAGGGACTTCCCTGGACCATGGGAGCACTGCCAGAGGAGGCTCGAGGGCAGGGACCTGGATGGGTAGCAAAGGACAGAGAACATCGGGAAAGGAGAGGGTACTACCTGTGGGAACCAGGCAGGCACAAGAGGCTGGCCCTGAGCCTCTGCGCATCTCTCCTGCAGACACTGGCTGCACCTGCCTAGCCCCTGAAACCCAGACCAGGCACTCAGGCAATGAGGGGAGCTTCTTAACACAACACCTTCCCAACTGCTGTGCTTTTCGGAGTGAGCTGGCCAGGTGATGTTGGCCAAAGCAGGAAGGGGAGCTGTTGAGGTGCCCCAAGATCCTTGCTGGAATCCTCAGGTTCCCAGACAATCAGGGTAGACCCGGTGATGGGAGAAGGAGATGGGGACACACATGGATCCGAAGCTACAAGATTCTGCTTCTCTCTCCTGTTTTTGTTTATTCTTTTAAGATGTTTTATTGCTAAATAAAGCATTTTAAAAAGTGTATAAGATGTCTGCACATAGTTTAGAGAATGATAAAGCAGATCCTTGTGTTTTACCATGGGGCCCTTTCCCACTGCACTCCTTCCCTCCCAGAGGCAGCACTGCCTGACTTCTGCCTGGCTCGTTCCTGCCTTTGCTCTTTCTTTCTCTCTTTTTCCCTCCCTTCCTCCCTCCCTTCCTTCCTTCTTCCCTTCCCTTCGTTTCTTCTTTTTCTTTCCTTCCTTCCTTCTTTCTTTTCTTTTCTATTTTTATTTTTATTTTTTTGAGACAGAGTTTTGCTCTTGTCACCCAGGCTGAAGTGCAGTGGTGCTATCTCGGCTCACTGCAACCTCCACCTCCCATGTTCAAGCGATTCTCCTACCTCAGCCTCCCAAATAGTTGGGATTACAGGCAACTGCCACCACGCCTGGCTAATTTTTTTGTATTTTTAGTAGCGATGGGGTTTCACCACGTTGGCCAGGCTGGTCTCGAACTCCTGACCTCCAGAGATCCACCCACCTTGGCCTCCCAAAGTGCTGGGATTACAGGTGTGAGCCACTGCGCCTGGCCCCTGGCTTTTCTTTATGTTTCATTTAGTTTAGTTTTGAGGTTTACATATTTTTTATATTTATCTATTTATTTATTTTCAAATGGAGTCTCACTCTGTCGCCCAGGCTGGAGTGCAGTGGTGTGATCTCAGCTCACCGCAACCTCTGCCTCCTGGGTTCAAGCTATTCTCCTGCCTCAGCCTCCCGAGTAGCTGGGATTACAGGCGCCTGTCACCATGCCTGGCTAATTTTTGTATTTTTAGTAGAGACGAGGTTTCACCATGTTGGCCAGGCTGGTCTCGAACTCCTGACCTCAGGTGATCCACCCGCCTCGGCCTCCCAAAGTGCTGGGATTACAGACATGAGCCACCATGCCCAGCCATATTTTTAAATAATTTATTGAGATGAAATTTGTATCACATAAAATGGACCATTTTCAAGTGACCAATTCAGTGGTATTTAGTACAGTCATGAGGTCATGCAACTACCTTGTCTCTCTGTCCTTACTTCCAACACTACAAAGTAAAACCCCCTACCCATTAAGCAGTTCCTCCCCATTTCCTCTCCCTGTGGCCTTGCCCCTGGAAACCACTAGTTTGTGCTTTGTCTGTATGGATTTATCTATTCTGGATGTTTCATCTAAATGGAATCATACATATGTCACCTTTTATGCCTGGCTTCTATCAGTTAGCATCACGTTTCCAAGGTTCACCCATGTGGCATGCTTCAGAACTTCGTTCATTTATGTGGCTAAATAATATTCTTTTGTTTGTATAACATATACCACAATTTGTTTATCCATCTATCCACTGATGGACATGTGAGCTATGGCCACCATTTGGCTGTTATGAATAGTGCTGCAATGCTACATGTTTATTTGAGTCTCTGTTTTCATTTCTCTTGGGTATATACCTAGCAGTAAAATTGCTGGGTCATATGGTAATTCTACATTTAACTGAGGAACTGCCAAATCATTTTCCAAAGTGACTGTACCATTTTACACTTTCACCAGCAATGTCTGAAGGTTCCAATTCCTCCACATCCTTGCAAACACTGGTTACTATTTTTTTATTTTGGGATGTTTTTAATTATAATCATCCTAGTAGGAATGAAGTGGCACCTCATCATGGTTTTGATTTGCTTTTCCCTAATGTCTAAAGATGTTGGGTATCTTTTCATGTGTTTGTTGGCCATTTGTATATCTTCATTGGAGAATTGTCTATTCAAGTCCTTTGCCCAGTTTTTAATCGGGTTGTCTTTTTGTTGTTGAGTTGGAAGAGTTCTTTTATATATTCTGGATATTAGACCCTTGTCATATTTTGATTTGCAAATATCGTATTCCATTCTATAGGTTGTGGGTTTTTTTCCTTTCTTAATAATGTCCTTTGATGAATTTGATGAACAGTTTTTCATTTTAATGAAGTTCAACTTACCTGCTTTTTCTTTTCTTGTTCATGCTTATGGTATCATATCTATAAATCCATCGATCATGAAGATAATGAAAATTCACACATATATTTTCTTTTAAGAGTTTTATGGTTTTAGGTCTTACAATTTAGTCTGATCCATTTTGAGTTAATATTTATAGCTAGTGTGAAGTAGGGGTCCAAATTCATTCTTTTGCATGTGGATATCCAATTTTCCAAGCACTATTAGTTGACAAGACTGTCTTTTCCCCCATTGAATGGTCTTAGCACCTTTGCTAAAAATCACTTGGACATAGATATATGGACTTATTTCTGAAATCTCAATCTTACTCCACTGGCCTGCATGTCTGTCCTTATGCTAGTACCATACTTCTTTGATTACTGACGCTTTGAAATTCTGAAATCAGAAAATATGAGTCCTCTAACTTTGTTCTTTTTTTCAAGATTGCTTTGTCGGCCATGTGCGGGGATCATGTTTGTAATCCCAGCACTTTGGGAGGCTGAGGCGGGCAGATCACTTGAGGTCAGGAGTCGGAGGCCAGCCTGGCCAACATGGTGAAACCCTATCTCTACTAAAAATAAAAAAAATTAGCCAGGCATAGTGGCACATGTCTGTAGTCCCAGCTACTCCAGAGGCTGAGGCACAAGAATCACTTGAACCTGGGAGGCAGAGGCTGCAGTGAGCCGAGATCATGCCACTGCACTCCAGCCTGGGCAACAGAGCAAGACTCCATCTCAAAATAAAAAAACAAAAAAAAAAACCAGATTGCTCTGTCCATTTAGCCCATTGCAATTCATGAATACAGGATGTCTTTCCATTTATTTATTTATGCCTTCTTTAATTTCTTTCAGCGAGGTCTTGTCACTTTCAGTGTACAAGGCCTTCACCTCTTTGGTTAAATTTATTTCTAGATACTTTCTGATTTTTGATGTTATTATAAATTGAATTGTTTTTGCTGTACAGAAATACATCCAATTTTTGTATGGTGATCTTTCACCCTCCACTTCTGCTATATTAGTTTATTAGCTCTAGTAGCTTTTTTGTGGATTCTTTGGGAGCTTTTTTAATCTTTTTTTTTTTTTTTTTTTTTTTTTGAGACAAAGTCTCACTCTGTCGCCCAGGCTGGAGTGCAGTGTCATAATCTCAGCTTAGTGCAACCTCTGCCTCCCAGGTTAAAGCAATTCTCCTGCCTCAGCCTCCTGAGTAGCTGGGACTACAGGTGTGTGTCACCACACCCAGCTAATTTTTTTATTTTTAGTAAAGACAGGGTTTCACCATGTTGGCCAGGCTGGTCTCGAACTCCTGACCTCAGGTGATCCACCCGCCTCAGCCTCCCAAAGTGCTGGGATTACAGGCATGAACCACTGTGCCCGGCCCCTTATTGTTTTATTTTGAACTTCATCTGTATTTCTAAATAATGCATTGTTGAGCTTCACCTGCTTTTGAACTTTATACAAATGGAATCACACTGTGTGTATCTTTGATGACTCATTTCTTTTCTTCTGTGCTGTGTTTGGAGAGTCACCCATATGGTAGCTGCAGTTTGTCTGTTCTCGCTGCTGTGTGATATTCCTGCGGGACTATACGGCAATGTACTTGTACATGCTACCGCGGCTGGGCATCTAGACGGCTCTGTGTTGAGTGCTTATGAACAGTGCGGTCTCCTGGAAGATACATACATGCACAAGTATATTTCCAGTAAACCTCAGTGTGGAAGTGCTGGGCTGTGGAGGATATGCCTGCTCCACTTCCTGAGACAATGAGAAATCGTTTTCTGTCCTCCTGAAAGGGGAAGGCTCAAAAGCAAATGCCCATTTTGGAGAAAACATTTTGAATCTGCCAAAGGAGACCCTGAGTAATGAGGGACAGGGCTGGGGGTCCAGGTCCGGCTGCCTGGCCGCGTGGTCGGCCTGGGCTGGTGGCTCCACTGTGACCCTCCATCTCCTCTTTTGGTGCCACTCGCCTCCCAGAGCCCCTACCAAAACCCTAACTCATCCACAGCCCCAGTTTCTTCGTTCGTAAAACCAGGAGAGCTGGTGGTCTCTGCAGACTTACAACGCACCGACACCACACCTTTATTCTGTGGGACCGTCACGGTGGTCACCACAGTTAAGAAATGAGACCCTGCACTCTGCCTTGCCCCTGCTGTTCCCACTCCCAAGAGCATTTTCCCCAGAGCTCCTGCCTGGACCAATCCTCTCATCCTTCAGGGCTAAGCCAGTGTCCCACCCCACCCCACCCCACCCCTCAAGAGCCTCCTCAGTCCAGAGAGAAAAACTTTCTCCCTCATCCCGGCCCCTCCTAGACCACTTTATGGGGGCTTGGGCCCACCTGGGAGCTCCGAAGGGCTGAGTCCCCTTGACATATCTGGAGCCAGCAGAGCCCACCTCGTAAGAGGGCTTTGCAAGCTAACAGTTGAGCCACATGCATGCTGGGCTTTTTGTGTGACATTCAAAGTGGTCCAGGTTACAAAGGCCCCACTGAACTTTTGAAGAAGGTGTTTTTTGTTTTGTTTTGTTTTGTTTTCCCATAATCCTCCCAAGTTTTACAAGCTGAGTTGTGAGATGTGTGGGAACGTTCATCTATAAATATATGAGCAGCCCAGACACTGACCATGAGTCACTGGTCACCACAGACCACACTGGGTCAGGACAGCCCCAGAGGAACACAGCGCACATGTGAACCTCTTTGGGGGGTTCTCCCGCCCTCACCACCAAGTGCCACTCCTTATTCTTCTCTGTAGGACCACTCCCACCCGGTCAGCCTCCCAGGAACAACCCCTGCTGCTCCCAAGCCCAGCCCTTCAGGAGTGCCCCTCCGTGCCCTTCCCTGCCCTTCGGATCTGCCCCATCCTGGGTCTCCATCCCTCAGAGCCGACTGCAGCTAACTGGCCAACCTGCTAAACAGGTGGTGCTGAGATCTGAGAGGCGCTTACTGACTTAACATGTGCACGCTGGTCCCCAGCAGCCCCAGAAGTCCATTTAACATGGATAGTGACATCGTCCACAAAGGGCAGAGTGGGCAAATACTTGCAAAAGCCTTGGAAAAACACAAACCAAGATTTACGTCCAGCACTGTTAGGGCTGTGAGTTCTGGAGTGAAGCATCTCTGTCTCATTGTGTCCGATCTCCAGCACAGCAGGCGAGGCCCGGGTTTCACTCTCAGCTCTGCCATCCCACTGGCCTGCTGCTTCCTCGGCCATGGATGAGGGAATTGCAGACAATGTCATCAGTCCACCCAACCTACCCAACAGATCCCAGGCATTGAAACAGAAGCAGAACTATTACCCTCGTTGCACTTTTTTTTATCAGCTAATGCTTAAGAAACTTCAAAACTGTTTACTGAATACAATCGCTGCTAGACATTGGGCTTGAAGTTTTACACACTTAATCACACTTAATCCTTACAGAAACCATGAGAAATCAGCCTCATTACTCCATGTCATAGACAAGCTAATCAAGACTCAGGAAAGTTAAGTAAGTTGGCCAAGGTCATAAAGATAAGAAATGGTGGATCTGGGAGCTGACTCAGGTACGTCTAAAGCCCAAGTTCTCCTTCCACCACACTGTTTACTGTATTTTTTTTAAAAAAAGAGCCACTTTCAAAGCTTAAACTCGAAGAAATGGCCTTAATAGTAAAGCTTTCCAGCACCATTCAGACTTGTTGGGAAGATTTTTTCCAGGGTGCAGTTTCTTTTTTTTTTTTCTTTTTTGTTTTTGAGATGGAGTCTCACTCTGTTGCCCAGGCTAGAGTGCAGTGGCACAATCTGAGGTCACCGTAACCTCTGCCTCCCAGGTTCAGGTGATTCTCCTGCCTCAGCCTCCCGAGTAGCTGGGATTACAGGTGCCCACCACCACACCTGGCTAATTTTTGTATTTTTAGTAAAGATGGCATTTCACCATGTTGGCCAGGCTGGTCTTGAATCCCTGACCTCGTGACCGGCCTGCCTCGGCTTCCCAAAGTGCTAGGAGTACAGGCATGAGCCACCACGCCCAGCCCCAGGATGCAGTTTCATATGGAAAATACCACATGGAATCATTTCTAGAAAGCAAGAATCCCGGGGACAGCCACACCGGAGAACACCATGCAGCTGGTTGAAGGGTGAGGAAGCTGTCTGTGTAATGGCTCAAAAAGACTCCCATAAATGTTGCTAAAGTTTCCTTTTAAAAAGTCCTTTACGAGAGCATGTGTGCTGAGAACCAGGAAGAAATAGCTGAAGGGAACGCACCAGTGTTCATGGGGGTTACTGCTAGGGGCTAGGGTTGCAGAGGAAAAAAAGATAATCACTTTTTTGTTTCAATATTTCCGTATACTTTTAATTTGTTCCATTGAGCACATACTAGTTTAGGGTTTTTTCATTTGTTTTAAATTTTAAGCAAAGAAAAACCAAACACACACACACCGTAGTCACTTCCCACCCCAACACGGTGCTCCCGGCCAACCCAGGATCCTCTGCCCCAGGTGACATCAGTTCCCTGTGCGCCACATGGCACAGTTATCCCCTTACTCACAAGGGCAGGCAGAAGTGCCTTCCGCGGTGTTCTGGGGCCCAAAAGCTTATGCACTTTGGGGACACCATGTTGAGGAAAATGATACTAACCTATTACAAGTCTAAAGCAAGCTCCAGGCCTTGGAGAGGTCATCCAAGTGTCGGCCCTGGAGCTGACGCTTCCTCAATCATAGGGTGAACCGTCCCAGGGTAGCTGGGCCTGGACCCGTCTCATCAATTACAAACTCTCCCGAGCCAGTGACCCTGGGCCTCCTCGAGTTACAGAGCAAACGGTGCCGCTCAGGCCTGTCTCGGCCCCCCATCCACCGCTGCCCGGGAATGTGCTATTGCACACAGGCCTCCCCAGTGTTCTCCAGCAGTGTTGTGGGCCAGCACTAAGGTCAGCAGGCCATGGTCACCAATGACCTGTCATAGGCATCAAGCCAAATCCTACTGGACTCTGTAGGGAAGAAACAACGTATACTTCATAGATACTTACCAAGATAGCCTCCCGGATTTTGAACCAAGTGGGAAAAGTTAACAACCAAAAAAACATAACTATATATAAACCCTCCCGGGCAATGTTGGCCCACCATTGCCAACCCTCAGAAACCCACCCAGTGGGGGACACGCTGGCCACATGGTCAGAGAATTACGAACTACCTAGAAATGACCACTCCTGTTGCACAATAATGCAACACCAGAAGGCAAACAGCAGCAGCCTGTCTTCAGTTTCCACACTGTATTCATCACGAATTTTCTGTATTGATTTTTGTTTTTTAAAAATATGGCATTAAATGTTACTTATCCTAATTACTGGATTTCTGATACCCCCATTTGAGTGCCTCACTTGCCTCACCCTAAATCTAGAACTGCCCATCAGCCAAGAAAGTGCTGGGAGCCCCACTGCATCACAGAGGCGCCAGCAGCTTCCACGCAATTCTGCCACCAGACTTCTGGTAGGCAAACACTGATCTCCCGCTCGGGGGGCCAAATGTCAATACCCGCAGCAGGGCTTATCGCATCGCCCCGGTACAAAGGCCTCCTCTGACGCATCCCCCCAGCAGAAAGAACGTTCAGGTGTTTGATACCATGGTTGGGAACGTTCCCACAGGTAGCAGGAAGACGAATACCGCCGCTTCAGTCAATCTCATACGACGGCCCCCAAATCCCAAAAAGGCTTAGTATGAAATGCCCATCCTAGTCCGTGAGTGTGGCATGTCCGCAGTTTGTTCCTTCAGATGTTTCCTACGTTTCTTCCTTCCGGTGGGTTCTTGGCCTTGCTCACTTCAGCAGTGAAGCCGCAGACTTTTGCAGCAAGTGTTACAGCTCTTAAAGGTGGCGCATCCAGAGTTGCTCGTCTTTCCAGGTGTGTTCGTGGGCTTGCTGACTTCAGGAGTGAAGCCACATACCGTACAGTCAGTGTTACAGCTCTTAAAGGTGGTGCCAACCCAGACACTTTCTGCTTGCAGCAATAACATTTATTGCCAAGAGAGAAAGAACAAAAAGAAGAAAGCTTCCACAACCAATAAGGAGACCCGAGCGGATTGCCAGGGCTGGCGCTGGTGACCAGCTTTTATTCCCTTATTTGGCCCCACCCACATCCTGCTGATTGGTCCATTTTACAGAGAGCAGATTAGTCCATTTTAAAGAGTGCTGATTGGTCCGTTTTTACAGAGTGCTGATTGGTGCGTTACAAACCTTTAGCTAGACACAGAGTGCTGATTGGTGCATTTACAATCCTTTAGCTAGACAGAAAAGTTCCCCAAGTCCCCACCCGACCCAGAAGCCCAGTCGGCTGCACCTCTCACAAGGACTAGAGTGAAGCGCAGATAGCTGCATTTCTTAAAAAGTTGTTTTAATTGTGGTAAAATACACATAACATAAAATTTACCATCTTACCAGTTTTTAAATGTACAGATTGTGTTAAGTACATTCACATTGTTGTGCGACCAATCCCCAGAACTCTTTTCATCTTAGAAAATGGAAAAACTACCCATTCCTCCCTCCCACCAGCTCCTGGCGGCCACCATTCCATTTCCTGTCTCTATCAGTTTGACTGCTCTTGGTACCGCACATCACACAGCAATTGTCCTTTTGTGACTGACTTATTTCACTTATCGCCATGTCCTCAAAGTCCATCCCTGTTGTGGTATGTTCTGAATGCCCTTCCTGCTGAATCATATTTCATTGTGTGGATAGATCACATTTTGTTTATCCACTCATCTGTCGATGAAAACCTGGCTTACTCCTACCTCTTGGCTATTGTGAATAATGCTGCTATGAACACAAGTGTAAAAGTCCCTATTGAGGCCGGGCATGGTGGCTCACTCCTGCAATCCCAGCACTTTGGGAGGCTGAGGCAGGCAGATCATGAGGTCAGGAGATTGAGACCATCCTGGCTAACATGGTGAAACCCCGTCTCTACTAAAAATACACAAAAAAATTAGCGGGGCGTGGTGATGGGGGCCTGTAGTCCTAGCTACAGGACTACATGGAGGCTGAGGCAGGAGAATGGCGTGAACCCGGGAGGCGGAGCTTGCTGTGAGCCAAGATTGCACCACTGCACTCCAGCCTGGGGCACAGAGCAAGACTCCGTCTCAAAAAAAAAAAAAAAAAAAAAAAAAAAAAAATCCCTATTGAGACCTGCTTAACTGCTGGATCATAGGATAATCCTGTGTTTCATTTTCGAGGAACTGCCATACTGGTTTCCACAGTGGCTGTACTCTTTTACATTCCTGCCAGCAATGAACAAGTTTTCCGATTTCTCCACATCCTCACCAGCACTTGTTATTTCCTGTTTTTTCAGAGTATCCATCCTAATGGGCATGAGATAGTATCTCATTGTGGTTTTAATTTTTAGTTCCCTAGTTAAGATGAGTGATGTTGAGTATCTTTTCATGTTTGTTGGCCATTCATACATCTTCCTTGGAGAAATGTGTAAAGTCCTTTTTTAAATCAGTTTGTTCATTTGTTTGCTGTTATTGGGTTGTAAGGTATTGTAAATATTAATATATTTTAAATATTAATTGCTTATCAGATATATGATTTGCAAATATTTCTCCACATTGCATAGGTTGTCAGATATATACACTTTTAACAACCTCCCTTAGACCAGGGGAGAAATGCTTTGAAGAACCTGGCACAGGATCTGTGGGCCCCTTTCTAGAAGCAAGTTTCTGGGCCAGGTTCCACCTAGGAGCAGGGCCCAAGGGGAGGAGACAGGGAGGAGTGCTGGCTCCACTCAGACCCTGGAGCCCCTGCTGGGAGAGGTGGGGATGCTGACCTAGGCACCCACAGGCACCCAGAAGCCAGGGCCTCCCCCATTTACAGGGCACATCATGTCCCTGGTCACCACCCCTCGAAAGAGCATGATGCCAAAAAGCCCGGGCTGTGCCTGAGTCCCCTCTGCGATGGGGCAGGGGGCTGCACACATCTGCAAGGCGCAGCTTGTGTTAGAAGCACCTGCCTGGCTTATCTCCATGTGACTCTGTAAATGGGGAGCAGTGGAGTCTGATACCAGCAGGTGCTCCAGGCATCCAGTCTGATGCCTCGCAGGAGCTCCCTGCTCTGCTAGCTCCACCTGAAGGGCTAGAGGCCAACCTTGCCGCTCCCCCTCTCCTCCCGTCCCTTCCTCCCAGCCTGGTCTGATGCCCCATGGTTCTCCCCACAGCCCCCAGGTGTTCCCCAGTGGTCCCACCCTTTTCTTCAGGTCCAGCAGATGCCTTAGCTGGAGTTATCTGCTTATGACAGCCCTTGTTTATGACCACTGTGAAGGTAGTTCTCTGAAGGGTGAGAGAATTAGATAATCCAACACCCAGCCCAGTTTTCCTTTGCTTTTCTCCTCGGAACGGTCAGAGATCAGTGATCGTACAAGTTAGTCCCACAGGTCTTCCTTCCAGGACATCCTACACCCATCAGTCTGGGCCTGGGGTCTTTCTCTAAGCGTGAGGCCTGTGGCTGCGGGTCCAGGGTATCTTTTCTGCCAGTGGTAAAAAATGAGAAGCAAATATCAAAAGATTCAAAAGCCTGACCCTGGCTGCTGTCTGTGTCCAGCCAGGATAATTCGGGGTCTGCATTGCAGCTCTTCTGTTTTTGTTTGGTTTTGTTCTCCTAATTGACTATTTGCACTAACCAGGTCAGGGCTAACTAGTAACACCCTACATTCTGCACAAAAAATCAGCAACCCCATGACCTGTGATGAGGGTGGCCTGGCAGGAGGCAAAAGCGACAAGCGTTCCTGGTATCTGACCAGCACCACCTTGAATTAGGACATCAACACATGCGATTGGACTATAAATCATGTAATGACAACTGCAATGACAACTCTAAAAACAATTGGGCGTGTGCTCACATTTTCACAGTAAAGCCCCGACAATGTTGACAAAATCCACTGTTTGAATTCTGATACGACTTTCTTCCATTTTGTGATCTTTTTATTGCTCTTAATTACAACGGTTAGCATTAGAGACATACCCTATGATTCCATTATTTGCAATTGCAGCTTAAATATGCATATGTCCTAAATGATGGAATGATAACCAGCAGTGCCATTGGAAAATGAAAATATTAGTGATGCTGCAGAAATGCCAAGGATGTAACCATGAGGCTGGACTCTTGGAACTGGCCATAGCTGGGGAGACCTTGGACTGAGGCACCCTGGTATTGGCTGGGTGACCCTGGGCACATTCTCCTTTTTCTCTTTTTTAAAATAAGCTATGTTGGTCTTTAGAAAATTAAAAACACAACACGGACAATGAAGAAATTAAAGAAAAAGTCTGTATCCCCTCCCACAAACACAAAATGAACAAGTTAATGAATTTGCTTCCTTTTTTCCTAGCCATATTTTGTATTCACTTTAAAAAGAAAAAATGTTGGCTGGGCACGGCAGCTCATACCTGTAATCCCAGCACTTTGGGAGGCTGAGGCAGGTGGATCACCTGAGGTCAGGAGTTCGAGACCAGCCTGGTCAACATGGTGAAACACCCATCTCTACTAAAAAATACCAAAAAAAAAAAAAAAAATTAGCCAGGCGTGGTGGCGGGCGCCTGTAGTTCCAGCTATGCAGGAGGCTGAGGCGGGGAATCACTTGAACCCAGGAGGTGGAGTTTGCAGTGAGCCAAGATCGCGCCACTGCACTCCAGCCTAGGCGACAGAGTGAGACTCTGTCTCAAAAAAAAAAAAAAAGAAAAGAAAAAAGAAAGAAAGAGAGAAAAAATGTCTTACTGATAGCACTATTCACAATAGCCAAAAGTGGAAACAACCCAAATTCATCAACTGATGAATTCATGTAATGGAATATTACAGAGGCATAGAAAAGAGTAAAGTCCTGATCTGCGCTACCTGGATGACCCTTGAAAACATGACGCCGAGCAAAAGGAGCCAGACACAAAAGGCCACACGTTGAATGATTCCATTCATATAGAGTGCCCAGAATAGGCAAATCCATAGAGACAGAAAGTGGATTTGTGGTTGCCAGGAGCTGGGCAGGGTCAGGGAGGAATGAGGAGTGACTGCTAATGGGTACCGGCTTTTTTTAGGAGTGATCAAAGTGCTCTGGAATTAGGTAGTGGTGATGGTTTCACAGTCTTGGAACTATATGTAAAACACTGAACTGCAGACTTTAATAGGTGAATTTTAGGGTATGTGGATTATATCTCGATTTTTAAAAAAGAAAGTACAAAGAAAAATATCACTGTCTCTAAAGATCCAGCTCTGTTTCCTGGACTCTAGTCTAGAGGAGGATCTCTCAGTGTCCCCAGAGGAGAGCCCCTGGGAGAGAAGAAGGCTAGAAACCCGGAGGAAAGGGAACCCTGGCCCAGGAGAGGGGTCGGCTGTGACGACCTCCAGCATTTCCTGCAAGCCAGCCCTGTCACCTTCCTGCGGATAGTGATGATGAAGCAGAGGACAATAGGTTTCAAAGGTCTTCCAAGCATGGTGTCACTAGGCTCTCACACCAGCCTGTGGGGCAGATGTGAGGGGTATCATTGTCCTCATTTTGCAGGTGACGTTCCACAAGATGGGACTGAGGTGACCCTCAGCTGGGCCCTCCTACCTGTGCTCTCTGCAGCTAGGGGCAGGAGGCTGCATCTGACCTGAGAGTATCCCTGAGAAGCCAGAGCAGGACTCTCAGCTGAACCACCCAGAAATGGCCAGTTGGACCCAGGCCAGGACCTCCAGTGGCAGTGGAGCGAGGGGGTGGGAGGGTGGAGCAGGAAGGAGTGGTTGTGGCTTTTAATCCTTTCTGCATATAAGGCTGGGCGGCTTGTGCTTTGGCTGGCAGGCTTGTTTGATTCTCCTGCATGGAGAGTTTCAGGCATGCAGGTGCCACCCCAGGTGGGGCCCACAGGTGCCCCTAGGAGCCGGGCAAAGGCAGGTCCCAGGGAGCTGTCAGGGCACATGTGGGAACCCGCCGCCACCTGCAGCTGTGCCAGGACACCAGCCAGCGTTCCCACATCCTGAGGGCTTTCAAGAGAAGCCATAAGTATAATCTCCCTCTTGGTTAATAATGGCAGCTAAATGTAGTTTTCACAAAAGGTTCCAACCAAGCCCATATGTGGGCCACATGTAGCTGTGGGAATGAGAGTTTGAGTCGTCTGCTCTAAATATATACACAAAACAAGCAGTTTCTTCTGGATAAACTGGTCCACACATCATTCATTTCATTGCGGGGTTTGCTTGTTAATTTTGGCCCAAGACATAGGGCTTTGAGTAAACAGAGCCTCGCCCGGCAGTACACCAGCTCTTACATTCAGAAGCCACTTCCCCGAGCCATGTCCTCCCAGACCAAAGTCACACTGTGTCTTTGCAGCCTTCCTCCTTGTCTCCGTCCAGCCTTCTCAAGGTATCCCCCTGCACCTTCCTGTACCCCTCCTTGTGGGTCGCCCCCACCTGTGTGTGTAAACACCTTCTAGAAGGTCACATTGTTAAAGCCCCCCATGACCCTTCATTCCACTCCAGCTCCCACCATTTCTGGGCTCCCCTTCAGGGGAAGACTTCTCCTCGGGGTTGACACTTGCTGTCTACACTTCCTCGGCCCCCTCACTCTAAAACTACGTAAATGCCCAGAGAATAACATGACAACGTGCACCTGAGCAACCCCCACCCAGATGGTACAAAGGTTTCCTTGGCCATGTTTGTAGCAGATATTTCTTTCTTTAAAAAATAAATAAGTACAGAGCTGGCAGAACATTTCCCATTGCCCTTCAGCCCACTCCTCTTGGACTTTCTTCCCGCAGCCTCCCCGTGGCCCTTCATGGACACATGGTCCTGGCTACAGATGAAAAATCGCTGGGTCCTCAGCAGGGCAGTCATATTTGATAATGACCAGGATTGCATTTAAATCTAGTACCTCCCAGATACTGTACAGATAAGATCCCAGCTAAGGCTCAAAACCACTCAAAGCCATTTCCATTTCAGAGATGAGAAAATCACAGCTCAGAGGGGTTGGGGGCGTGGTGGCAGTGCCAGCAGTCCGCCTCCAGTATGACCTCCACTGTCCCTTCACTCAGCCGGGGTAGACAGACTTCCCAGCTGGGACAAGCACTCTTAAAATCTCAGTGGGATTTCCATCTCCAGTGCCAGTGCTCCTATCATCCGGCACAGAGGCATTCAAAATAACCATTTCTGATGGACTGGAATATTTTGCACAAGTGGGCAGTATCTCACCTAATGGGGGTGGGGAGGTTATGAAGGGTTTGTGAACAAACCACAGGAAGCCCTGCTTTCTCCTTTCACAAGGACAGGTGGCACCTGCAGGGTCTCCCCTGCAGTGGCGTTATCGTTGCACTGAAACTTGCATGACCAATCTGTAAGGAGTCAGGGTGGGTTCAGCCATTTGTTATGACCTTGGCATTGTTCAGCCCCAGAGCCTGGCAGGAGGGGAAGGAGGAAAGTTTGACTGAGGGGCCTCCACCCATTGCCTTTCACCTGCACACTGCCTCTGAGCAGATTCAGGAGACCAAGCTCCTCCCCAGGTGAGCCATGCCTCTCCTGGGGTGACCTGGCTTACTTCATGTGTGCCCTGCTGGCAAATGCTCTGCTGCTGTAGGTGGCATTAGCAAGGGCTGAGCAGGTGGCACTGCTCCACCGGGAGGTTGAGTAAATCACTGAGTCATTAGGAGATGTTGAGCTCTCGCCAGGCCCTCCTGGAGGCACAGGGGATACAGCAGAGAACTGAAGGGGGCTGCTGCCTCTGTGGCTTTGGTGCGAGGTTGGGGAGGAGGGGACAGGCAGGAGGTGGGGGAGAAGGTTTATGGAGAACAGAGCGCAGGGGTTGGGGTAGATGGGGAGTCAGGGAGCCCTGGTGAAGAGGCCACATTAGAGCAGAGACTGGAACAGAGGGAGGGCAGGATTTGTTCATCTTGCTTCCCAAGAAAGAGGCTGCAGGCAAAGTGACTCTTACTCCTCTTGTTTATCCTCGTAGGTTCTAGAAGATTTCTGAGGACTCAGCAGTAACTTGCAGTGCTGGACTGAGGCTATTTCCTTATATCAACTTTTTGAAAACTCATGGTTAATACCTAAGTAAAGCACTTCCACCTTCCCCCCCTCCCCCCCTGAGAAAGTACGTTAGTCACATGCTAGCGTTTTTATTAGGAAAAGACGGATTTCCAGTGAAGCAGAGGGAAGTGGATTGAGCCTGGCTCGGGCCATGGCGCCAGTTGCACTTGCCCTGGTGCCGAGCCACAGCAAGGGCTGGCACTCGGCACCATGAAAAGCCCTCCTTTTCGGAATCTGGGGGACAAAATGCAAGACCGATGCCCCAGAGTCATCACAGATGACCTTCATTGGCACGATAAGGGGGGGGACAGGGGGCCCTGCCTTAAAGGAGGCATCTAAACACCCCTTGTGATGGAACAGACTTAGCCACAAAAGCCAGCGAGGGGCACGTTGTTGCTCCCTCATCCGCCGGTGGCATTAAGTCCTGTAGGGCAGGCTGCGTTTCCCCCTTTCACGATGAGGGGCCTGAGCCTAAGCGCTCGGAGCCTGGGCTTTAGTTTCTGATTCCCCACGCTGTGCTGGCACAGGTTTCCTGGACAGCGCCCCAGCGCGGGTTTCTTATCCTAGGGCGGTGAGAGGGGCTGCCAGGGAAAGTGTGGGAAAGGACGAGGGGCGGGACTATGAGAGGGAGCGGGGCTGGGGGCGGGGCCTGGAGGACCGGGCTGAGAGGGCGGGGCCGTGAGAGGTAACAGGGGGCGGGGTGAGGGGGCGGGGTCGAGGACGATGGGGGCGGACTTGGGGGCGGGGCCTGGGGGCTAGGGAAGGACAGTGCCAGATCTTGTGTCCAGCCTCTGGAATCTTCCCTCAGTTCTTCCTTGTCTTTTCGTGGCCTTGACGTTTTTGAGGAACGCAGGTGGGTTATTTCGTAGGATGGCCCTCAGTTCGGGCTGTCTGATGATCCTTCCTCCAGATCAGGTTCAGATGATGTACTTTGGGCACTTTTGTTCCTCTTGGTGCGTTTTATCCAGAGCCTCATAATAAATATTTGTTCCATGACAGGCGATGTGCACTTTGTTTTAGGTGGTTCTCCCCAGAATTCTCCACTGTCAAGTTACTAATTTCTCCTTTGTAATTAATAAGTATCCATGGGAAATACTTTGAGATTATGTAAATACGTTGTTACTCTTCAGACTTTTACCCACTACTTTTAGCATTCATCAGAGATTCTTGATGGTTGCCAAATGGTGATTGTCGGATTCCATCATTCCTTCCACATTTAATAGGGACTTTCCATTGGAAGAAAGAGCTTTCTCCCTCCCCTGTGCGTTTATTTACATATGTATTTATATCAGTGTGGACCCATGGGTCTTTATTTAAGTCTAAAGGTTATAATTCTTCATTGTAGTCATTTATTTTCATGCTGAAGGGACCCCAGAGAAAGCCACTGGGAGCCCCTTCAAGCAGCCACTGTGTTCTTTTGGCATGTTCCCATGTCAAAAGTAAAGTTTCTCACTTGCTGGTACAGTAAGGTGTTCCAGGCTCTTCTTATACTTCCCCGCCCCAGCCCTGGATTCCTTTTAGTGGAGAATGGTATTTGGAAACCAGTATTGGAGCATGAGTATGCTCATTGCTATTGAAGTGTTATTGTGAAGCCCATTAAGGGAGCCAGGGAATGTATGAGTGTGTAAGCATACAGGCATGCATGCATATGTGCATATGTATGTAGGCATATGGCCCCAAGGTCCCTGCCTGCTGATATGCATGCTTTGTGTAACCCCCTCCCTTGAGTGTGGGATGGACTGAGTGACTCAATGCTAATGAATGGGCTACGGCAAAAGCCATGGGCTGTCACTTTGGACACCAGGTTATAAAGAGACCTGGCTTCTGTTTTGCATGCACTCTTTTGCTTGCGCACTCAGAGGGTGGTCAGCTGCCCCTTCGTGAGCTGCCCTGGAGAGCGGTTTCCCTGGCAAGGAGTTAAGGGAGGCCTGGGCCAACAACCACATGAGTGAGCCTGGAAACGGATCCTTCCAGGTTTCCTTCCTTCCCTTAAGACCACAGCCCCCACCCATAGCTCAGTCAAATCCTTGTGAGAAACCAGAGTCAGAAGCACCCAGCTAAGCCACATTCAACTCCTGGTCCATAGAAACTGGGAGATAATAATTGTTTGTTATTCTAAGCCACTAAGTTTTGGGGCAATTTGTTTTGTTACTCCATAGTTAATTAATGCAATATGTTATATCTCTATATATGTGTATATGTATAGACAGGGACCACACATACATTTATATCTGTTTTTATACCTGTCTCTATATATTACAAACCATGAGTTCACACTGATAACTTCAATTTTAGCTCAGTGCTACAAGGTTCATTGTGACCTTCCCCACTTTCCATATTTGTAACTCCTTTCTCCAGCAGTGAGAAACCCAGCTCCAATCATCTGCAATGTATTAATTTATTTGTTCAGTCCTAGAGGACACAAAAACAGCTTCAGAATTGCTATCCTATGTTCCAGAAAAAGTAACCTACTCATGGGAGTTCAATCTTTGTTTAGAGTTCTTGTCTTTAGTTGTCATATAGTCCAAATACTGCAACCCCTATGTTATAAAAAACAAGGGCTTCCCAGCTTCTCTGGGAAGTAAGGCATGAGATGCAAAGGGGAAAAGCACAGTTTCTTTCCAGGCAGCAGGTGCTGGGCTTCGCTGTCTTGCGCTGGAGAAGTGCGAAACAGACGGGAAAAGTGCAAAACAGAAGGGCAGGGCGGGGCTTCAGAGGCTCCCGCTCCATGCTTTCTTTCTCCCCTGAGCCCACACTGCCTGCCTCCCTTGCATTAGCACAAAAGCACCAACCTCTGAGGCCAGCGATGTTGTTTTTAAACAGTCATTAAATTATTTACAGAGAAAAGTGTACGGTGTTGCTTTTTGAAGGCTACTGAGGAAGGTTTGAATTTTCATCATTTCTATTATTCAAAAAGCCAAGTAACAAGCTGACTTGGATCTTCCCAGAAAGGCTGAGTTTGGGGGGTACTTGCACGCCCTAGTCCGCACAGCTGGGACTAGGGCTGGGGCTCTCCTAGAGTAACAAATGGGGCATCGGCATGACCTCTCTGCGGAGGGCCTCTCTGACATGCAGTTGTCACTGCAGACCTCTGCAGAGGTGACCTCCCCAGAGACAAGGGGCCTCCCAGAGCAGCACTGCTGCTTAGGTAAATGGGGACAGCCAGGAGGCCAGCTCCAAGCCTCACCCCGCAGATACCTCAGTCCCATCCTGGTCACAGGCACATGGGGCACTCCTCATGGCAGTTGTGGGAAAGTGGCCAAGGACACAAGGCTCCCGCCGGCCATGGTTTCTCTAAGATCTGACTCAGGATTGTCACATGCTAAGCGTTCTACTTCCCCATGCCTGCAAGCACCCCACAAGCTCCCCACAGACATACACACTACACAGGTCATAGTCATGCACACGCCACACTACACAGGTCATAGTCATGCACACAACACACTACACTGCACACATACCACACACATAACACCACACACACATCACAAACACACACCACACATGCGTGCGCACACACCCACTCACATACAGACTCATCACACACACACACATGCATCACGACACACTCTGCACTCGTACAACACACATCCATCAGACACATACACAAACATAGCACACACACACACACATCATACATCCACAAATAGCACAAATACGCACTGAGCCAGGCCTCATGGAGATCCAGCGAAGGGTGCTGGCTCTCTCCCTGCCTCCCACGAGCCCTTCCAGGGAACCCCGAGGCCCCTGCCCCACAGCCTGCCTGCACCTCCCTCCCACCTGCAGGAAGGGCTCTCCCCAGCTCTCTCTGCCAACTGACTCCACAAACCCTGGGAAGCAGACCCAATGGGGCCCTTCAGATGCAGGCCGGTTCACTTCCCAGTGCCCAGCCTCTGTGTGAGATGTCCCTGGTGACTGAGAACAAGAAGCCATGTGGGATAAAGCCAGCAGAAATCGCTGAGCATCCAGCACCAGCAGGGCCTCCACAGGGGATTTCCCTCCCACCTCCTTCTGCTCCAGGTGGCCTCCCTGAGCCACACCCCTAACGTGCCATTTCCAGATGGTAAACAACACTTGCACTGCAGTTTATCTCCTTGGAAATCCCCACAGCTCCCACCCCAGAACCGTGCACAAAAAATATCTTCAACAGGTAGATATGGATGAATTAAGGTGCAAAATGAGAACCATTAAATACATACTTGCAAGCCATTTCTCTTAAAAGGTACTAGAGCTAAGATCCTTAAAGACTTGCATCCACCATTATTGCAGATGACTATTCAGATGTTGTGGGCAGACATATTGTTTTATAAAAGTATAAGAATGGACTCTGATGATGGCTTGGGAATATATTGGTCCAATATCCACTTCTCTCTCTCTTCCAGGGTCAGAAATCTTGGATAGAGAAAACCTTTTGCAAACGGGAATGTATCTTTGTAATTCCTAGCACGAAAGACTCTAACAGGTAAATTGAAATCCACGATTAAGACATTATCCAAACCAGTGCTTGTCTGCCACTATTCTCATGTTTGTAAGAGGCAGAAAGAGGAGTCCAGAAGGGTGGCCAGAATCCATTCCCCATGGGAGTCACTAACAAGGGAGTCACTGGGGCTCCTTGTTACTCCATTAACATGCAAATGGCTTCAGAAAAGAGTTTCTGTCCACCACCCACCCTAATGCGAGCTCTCATAGCCAACTGGGCCCACATCATTCCTCTTAGTCTCAGCAAGATCAAGGAGTTGAGGGCTTTCAACAGGTTTCCAGGATATTTTCCAGGCCTCTTCAATAGAGTTTCATAATGTATTTAGATGAAAAGGAATTTCCATCACAGGAAAGATCTGAGCGGTTGAATGAACTAGCTATAACTTTATTAAAGGATTTGGCTTGTACACAAAACATCAAACAATTTTATTCACCTACATTAAAATGCATCTGTTATAAGCTGAACAGAGGCCTTGTAAAGTCATGTAAGTAGAGATTAATTTAACTAAAATGTCTCATCTCTAAGGGCAAAAGCTATGAGGCTGAGTCTGGGGGAAGGGGAACAATTTATCCATACATTCGTCCAATATGAAATTCATGCAGGTAGAATAATGACACAGAAGTACACACTCTTCAAGATCACCTGCTTCAAATTTGTTTCACACATGCAATCACAGTCCCTCCACATCCCCAAGCTGCCCCTTGCCCCACACCACCCTGCAGATTCTCCTCCCTGCTTAAACCCCAGTGATTGCCCCCCCGAGGTAAGAAATGCCATTATGAAACAATGCCAACGGTCACAAAAGTCTCCCCTTTGTTGCATCTACATGTCCCTTCTTATTTCAATGGCACATAGGCCATCCTGGGAACTCTCTGTGCCAGCACTGCAGTCCTCCATGAAGCCAGATGCCCAGGCAATAGAGGGCAAAAAGTGCTTCTGGGCTCACATACAAGCCTCCTTGATGCACTCCATGCAGTCCCCAGCATGGATTAAAAAAAAAAAAAAACTAGAATGAAAAAACCAACCGTTTAAACCCTTGGAAATGATCCCAAAGACAAACAGCAAGTAAAGGAATATCTTTAGAGAAAGCCAGCAAAAATTCAGTAAGAAAGGCTAGAGTCTGTGGGATTTGAACCAAGAGTTTCCTCCCTCCCTCTGCCCAGCTCAGCAAGATAGAGACTCTACTCCAGAGTGCTGCAGCCAAGAACACAGAGCTCCCTCTCCACCAGCTCCCAGTCAGGGGGCTTTCTTCCTGGGAGGAGCAGGATTTCAGCATTTCTCATCCTGTCCCTTACCACCTGTTGCTGAGGCTAAGTCCTGAATGAATGCAGTTGAGAGATAGAGGCTCCCTTCTTCCACCCGTGCCCCACTCATGTAAGCAGCAACCACAGAAAGTGAGAGTGGTTATAATGGATTCAGACAAAACATACTTTAAAGCAAGAAAATGTAACTAGAGATATTAAGAACATTTTATAATGATAAATGGGACAATCGATCAGGAAGTTACAACAAATATAAACATATATGTACCTAAAACAGCACCAAAATGCATGAAGCAAAACTGACATAAACAAAGGGAGAAGTAGACAATTCAACATGACAGTTGGAGACTTCAATACCCCACTTTCAATAATGCATAGATCACCTAAACAGAAGACCAACAAGGGAATAGAAAGCTTGAACAACATCATAAACCAATTAGGCTTAACAGATAACTATAGAGCACACCACCCAGTAACAATAGAAAACACATTCTTCTCAAGTGCATATGGAACATTCTCCAGCATAGACCATGTGTTAGTCCATTAAAAAGCCTCAAAATATCTAAAAGGATAGAAATAATACAAACTGTCCTCCAACCACAATGTAATAAAATTAGAAATAAGAAACCAATAGGAGGAAAAAAATTGGAAACTCATAAATATGTGAAAATTAATACACTACCAGATAACCACTAGGTTAAAGAAAATGTCAGAAGGTTAATTAGAAAATACTTTTAGGTAAATGGAAATGAAGACATAACAAACCAAAACTTAGGGGATGCAGGTAAAGTAGTACGGACAGGGAAATTTATACCTGTAAATACCTATATTAAGAAAGATATTTAATAAGTAACATAACTTTCTACCTTAAGACACTGGAAAAAGAAGAGTAAACTAAACCTAAAGCAAGTAGAGGGAAGGAGATAATGATTAAAGTGGAATTAATGGAAAAGAGAATAGAAAAGTAGAGAAATTCAATGAAATTAAAAGCTCTTCTTTAAAAACCTCAACAAAATTCACATATCTTTAGCTAGAGTCATAAAAGAAGAGAAAGATAAGACTCAAATGACTAGACTCAGAAATGAAAGAGGGGACATTACTACCAACCTTATAGAAATGAGTATGAAAGAATACTATGACTTATATGCAAACAAATTAGATAACTTAGATGAAATGGGAAAATTCTGAGAAATATACAATCTGCCAAAACTGACTCAAGAAAAAATGTACAATCTGAACAGATCTATAAGGAGTAAAGAGATAGGATTAGTAATAAAAAAACTGTCCAAAGAAAAGCCCAGGCCCACATGGCTTTTTCGATGAATTCTAAAAAACATTTAAGGAAGAGTTAATACCAATTCTTCACAAACTCTTCAAGAAAATAGCAGAGAAGGGAACATTTCCCAACTCATTTAATGAGGCCAGTACTACCCAGATACCAAACTAGACAAAGATATCACAAGATAGAAAACTATAGAACAATATCTATTACGAACATGGGTGCAGAAATTCTGAACAAAATACTATCAAACCAAATCCAGCAACATATAAAAATAATGATACACCATGACCAAGCAGGGTTTATCCCAGGAATGTAAAGTTGGTTTACATTAGAAAAATAAATAATGTAATATAGCATATCAATATAGTAGAAACAAAAATCACATGATCTTTTCAATAGGCACAGCAAAAGACTTGGATAAAACTCAACACTCTTTATAAAAAATCACTCGGAAAACCAGGAATAGAAGGGAACTTCCTCAACCCGATAAAGAACAGCTATAAAGAATCCACAGTTAACATCAGACTTAATGGTGAAAGATTGCTTTCCTCCTAAGATTAGGAACAAGATAAGGATGTCCTCTCTCACTACTTCTATTCAATATTTTAATGGAAGTACAGGCCAAAGCAATTAGGTAAGAGAAATAAAGAAAGAAAAAATATTGAGATTGGAAAGAGAGAAGTAAAACTCTCTATTTGCAGATGACATAATCTTATACATAGAAAAATCCTAAGGAATCCACCAAAAAATATTAGAACTAATAAATGAGTTCAGCAAGATTGTGGCATATAAGATCAATACACAAAAATCAAATGTATTTCTATACACTTGCAATGAACTATATGGAAATGAAACTGGCAACATAATTTATCTATAATTGCATCAAAAAGAATAATAGGAGGACTCACATTTTCTGATTTCAAAACTTAATACAAAGCTACAGTAATAAAAGGACAACGATACTGGCATAGGATAGACATATAGACAAATGGAACAGAATTGACAGTCCAGAAATAAACCCATACACCTATGGCAAATTGATTTTTGGCAAGGGTGAAAAGTACTTTCAATGGCGAAATAGTAGTCGTCTCTTCAGCAAATGGTACTGGAATAACTGGATAGCCACATGCAAAAGAATAGTCTTGGACCCTTACCTCATGCTATCTATAAAAGTTAAAATGGACCAAACACCTAAATGTCAAAGCTAAAACTATAAAACTCTTAGAAGAAAATGTAAGGGTAAATCATGACCTGGGATTTGGCAAATGATTCTGAGATATTACACCAAAAACATGGACAACAAAAACAACAAAAAAATTGTCTTTACCAAAATTAAACACTGTGCTTCAAGGGACGCTATCAAGAAAGTGGAAAGACAACCCACAGAATGGGAGAAAATATTTGTGAATTATGTCTCTGATAAGGGACTTGTATCCAGAATACGGAAAGAGATCCAATAATTAAAAAAAAATAAATAACCCAAGTTTTTTAAATGGGCAAAGGAAATGAATAGACATCTTTCCAAAGAAGATACACAAATAGTCAATAAGCACATGAAAAATGCTCAATGTCCTTATTCTTCAGGGAAATGCAAATCAAAACCATGATGATAAACTGCTTCACACTCAGAAGGAAGACTAGAATGAAAATGTAAGATAGTGTGTGGGAGAGGATATGGAGAAATCAGAACCCTCAGACACTGCTGGTGGAAATGTACCATGATACAGCCACCTTGGAGAACAGTTTGGTGGTTCTTCAGAAGATTAAACATAGAGTAACCGTATGACCCAGCAATCCCATGCCTAGTGTATACCCAAGAAAAATGAAAACATTCATCCACTCAAAAACTTGTTACATAAATATTCATAGCAGCATTATTCATAACAGCTGAAGAGTGCGAATAGCCCAAATGTCCATTAAATGATAAATAGATAAACAAAATGTTCATCCATTCATACGAGAATATTATTAAGCCATAAAAGGGAGTGAAGTACCAACACATGCTACAATATGGATGAACCTTGAAAACATGCTAAGAAGCTGATCTCCAAAGACCAGATATTACAGGACTGTATTCATATGAAGTGTCTAGAACATGGAAATCCACAGAGATAAAAAGTAGACTTGAGGTTGCTTATGGCTTGGGGAGTGGTGCACAGGTAGATAGATGGTGGTGAGAAGGAAGATAACTTAAAATATGCCATGCCAAGTTTCTTTTTGAGGTGATGAAAATGTTCGAAAATTAACTGTGATGATGGTTGCACATATCTGTCAATACTAAAAACCATTTAATCTCTCTCTCTCTCTCTCTCTCTCTCTATATATATATATATATATATATGTTTTTTTTTTTTTTTTTGAGACGGAGTCTCACTCTGTCAACCACGCTGGAGTGCAGTGCCACGATCCCGGCTCATTGCAACCTCTGCCTCCGGGGTTCAAACGATTCTCCTGCCTCAGCCTCCCAAGTAGCTGGAATTACAGACGTGTGCCACCACACTCAGCTAATTTTTGTGTTTATGGTGGAGACGGGGTTTCACAATATTGACCAGGCTGGTCTCGAACTCCTGACCTCAAGTGATCCACATGCCACGGCCTCTCAAAGTGTTGGGATTACAGGCGTGAGCCACTGCTCCTGGCCTGAATCACATACTTGAAATGGGTTGATTATGTATTACATGAATTATATCTCAATAAAAGGAAAAAAGAGAGAGAGAAAGAGGGAGGGAGTGAGGGAGGGAAGATGGAAGGCCATCAGAAGGAGGGTGGGAGGGAGAGAATGGGGAAGCGAGGAGGGAAAAGAAAAAGGAAAACAAAAGGAAAGACAAGGCAGAGAGGAAGCCCCAAGGCTGGCCCCATGGGAGCACAGAAAGCCTTCTGGCAAGGGCCCTGCACATGTGCATTACACACGTGCACGCATACGCACATCTAGCCCAGTAAAGACATCCTCTCTAGTCCTCAAGCCAACTCCATCCCCAGCTCTCCCACCCCATTTGCTAGGGTGCACGGCTGCCCACACAGGCTCCTGCTGGGTCCAGGAACAGACCTCCCTCCATGCCTTCCCTGGATTCCATCTCCACCAAGGCATCACTCCAGGCTACTGCAGTTCTTCCTAACAAACTTTTCAAGTTTTTGGTGGGTCCAGTCCACTCAAAACAGTGGCAGCCAAAAATGATGGAGTAACAGATGAAATCCTAGGCACACTAGGAAAAGAAGCTGGCACAAAGCCAGGGAACATGTTCAGAGAAGACTAGAAAGCCAGAGTTCAGGGAGGGCGTGAGAGGTTGGCTGGGTTTTGGGAGAGATGCTGTAGAGCTAGAAGATCCCTGATGCTGGGGCGGGTTATGGCCCAATGGGCCATCTGTCCAAGGCAGAAAAAGACATATTGGTCACTTTTGAAATAGCCTTTTAGCATTACTTGAGTGGAGAAATGTTTTACTAAGGAACAGAACAATTCAACAATATGGAAAAATTTGGCTGACACCTAAGTAAGTAATTTTAGAACTTTGGGAGGCCAAGGCAGGCGGATTGCTTGAGCCCAGGAGTTCGAGACCAGCCTGGGTAACATGGCAAAATGCTGTCTCTACTAAAAATATAAAAACTAGCTGAGCATGGTAGTGTGTGCCTGTGGTCCCAGTTACTAGGGAGGCTGAGGTGAGAGGATCACCTGAGCTTGGGGGAGGTCTGGGCTGCAGTGAGCTATGATAGCGCCACTACACTCCAACCTGAATGACAAGAGAAAGAAAAATCTGGAAGGTCAACTCTATGTTCGGAGGGCATGTCTATACTTTGTCACAGAATGTTTAGTACTTGATGTTTATACTGATGTTATCAAGACATCAAAAAGTTGAAATATTTTCCGAAAGAGCAACCATCCAATGTGTCTAAAATCGACTGGCATATAAAGAGATGTGCACTGATTATCTGGAAAAGGCCATCAGATGGGGCATTTCTGTCCCTAATAACGCTGGCTTACTGAAGTGTTAGTAGGCTCCTGTTTGGGCCCAACTCACCTGTTGAGGTTAATTCATTTTTGCTAATGAAGGGGAAAGGGGGAGATTGTTGTAGAAAGACCCTGCTTTGCCTTTGTTTTCAGGTGTTGCTGTGGCCAGTTCACCAACCAGCATATCCCCCCTCTGCCAAGTGCAACACCCAGCAAAAATGAAGAGGAAAACAAACAGGTGGAGACTCAGCCTGAGAAATGGTCTGTTGCCAAGCACACCCAGAGCTACCCAACAGATTCCTATGGAGTTCTTGAATTCCAGGGTGGCGGATATTCCAATAAAGCCATGGTGAGAAAGGCATTCAGACATGGTGCCACTAGGATCACAGCTTTCATTGGCGGCCAGTCTCCCAGCCCCAAACTGCAGATACCTGGTCTTCTTCATGGCTGTGGCTCAATCTTCCTAGATATTTCATTGAAAAACCAAGAGATATATCTGTGCACATGGCTTTTAGCCATGAGGCTTGGAAACTGGACACCACTGTAAAGAACATCTAGTGTCCCGTAAATCCATACCAAAGCTCTGAATCCACAAACCAGGCTCTGGCCCAACCCTGCAAACACACTCCATTGCTCCATCTTCAGTAAAGGAAGACAAATTCATTTTTCTAATAACTGTGGACCTGCAGCCCCCTTAGATGTGTTGAGAGTCTTTGGAAATATTTTCCTCTGAGGTCTGTCCACAGCTTCCCTGGGCCTGCGCTCAGCTGGCCCGAGAAGGACCAAGGTCCCTCACATTTGCATGTAAACAGGGAGTGCCCTCTGCCCTTCCAGTGAGCCCTGCCAGCGTGGGGGAGGCTTCAGCTCTGTGATCCGTTCCAGCTCACTCTGAATTACACTCCTACATGCCCAGTCACAGACTTTTTGCAATTTCATTTTATTTCACTGGCCCAACATCATTGTTAAAATAAAATTTAGTTGTGTTCCAAATGCTGCAATATACAGTCTTCTGAAATGGCACCCTACATATTAGCCCAGACACAAAGAAGCAGTTTATAGGAGACAAGGCATCTGAGCATTATTAGCCTCCTCCTCACTTTGAAGAGGTCAAGTTCATGGGTGGGCCCATGATCGCCTGACCCATTTACTCAACAACATCCTCATCCAACTTCTTGGGCCACTGTTCTAGCTAAGCCAGCTTTGGAACCTATTCCTCCAACATTAGGATTGCCAGATAAAATACAGGACACCCAGTTATATTTGAACTTCAGACATACATTGGATAAATTTTCAGTACAAGTATGTCCCAAATATTGCATGATTTATTGCATTTAATAAAAATGTTGTACTGAAACATTTTTCATTGTTCCTCTAAAATTCAAATTTAACTGGGTGTCTTGGTCTGTTTGGCTGCTATAACAAATTGCCTTAGGCTGGGTAATTTATAAACAACAGAAATTTATTGCTCACATTTCTAGAGTCTGGGAGGCCCAAGATCAAGGTGCCAGCAGATTTGGTGCCTGGCGAGGGCCCATCCTCTGCTTCATACATAGCACCTTCTTGCTGTGTCCTCACATGGCAGAAGCAGAGAACAAGCTCTCTGAGTCCTCTTTTTTTTTTTTTTTTTTTTTTTGAGTTGGAGTTTCGATCTTGTTGCCCAGGCTGGAATGCAATGGCTCAATCTTGGCTCACTGCAACCTCCGCCTCCCAGGTTCAAGTGATCCTCCTGCCTCAGCTTCTGAAGTAGCTGAGATTACAGGTATGCGCTACCACACCTGGCTAATTTTGTATTTTTTTTAGTAGAGACGGGGTTTCAACATGTTGGTCAGGCTGGTCTCGAACTCCTGACCTCAAGTGATCCACCTGCCTCGGCTTCCCAAAGTGCTGGGATTACAGGCATGAGCCACCACGCCCAGCCCTGAGTCCTCTTTTATAAGGACACTAGTCCCACTCACGAGGGATCCATGCTCATGACGTAATCACCTTCTAACATCCCACCTCTTAACACTATTGCATTGGGAATCAGGTTTCCACGTGAATTTTAGGGGAATACAAACATTCAGACCATGGTACCAGGCATCTTTTATTTGTATTTGCTAAACCTGACAATCCTCTCCAAAGTTCCCTTCAGTCACTTGGCCACAGACTCACACAGAGGGCTCCAGGGCCCTGAGGAAGAGACAAGCCAGGCAGTTCTTGCTTGGACATGAGCAATAGCCTCACTCCCCTTTGACACGAGAAGCAAAACCAAGAACAGAGGCTGAGTGCCACACACTCTTTCACAGTATATCCGTGTATCCTATGACACCAAGCCAGACTCACTGCTCCATCTCATGGTGAAAGATTGGCAGCTGGAACTCCCCAAGCTCTTAATATCTGTGCATGGAGGCCTCCAGAACTTTGAGATGCAGCCCAAGCTGAAACAAGTCTTTGGGAAAGGCCTGATCAAGGCTGCTATGACCACCGGGGCCTGGATCTTCACCGGGGGTGTCAGCACAGGTAAGAGCAGGCCCTTTCCCTCCCGATAATCAATGTACCACCCAGAACTCACTGTGGTCCCCAAAGAGCTTCCTAATAACTAAGGACAACAAAACATATTGCATCCTGATCCTATTTATGACTAAAGTGAAGTCTTTATTCCCTAGCTTGTGTTTTTTACTTTGATATGACTCTTAAAAAAAAACAGCAAATATAGTAATGATTGTCATAATGGTCAACATCTCTGGGTCACCCATGACATGCAATATTCCTTGAACTGAGCCCTGTACAAGCATCATCTTCATTAGACCTCTCGACAATCCTTTTCCTGTTATAGGACAGGAAACTAGGCACAAAGACATTAAGGAACATACCAGGCAGTATGGCTCTCAATTTTCACTGAAGGCAGCCAAGGAATGCCAAAAAGACTCCAGTTATTTCCAGCTTTAGGCCTTAGACATCTGTAAAGGAAATCCCTACACAGTTGCTTTGGTTTCTGTTTTTGTTTTCCCGTTTCTAGAGTTAATGCAAGATTGCTCGTTATCATGAGCTCAGACTTTCAGTGTACTTTGTTTTAATGATAAAGATGAGTGTGTCTCACCCCTGATCTGTAGGGAATGTAGGGACTCAGGGCAAGTGTCCCTCAATTTCATGAATGATGGTGTGCTGGGAAGTAAAAGAGCCTAAAATATGACCAATGGCTGCTCACAGGTGTTATCAGCCACGTAGGGGATGCCTTGAAAGACCACTCCTCCAAGTCCAGAGGCCGGGTTTGTGCTATAGGAATTGCTCCATGGGGCATCGTGGAGAATAAGGAAGACCTGGTTGGAAAGGATGTAAGTGTTTTCTCTGCAAATGTTGGCAGTTTTTTAAAATTAATGATTGATTTTGAGGTAACCGTTGATTCAGATGCAGTTGTAAGAATAATAAGAGAGCTCCCTTGCAGCCTTTCCCATTCCTCCAATGGTAACATCTTGCAAAACCATAATGCAAGATCACAACCCGGATACTGTCATTGATAAGGTCAAGGTGCAGAATGTTTCCATCAACACGAGGATCCCTCCTGTTGCCCTTTCATATACATATACCTCACTCCTTCCTACCCCCACCTCTTCCTTAACCCCTGGAAACAACTAATCTGCACCACCCCGCATTTCAAGAAGGTTCTGTAAATGGAATCATACAGTAATGTAACCTTTGGGGATTGGCTTTTTTTTCACTCCACATAGTTCTCTGAACACGCGTCCAGGTTGCCATATGTATTGGTCTTCATTCCTTTTTACTGCTGGCTGACATCCCATGATATGGAGGCACCAGTTTCTTTAACCATTTGTCTGTTGAGGAACAGTTTGGCTGTTACAAGTAAAGTAGCCATAAACATTCCAGTGCAGGATTTGAGGTTAACATAGGTTTTCATTTCTCTGTGATAAATGCCAGGGGTGCAATTGCTAGGTTGTCATTATCTAAAACAATTAACTTTCTTTCTATTTTAATGTAACAATTGGCAAAAATAAAACCTTCAAAAGGCAGGGTAGAGATGTGAGAATAAGTTTTAGTGCAGTCACTCCACACATATGTATTGTGCTTGCTTCCCTTGTTGGTCTTAACATCCAAGTCCTGCAGGTCTGATTTGCGCTGTGCACTTTGTCAGGTAACAAGAGTGTACCAGACCATGTCCAACCCTCTAAGTAAGCTCTCTGTGCTCAACAACTCCCACACCCACTTCATCCTGGCTGACAATGGCACCCTGGGCAAGTATGGCGCCGAGGTGAAGCTGCGAAGGCTGCTGGAAAAGCACATCTCCCTGCAGAAGATCAACACAAGTAAGTGCTGGCAAAGGCACGCAGTCCTCCTGGGCTGATGCCATCACAGTGGAAACAAGGCTGAGAAGGAGATTGATTGCCCAAGGGGATTAGAAGATTAACCTTGCTTCTTGTTAGGTCAACAGAAAATGACTCACCTAGATGTCTTACCTTAGCCACCTACCAAATCACATTCACTGGGCTACATGGGGATGCTTTGCCCCAGGTTCACAAGTTAGCACGAAATAACCCTCAGTGCTCGCCATGGTGATGGCCTTGCCCACCCTGTTGCCCAGTGGTTCTTGTTCCCTGTAATTAGTTGTTATTTTTTAAGTGTTTTAACAGGAAAACAATTTCTCAAAGATTTAGTAGGATTCTTTCTATTTGCTGATAAGTATTATGTGATTATTAAATATCTCTGTAATGCTGGGCCTTTCATGTAGACTAAGATGGCCAGGTGGGGACATATCTGGAGAGGGCTGCAGGAGCCATCTGCTCCTGAAGGGGCATCATCCTTGCTGGTCCTGAGGGGGAGCTGTCACTGTCAGACGAAAGCTGAGGTCGAACTAGAGAGAAAGACGCAAACCTCAACCAGAAGAAACAATGATAACAACTGGTTAGAATTACAATAACTGGTATAATCTCTTGGAGCATGTTTATACTCCAGTAATTCTTAACGTCAAACAATTGTTAAATGATCTGAAAGAGTAGTTTGTTTTTCCCATTACTGGCAAGATTTTTGTGGGAGACCATCTAGTCCTGGCGAATGGTCATTGGGAATCATCATGTATGGGACTGTGATGCTGCAGAGTGGGTAGAATGGGGATGGCCTACTAGGAAAAGTTGTAGATTTCCGAGAATCAGATCTCGAAGAATACATTGGTCGATGACTGAATGTTTTTTGTTCTCACATCTCTAATTTTTCTGGACTTGTAAGTTTTTACAACACCCCATTTCACCTGGCCATGTGACTTGTGGGCTTCCCTTTGTCATCCTTCGCCTAGGGCTCTGAGCAGGGCAGGGACAGCAAAGGGGTGCTCAGTTGTCACTTCCCACAGCACGGAGCTTCGAGGACTCCAGCCTAAGCCAAGAAGAACCTGTTCTACTCTGTTGCTCGAAAAGAAGGTGATTTGGCCACCATATTCCTAAAGATTGAAAATACCAATCCTTGCTTGGGTTGGAAATCTCAAAGGCGGAGTCCAGGATATCTTAGTTCATTTTTCCAATATCTCCTGGTCAGGGCTTTGCACAAAGCAGACCCTCAATGCATGTCTGCTGAAATGAACTTAGCTGTAATTACTCTGGTGGACACAGCAGAGTTATTCAACATATGTAAGAGTCCCTGACTGTAGGAACACCTCATGGAAGCAAATTAGAAACTCTGAAATGGCTCATTTGAAATTCTCCAATCTTCTCTTAACCAATGCTGGCAGATTTTTATCTGAAGCCCTTCAGAGCTGAGACCAACTATACTTCCACTTGCCTTTAGTTAATATCGATCAACTAATTCCCATCACAACTAATGGACAGCTGGTGAAATAGGCTCAGAGTGTGATCTGTCATGGCCAGTGTGGCATAAAATTAGGAAGTAGGCAAATGTGCCTCCACTCCCATTTCCTTCCCATTCCAGAATCCCAACTTCCTGGAATCTTCCTGCCACCTCTTGCTTCCCAGAGCCATGCCTGCAGGTTCTGCCACCAAAAGTTAGTTGGTACCCACTGTGTTCTTGAAGAGTCCTATTAACTGATAGAGACAGAGGGAGGACTCTGGGAACAGGTCATTAACTGATGGGCCACTAGTGGTCCAAGTGGCTGCGTCCAAGATCTGCACTTTATTCCAGCCACTGAAGACAGAAACGTCAACAAGAACAGTGTGCCTCATTTGTATGCTACTTAACGTTTACAAAATTATTTGCTAGCCAAACACATATTCTGATATTTTTACAACTGCAGGAGTTAAAGGAAGCACTGTGATTGTTCACCTTTTACAAATGGCTGTCTAAGGCTCTTGGTGATTTGGTGATTGGCCCAGTGTCATAAGGGAGAAGCCAGGAATTGAACTGCAATTTCCCTGGCTGGTCCAGATCCCCTTTCATCATCTTATTCTTCAGGGACAGCCATCAGGGTGGGAATTTCAGACCATAGGCTAGGACAGCCAGGGGGATATTTTTCCAGCCAGGAATACCTTCCAATATTTCTCAGTGGTCACCTTGAAGTAGCCCCAACATCAGGTGGGTGGGTTATTCAGGAGTTTAACCATATGTGAGTCAGAAAGTTTCAGACTTTGAGGTCCTGGTTTTCCCAATGAGGCCATAATATGTGACAGAATGCAAGAATGATAACTGGGCTGGGCACAGTGGCTTACACCTGTAATCCTAGCACTTTGGGAGGCCAAGGCAGGTGGATCACTTGAGCCCAGGTGTTTGAGACCAGCCTGGGCAACATGGCAAGACTTCATCTCTACCAAAAATTAGCCGGGTGTGGTGGCATGTGCCCGTAGTCCCAGCTACTCAGGAGGCTGAGGTGGGAGGATTGCCTGAGCTGAGAGGGAGGTTGAGGCTGCAGTGAGCCATGATCATGCCACTGCACTCCAGCTTGGGGGACAGAGTGTGATTCTGTCTCAAAAAAGAAAAAAGAAAAGAAAAGAAAAAGAAAATTGTTATCACATGCCTGAATTCCTTCCAGCCAGATAGAACATCCCCCAAGTCGTAATGTTTTTACTCTTCCCCATACTTCAGGAGTTAAAACGACTGGGTGGACAGTGCAGGGCACAGGTGGTATGGGCGAATGTGGTTTGTGTTGCAGGACTGGGGCAGGGCGTGCCCCTCGTGGGTCTCGTGGTGGAGGGGGGCCCTAACGTGGTGTCCATCGTCTTGGAATACCTGCAAGAAGAGCCTCCCATCCCTGTGGTGATTTGTGATGGCAGCGGACGTGCCTCGGACATCCTGTCCTTTGCGCACAAGTACTGTGAAGAAGGCGGGTAGGATTTCTGACGCGCGAGGAAGGGCGGGTTCGTAACTCCCTCTTTGTCGGGCCAAGGAGAAAATCTAAAGTGGTCTGCTTAGACATTCCAAACGTGTTTAAATCAGGAAGATTTGCTAGATCTCCTCTCCCATTTCCTCAGGTCAGCATCCAGGGGAACCATCAGAGGCAGGGTGTTCCTGATGGAATTCTCTCTCCCTCATTTCCAACTTCATTTGCCCTTAGAAAGTTTGCAACAAAGCTGGAATTTAGGACAAGTGAGAATACGATGTTTGACTATGGTTACTTTTTGTCTCCTGTGTCAGGATATCCTCCCACAGCAAAGTCTCAAATCAAAGACAGAGATATGTCTGACTCATTCATATATAGATTTAACTTGCCTTGTTTTGTTCTCTTGCATTTTCTTTGAACAGAATAATAAATGAGTCCCTCAGGGAGCAGCTTCTAGTTACCATTCAGAAAACATTTAATTATAATAAGGCACAATCACATCAGCTGTTTGCAATTATAATGGAGTGCATGAAGAAGAAAGAACTCGTAAGTGTCTTGAATTTATTTCCAAACAAGCTCTGTGGAGAGAATTATGTTTCCTTTTCTAATTCCGCCCATGTGTGCATGACAGGGTTATTCATATTTTAGTCCGGCCTTTTCTGAGAGACAGTACAAATGCATACCAAATTGGTGGCTGTGTCCACATGACAGAAGCTGAACGAGCCCACACAGGGGAGGGCCCCTGGTGCTTTCAAACTTTAGCAAGTGGGGCATGACACCACACAACACCCTCTGAGGCTCATAATATTACTCAGATTGATAGTCTTGGGGAAAAGGGCCACATACCACCCTGTCAGGCATGTTTACAAAGTTCTGTTATTTTATTTCCCACTCCTTCCCTCTTCCGTTCCATTTACAAGGAATAGGTACTCTTGTCGTGCACATAAGATGGCCTCTTCAAAATTCTAATTCCTACAAATATCTCCTGTCTGATTAGATACGACTTTGCATCTCCGATGGCGACTGAGATTTCGGAGTGTAGCTCCCTCCTCTCGAGGGTGCCAGAAGGGATGGGGAAAATAATAAAGTCAGTATGCAGGCAGGCACCCCACGGCAATGCCATAACTTCTGGAAATCAGCCGGGCACAGTGGCTCACACCTGTAATCCCAGCACTTTGGGGGGCTGAGACAGGCAGATCACCTGAGGTCAGGAGTTTGAGACCGGCCTGGCCAACATGGTGAAACCCCATCTCTACTAAAAATACCAAAACAATTAGCCAGGCATGGTGGCGTGCACCTGTAATCCCAGCCACTTGGGAGGCTGAGATAGGAGAATCGCTTGAACCTGGGAGGTGGAGTTTGCAGTGACCCAAGATAGCGCCATTGCACTCCAGCCTGGGCGACAAGAGCGAAACTCCATCTCAAAAAAAAAACAAAAAGAAAAAAGAAAAAGAAAAGAAAAAAAAGAAATCAACAGCACTTGCTTTGAAACTGTTTAGTGCTCAGGATCATTTTATTACGTGTCAGTCTCTGTGGTCATTTTGTAACAACACCCCATATCTCCTTCTTGTTTTCAACTTGGCTTTAATTCAGTCTTTTCACATTTTCAGGTCACTGTGTTCAGAATGGGTTCTGAGGGCCAGCAGGACATCGAGATGGCAATTTTAACTGCCCTGCTGAAAGGTGAGCTCTCAGGAAATGGTGACTCCTGTCCCTCTGATGTTGGCCTAGCCGGCAATCCTTCCCTCCCGGCCTCCCATGGACTATGTCTGCTGGTGCTAGACCCTGAGCCAGCCAGGCCACTTGAGCAGTCTCAGCATGAAGCCACGGCAGAATGACAAGGCTCGCTGTTTCTGTGGGGCAGAGGTCTGTGGGTGCTCCTGGACCATCATGGGCTGAGGTCAGAACCGTTTCTATTTGTAACTGGTTCATTGAGGGCCTCAGCTCCTAGAGTGTAAACATCAGATGGGTTCCTTTGCAATCACTGCATTCCGCAGTGTTCTGTCCAATTTCCCCGTCTTGGTTCTAATGACAGGCTTCAGGCCAGCGTTCATGGCCGGGCGGGGAGGGTCTGCTCTGGGATGCACACTTCCTCCCTGCCTCTCAGTTAGCCTGGTGCCATGAGGGGGCAGGGAGGACAGAGAGAGGGGAAGGGTCACTGTCAGGCTGGCTGCCTGGCAGTCCCAGGGTTCCAGCCTTCCTGGAGATCATCTCCAGGGTCCCTGAGTCACTGGGTTCCTGTTCTGTCCCTCCCAAGGAGACCATGCACAGCTGGCATGGGAAGAGGCTGCCTCCACCTTCCTCCAGGGAAGCTCTTTCAGCTCGGAGCCTTTGTGGTCATTCAGGGCAAGAGCAAAGCCAGCAATGCTTAGTTCTAGGCCAGCAGCCCAAGGGAAGCCTGTGCTCACCACCCAGCACCTGCCAAACCCTGGCGGTCCAGGCGTGGAGTGAAAAATCATTCCGGTTTCTTGCCTTTCCAGGAACAAACGTATCTGCTCCAGATCAGCTGAGCTTGGCACTGGCTTGGAACCGCGTGGACATAGCACGAAGCCAGATCTTTGTCTTTGGGCCCCACTGGCCGGTGAAACTGTTTTTTTTCGATTCATATCATTGATCTTGACTTTGTACAAGTGACCTATTAGTATGTTCTCCCTTGTGACATGGAATTCAGGAAATTATGTGGGGTTTCTGATGATATGATATGTAATCTATTAGGCTCATTAGAAGATGTCACTGTTTAACTTCAAAGAACCAACAAGAAGTAATTCCACATTCAAACCAGTACTCCTGAAGAAATTAATCACCAAATATTTTATCGTTGCTGATGAAAGTGGGTTTTTACCTTTTTAAAGAAAAAGAAGAAGAAATAAAATAGCTTATTAAAATTTAATGCAATGCTTCCATCCAGGGCAATGATTTTTCAAACTATGTTCCATGAAACCCTGGAGGCCTAGAGAACTCTGTGTGTGTGTGTGTTTATGTGTGTGTGTGTATGTGTGTGTCTATGTGTGTGTCTGTATGTGTGTATAGGGTGTCTGTGTGCATGTGATATGTGGTGTGCCTGTATGTGGTATGATTTTGTGTAGGTGAGTAATGTGTGTGGCCATGGGTGGTATAGTGTGTATGTGGGTGTCATTGGGAGGGTATTGTGTGTGTGTGATATGGGATGAGCAGTGTGTGTGGAGTGTTGAGGAGTACTAATGTGTGTGTGTGACATGGGGATGAGCGTGTGTGTGTGTGAACACACATAAGTCTGCATGATAAAGGACTCCAAGCCTCCTACTTCTTCTTCAGTCAAAGCAGCTTCTTTGATCCATTTTATAGATTAGGAGTCAGGATAAATTTGTGTTTGCAAAAAGGGCTCTGCTGCTTATGAAAGGTAGTAGGAATATCTAGAGAGTTTATGTTGGTTTTAAAAACCACATTTCTTGGCCAGATGTGGTGGCTCACACCTGTAATTCCAGCACTTTGGGAGGCCGATTTGGGAGGATTGCTTGAGGCCAGGAGTTCAAGACCAACCTGGTCAACATAGTGAGACACCATCTCTACAAAAAATAAAAAAAATTAGCCAGGCATGGGAGTGCATGCCTATAGTCCCAGCTACTTTGGAGGCTGAGGCAGGAGGATTGCTTGAGCCTAGGAATCTGAGGTTACAGTTAGCTGTGACTGCACCACTACACTACAGCCTGGGTGAGAGAATGAGATCCCATCTCTAAAACATAAAACAAAAAACAATGCAAAACCATTTCTCAAAACATCCCTGGCATATTGCTGCACAAATGCATTTTACTTAACTGCCTCTGTGTTTAGGTCTCCCAAAGCATTTAATTGCCTCCCAAAGCATTTAACTGCCTCTGTGTTTAGGTCTCCTGGAAGTTGCTTCCACACATTGCCATAACACGTTTTATCACTCTTTATTGATTGATCATGTGTAGACGGATCCATCAATTCTCCACTTGGTAATAGAAGGAGGTGGATTGCTCACTCTGCTTCCACTGCCCCTGTTCCTCCTGGATTTGATAGTTGCCTGTTTAATTCTATTTTTTCTTTTTTTGAAATGGAGTCTCACTCTGTTGCCCAGGCTAGAGTGCAGTGGTGTTATCTCAGCTCACTACAGCCTCTGCATCCCGGATTCAAGCGATTCTCCTGCCTCAGCCTCCCAAGTAGCTGGGACTACAGGCACCCACCACACCCAGCTAAATTTTTTTTGCATTTTTAGTGGACACAGGGTTTCACCATGTCGGCCAGGCTGGTCTCAAACTCCTGACCTCAAGTGACCCACCCGCCTTGGCCTCCCAAAGTGCTGGGATTACAGGCATGAGTCACTGCACCCAGCCCTGCTTAATTCTTATATTGGTCACCTTTATGACGGTAAAGAGTACGTGGAACCACCTACTTGTTCTGTCCGCTTCAGACTCCCATTTTGTTAAATGAGGAAATTCACTCCATACTCCTCCTTCCTCTCCTGACAAGTTTCATCTTCCTAATTCAATCAGCCCCACTTTTACAAGGTGCTTGACATGATGAACATGTACATATCCTTCTTTAATCATTGAGGTCCTGCTTACATCTTACTCTTTAATCATCATTCAGTTTTTGTACTTAGTCTCTATGTTGATTCTAAAAAAATGGAGAAACCAGCAGCTTTGACATTGTTGTGATTACATGGAGATTGTTCACTGCTGAACCGCAAAGTAGGATTGAAGTCAAGGAGAAGGGAAGGTAGTCCTGGGTCATTTATCTGGCTCACACAAAGGAAAATATGACAGGCATCAAGGTTTCCATCATTCACCAACTATTTAAAATTAGGTGACACTTTAATTTCCTTCATATTTGGACCATGACTTATTTGAATAGATATTTGCTTTTCTCCACATTTCTAATTGATTCTCTTTTTTTCTTCCAAACATTTGCCTTGATGTCATTGCTGTATCTATTCTTTTTTTTTTAAGTATTTTTATTGTATCTTTAGTTTGGTTCCAAACAAATAGATGTAAAGTTTGGTACCTGCCTATGTACACTTGCCACTGCTAATGTTGAGGCTTATACTAGTCCGTTTTCACACTGCTATAAAGAATAGCAGTCTTCTGAGACTGTGTAATTTGTAAAGGAGGTTTAATTGACTCACATCTCCAAATGGCTGGGGAGACCCCAGGACACTTACAATCATGGCGGAGGACAAAGGAGAAGCAAAGGCACATCTTACACGGCAGCCCGTGAGAGAGAGAAAAGAGCACAAGGGGCTGCCAAACATTTTTAAAACCATCAATTCTCATAAGAACTCTTTCACTATCATGAGAACAGCGTGGGGGAAACTGCCCTCATGATCCAATCACTTCACATCAGGCCCCACTCTTGACACCTGGGGATTACAACTGGAGATGAGATTTGGGTGGGACACAGAGCCAAACCATATCAAGGCTCTTGTCAGCAACGTGGATATATCAAGCATGGCTGCAGCAAAGGCTACCCTGTGGGGAGCTAGGGCAAAATTATTGCACTCTTTCCAAGATGAAGCCATACAGATATTACCTTAAAAATGCCATTTTGTACTTTTATTTGCATATACATAGTTTATATTTAATATATACTTTGTACTTTAAGTTCAGGGGTACAAGTGCAGGTTTGTTATGTAGGTAAACTTGTGTCATGGGGGTTTGTTGTACAGATTATTTCACCACCCAGTTATTAAGCCTAGTACCTGCTAGTTGTTTTTCCTGACCCTCTCCCTCCTCCCACTCTCCTCCCTCCAAAAGGCCCCAGTGTCTGTTATTCCCCTCTATGTGTCCATGTGTTCTCATCATTTAGCTCCCACTTATGAGAATATGCAGCATTTGGTTTTCTGTTTCTGCCTTAGTTTGCTAAGGATAATGGCCTCCATCTCCATCCATGTCCCTGCGAAGGACATAATCTTGTTCTTTTTTATGGCTGCAGCCATATCTATTCTCTTAATTGTTACTGTCCCATTTCTTCTTGAAGAATCTTTCAAAGCCCCATGAGTTCCTACCCCCATCTTCCCTGGATGCTCTCAATGCCTACTGTACAGTTGTCTACATCAGACATCCCTTCGTTGCACTCTGAGACTGGCCATTGCCTCCTAGACCCCATGTCTTCCTCCCTTTCAGATTCCTTTTTCATTTTGCTGGAGTACATCTTCAAGTAACTTTTACATAAAAGCATGTGGGAGAATTACTGTCTGAGTCTGTGTTGTGTTTCTGTAACAGAATACCACAGATGGGGTAACTGATAAAGAAAGGAGATTTATTTCTTACAGTTCTAGAAACTGGAAAGTCCAAGATCAAGGGGCTGGTATCTTGTCAGGGCCTTCTTGCTACATCATCCCATGGTGGGAGGTGAAAGGGTAAGAGAGCGAGAGACAGCGAGAGAGGGCTGAACTCTTAAAACAAATCTCTCAAGATCATGAACCCTCTCCCTCTATAAAAGCATTAATCCATTCATGAGAGCAGAATTTCATAACCTAAACAATTTTAAAGGTCCCATCTCTCAGCACTGTTGCACTGGGGATTCAGTTTCCAACACAAGAACTTTGGGGGACACTTTCAAACCACAGCAATTATCATTCTGTGTCTTTACATGTCTGAAAAAAGTCTGCCTCACATGAGGCTCAAGATTGTCCTATGATTTTCATTCAATTATAGATGAACCATTGTTTTCTCTCTGCTCTTTGCTTTTTCAGTGCTTGAAAATTTCACAAGGATGTATCTCCTATTTCAAGCAAATGAAAATAGAAGTGTATAGAGAATACAAACTCAAGCAGCCATATCTTCACACATGTAGACATTTAATTCTTCTGGCTTTCAAAGGTCCCTTTATGCTGAAGACCTGAATCAGCTCTGTGAAATTTTCTTCTATCTCTTCTTTGAGTATTTCTTTCTTTATTATCTCTTTCCCTTCATCTGGATTTTCTATTAGTCAAGCAACTGCTGGTCCCCTTCTCCCAGATTGACCGTCCATTTTCGGTTTTTTATTTCTCTATCATTTTGCTGTATGTTTTTGGAAATCTCAACTTTTTCTTTAGCTTTTATACAATTTTTAAAGGTTTAGGCACTCATGCTTTTTATATTTAAGAAAGTGTTTTTGTTCCTTAACAATTTTATTTTCTTATTAGCCTATTTTCATCTCACAGATGCAATATCTAAGGATATGAATTAGATTTTTTGAAGTTATCTTCTGTTCCCTAGATTATCTCTATTTTCTCCCTGGTCAGCTGTTCTTTTTGTTCATTTTGGGTTTTTCTGTTATGCTGTTGATTTTCTCAAATGCTCTAGATCCTTGGCTGTCCATCACACTACAGAATGAGGGATAGAACTGCTTAATTGGTATGGAAACCCATTTTGCCAACAGGTTTTTCTCCTCCCTGGGAGGACTGCCCAGGAATTCCCTGCTTAGGAAGGAGAGTATCGCCTGAACCTCCTGCTTTGCTGAGTGCCGACTGGAGAGGGCTGGTGGGCTCTGGGCCTCCCTATTCTTTAGCAGACATCCTCCCAGTTTTTACTGGGAGTGAAGCCCAGGAATGCAGTTGCTTGCTCTGCACCCACCACAGTGGCAGCCTGGAGACCGGGAGGGGATGTGTGGCCTCCTGCTCTGTAGACCATCTTCCGGTCACCATGCCTTCTGCCCACCACATGCCCTCTTCTTTGTATCTTGGAAAATCTGGTCTCACCTCAAGAGCAACCTCCACATTACACATTTTGGGCTTTGGCTTCCTCTCCATAGTTTTAACTGGTCCTTCAATGCTTCCAGAAATTTGTTAAAAACTCTCTGGCCCGCCTCTTCTCCCTGAAATAGATTTTTCTTTTTCATACTCCTCTGCTGTCATTTAAATAGTATCTGGGGAGGGAGGGAAGACAGGAAACACATGCTCAGGCTGTAACCTGGAGCCAAAAGTCCTTCTCTGTCTCCCTACAGTGGGATATAAGGTCTCCAAAATCTTCTTTTAATAGTTGAAGCACTCAAGAAAGGATGTGCCTGTGAATCTATAGTCTATCTAGAATTCTTCATATAGTAGAAAACTTGTGGTAGGGAGGACATAAGAATTCCAACACAGTAAATCAATCTTAGGTCTGATTTGCTATATATTACTAGACAAAATTCTTCTATCTATATTTTCTGTTATTGAATGCAAAAAATAAAAGCTGCATGAGAGTATGATGTGGTTATCAGAAGCTAGGATGTGAGGGATTGGGAGATTTTGGTTTAAAAGTACAAAGTCTCAGTTAAGAAGAATAAATTCTGGAGACCTATTGTACAACATAGTGACTATAATTAATAATAATGTATAGTGCACTTGAAAATTGCTAAAAGAGTAGATTTTAAATGTTCTCATCACAAAAATGATAAGTATGTGAGGTGATGGATATGTTAATTAGCTTCATCGTTCCACAATGTATACATATATTTAAGCATCATGTATACCATAAATATATACAATTTGTCATTTGCTAATTAAAATAATTAATTAAAGTAAAAGCTTTGCAAAAAAAATTCTTCTTAAAACATGCTTTTAAACATAACGAAGAGGCCAGGCACAGTGGCTCACTCCTGTAATTCCAGCACTTTGGAAGGCTGAGGCGGGTGGATCACCTGAGGTCAGGAGTTTGAGACAAGCCTGGCCAACATGGTGAAACCCCGTCTCTACTAAAAATACAAAAATTACCCGGGTGTGATGTTGCATGCCTGTAATCCCAGCTACTTAGGAGGCTGAGGCAGGAGAATTGCTTGAACCTGGGAGCCGGAGGTTGCAGTGAGCTGAGATCATGCCACTGCACTCCAGCCTGGGTGACAGAACAAAACTCCGTCTCAAAAAACAAACAAATAAACAAACAAACAAAAAACATAATGAAGAGAGAGAAAAAGAGAGACGTTTGATATATACAGGTAACAAAAGGCAATTTATTTATTTATATTGAATCATAAAAACTTTGGACTAACAATTTTTGAAGGAAAATCATCACCAACATTCATCTCAAGAGCTTTTTTATCTTGCAAAATGGACACTCTATGCCCATCAAACAATAATTCCCCATCCTGCCCTCTCCTGTGACTGGCAACCACCATTCTACTTTCTGTTGCCATGAATATGACTACTGTCAGTACCTCCTATAAGTGGAGTCATGTAATATTTGTCCTTTTGTGACTGGCTTATTTCACTCAGAACAATGTCTCAAGGTTCATCCGTGTTGTAGCATTTGTCAGAATTTCCTTCCTTTTAAGGCTGAATAATATTCCATTATATGGATAGACCACATTTTGCTTATCCAAGCATCCATCAGTGGACACTTGGGTTGCTCCCATGTTTTAGAATAATGCTGCTATGAATGTAGGTGTACAAATACTTCTTTGAGACTTGCTTTCAGTTCTTTTGGGTATGCCAAGAAGTGAAACCATTGATCACACGGTAATCCTATTTTTAATTTTTTGAAGAATCACCAAACTCCTCCCACAGCAGTTGCACCATTTTACATTTCCACCCCCAGTGCACAGGGTTCCAGTTTGTCCTCATTTTCACAAACATTTGTCATTTTCTGTTGTTTAGATAATAGCCATCTTGGCTGGGCACAGTGGCTTACATGCCTGTAATCCCAGCACTTTGGGAGGCCAAGGCAGGTGGATCACCTGAGGTCAGGAATTGGAGACCAGCCTGGCCAACATGGCGAAACCCCGTCTCTACTAAAAATACAGAAAAAAAAAAAAAAAATGAGCCGGGAGTGGTGGCACACATCTGTAGTCCCAGCTACTGAGGAGGCTGAGGTAGGAGAATCACTTGAACCTGGGAGGCGGAGGTTGCAGTGAGCCAACATCGTGCCACTGCACTCCAGCCTGGGCAACAAGAGCAAAACTCCATCTCAAATAAAAGGAAAAAAAAAGATAATAGCCATCTTAATGGGTGTGAGATAATATCTCAGATGGTTTTGATTTGTATTTCCCTAATGATTAGTGATATTGAGCGTTTTTGTGTGTGTTTATTGGCCATTTGTGTATCTGCTTTGTAGAAATGTCTATTCAAGTCTCTTGCCTATTTTTGAATCAGGTTGGGTTTTCTTGTTGTTGAATTTTAGGAGTTCTCTATATATTCTGGCTATGAACCCCTTATCATATACATGATGTACAAATATATTCTCCTATTCTGTGGCTACCTTTACTCTGTTAATGGTATTTTTTGCTGCACAAAACTTTTAAATTTTCATAAAGTCCATCGGATTTGTTATTAATAATTTTTCCGTTTGTGCCTGTGCCTTTGGTGTCATATTCAAGAATTGAATTCCCAAATCCAATATAGTGATATTTTTGCCCTATGTTTTCTTCTAAGCATTTTAGTTTAATTAATTAATTAGTTTTTGAGATTGAGTTTCACTCTTGTCACCCAGGCTGGAGTGCAACGGCACGATCTCAGCTCACTGCAACCTCTTCCTCCTGGGTTCAAGGAATTCTCCTGCCTCAGCCTCCTAAGTAGCTGGGATTACAGGCACCCACCACCATGTCCAGCTAATTATTGTATTTTTAGTAGAGATGGGATTTTACCATGTTGGCCAGGCTGGTCTCAAATTCCTGGCCTCAGGTGATCCATCTGCCTCGGCCTCCCAAAGTGCTGGGATTACAGACATGAACTACCGTGCCCAGCAGCATTTTATATTAGTAGTTTTCGATTTTATGTTCAGGTCTTTGATTCATTTTGAGTTAATATTTGTATATGGTGTAAGGTAAGGGTCCAACTCCAGTCTTTTGCATGTGGATATCCAGTTTTCCCAGCACCATTTGTTGGATGCGGTGTCACTCTGTCACTCAGGACCATAACGGTTTTATCTGCATGAGGAGTCAGCCAAGACACTTTTTCATCCATATTTGTATGTTGACCAGGAACTATATAAATGCACACCTCCCCTGACATAAGCTCTGCCTCAGCCCTACTTAAGGGTTTTAAGCAGGAGAGTTACTTGCTTCCATTTTTATATTTAAAGGTCACTCTGGAGTTACTGTGGAAAATGCACTGGGTGGGTACCATGGCAGGTGTGCAGAGTCCTGTTAATAGGCCTTTGAAATAATTCAGGCCTTGGACTAGAGCAGAGGCAAAGAAGAAGGCAAGAATCAGAATTAAGCAAAATTTAGCATTAAACATGGCTGCACATAGGGGTAGATGAATCATTGAGGGCACTGGAGGGACTGAGATGTCACAATGCTCCCCAGTTCTCTGGTTTGCACAACTTGCAAGCTGTGGTAACATTTCCCTGAGATAAGGGACCCTGGAAGAGGACTGGGTCGGAGGGTAGGTCCTGAGAGTGGTTTGGGGCATAAGGAGCTGCATGTCTTTGAGACATGCAAGCAGGATGCTGAGCAGGCAACAGGAGCTCTGGGGAGAGAGGTGGGCCGCAGCCAGAAAGGAGAAGTTGTATGCCAATCAGTGGTGACTGGTGGTGTGGGGGTCAATGAGGTCGTCAAGGAAGAGAGTAGAGTGGAAAGGTAGAAGGCTGAGGACAGAGCCCAGAGGAACCTTGACATTTAAAGCTGCACTGAGAAGTAGTGGCCAGACAGGGAAGAGGAAAGCTGGGAGCTTGTGATGCCCAAGAAGCCAAGGGAAGAGACTCTAGGAGGAAGCAGGCAGTGGAGTCAGATGTGCTGAGAACCCAGCATGAAATGCCCATGAGGCAGGCACCAGCACAGTTCTCAGCAACTAAACCCACAGCCCAGGACAGATGGAAGAAGCAGCAGGGTGCGTGCAGGAGAGATAGGAAGAGAGGAAATGGAGGCTCCTCAGGTAGGCAACCCACCAGGAGCGTTTGGTAAGAGGAGCGGGTGGGTCTGGCAAGAGAGGACGCCAGCTGGAGGGTCCGGTTGTTTAGGTGCTGGCTCTGTGTCTGCACCAGGACACACTCCCACATTCTCCACCAGACCAGGAGACAAGGCCACGGGGCCAGGCCTACTTCTGCTGTCCCTCCTGTTCTCTGGAGTAGAGCACACACTCCCCTTGATGAATGAGTCTGTCACCGCATTGCATGCATTTCAGTGACATGCGGAGAGCTTCTTTACCCGCCGATAAGCTCCAGTTTACGTTTACATCCAGGCAGGCATCCTCAGTTCTATCCATTGTCTTGTACCCCCTTCACAATCACTTTTTCCCATCATTAAACAACTATGGACACATGTCTTTGGTGCCTTTGAACTCTCCTTTCAGCATCCTTTCCTCCATGCAAAAGCACACATGGATCAAAATGTCAGCCACTTTAAGTATGCAAAGCCGCTGCATCAAGTCAAGTGTGTGTTTGTGCACACGAGTAACAGTGGTTCCCAGTATCAGAGCCTTCTTCAGACAGCCAGGCCTGCGACGACTGAGTATGTAGGTGTATGGGATGGAGTCCGTGTGCACCTGTACATATGTGTGGGCATATGTGTGCACTGTGTGGGTGTGCACATGTACATTGTGTGCATGTGTGGTGTGCATGTGTGCACATACAGAGGTGGGAGGGTCAATGAGCTGGTCTGGGGACAAGAAAGAGCCTTAGTACCATTTCCCAACTCTGATTGCTGTGGACTGCAGCCCCTGGGAAGCCTGGCACCCCCGACGGACAGCAAAGCCACAGAGAAGGAGAAGAAGCCACCCATGGCCACCACCAAGGGAGGAAGAGGAAAAGGGAAAGGCAAGAAGAAAGGGAAAGTGAAAGAGGAAGTGGAGGAAGAAACTGACCCCCGGAAGATAGAGCTGCTGAACTGGGTATGTGGAAGGTCACAGAGATCACGAGCTTGGCATCACCCTTCCCCAGGGGAAGGGATGGTTCTTGTCCTTGCTTCAGTCCCACCCAGGGCCCTGATCCCAGGAGGGACGGGTAAAGGCTTGACTGGGTAGTGTCAGCATTTCAAACTACAACAGCACATTCGCTGCAATGAGCCTGTCGGTTGTCCAAAACACCAAACGTTCCTGCTTTGGGGGGAATGATGCCACCCACAGAGGGGCCCTGAGTCATCCTGTTCAGCAATGGTTCTGTACCTGGCAGACATGCCAATGCTTGATGCATGAATATACAGCAGACAAATCAGTTGTCACCAAATAAATGCAATTCATGAAAAAGCCCTTTTTTGACAGACAGAGCCCATGATTGGGTGTGTGGGGTAACAGCAGTTTAGGTGGGGAGGCTGGAGCCACACATCGCATGGCAGTTCTTGGTCTTGCTGCCACCAGGACACAGGCAAGACAGGGGACCAGGCCTCTGTGGTGACGTGTGCCTGCCCTTATCACAGTCACTCACCCACACGGCACCCTGGTCATGCTGCCTGCCCATGCAGCTCCTCCTGGCACAACTTCTCAGTCAAGGAAACAAATGGTGGAGACTGGGCAGGCCAATGCCAGGAGGGCTGAGATTTTGAATCCTCTTCAATCTATTTTTAAAAGGAAACAATAATTTACAGACATGGATGGAACATGTAGAGGCCAAACTGAGAAGAAAGGAGAGGGGAGATGGGGAGTGTTTACCCAAGATAAAGAGCAAAGAGTACCATGCTGGAGTGCTCTGGAATCTGGCGTTCGGAATACCCTTTCCTCTGTGTTTCCAGTCGCCCCCCTCCCCTGTGTCTCTGAGAGGCCACTCACAGGCTCCCGGCCCTTGGTCCCTGCAGGTGAATGCTTTGGAGCAAGCGATGCTAGATGCTTTAGTCTTAGATCGTGTCGACTTTGTGAAGCTCCTGATTGAAAACGGAGTGAACATGCAACACTTTCTGACCATTCCGAGGCTGGAGGAGCTTTATAACACAGTGAGTGCTCTAGAAAAAGGGAAGGAAGCGGGAGGCAGCCACCTAAATGTGTTTGTCACTGATGCATATTGTGCATAAATGTGCTCATCTGACCTCCTTCAGCTGGGAGGTCCGTATTTAATGGCAGGCGGCTACTTCTCACCTGCTGCTGGCCACAGCCTGTGTTCATATTCTCACCACCTCCTGCCATGCCTCGCCAGTCACTCCTTTCTCGGGCAGTATTAACTCTTGTCCCGCATTTAAGGGTGGTGTGTGAGTACTTGTTGCTACAAAGAGGGAATCTAGCTCCCCAAGCCATTAGCAGAGTGAAATGTCACCAAGGGTGAGAAGTCAATTGTTCCTTGGGACCCTCACATTTGATGAGGCTTTGGGGTAAAACATAGAGCTAAGTTTCACACCCAGGAGCTCTGCTGGAAGGGTTTGAATGAAATTCCCTTGGCTTATATTATTACAATATAAGTTTTGAGAATTTACATTTCCTTCCCTATTGTAAGATTTTAAGTAGCAGAAATGATCCTCAGCAGCTGCTTGCTAAAACTTGGTGAATTTTTTTTTGTTTGTTCTGAGACAGAGTCTCTCTTGTTGCCCAGGCTGGGGTGCAGTGACATGATCTCAGCTCACTGCAGCCTCAACCTCCTAGGCTCAAGCCATCCTCCGATCCCAGCCTCCTGAGTATCTGGGACTACAGGTGCACACCACCACACCCAGCTAATTTTTAAAAATTTTGTAGAGACAGGGTTTCGACATGTTGCCCAGGTTGGTCTCGAACTCCTAGCCTCAAGTGATCCACCTCCCTTGGCCTCCCAAAGTGCTGGGATAATAGGCTCAAATATACTAATTTGAGCCACTGATTCTGGCCAACTTGATGAATTATTAACACTATATTGTGCACCTTAAGATACTCTTTTAAAAAAATGCAACAGAAAGTATTTCACAACTTTTGAAATGTGTTGGATACTTTCTAACCATGACCAGCTCTGTTTTGTAAAAGAAAAAGGCTGGTGTGGGTTACACTCCAGCTCTCACAATTCATTAATTATATAGAGTAGGGCAGGATTTTGCTCGAAGAGTTCAAGAAAAAAACTTATTTATTTATTTATTTATTTATTCATTCTTAGACGAGGTCTCACTTTATCACCTAGGCTGGAGTATAGTGGTGCAATCTTAGCTCACTGCAGCTGCCTCCCCGGTTCAAGTGATCCTCCAACCTCAGCCTCCCTAGTAGCTAGGATTACAGGTGCCCACCACCACGCCCAGCTAATTTTTGTATTTTTAGTAGAGATGGGGTTTCACCATGTTGGCCAGGCTGGCCTCAAACTACTGACCTCAAGTGATCTGCCTGCCTTGGCCTCCCAAAGTGCTGGGACTACAGGCGTGAGCCACCGCGCCTGGCCAAGAAAAACATATTTAACACACATGAATGCTTCTCTTTCAGAGACTGGGTCCACCAAACACACTTCATCTGCTGGTGAGGGATGTGAAAAAGGTCAGTCTACTGTTTTACAATTCTTACCTGTTGGCATCTTTCACAAAATCATTTCTTAAGAGCAAGTTTTAAATTTTCAAAATGTATTATTATTCCAGGCACAGGAGATAATGAATTCCTTCTTTCGTAAAGAGTCTATTTAAAACTAAGAAAGCAAAGGATAATCTTTTTTAAGTTGCATGTTCATCCAAATCCATGATAGGGACACTGTCAGTGACAGCCGGATTATAGGTTGACGCCAGCGCCAGGCCAGGGCGGCCACTGGGTGGGGTTGGGGAAGGGGGTGGCCTGGCTGCTGACCTGAGCCCCGCTGTCTGTCCATGCAGCCTCTCGTTCTGTCCCTCCTTTGAGATCTCTCACCCACTGCCTGTGGCTCTTTCCAGAAGCACCGGCAGGAGGTTCCTCAAGTCATTCTGTGCCCTGTTGATTGCAGCTGCTGTTCTTGGCCCTTTCTGCCACCTTGTTATCAAGGGATAGATGCTTTCCCCAGCCTGAATATTGTTTAATCCCCCACCCACCCACCTGTTACATGAACTCCCAAGTGGGGGCCAGGACAGCCACTTACCCCCTAGACGTGTGATGAAGTCCACACTGCGAACGCATTCTCACAGGGCCTGAGACCAGACTTCTTTTACAGAGCAACCTTCCGCCTGATTACCACATCAGCCTCATAGACATCGGGCTCGTGCTGGAGTACCTCATGGGAGGAGCCTACCGCTGCAACTACACTCGGAAAAACTTTCGGACCCTTTACAACAACTTGTTTGGACCAAAGAGGGTAGAACTCAGTGCCTGTGTAGTGTTCTGTGGTTCGCGAGTACCATGTGGTTCCTCGCTTGCTTTTCAACAACTTGGCCGGTTCAGAGCCAAGCCCTTCGCCCTGTCCCCAGCACAGCTGTCCTGCCTCCTACAGTGCTCTCAGGCCAGAGCCACGGCATTCGCCAGCTCCCCTGAGCACGGGCCGCCCCGCCCATCCATTGCATTTGCCCTCCTTTTCTATCCACAGCAGACTTCCTCCTGGGCTCCGGGGCTACTGTCTGCCCGCTCCAGCCTATTCTACTATCCCACCACTGTACCTGCCATAATCTTCCAAAGCAAGGGACATGCCTGCATTCCCTGCTTCAAGCCTCCCAGAGCTCCTCACTGCCTGGAGAATCGTATCCAAACTCATTATCACAGCAGCCAAGGCCCTCCACCAGCTGGCCCTCACCCACATGGGAGACCACATACCTGCACCAAAATCAAATCCTGTGATCAAATCAAAGACGTGTACCTGCCACGTCTTTCCCCACTATCAGTGCCTTTCCCACCCTTATCAAAAGTCCAACTCAAATGTCTGATCTTTCATGATGCCCTCCTCTCACACCCACCTTACAGCCCCACAGCTCTCTACATGTCTATTAGGGAACTTCTCGGTTTCTACCTGGAATAAGGGCCACGCGTCTGCTGAGCTTTCTTCTCAATTAACTTCTGCTGACAGAAGAAGAGTTTCTATATTAAAGCACTTCTTTTCCTTGGATATTATCATTAATTGTTAATGATACAAAGTGCTTTTTAATCCATTCGTATGTCCACTATCAACAATACTGCTAATGTACTACTAACATTAGTTATCTAAGTAAATTGATTTTTTTTCTTCCTCTTTCACCATGCAGCCTAAAGCTCTTAAACTTCTGGGAATGGAAGTAAGTAGAACTTGTTTTCAACAGTTTTATAATATCCTGGTCAAATATACATAGCCCTTTTAAGTTCTGTATTTGCGAATATACGATACTACTCACCAAAATTTACCTAGATGTCTTAGTCAAATTATATAAAAGGACCATATATACATTTTCTTTAATGGGGATAAAAGCTGCACAATCCATTTCTAGAACTAACAAAACCACAGTTTCAAAAGCAAAGATTAAGCAAACAAAAAAACTAGAGAGGAACACCACTTACGTATGCAAAAACCATAAGTAAAAAACCAAAAATAACACCAAAAAGAATTCAATAGACTATTTTCATAGTCCTAAATCAAAGTAGAGTCCTCCAAGAATGCAAATACAATGCAGTGTTAGTCTTTAATATATTGCATCATATCTATGACCATCTCTCAGCAGGTGCTAATGAAGAATTTGAAACACATGTAAAACATATGCCTTACTTTGTTAAAAAATATATAGTTTTCTCAAAATAGAATGATAAAATACTTTCTTGGAATGATTAAAATACACGTATATCTTAGAGCAAGGGAAACGTATGATGAGCAGTGCATCCCTGAAGTCATGTCCATGAGAATCAAGAACAAGACAAGCATGCCCAATATCATTGGCGTCATCTACTGTTTTATAATTCTTACCTATTGGCATCTTTCACTAGTCTCCAAAAGTGTTCTGGAAATTGAACCACAAGGAAAAATAAATGCTAAAAAAAGAATACCCAAGAAAGGGAGAAATTATTATCAGCAAAAAAATTTGGGGGGAGTTAGAAAATCCAGGAAAATCAACTAAAGTTCCCTCACAATAGGACAAAAGTACCAGAAATTACCTTTACTAGCAACCGTAAGAACAATGTCCCAGACCTAAAAATATTTAAATGAATGGAAGAAATGCCATATTGTGGAATATTAGGATTGACTCTTGGAAACATTCTTTTTAAATAAATTTATGAGCTAAACAGCATCCCGATTCTTCATGGATTCAGTGTAGACGGCTTTCATTCTGTGTTGACAATTAAGACTGTCCTTTAACACGGTGCTCCTGGAAGGGTTATGAGCTTTCTGTGATCTCCTGTTCTCTCAAACTCTCCAGGTCAGGGTTTATTTATTCCATGAAGGTTTGGTGGACTCACCTGTAAAATTTCCGGGTCCAGTCCTATTTCTTAGAAGTGTGTATTTCATAATACTACTTCATAATAGCCATTATAAATATAAGTACATTTCAGGCTTTTTATTTTCTAGAGTCAACTTTGGTCATTTATAGTTTCCTAAAATGACTTATTTCATCTAGACTTTCAAGTTCCCTGGAATAAACTTTTACATAGTATTCTAGTTTTTTTCAGTCTCCTCAGTATCTTCAGTTGTGTGTCATTTCTTGTGCCAATTTTTTTTTTTTTTTTTTTTTTGAGTAGGAGTCTCACTCTGTCACCCAGGCTGGAGTGCAATGGTGCAATCTCGGCTCACTGCAACCTTAGCCTCCCAGGTTCAAGCAATTCTCCTGTCTCAGCCTCCCAAGTAGCTGGGACTGCAGGTGCATGCCACCATACCAGGCTAATTTTTGCATTTTTAGTAGAGATGGGGCTTCACCATATTGGTCAGGCTGGTCTCAAACTTCTGATCTCAGATTCTCAGGTGATCCACCCATCTTGGCCTCCCAAAGTGCTGGAATTACAGGCACGAGCCACCACGCCCAGCCTCTTGTGCCATTTTTAAACAAAATTTATATCTCCTATTTTCTTAAACTTTCTTTCCTACATATTTTATTGGTATTTTTGCTTTATCAAGCAACTTCCTTTTTCTGTTTCTATTTTATTAATGTCTGCTTTTATTTGTATTTGTTTCTTCCATATACTTTCCCTACTGTTATTGCATTGTTCGTGCTAACTCAGTTTGAAAGGAAAATTCACTCATTTTCCATCTTCACTGTATTCCTATAAATGCATTAAAGGTATAAATTGTTCTGAGCATTGTTTCATGGTATTCCACAGGTTTGGATAAGTAGAACCTTCATTGTCGTTTTTTCTAAGGCATTTATTATTTCCTTTTCAATCCAAGAGTTATTTAGAAGTGTATTTCAAATTTCCCAGATACAGACTTTTGTTGTTGTCATACTACTGTTATTGATTTCAAAGTTTATTCCTTGTATAGAAATATCCTGTAATTTTTTTTCAAATTCATTGCTAAGTAAGGTGTGTTACTTACTCAACTATGGTAATATGTCAATTTTTCCTTACACTCCCAGTTCAGATCCTTTGTTATTTTATTGGTTTTTTTCCCTTTTCCTCATTGATTTGTGACAGGCCTTTGCATTTTAGGAAAATTAACTCTTTGTTTCTCATATTCTCTCTCTGGCAGTTTTTAAAGAGAATTTACATGCAATTAATATTTTAATAATATTAGATGTTATTGAAAGGTAGGCTTAAAAGGACTTCTGTTTTATAACATTTCATTAGTCATTAGTTAATTTTTATTTTATCTTATATATTCTTGAAAATCTATGTTTATCTAAACATTTCTACGATGTTCATTTTTAACCTGTGTAGATGAACCTTTCCCATATCACTGCGACTGTAGCTTCACTGTGACAAAATTAGAAAATTAGAACAAAGATATTTAAATTGGAGTCAAGATACTATATTTTCCATTAAAATGTTATCACAGCTCATTATGATATTATAAAAATTGGGTCAGTCGTGGCCGGGCCTGGTGGCTCATGGCTACAATCCCAGCACTTTGGGAGGCCGAGGCGGGAGGACCACGAGGTCAGGAGATCGAGACCATCCTGGCTAACACGGTGAAACCCCGTCTCTACTAAACATACAAAAAATTAGCCGGGCGTGGTGGCGGGCACCTGTAGTCCCAGCTACTCCAGAGGTGAGGCAGGAGAATGGCATGAACCCGGGAGGCAGAGCTTGCAGTGAGCCGAGATGGTGCCACTGCACTCCAGCCTGGGCGACACAGTGAGACTCCGTCTCAAAAACAAAACAAAACAAAACAAATTGGGTCAGTAGTGAACAACCTGAGATAGGAATTGGAGAGCCAGGATACCTCCTATAACTCCCCATGCTCCAGACCACTCCAACTCTGTGAATGTGGCTGAGTTATTCAGACTGAGCCACAGCTTCCTAATCTGAGGGAATGGAAGGAATTCACAACCTCTCAGAGTCCTTGTAAGAATAAAAGAAGATAACTGATGGGAACGCTGTTTGCAAAAGAACAAACATCTGTTTCTGTTATTCCATTGAATACTAAAGTATTAGCCTGGAGTAGTCTGAGACCCACATATTTCATGCCAATTTTCCCAATCACGATCTGCCTTTCTTATGAATCCTGATCCATTCACAGAACAGTTCTCATAACCCCTTTAGGAAATGGGAAAGATTGGCCTTCCTTTTTGCACCATATGGGGAAAAGGACAGTGCTCACTAAAAGAGGAATGTTTGCTTTCTTAAAACACTGGAGGGAAACCTAAAACATTTTTCTCTAGCCCCTTTTGCATGTTTCCTGTTAATTTCTGGTTCAGCTACGTCTGGCAAACGAGTGTTATTTTTGCTACATTTGAAGACCTCCCTGAGGAAATAAACTGTAGACCTTCCCTCTTCCATGATGTTATTTGTGTTTAGTTTTGGGGGAGGTTTTGCTTGTTTGTTTTAGTTTTGCAGCGTCGCCTCAGTTAAAGGCTTCTAAGTAAAACTGCTGACCCAGGGGTGCAAGTTATCCAAACAGTATGCCTTCTCAGTTCATTTGGTTTTAGATAGTTTACTTATCATAATAAACGTGTGCATCTTTTCAAAAGAATTCATATGCGGAGTGGAAATGTAAGATGTACTTCAGAAGTCTCTTTATTACCTCTGACAGAAAGGGTTCCCTTTCTCCAGGAGTTCTGGAACTCTTTGTTGCATACTTTTATGGCAAAACCATGAAATCCATGTTTCTCCCCTCAGGATGATGAGCCTCCAGCTAAAGGGAAGAAAAAGAAAAAGAAGAAAAAGGAGGAAGAGATCGACATTGATGTGGACGACCCTGCCGTGAGTCGGTTCCAGTATCCCTTCCACGAGCTGATGGTGTGGGCAGTGCTGATGAAACGCCAGAAAATGGCAGTGTTCCTCTGGCAGCGAGGGGAAGAGAGCATGGCCAAGGCCCTGGTGGCCTGCAAGCTCTACAAGGCCATGGCCCACGAGTCCTCCGAGAGTGATCTGGTGGATGACATCTCCCAGGACTTGGATAACAATTCCAAGTTAGTGTCTAGCGGGGATTTAAAGGCCAGGAGAGATGACCATCCTGAGTACTTGTCTCTGCAGGGAGGGGTGGCCAATGTACTTCTCACTTAAGGACAATGGTGGTTAAAGCTTGTTCACAAATCACTTCGTCTGTCATGTCAGCATTTTTCTTTCTGTCTCTCAGAGGTGTTTTTGGACTGTCGTTGTTTTCGTGTACTGCCTTCTCTTTGCATCAAAATTGAAACACAATTTTTTTCCTTTCCTTGAAACACAATTTTAATGCAAAGATGGTGAAATTAATTTCCATAGGGAAACACACACTAACAAGGAATACAACATTAATGAGCCTGTGCCCTGGACTGTGACCTGGACTGTGACCTTCACAGGTGTTTCTGATTTTGCTCCATGCTTAGGTGGGACAGGATGGCTAGAGGGGGCTGGAGTTGGGCGTGCTTCCCCTGGGTCAGTCAGGCTCTGATCAAACCAGCAGGTGAGGCTCTGGTAAAATTGGTTCTCCTGGCCGGGCACGGTGGCTCATGCCTGTAATCCCAGCACTTTGGGAGGCCGAGGTGGGCGGATCACAAGGTCAGGAGATCGAGACCATCCTGGCTAACATGGTGAAACCCCGTCTCTACTAAAATATATTTTAGCCCGGCGTAGTGGCGGGCGCCTGTAGTCCCAGCTACTCGGGAGGCTGAGGCAGGAGAAAGGCGTGGACCCAGGAAGTGGAGCTTGCAGTGAGCCGAGATTGCCCCACTGCACTCCAGCCTGGGTGATAGAGTGAGACTCCATCTCAAAAAAAAAAAAAGTTGAAGGAACTTGGAACGTTTATGGTTATTGCCAAATATTTCAATCTGGATCATGTGGGGAAGGCAGTAAACTTTATGCTCAAAATTCAGCTTGTGCCACCTTCTCCATGCCCCCCAACTTCTATCACTGTCCCCATCAGTCATTAGACGCCCTCTGGCCTGGGCCCTATGACAACTATGCCTCATCCCTGTCATAGCACTGAGAATGTTGGCTTCTCTGTAATCACTGTGATGGTGAAGTGTTACACGGGCAGAGAAAGGCATACATCCGAAATGTCCAGCTGGTGACAGTCCACAGGTGGGACATGCCGGCACCACCAGCACCCAGATCAACTAAGAACCTAGCCGGCACCCACCAGCCCTCCTGTGACTCCTTTCAGTGTCCACCTCCCGCCACCACCACCACCAGCAGCCCCGCTACTGTGGCCTCCAACTCCACAGGTGCTGCATTTGAAGTCACTTTTGCTGTCTTTTCTATCTGCCTCCCTGATCTGTGCACAACTTGAGGGAAGGGACTTTGTCTTCTCGTCTCTATGTCCCTGGCGTCTGAGGGGCAGATGTGGTCTCAACCTACAGCTCCATTTGCAGCAGTAGCAGTCAGCCCACCTCCTGACTGAGCTCCCAGCCACTGTCCCTGGCCTTCCCCCTTTGGGGACACATCCCTGGAGCTTCTTGCTTGCAGAGAACCTCAGAGCCCCTCCAGTGAAGGATACTGTGTCCCGTGGCTCCATAAGTCCTTGGTGGATATGCCTGTCTAAGAAACAGCTTGCGGCCACTGTGGCTTCACCCTGGTCCCTTCTCTTTCCCCCCAGAGACTTCGGCCAGCTTGCTTTGGAGTTATTAGACCAGTCCTATAAGCATGACGAGCAGATCGCTATGAAACTCCTGACCTACGAGCTGAAAAACTGGAGCAACTCGACCTGCCTCAAACTGGCCGTGGCAGCCAAACACCGGGACTTCATTGCTCACACCTGCAGCCAGATGCTGCTGACCGATATGTGGATGGGAAGACTGCGGATGCGGAAGAACCCCGGCCTGAAGGTGCGTGCAACGTGCTGCGAGGCGGGCCAGGGTGACAGTGACAAGTGACTCTCTGCCAGGCTGAACTGAGCACTTTCTGTGGCTTATTTCATTTATTCCTTCTAGCAACCCCCTGAGGGAGACGCCATGACAATCATTGTCTTATAGATGAGGAATCTGAAGCTTTGAGATGAAGTGACATGCCTAGGATCTTAGCTGGTCAGCATGGGATCAGAACCTACACTCAGGTGCTCTAACTCCAGAGCCCCACCTGACCAGCCCACCAGGCTGCACAAACCCCTGCCACAGTCAGAGTCTCCTAATGGAGCCCCCCATAACTCAGTATGCACACGCACCCTGGTTGGGTCGTCTACCCACCATTAAAGGAGGGACTGGAACTCTGTTTCTAGATTCCCTTATAACTCTGAAATTGTGTATTATTTTAACTAGTGATGTTTTCATGACATGGGAGAAAATTACAAGAAAATAGGAAGCTACGAAAGGGTTTGAAAAAGATATAGTGGGGGAAAAATTATATTGCAATCAAACCCTAGCTCTTGGGTTTACTGCTGTTAACTACTAGGTTATCTTGAGAAGAGATTCTAATCTGCAGATAACCTAGCAATCTAATGGCAGTATTATATCTATTTTAGAGCTCTCCATGAGGATAAAGAAAAGACTATACGAGTTACACTGTGTAGTATGGTTCTGGCAAATAGAGGGCACTTTGTTTCTTAGAAATGTGAATGTTATGCTTAACTGTCTAATTCTATATAATATGCTAAGCTGATGTTATACATAACTTAGGATATTAATAAACAGTTTTCAGAATTCCAAGAATAAAGAGCTCTTTAAGGTTTTCAGGAAACTAAAGTAGATCGCCTACATGGGGATGAACATCAAATTGGCATCAGACTTTTCATCAACAACACTGAAACCCAGAAGGCAGCACTGGAGTAAGGCCTTCACGGTTCTGAAGGGAAGGCATTTGGAGCCTGGAATATTTTCTACCCAGGCCAACTATTCAAAAAGCATGAGAAAAGAATATCTGTTTAAGACAGGCAAAGACTCAAACTATACACCTTCAACCTCCCATGCAGAAGAATTAGTTTAGCAGGTAGTCCAAGCAAAAAAAAAAAAAAAAAAAGGGGAAGCATGTTTTCTATCTATGAGCCTGGGCATCCGGGCATCCTTTTGTTGTCTAGGCCGAGCCCATGTTAGTCCTTCTTTTCTGAGTCACATTAGCCTTGCAACTCTTAGTTCACATAATCTCATTTATATCAAAGTTATTTCTATATAAAATACTTTTGGCCTACTTCACTAGAGGTATTATATTTTATTTATATTATTCTATTTTAATTTAAAGATTTGCCTTCCTCAAAATTTCATGTAAGGACTTTTATTTTATTTTATTTTATTTTATTTTTGAGACAGGGTCTTGCTCTGTCACCCAGGCTGGAGTGCAGTGGCGCGATCTCGCCTCACTGCAAGCTCCGCCTCCTGGGTTCAAGTGATTCTTGTGCCTCAGCCTCCCAAGTAGCTGGTATTACAGACGTGCACCACCATGCCCAGTTAATTTTTGTATTTTAGTAGAGATGGGGTTTCACCATGTTGGCCAGGCTGGTCTCAAACTCCTGGCCTCATATGAGCCACCAACCTTGGCCTCCCAAAAGTGCTGGGATTACAGGTGTGAGCTACCATGCCAGCCAAGACTTTTCTTTTTAAAGTTAGGATCACCAACAGTGCTGTTTGCCATTCATCTAAAAAATTTAGTGTATGTTCTTAAATTGTTTTACTGCCTGCAATTCTACTAATTTACCAAGCACATGTCACAGAACGTCAGACCAGGGATAACATTCCAGGGCTCCTAGGTTATTGAATAATGTTGAAGGTCATAATTTAAAAATTTTAACTATGCTGGGACATTTTTCTAGAATTGCCACAGCTTAAAAAATCAATTTATGTTCCGTAGGTTATCATGGGGATTCTTCTACCCCCCACCATCTTGTTTTTGGAATTTCGCACATATGATGATTTCTCGTATCAAACATCCAAGGAAAACGAGGATGGCAAAGAAAAAGAAGAGGAAAATACGGTCAGTGACACACTTGACCCTAAGCATATCAGTGTAATCTTGTTTTCAAAATTGTTGAGATTTCTTGTACCACAGATTGAGAAATCTCACTGGTTAAAGGTATTTTTGGAATTGTGTTTTTCTAATGGTGCCTGTGTGCCGGAGTGCCTTGCATTTCCCATTTAGCCACCTGCCTGTCATGTGCTGTGCTCTGTTTTCCAGGATGCAAATGCAGATGCTGGCTCAAGAAAGGGGGATGAGGAGAACGAGCACAAAAAACAGAGAAGTATTCCCATCGGAACAAAGATCTGTGAATTCTATAACGCGCCCATTGTCAAGTTCTGGTTTTACACAGTGAGGCCTCCTCCTGAACATTTGACATTCAGTATATTTTGAATGCTTTGATATGTTGGAATCAAGAAAAACTTCAAGGGCTTAAAAAAGTATCTAAAAATTCACTGAATTAAAATGAATTATGAGAACAAAACTGGGACTAATTGAGATCTCTGGCTAACATTGGATCTCGATATCCTGTCATATATTGATATATGGCCATCCTAGTCCCAAATACACCATCTCATAAGGCAAAATAGTCACATGCTATTTGCTTAAGATGAATTCTTCTGATGCCTTTAGCAATACAAACTTAAGGAACTATAATTTTATTTTTAAATGAACAGAGATGACTAGTGATTTAAAGAGCAAATTCACAGATTCCATTTTTCATGAAATTGGTGGGGTCATTACAAGGGCATGGCTAAATCCAGATGGTAAACTCTTGGAATAGGGAAACAAATCAAGGCGTCTCATTCTGAAGTGCTCACCAAACTGACCCGCTTGGCTGGCAAGCCATCCTCCAGCCCTCTCTGAGGCCCTGGGTCTACACAGCTCCCAGAGTGTGGCTCTCTGCTAACAAGAACAGGAGAGGAGGCAGGAGGGCAGATCAGAGCGCCTCTGGGGGAAATGGCCGAGCTGCAGGCGGTCCCAGCGGGGGTGGCCAGGCACACTGTGGCTTGTGCAACCACGTCAGTCGGGAGGAGAGAGACTTCTCATGAAATCCCAAGCATCAAGCCACAGCCCCCGCCAGGCAGGCCTCGGTGCTGTGGTTGCACTGGTGATGAGGTGGGAGCAGGGTATGGGACATGAGGAGCTGGGTCCCTGGCCGTGGTCTGGGCGATGAATGAGGGTGGGCTGGGGGCAGAGCAAAGCTCTGTGTGGGGGCCCACCTCAAGGGTCAGCTGAGGGCCTGGACACCCAACCTTGTGGCAGCCAAGATTGATGATACAGTCGAAGTCACTGCTGCCCATCGATTCTGGTTAGAACCATCTGAGGGCCTGGGGTGCACCCAGCCTGCAGGAGAGCCCAGCCATAGAGGCTGCTGCCGGAGATGGGGCCAGGAAGCCATCGAGGCCTCTCAGCCTTGGGTCTCACCCCAGACCCTCTGGATCGGGTGGAGGGTGGAGTCATCACACATTGTGCAGCTTCGCAGGGATTAGGATGCAGCCCAAAGTCTGAGAACATGGCTCTAATCTTTCTTCAAAGAGTGGATAGTGGATCTTGGGGTGGGGCCTGCCTCTCTCCTGGTAAAGCTTATAGGCTTGGGAGGCAGGATCTTGAAAAAAAAGAAAAAAAAACCAAACTGCCCAGTTACAAATACTCAGTTTTTAGCACCCCTCCCCCAAGCCTTCCACAGGGGCCTGTGCCAGTGAGGGACCCAGAAGCTTAAGTTTCCTTGGCATAATGGTGAATCACTGGGGACAGGTGATCTACTTCAGACGTCCTCCCCCAACCCCTTAACTCCCTGCTTTTGCCTCACCCACTGCCACCTCCAGCTCTGCCTCTTTCCCTGCCACAGAGATAGGGGCCCTGCTGTGGCCACAGCAAATCCTGGACATGCCACCAGTAACTGAGGGGACTCTAGGGTCAGCTCGCATATCTGGGTGGGCAACTCATCCACATGTCCTCTCATCTAACTTCCCAGTTGTGGAAAGAATCAGGAAGGAAATTTCTGAGGCAGGGAGGAGTAAGTAACATTTTCCAGTTTCCAGGAATGTAGAAGACACTCCAGCAAACTATTAAAAGTTTCCCGTTATCATAATGTTTGCAACTTCATAGTTTCCCCATGAGGATGACAGCACCAACCAATATGTCTCCATGTAGAAAATGAAAAGTCAGGGCCCATATCGTGCTGAAGTATAAAATGCCTCCCGTCCTGCCTCCAGGTCTTCTGTCTGCACTGGTGAGGTGCAGTGAAGGTTTCCTCTCAATGAGTCAGTCCAGTTGGAAACAAAGATTCTTTTAGATGTGTCAACCTGAAAGAAAACAGCGTTTCAAAATTTGATTGCTATGTGATTCCCCCAAACACGGCTAACAGCTTGTCTTTCTTTCAGATATCATACTTGGGCTACCTGCTGCTGTTTAACTACGTCATCCTGGTGCGGATGGATGGCTGGCCGTCCCTCCAGGAGTGGATCGTCATCTCCTACATCGTGAGCCTGGCGTTAGAGAAGATACGAGAGGTGGCTACTCCAAAGGCCTCCCCCAGCCCACTAACCGCTGACTGCAAATGCAGATATGGCTCCTTACTGAAAAAACGTTTCATGCAAATTATGCATGTTGGGCCAGGCGTGGTGGCTCATGCCTGTAATCCCAGCACTCTGGGAGGCTGAGGCGGATGGATCACTTGAGGTCAGGAATTTGAAACCAGCCTGGCCAACAGGGTGAATGAAACACTGCCTCTACTAAAAATAAAAAAAATTAGCCAGTCGTGGTGGTGCACGCCTGTAATGCCAGCTACTAGGGAGGCTGAGGTGTGAGGATCACTTGAGATAGCAGTACTTCGAAACCAGCCTGGCCAACATGGTGAAACCCCGTCTCAACTAAAAATACAAAAATTAGCCGGTCGTGTGGCAGTTGCCTGTAATTTCGGCTACTCAGGAGGCTGAGGTGGAAGGATCACTTGAACCCTGGAGGCAGAGGTTGCAATGAGCCGAGATCGCGCCACTGCACTCCAGCCTGAGTGACAGAGTGAGAGTCCATCTCGAAAACAAAAACAAAAAAACAAATTACACATGCTGTGGGACTTTTTTTGGAGGTATCACAATCCCAAGTTTATTCCATTTCTTTATTTAAGATGTATACATCTTGAATGAACTTGAACTTGCAAATCAAAACACAAGGCAAAATAAAGATATTTAATAATGAAAACAGGTTTGAATGCATAGGAAAGCATCAGCAAATGCTGCCAGCGACCTGAGATAAACCAATTACCGCAACTGGGCACAAATTTTGGCTTAGTTATTTGGGATCAGAGGGAGAAAGAGAGATACAAGAGACACTTGCACAGTGTGGTCCAAAGCCCAAAGTTACAGGAAAAATGCCATCTCTTTTATCTCTGGACTCTTGTGCAGGAGATTTATGAAGGGAGGGCTCCCAGTCAGGAGGAAAAGGAGCTAAGTGAGGTGTGGCTTCAGGTGGATCCTGTCCTTGGCCTAATCCTGTAGGGGGCTCTGAGTGGACTGGACACTGTGGAGTCTGTCTCACCTTTGGGCCCCACCTCAATTTGTCATTGGTACCCACCAGAGACATGGCTCCAAGCATCTAAGAGCAAGCCTCCCAGAAGGGGGCAGGTGTGGGCCTAACAGCAGCACCTGCAGCAGATGGGGTGGGCAAGCCCACCTGGGGAAAAGCTCCAGGGGATATGGGAGGGGCCTAGAGCGTTTGCTGCAAACAGAGGGAACAGGATTTTCAACTCAGTATTGCAAAAGAACAGATACCATCTCACATATGACTCGTTATCCCAGAGAGCTCGAGTGAAAATGTAACTCCCAGTAAGCAATCTCTGCAGACAGCAGAGGAAAGATAGGCCGGATACTTCCCTTTCCAATATCATTCAGAAGTTTTAATTCACTAAATTTGCTTATAAAGAGAAAGCATGTATCCAAGCAAAAAAGCAACTTGAGCTGAAAAAGCCCACAGCATCATTTCATATCCTTTCTCCAACTGATATACAACCAATACTATTATTTTGCAGTAATTGTTGACCCTTTCACTGAACTGAAAAACATTATTAACCTAGTCCAGATAGAGGGAATCTGATGGCATCGGTCTAATTAGAGCCTGAAAAACCAAAAGAGCACTGAATCCAAAATTATACTTGCCACCTTCTACTACTGTTCCTTTTCTAGCTGGGCCTCATTCAAATTCTGCAGGTGCTGCAACTGGTATTTCCTGAGCGGCCTGCTTTACCATCGCTGTGCCGTCCTGGCCTTGCTGAGGGTCCACCATACACCAAGACACTGTTCTTTATTCCAGAAACCTGCCCCCAGTTATAGGAGAGAGAGGGTGGCCATCGGCTAGTGTGCATGGGTTGTTAAACTAGTGAATCCCTTCTGTGTGGGCTGACAGATAGCCACTGCCCCATCCTACCACAGAGATCCCCAAGACCTCTGCAACTGAAGGGGTACCACCTGGCATGGCAACCCTCCATCCCAGTGTGGTACCACAGACAGCTGTGCCATTGGGAAGGCTCTGCGCACGCCTGTGCATGCTGCTTGCTAAATATCTTCCATTTTACTCTGTGGAAGTCTCCCCTTAAGCAGCAGTGATTTTGAAAGGATAATATCTCAAGTAGGGGAAAACCTGGTCTAACTTTCCCCTAATTTCTCATGTCTAAGTTGCAAAGGAATTTTGCCAAATCAAAACATTTCCTAGTGGTATTCTGCCATCTCCACTGGGTGGACTGCCCCTCTGTGGGGCCACGTGGGGCTCATCTATGCTCTAGAGTTTTCATCCTGTGTGACTCTGGAATGTGGAGTAACAGGCACGTGTCCAGATAATTAAAAAAGAAATCAAAATGCAGCTGCTTTAATTACAGCCAGAAGGACATAATTTAGAAGGCATTTCCTGAGTTTGTAAAACCCTGAATCTAAGAATAGGGAGGATTCCGTGGAATTTCCCTTTCTAGATATCTCTCCCTGCCTGAGAAGAAGAGTGTTTAAACGTTTTGAGTAGGAAAGGGGCCAGATGACCTGGAATGTTCCATCAGTCTTATTGTTCCAAGATTCTAAGACAAGACTTCTAATACGGCATCTCAGTTTATTGTTCTTTGGGGTTTGTTTTCAGATCCTCATGTCAGAACCAGGCAAACTCAGCCAGAAAATCAAAGTTTGGCTTCAGGAGTACTGGAACATCACAGATCTCGTGGCCATTTCCACATTCATGATTGGAGCAATTCTTCGCCTACAGAACCAGCCCTACATGGGCTATGGCCGGGTGATCTACTGTGTGGATATCATCTTCTGGTACATCCGTGTCCTGGACATCTTTGGTGTCAACAAGTATCTGGGGCCATACGTGATGATGATTGGAAAGATGGTTAGTAGTGGCATCCTGTGGGTATCCAGAGAGACTTTGGCTGTAGTTAGGACATAAGAACAGGCCTTGGGCATGGCTTCCTTCAATTTCATTTGGTTTTTCTTTTGCAGTTGGCTTTTTAAAGGAAATATTCTTTGCTTTAAGATACACAGTTCTCCTACATGTTGATAACTTAATAAAATCCAATAGAAAAACATGAGTTGAGGGCCTACTGTGTATATATACATAACATATATACATATATAGTGTATATACATTCACTGTATATATGTGTGTATACATACACACGTACACATGTATATCTCTCTCAATATATATCAGGTACTCAATATATACTGTCTCCCTTCTTCCATACCATATCTCAACTGTAGGGTGACTAATTACGTTTGTTTTTTATTCCTTCTGATTTATTATTAATGAGTCTATTTTGACAGCAATATAAAAGAAAATAGCCTCGTTTTTTTGTAAGAGCTTACTTCACTTTCCCAGGACATAAGAGAACATCAATTTTTGATGCAATAGGAATTCAGTAGCAAAATAGATGTCTCAAAATATTTACTTCTTGATGGCTGGAAACATATTTTCAGCATTCTTTAGTACAGGGACATGGATTTGATGTTCTATGAGACTACATCCACTTCAGAATGTATATATATATGGCCAAAAAAAAAAAAAAAAAACCCCGCCTGATTTATAACCTCCTAACATGTGGTAGAAGCCGGAGACAAAGGGAGCCCAGGGCCAATCCCCAACCTGTACTCCAGATGATCTTCAGCTCATTTACTCTGGCCTGGAGTGAACACAGGAAGTCCATGTGATTAGACCATGATGACTTATACTCCAGAACAGGCCAGAGAATATGAAACTGAAAATGAACCAGCAGGTCATCCTTACATTACCTAAAAGAGCTTCAGTGTTAGGACTGGTACAAGAAGAAAGCAAGCCTCCTACATTTAGGAAGGACTCTTTATAGGGCAAGTGGTTTTGAGCTAAGGGAAGTATGCTTTAGTAAATTCCAGCAAGGGCCTCCATCTTCAGGGATGTTCAAAATTAGGAATTATACCAGTTTAGTATCCACAGTAACCAGGGCATTGCTCAGCACTTGTGTAGTGAATGAATAAATGTTGGTCTATACTCTCAATTCATTATCGTTTTATTTCCTTAGGTATCTGCTCCTCTTCCTCCTTAGCATCCCTTACAAACTCCCATCTTTTCTTGTAATTCTTCCCTTTCTCCATTTGCAGTTGTAGTTACTAAGGGACATGTGTTTATGGGCAACAACAGAGAAGAAGCAAGAAGGATGAAGAGCAGATGAAGATAGCAATGTTCTAGAAGACATTCTAGGCATAAAGCATTGCATGGAGTAGGAAAAAGCCTTCCCAGGGATGGGAAGAAAGGAAGGGAAAGAGGCTTTCTTCGTCCTAATTAAGCACTCGTGAAGTGCTTAATTGGAGACAGCAATATAATGAGCCAGGGTGAACTTGGCCCACAAGCCAAGACAGTGAGAGACAAATGTTCTCCTTACTCAGATGATCGACATGCTGTACTTTGTGGTCATCATGCTGGTCGTGCTCATGAGTTTCGGAGTAGCCCGTCAAGCCATTCTGCATCCAGAGGAGAAGCCCTCTTGGAAACTGGCCCGAAACATCTTCTACATGCCCTACTGGATGATCTATGGAGAGGTGTTTGCAGACCAGATAGACCGTAAGAGTAGAATTCATAGTAAGATTCTCTTCCCTGCTTCTGAGGCAGATGATCAGTTCCAAATTAATGGAAGAACATGTATTAATTTGGAAATAAAAAATATTTGTCACTCCACCATAGGCATCAAATTATTTTACAAAGAAATAAGAACAAATTATGGAACATGGATTTTCAGACATCAGTCATTTCTTTTATTCTAAAAATAATTCACTAGAATTCCCTTGAGCTGGACCTGATGGACATCGTGTCACATGAATGCAGTTCTAATGCCAATAGCCTAGTTTTTCTTCAACCCAGTATCTCCCCACCCCAGGATAAGGCTGGTAGTGTTTTCCAGTAGAATGAACTAGTGAACAGAGCAGAGTAACTGACACTTCCCACCATCCTCTTCTTAAAGCCATCAGAGCCCATTTTCCACATAGCTACCCATTTCATACCCATTTCATCTTCACTACTAGAGTGCTATTTTGTATTATCAAAAATAATCTGGATGTTAGTAGAGGAAATGGGCTATGATCCTGCACAGATTTCTGGGGAATGTAGGCCCAGCTCCTCTGCAGGCTGAGCTGGTGTCTTCTGGATTGAAGGAATGTAAAGCTCAAATGTTCTTGTACACTATTTCACCAGGACAGTTGAATAAATGTTCCACCAGTGAAGGAGGCACTTTTAGTCCCATTTCCATTTCAGGACCAACATTTTCATTTGCATGTTGTGATTTATCATAAAGCATCAGCTATAATAGCATGTCTGCTGCTTCCAGAGCTCTGCTATTTGGGAATAGAAAGTTTTTATCATCTTCCTCTCATATGGAATGTAGGGCTGTCAGTGTATATCTACTGCCTCTAGGTTAGACAATAACCAGCTCATGCAGTAGCTTCTTTCTAACTTTTATAATGTCATTCTGACCATATCATTATTGCAAGTATCACAAAGTCAACTATTGAAGTGTGTTAGTAGCTTGGTAAGCCAGAACATAAAAATCTAATTTGATTTCAAAAGAATATTAGTTTAGGTAGATATACATACACGTTAAAAGTTCCTGAATTCCAGGCATAAACTGTAGTATTTTTATTGTTGAGCTCTTTTTTTTTTAAATTAAATTGGGTTATGAGAGAAGGTAAAGAGGTAAACTTTAGGCTGTGCTATTCTCAGTAACATAATTAAATGTAGGTTTTTGATTCTTGATCTATTAACTAATAATTTTGTAGTTATTTGTGCTTATGAGGTGTTTGTGTTGGAATATAGGGAGCGCGTGATTGGTTAACCTGATCATCTGCCAGTAACATCATGTCTTTTTCACAGTATTTTTAACTAGTGAGCTTTTGCTCTCGCTTATGACACAGGGTAAAATAAATATCCATGATATATATTTTCTAGAATGATTAATGTATGTAATTCTTCTAAACAGATCACTGTTTCTAAGTGTGAATCAATATTTCCCAAGCTTAAAATATTTGCATTTCTTCACAGCAAAACAGTTATGTTGTTAAACCACTTGTTTTACTTTTCTCTCAACCATCATCTTATTTTCTTTCCTCCCCTCCTGTCAAAACAAAACAAAACAAAAATCCTGCTTTCCAATCGTCATGTAGTCTACGCCATGGAAATTAATCGTAAGTTTACATGGAATTGATTATTCTAGTCTATGGAATGTGTTTTTCAATTACCTTTTCCTTAGCTGATTACTAGTAGTCTTAAACTGTTTTCAAATACTTCTCTTGTTTTTTGGTGCCAGTACTTTTTAAGCTGTCAGTAAAAAGTAAAGAGAACCACAAATTCACTGTTGGGATCACCCTATTTTTTTAGGGGAGAAATAGACCCCCTATGATAAAAAGTTGCATTTCAAATGAGCAGAGGGAGAAAAGATTATTTTTCAAACATGGCACCAAAACAGTTGATTAAACAATTTGGGAAGTAGAGGAAATCCCTAACCCATACAACATAACAAAAATATTTTCAAATTTAATGTATCAGTGAAACCAAGAAAACAACCAGAAGACAACATAAGCTGATGTTAAATAATTAGAAGCCACAATGACTTTCAAATGGATAACGATAAAGGGAAAAAACATAAAGATACATTTGTCTGCTTAAAAATGAAGACTTTTATATTTGAAAGCCACAATAAAGAAATGGGAAAATGTTTAGAAATATGACAAATAATGACTATCTCTGAGCGCAGATATGAGTTTCTGACTTTTTTCTTTGTGTGAGTTGTTTTTTTTTTGAGACAACTGGGAGTCTCGCTCAGTCACCCAGGCTGGAGTACAGTGGCTCGATCTCGGCTCACTGCAAGCTCTGCCTCCCGGGTTCACGCCATTCTCCTGCCTCAGACTCCCGAGTAGCTGGGGCTACAGAGTTTATTTTTTCCCATGGAAAAAATATTGCTTATGAAATAAGAAAGAATCATATTAAAAAAGAAATAGGTATTGAAAAACATATGTAAGAGATATTTATCCTTTTCATTATATGTAAAAAGCAAAGACAAAACTATTTTTTTCTTTCAGCTCCTTGTGGTGAGAACCTATATGATGAGGAGGGCAAGCGGCTTCCTCCCTGTATCCCCGGCGCCTGGCTCACTCCAGCACTCATGGCGTGCTATCTACTGGTCGCCAACATCCTGCTGGTGAACCTGCTGATTGCTGTGTTCAAGTACGTGTCACAGCCGATGACCACATGCTTATTATTTATTACTGTACAGATTTTCCATTTAATCTCAGAACGCTCCCAAGATACCAATATATTTGCAGATAATTTCATTAGGGTTTTTAAGTAGATCCAATTTTTGCAGTCTCTTTGTTCAAACTTAATCAGTCTTAATGTATTCATAAATCAAGAGTTGACACTTAAATACATTTAAATTTAATCTTGGTTAGTATTTTAACACTTTAGCATGTATTTTAATCTAATGAAAATATTTTCTTAGATGAAAGTCTCCTGGGGTACAGAATATTTGATTAAGTCATGCTTTTTATTCATCAGCAGAGGTGGAAAAGGCAATATGAGTTTCATAAGCTGTTACAATTACTGTAATACTAGTAAAGCATTTTTTCTGATCATTTATAGAATACAAGATAAAATGGCCTAAGAAAAAAATGGCTTAAAGGGTTAAATCGAGTTTCTTATAAAACCTGCCTATTTGGCATGTTGTGTTGAGTATGTTGACCATGCTCAATAAATATTGAAAAAAATGATTTTAGCTTCTAAGATGAAAAATATAGAGGGAAAAATCCTTCACAGAAATATGCAATCTTAGAATTGAACAGGGCATTGGAGAAAACCTGGTCCAAACTTCTGGCTTGAGAGATGAGAAAACTAAGGTCAGGGAAGGTAACTGGTTTTCCTAAGGTCCCAGTATTGGTAGACAATGAAATCATGCACTTACTGCTTCCTGTTGGAAGCTAAAATAAGACAAAGATTGTACCTACCCCATGTCCAAAATAACGAACCTTCAATCAAATAAGTTCAATAACTAATTAATTCAGTTGAAAAAAAAGTAGTCATCTACTTGTTAGACAGAATTGAAAGTTTAAACATGTGAAAGCATTTAGTTAAATGGCTTATACCGCTACACATAGGAAATTAAATTTCCTGAGTATATGAGTAGATTGTGGTGTGGTTTTTCAAGAAAGCAGTACATAGCAATTTATTACACTTAGCTATTTATGAATACAATGTCCTTAAGCACAGATAATCCACATTGATGGATAAACCAAAAGATTGGATAATCAAGGAATCAGTACTAAAGGGCACTAAAAGGCCATCTCATTGAGTATTTTCACTTAAATGTGAGTAACTTTGACTGCTCTGGGAAATCACTATAAAAAGTAATATAACTAACTGTAAAAATGTCTTCTTTTTAAAGCAATACCTTCTTTGAAGTAAAATCAATATCCAACCAGGTGTGGAAGTTCCAGCGATATCAGCTGATTATGACATTTCATGACAGGCCAGTCCTGCCCCCACCGATGATCATTTTAAGCCACATCTACATCATCATTATGCGTCTCAGCGGCCGCTGCAGGAAAAAGAGAGAAGGGGACCAAGAGGAACGGGATCGTGGATTGAGTATGTGCAGGGCTCTTCATTTCTAAGTTGGGCTGATTTCAAAATAGTGTTCAAATTGGACATCCTCACAGAAATCTCACTCAACTACTTGCTCGTGTGAAAAGCACCACACTCAGTCCAACTGCTGTTCTTTTCAAAAGGCTTCTCATTTTGTACCCATTTTATTCTAGTTTCGTTAATTTGTTAGTAATTAATATTAGGAAAGCCAGCTCATAGAGACCAGAAGTTGAGCTAATTCTCTAAAATAACTCTACTCTGTAAATTTCTATATAAATTCAATGCTCCTTTCAAAACGTCTTAATTTGTTGCATCTAAAGAAAATGAGAAAATAATGCTATACGTTTGACTCTATTCATAAAAATAAGTGCAAAAAGTTTTCCAGGAAATATTACTTGGCTTTACTTTCCCAGTAAATGTAATTTTGTTTTTTATGTTTAAAAGCGGGCCGTTTGGCTCCAACTGATAGAGGGTTGGGGCGTATGACAACCCCTTTTTAGATAAAAATCAATTGGAGTAGTGGCGAACTGCCTTAGGAGTGGCGGAGAAGAGAGCTTAATTAAAGTGGGGCTGTGAAATTCTCATTGACGCCACGAAACTGATTCTTCTTGTTTTTCACGTGGCCGACACTTCTCCCTTCACACAGAGCTCTTCCTTAGCGACGAGGAGCTAAAGAGGCTGCATGAGTTCGAGGAGCAGTGCGTGCAGGAGCACTTCCGGGAGAAGGAGGATGAGCAGCAGTCGTCCAGCGACGAGCGCATCCGGGTCACTTCTGAAAGGTACGTGTAGCGTCCCCACCGCGGGCCCGTGAGCCAAGGGTTTGCTGACTCGGGCGCCCCACTCTATGGGGGATGCCAGAGTTCATTTAAACATGCACTCCGAGTTCTCCTGTTTTATTTAAACTTTAGGTTTTAACGTGGTTCCCACGAAATAGTGAGAAAGTTACTAGGTAATAACTGTGCATTGGATATAGAAGGGAATGACATTTATTTATCCTGGGCCGAAAGAAAACCTAACAGTTGACTACCTTCACCCCCTACCCCAAACTGGGGGTGTTTCCGCAAGGTTAATGGAAGCTACAGAAAGCCATCCTTCTCCCAGCTCTTGTTCCTAACTTCCCTTTGCGAGCATGGTCCTCCCCAGGGGACTGCCCTCCTCATCCGGCCTAGCTGCTTGCTGCACCTTGGCAACACCTTTCCCAGCCTCACAGGGCAGAGGAAAAGGCTCCCTCCTGGGGCTCCCCTGAGAGTGGGAACTGGGAGGGGTGGGGTGCAGGGTGGGGGGTGAGGTGTCTGGCCCCATGAGGGTGGGATCCGCTAAACTAGGGCAGGGTGTGTCTTTCAGACACCTTCACATCCGCAGTACCCAGCAAGGTCAGCCTAATCTCCGCGGTGATGCTTAATAAATGCAGAGTGAATGAATGCAGGATGTGTGAACCAGTGAATGAGTAAATGAAGTCAGGTCGCGAGGTACAGAAATGGTGACATTTTCCAAACTTCGTAGTATTGCTCTACCCTAAGCTAGGAAAGAGCAACTGGCAAAGGGTAGACAGGAGCAATGGACCTTCACTGTCTGCACTTTTTATCACGTAAGTTTTGAGAGCCTTTATCATTTACTAAAAGCATTTTCAGCCTGCTAAAGATCTTGGTGACTGATAACACACTGTTCCAAAGGGTTTCACTAACAACGTGGCCAGAAGGATGAGCTCAGAGGAGCCATGCCTAGCTCTGCTTTCTATCCTTGAGTACACAGAATTAAAGTTTCCTAATAGACACATTGAGAGCCATAAAAACAGGGTGGGACTTCAAAAAGATATTGCAGCTGACAGTTCCCAAACAATTACAACAGAATTCACAGATGCACCTTAGGTCTCCCTGGTGCATGTTGAGGCCAGTGAACTCTGCCCCAGCCCACAGGAGGGGAGATGGCAACTGTGGGTCCCTGGCCTCGGTTCCCTCCTAGACCCAGTCACCTTGTGACCCAACCAAATCCAACCAGCTAAACTCTAGGGTTACCTGCACCACCTTTCTTCCTTACCAAGGTGAATTTTTAATAAAACTTTGAAATGTTTCTTTGATGCTTTAACAGTAATTGCTAAACTTTCAAGGTATAAAAATTATTTCTTCATGAGAAAGTTAAGGTACCCCATGTAATCAAATTTCCACTTTTTAGTTAGACATTAACTTGAACGTAATTTTAACCAGTCATTTACAATGGAGATTGTGTTTTGTTTTGCTCTGCCTCCCCCTCTCCCTTCCCCGGCATTCCTTGGATTTTTACCATTCTTGGACCAAAGCTGCAAGAGTGTGGTTATCAGGTCACTACCAAATTGCATTTTTCTCTGGGGGCTCTGTGCACACGTAATAGGGATGAAAGTGTGTAGGGCAGAGAAAACATGCTGCTTCCTGTTTCCCTCGGCTGAGATCCCAGGAGCGATGGGAGCACATTCTTGCCCCTCCATTTCCCTTGGCCTTGTCAGGCTGACTCACAGGTGAATGCCCAAGACAGAAAGAGGAGAAGGCTTGAGGAGAAGGGAGTTTTCCTTCCCTCTTAGCCAAGCCAGCTGAGAAGCAAGGGATAAGGTGGGAGGATGGAAATAAAAGTAGCTATTTGGGCACCTGTGACTACTTTAAAAATCACACTTGAAGTACTCAAGCATTTCTGCCATTTCTTTAATATTCTTTCTATATAAAATTAGTTTTATTTTCTGCATCACCATTTCCCATTTGATGATTTTCCTGCTCTTCTCTCGGTCGTGTCTTCGCCAGCACTATTCAGTCTGTAGGGTCTGGTTAGGAGCATGTCAGCCCCTGCCTTGTCTCCCTGTTGTCTTGGTAGCTTTCAGAGCTGAGCTACCAATTCTCATGACTCAGTTTTACAGGCGTGTTCACACAGGATGGGTACCCATTAATCATTCTCCTCCACGCAGGGTGCTTTTAGTGCTTCTGTGCAGAAACCAAATTCATGGTTCTCTCCTAATGTTTGGAAATTTACCTATAAAATGCTAACAATTTAACCATTTATTTTTTCTCAAAAAGTTCCAACATTTTGTAAGATCCAACATTCAGTCCTGCAATGAGATTTGCAATACGATTCAGCATTGATCGACACAACACTGGGTCAGTCCTACCAACCACGCCCACTTAGATGTCATAGGGGCCCTGCTCTCAGGGTTCTCCTCCCAAACTTGCACTCCAGTCTCTGTGAATGGCATCGCCATTAAGCTCAGTTAGCAAACTGGCAAATCATTGTGGCACCTCCCTCTTCTTCACTAACAATCATCAAGTTCTGTTTACTTCCCCTCGTGAATACATCCTGATCCACTTATTTTTTTCATCCCTACCCCAACGCACCTAGTACAGGCTTCCATCATTTTCCACTTCCATTCCTGTAGCTGCCCCTACCTGAGCTCTCCATATTTGTTTCTGCTGTTTCAATCCATGTTGCACTGTCAGCTCTCATGGGGTCCTGTTCCCTCCTGCACTGGCTTTCCTGAAAAACCCTCTGTGGCCCCCACTGTCCTCAGGCCTGCAAGGCCCTGCCCTCTCTCCGGCTTTGCCATGCACTATCTTCTCCTTCATGCTCTGTATTCCATTTCTCTTTCATTTCCTCAAAGCACTGCTTCCTTCCTGCCACAGGGGCTCTGCATGGGCTGTGCCCTCTGTCTGATGCACCTCACCCTCCTTCCCTGCTCCTCTTCCTTGGATCTCTGCCCAAATGCCAATTCCTTATGGAAAACTTCACCACCTCACACCTTAGACTAGGTCAGGACCCTCAGGCCTTAAGCTGCATGAAGGCAGGGCCATGTCTGGGTTTGGTCCACCATGATATACCTAGAGCCTGCACATATCCACATAGTAGGAGCCAGACTTTTGTTTCTGTTTTTGTTTTTGTTTTTGTTTTTGAGACAAGGTCTCGCTCTGTGCCCAGTGCAGTGGCACAATCAGGTCTCACCACAGCCTCAACCTCCTGGACTCAAGCGAGCCTTCTGCATCAGCCTCTGAAGTAGCTGGGAATACATGTATGTGCCACCACGCCCAGCTAATTTTTTTTATTTTTTATTTTAGTAGAGAGGAAGTCTCACTGTGTTGCCCAGGCAGGTCTCAAACTCCTGGCCTCAGCAATCCTGCCTCAGCCTCGAGATTTTTTTGAATGAATGGATGACTTAAAAGCTTTTCTCCTGATTCGAATATAAATTTCTATCCCATCCTTAATGAGTTCCCTCATGGAATATCGAAAAGGAAACCAGCTATGCTCCCTCCAGGTTCAAGACACTGGTTTTACTATAAGGAAGTAGGAGCAGACTCAAGAGCCAAAGGATTGTGCCACAGGAAGGATAACAAGTGTTGGTGTTGGCACCATCTTTTTGCTCAAAGGGATAACATCAAAGAGCCATGAGGGCTGGTGGGATAAGAACATTTTATAAACAACTCCTTTTTTATTATTATTTGTAGAAACAGGGTCTCACTATGTTGCCCAGGCTGATCTCAAACTCCTGGGCTCAAGCTATCCTCCTGCCTCAGCCTTCCAAAATGCTGGGATTACAGGCATGGGCCACCATGTCTGGTCAACTTCTGGCAGCATGGCCAAAGTAGACCTCGTCAACCCATGTGTTCTGTCCTCATTGCTCCAGGAGAATATTTGGCAACATGAGTCCTTATCATTGGGAGATTTGAGGCTATCTGTGTCTTCTGCACATCCACTACGGAGCACACTGTTCTCTTTGTGGTTCAGCATCCCTTATCACAGGTTCACAGGTTCAAGAGCAATTGGGCTAGAAAGAATCTTTCCTGACAAAATTTTGTCAGAGACCCAACTTCCTTTTCTCAATGAGAATTATGTTATCCAGTGTGTTTTCCTTTTTTCCATGGCTTCAAGGAAGCTTAACACCAAACTTAATATTAAATTATCAAATATATTACTATAGGATTTTGAAATATGTGGGGTACGTTGCCTCTTCTCTGCTTTTTTTATATCGTCTACCTCCATTTACATACATTTTATTAATGTCTGACATTTCACAATATGCAGGATATAACTCATAAATTATACATTTTAAGTGTAGTTGGCCTTGTGCTTAAGAAGCTATGGGTCTTAGATGAGCTAAACCTATAATAGCATTTTCTGATTCCCCCAAAACTTTCTGGATTAAGTGGTTTCTTGTCAGATTTGTGGATATGGATTAAAGTGTTTTGTCTTTTTTTTTTTTTTTTTTAATTCTAGAGACAGGGTACTGCTTTGTTGCCCAGGCTGGAGTACAGTGGGATGATCATAGCTCACTACAGCCTCCAGTTCCTGGGCTCAAGTGAGTCTACTGCCTCAGCTTCCTGAGTAGCTGAGGCTACAGGCGTGCACCACCACACCCAGCTAATTTTTGCATATTTTGTAGATACAGGATCTCACTATGTTGCCCAGGCTGGTCTGGAACTCCTGGCCTCAAGCGGTCCTCCCGCCTTAGCCTCCCAAAGTGCTGGGATTACAGGCATGAGACATCATGCCCCATCCTGGATTGCCTGCAGGCTTGATGGGAAATCAGCAATTTGTGGCTTTGAAATCTTTTTATTTGGCATCCTCTTCCCATGTGACCAGAAAGAGAAATGGCTGGTAATGGAGACCTACCTAGAAGAAACAAGATAGTAACTAGAGGAACTGAAAGAGAGATCAGTCTTAGGAAGGAGGTGGGGGATTCTTTGCATGTAGAGAAGGTTGTAGAACGGCAAATGCGCAGTGATGGGGAAGACATTTGGGGATGATCCTGTCTGAATACCTTAATCTTCTAAATTCATAGGGTTCAAGGTTGCTTGGATAATAGGAAGGAGATGGCTTAAATGTTGAAATTTTGATGTGCCAGTGGATGACACCCTTGTTCCTGATCTGACTTTGAAAGCCAATTCAGAGACAGATGCAGACTTCAGGAGGATAGAGAAAAAAAAATCAGTTTTATTAGTAATAAAAGTTGTACTGGAGGGTGTGGCTTCGTTCTTGCCTACTACTCACCCAGAATTAGGAATACCCACTTAGCCACAGGCAGCACCAGCCACCACAGGCCTCGCTTCCCACAGGCAGAGTTTAGCCTGCGCGCTAAGCCTACCAGAAGACCAAGACAGAGAGACAAGCATGCAGTATCCTGGTCCCCAATCTCCAACCAAATGAGCCGTCCTCCTCCAAAATAAATAAAGGCCTGGAATGAGGTCAGAGCATTACTAATGAAAAGTCCACATACATAGAAAGAAAAACTAGGCATGGGCAAAGTGTACCTCTCCAACAATCAACATCACTGACTTAAAGCCAGTAGGAAGGATTCAAGTCAAGTGAGTTCACTTTTAGGGGGAATATGGCAGGAAAGGAGATAACCAGGATTGCTTGGCAGGAATAACGAAGATGCAAGTTAAATTAGATAACATGGCTTTGTACTGGGCCAGGTCAGTGTGGTTCCCATGACCTTCATCGGTGACACCGTACAGCCGAAAGGCAGGGATACAGAAAGACAACTGTACATACGGCATGGATGCTGAAGGAGGCCATGCGCCCAAAAACCAGTCTGTGGAGAGACCTCAAAGATGCTAGTGTTTGCAAATGGCAGCATAAACATACGACATTGCCTCCAGGCACCAAATATCCTTGCTTAGTCCTGGAGTCCTGGTAGCAATAGGTTGGGGGTTAGGGATTGGCACTAACGTGTTGCAAGTAAGGGAGAAAGAACATAGGTTATTAATGAGGGCTTCACTTCGTGGCCAACCACAGAATCTGGCCTGAATAGAAAACAGAACATAACCAGAAAAGGCTAATGATTAGATGACTTGAATTCTATAAACCCAGGAAGTCTGGGGTATGTTTAAATGAGGCAGCATACAGCTAGAATCCCAGAAAGCTTAATGTTCTTTTAGTAACTATTCAGTATACTGTTTATTACAGAGAATGAAAAAGCCAGAAGAAAGACATGAGTCTTGGCCGGGAGCAGTGGCTCACACCTGTAATCCTAGCACTTTGGGAGGCGGAGGTGGGCGGATCACTTGAGGTCAGGAGTTCAAGACCAACCTGGTCAACATGGTGCAACCCCTTTTCTACTAAAAATGCAAAAATTAGCCAGGCGTGGCGGCGAAAGGCCTGTAATCCCAGCACTTTGGGAGGCCAAGGTGGATCACTTGAGGTCAGGCGTTCAAGACCAACCTGGTCAACATGGTGAAACCCCGTTTCTACTAAAAATACAAAAATTAGCCAGGCATGGTGGCGAAAGCCTGTAATCCCAGCACTTTGGGAGGCCGAGGTGGGCAGATCACTTGAGGTCAGGAGTTCAAGACCAACCTGACCAATATGGTGAAATCCTGTCTCTACTAAAAATACAAAAATTAGCTGGGAGTGGTGGTAAGCATCTGTAATCCCAGCCACTCGGGAGGCTGAGGCAGGAGAATCTCTTGAACCCGAGAGGCGAAGGTTGCACTGAGCCGAGATAGTGCCACTGATTGCACTCCAGCCTGCGTGACAGAGACTCCCTCTCAAAAACAAACAAAAAAAAGAAAGACGTGAGTCTTGTTCTTTTATGATTAGTCTTCATTTAGTCTTTCACACATAAAAACTCTGTAAGTAAGCACAACAAGGTTCTATCCTGGTGTTCTTCCTATAACTACTAAATGTAAAAGGCAGCCCTGTATGAAGAAGTGGATGGAAATTAAAATAGCTGGATGTAAAATTTAGAGTGGATAAGACAACTTTATGATCAGTAGTTCTGGAATTAAATTATAGGGTAGGAATAGTTTTAGAACTCAAGTATAGAATACCATGGGATCTTGAAACAGGGGTTTCTTCAAGTATGAACTGGACCTAGCTCCACTAACATCATGTCTTTATGTTAACATTTAACTCTATCATTAAGGAAATGTTCCCATATAATTTATGAGATTCCTTGCAGGTGAAGGGCAACTGTTTCCCATGAAAAGATAACTGCATATAAAACAAGTTTTAGGCTGGGCACAGTGGCTCACGCCTGTAATCTCAGCACTTTGGGAGGCCAAGGTGGGCTGATTGCTTGGGGCCAGGAGTTCGAGATCAGCTTGGCCAACATGGCAAAACTCCATCTCTACTAAAATTACAAAATTAGCCGGGTGTAGTGGCACATGCCAGTAATCCCAGCTACTGAGGCACGAGAATCACTTGAACCGGAGAGGCGGAGTTTGCAGTGAGCCAAGATTGCACCCCTGCACTCCAGCCTGGGCAACAGAGTGAGACTCTGTCTCAAAAATTTAAAAAGGCCAGGTGTGGTGGTTCATCCCTGTAATCCAGCACTTTGGGTGCTGAGGCAGGTGGATCACCTGAGGTCAGGAGTTAGAGAGCAGCCTGACCAACATGGTGAAACCCCGTCTCTACTAAATACAAAAAATTAGCTGGGCATGGTGGCGCATGCCTGTAATCCCAGCTACTTGGGAGGCTGAGGCAGGAGAATTGTTTGAACCCAGGAGGCATAGGTTGCAGTGAACCGAGACTGCACCATTGCACTCCAGCCTGGGCAACAAAAGTGAAAGTCTGTCTCAAAAATAAAATGAAAAATAAAATAAATTTAAAATTTAAAAGGCCAAGTGTGGTGGCTCATGCCTGTAATCCCAGCACTTTGGGAGGCCGAGGCGGGCAGATCACCTGAGGTCAGGGGTTCGAAACCAGCCTGACCAACACGGTGAAACCCCATCTGTACTAAAAATTCAAAAATTGCCAGGCGTGGTGGCACATGCCTGAAATCCCAGCTGTTTGGGAGGCTGAGGCAGGAGAGTTGCTTGAACTCGAGAGGCAGAGGTTGCAGTGAGCCGAGGTCGCACCACTGCACTCCAGCCTGGGCGATAGAGCGAAACTCCATCTCAAAAATAAAATAAAATAATAAATAAATAAACAAATAAATAAAATTAAATAAAACAGGTTTTAACAACTGGCTTACTACAGAACTCCAGATGTTTCAGTCCTTCCTAGGAAAGACACACAGGGACTCTTACCACAAGGACATGAGTTTGGACCTTATGTTTAATAGACAAGAGTCTATGCAAAGTCCAATAAAGTTATGCCATACATAGGTATTCTCTTGGAAGTTAATGCAAAAGTTCCACAAATTCAGGTATTGCCATACCTATTATTTGAATGAAACAGAACACATTATGTACAACCCCTTAACAAAAAGTATGTTTTCATTTAACCACCTTCAGGCTTAGTGGCATCATGTTCAAAATCAAATATCCTTAATAATAGATATACCCCAATATAGAGAAGATTTGCAATGATATTCACACAGCCATGTCCTTTGACACTTGTGTAGCATTTACAGTTCACAGAGCACACAGTTTCATTTAATTCATTTAATTTAGTTGCTGTCATGCTGCAACTGTTGTTAATGTTTGATAAATCACTCCCCAGGGACAGAAGTACAATAAAGAGGGGCTGGTGGAGTAGCTTCATCCCGAATGCCAATGTGGATGGGCACATCTCAAAGGGAACACTGACACTGGCCATATGTTAATCAGAAACAGCTTTTGTTTTTTCTCAAAACCAAATTAAACAAAAAGAGTCATGACATGTAATATCAGTTGTTAATCTGGTACAATCTTTTACTCTATTTTATTTATGTATTTTGAGACAGAGTCTTGCTCTGTCGCTCAGGCTGGAGTGCAGTGGCGTGATCTCGGCTCACTGCAACCTCCGCCTCCCGGGTTCAAGCAACCTTTGTCCTGCCTCAGCCTCCCGAGTAGCTGGGACTACAGACGCACGCCACCATGTCCGGCTAATTTTTGTAGTTTTAGTAGAGACGGGGGTTTCACCATGTTGGTCAGGCTGGTCTCGAACTCCTGACCTCAGGTGATCTGCCCACCTTGGCCTCCCAAAGTGCTAGGATTACAGGCGTGAACCACCACAACCGGCCGACTTTCTTAATTTAAAAAACAAGTTTTTTTTTTTTGTGTGTGTGTGTGTGTGTGTACGCCAGGTTTTGAGACTGATTAGGGCATTCAGGTGTATCCTTTTAACAGAAAAGCCCAAAGATTTAATCTGTGAGTCAAAAGATGAATATGGGCGTGGAGGATCACAGCTATTATTAATCATGACTGATTAAGCACATGCGGTTCTGGGCTCCTCGTGACTTTAGTAGCAGTACACATGATGCAGTTAAGGACAGAGCAAATATTGTAATAAATCAAGTGCAGCTTAAATTTCTATTCAAAGTCAGGAGAATGATTAATTGGGGCCCAGACAGTTTATAGATTTCATTTGTTTATAGTTTCCTTTGATACAAAAGGATGGAGAGTGGCCCTCAGGAATTGCTCTTAGGCCTGCCAGTTAAGAAATCATGTATTTGGTGGTTAGAAAAATGGCCTCATTAATGACCTTTTCAAAAGTATTCATAAGTGGAATTTTTTTCTGTGAAGTCAGTGCTACCATAATGTGAAAAATAAAAACCTAGTGGAGCTATTTATAGCATCTACAAGTAAATCCAAACCCAGAAATAGTTACAGAAGCCACAAACTTCAATTAGAGGGAAAGGAAGATAATCAACCTGATCAGAAATCAGTGTCACCATGTGTAAGAAAGCACACTTTGCATCACAAAAGTACCACTATTCAAAGAAATCATTTATTAGTGCTGAATACTTGTTATACTAAAAACATAGTTATAAGTTATTTCACTATGTGATTTGAAATATTTGAGGGTATTGGCATATTTTGTAAAGTGAATATTATTTTGAAAAATTTCGCAAACCCTATAATAAGTAACACAGCCATGATAATCTAATTAAATCATGCCTAAAGCCAGGATAGTAACGTACGTTTACATGCAATGGCTGAGGTCCCTGACATCACCAAGACAGCTTTCATTTATCTAGTTCTTCCACAAACATCAGAGGTAGCTGAAAGCTCTAGGACAGGTTTTCTCACAGCTGGGGTCATCAAATGCCTTGGCATTTGGGGTTCTCAAGTTCTAAGATTATTTTATTTTTTAATTTTGATGATGACGGCATGTTTGCAAAGGGTCCTTGAGGAAATGTGGGGATGAAGAACAAGATGAGACAGGATGGGAAGATGAGGGCAGATTCTCAAGAGCTTTGAATGTATATGAGTAACAGAAATCTCTATAGGGTGTTAAGATTAAGGGCTGCCATGGATGGAAGGAAAGAGTTAAAGCTACATTTTCATAGCACTTTACATAGTATGAGGAAGTGTCAATGTCCAAATTGTAGAATAGGGTTGCCAATGGAGATTATAAGGTTTTCCTTTAATACACTCTTTGGTTTGTTCATTGCATTCAACACTGCAATGAAATTGTGTTTTTATCTTAAGTGTGATGGGAAGCTGCTATTGTTTTAAAGCAAGATTGACGTGCTTGTGTTTCTGTGTTATCTTTTTGGAGTGAGAAGACATTGGAGGCAAAGAGGCTGTTCCTTATAACTAACATTTTTTGCTTTATCAGCTTGGGGTACAATATGAGGTCATATATCTTTTTTCTTTTTCTCTTCTTTTCTTTTTTTTTTTTTTTAAGACGGAGTCTCGCTCTGTCACCCAGGCTGGAGGGCAATGGCACGATCTCGGCTCACTGCAGCCTCCGCCTCCCAGGTTCAAGCAATTCTCCTGCCTCAGCCCCCAAGTGGCTGGGATTACAGGCGCATGCCACCGTGCCCAGCTAATTTATTATTTTTATTTTTTAGTAGAGATGGGGTTTTGCCACGTTGTTCAGACTGGTCTGGAACTCCTGACCTCAGGTGATCCACCTGCCTCTGCCTCCCAAAGTGCTGGGATTACAGGCGTGAGCCACCGTGCCCAGCCAAGGTTATATATCTTTTAATATTAAATGAAATTATTCTTTGACCTCATCTCATCTGCTTATAATCTCATCTGTTTATTCCAAGAGTACCTTTTTCCCTTTCTATTGTCCCATAGCCCCACCCCCACCCCCTGCCTCAAGTCAGGTGCAGGAAATCCAGTGGTCTGGTGAAGTCCCTACCCACTGCATCAAAATTCAAGAGGGTGAAGTCAATCGTTGCTCTTTGCTTTGATTTGAGCCCCAGCTTTCTGGTTGGAGGATAGAAAACGGAAACTCTGAGGAACTGGAGATATCAGGGAGATAGTGAGAGGGGGAACTTGGAAAAGTAATGCCATAAAGTTATGAACTCCAGAGCTCACCTGCAGACTGTGTCTGTCAGGGGTGGAGGAGTCTGCTCCTTATTCACATACCAAAGGCATTGAATGGGGTGACATGAACAAAAGCAGGTAGAGTAAGGAACTCTGGAATTCTGCCCCACCATAAAAGCAACAACAAAGTTGGCAAAAACTGTCAGAGTCTATATCTTGTGGCACTCTGGAAATTAAGCAATGGCTTATTAAGCAACCTAGGGCATTCTTATTTAAACAAAATGGCTGGATCTTGATAAGAAAAGTGAGCTTTGTGACATTTTAACTTAGCCCTGTCCTATCCTCTGCTCTCCAGTTGAGTAGTCACCTTGAAAACAACAACCTGCATTCCTAGTACCAGTAGGAGCAGAAAGAATCTCATATGCAAAGAATTATAATTACTTGTTTTGTAATTACAGGGCAGCTCCTTGAAAGCCTAGCTGAAAGGTTCGTCTGTATTTCACCTGAGTTGGAACAGGCCCAGTACTAAAGCTTCTAGTTAGAAGGGGTGGAGGAAGGGTTGTCAAAAACATTTACAGGCAAAGGGTTTAGTGCTTGCTCCCTGAGGTGACGGATGACAGCTGGGGCAAACAATAGACTAACCAAAAAACTAGGGAGAAAAACTGATGTCCATAAGAGCTTTGAAAAGCTCTAACACATTCCTGGGAATTTAGAAAGCTATGTGCATGCATAGGGCTGTGTGTATACTCAGGAAGACCTGAGAAGGCTATAAGCTCATTTCTGGCTGACTTGATCTTGAGGCTCTGTGCAAGCAGGAAGTGAAAGCTAAAGCAAAGATGTAAACTGCCTGAGTGTTGAAGATGTGCCCCTATATACACATACAGCTTCTCAGAAAAGACTAGAAGATTTTGTTGTTTTTGTTCCACACATTTAAGGAAATCTCTAAGTATTAACTGACCACTAAGCTAATAAAATACAAACTTCAGTGGCCACACAACATAAAGAATATAGACTTTACAATATTATTTCAGAAAAATCACTAAACAAACAACAACTACAAAAATCACTAAACAAACAACAAACAACAACTACACTAAACAAACAACAACTACACTAAGCAATAACAACAAGCCTGAGAGGGGAGAGAATCTGATTTCTAGAATTGCCACATTATAATACTCAACATGTCCACTTTTAAATAAAAATGACAAAACATGCAAAGAAATAAGAAACTATGGTCCACACACAGGAAAAAGGACAATCTTAAAAACCATCCCTTAGGAATCCTGGATATTAGATGTTTTAGCAAAGAGTTTAACTCAACTATTTTAGCTATTTTAAATATATTTAAAGACCTAAAGGAAATCATCTCTAAAGAACTAAAGGAAAGTATGAGAAGGATTTTTCACCAAATAAGGGACTATCAATAAAGAGGTGGAAATTATATCAAGTAGTAGACGAGGTCTCAAAAAAAAAGAGGTAGAAATTATATATATTTTTAAAAAAATAGGTCAGGCACAGTGACTCATGCCTGTAATCCCAGAGCTTTGGGAGACCAAGGAGGGAGGATTGCTTGAAGCCAGGAGTTCAAGACCAGCCTGGGCAACAGAGCAAGACACCATCTACATAAAATCATTTTTAAAACTGGACAGGCATGGTGGTGCATATCATGGCAACTGGCAGAGCATGGTGGTGCCGGTAGTCCTAGCTACTTGGGAGGCTGAGGTGGGAGGATTGCTTGAGCCCAGGAATTCAAGGCTGCAGTGAGCTGTGATCTTGCCACTGCATTCCAGCCTGGACAATAGAGCAAGACAGTGTCAAAAAAAAAAAAGAAAAAAAAAAAGAAAAAGAAAGAAATGAAGGAAGGGAAGGAAATTCTGACATTGGAAAGTACAATAACTGAAATGAAAAATTCACTCTAGAGGCCCAATAGCACATTTGAGCAGGTAGATTAAAGAATCAGCAAACTGGAAGATAAATCAGTTAAAAATTACCCAGTCTAAGGAACAGGGGGAGGAAATGAAGAGAAATTGAACAGTCTGAAACCTGTAGAACACCATCCAGCAGAACAACATAGGCATCATGAGAGTTATAGAAAGAGAGAAGGGAAACTGGCAGAAACAATATTTAAAGAAATAATGGCCAAAATTTTACAAATTTAATGAAAGATACGAATCTACATATCCAAGAAGCTCAATGAACTCCAAGTAGGATAAACTCAAGGAGATCCATACCAATTAACGTTATAGTCAAACTGTTAAAAGCCAAAGGAAAAGAATCTTGAAAGCAGCAAGAGAGAAGCAACTCATCACATGGAAAGGATGCTTAATTAGATTAAAAAAGCTGACCTCTCATCAGAAGCCAGGAAGACCAGAAGACCTTGGGATGACATAGTCAATGTGCTGAAAGCAAAACAATGTCCACTAAAAATTATATATGCAGCAAAACTATCCTTTAAAAATGAAGGATAAATTAAGATATTCCCAGATAACCAAGAACTGAGAGAATTCATTACTAGCAAACCTACTATGAGGGATACTAAAGATAGTTTTTCAGGCAGAAATGAAAAGACATAAGACAATAACCTAAGATCCACATGAAGAAATAAAGAGGACCAGTAAATTTAACTACATAGGTAAATATAAAAGGCATTATAAATGTATTTTTTGTTTGTAACTACTTTTTATTTTCTACATGATTTACAAGACAACCACATAAAGCAATCATTACAAATCTATGTTGATGGGTACACAATGTACAAAGTTGTAACTTGTGATAATAACAGAATAACATGGGGGGAGGATGGAGCTTTATAAGAGTAAACTTTGTGTATATTATTGAAAATAATTGGTGTTAGGCCAGATGCAAGGGCTCACACCTCTAATCCCAGCACTTTGGGAGGCGAAGGCAGGTGGATCACCTGAGGTCGAGAGTTCAAGACCAGCCTGGCCAACATAGTGAAACCCCATCTCTATTGAAAATACAAAAATTAGCCTGTGTGGTGGCACATGCCTGTAATCCCAGCTACTCAGGAGGCTGAGGCACGAGAATCACTTGAACCTAGGAGGCAGAGGTTGCAGTGAGCTGAGATCTTGCCACTGCTCTTCAGCCTGGGCAACAGAGTGACACTCCATCTCAAAAAAAAAAAAAAAAAGTAATTGGCATTAAATTAAAGTAGACTGTTATAAATTAAGATGTTACTGATAATCCCCAGGGCAAGCACTAAGAAAATAACTGAAAAACATATGATAAAAGAAAGAACAAGAGCCAGGTGTGGTAGTGCATGCCTGTAGTCCCAGCCACTCAAGAGGTTAAGGCAGGAAGATCACTTAAGCCCAGGGGTTCAAGGCCAGCCTAGGAAACATAGCAGGGCCCCATATCTTAAAAAAGAAAAGAAATACTAAGTGAATTAAAATGATACACTAGAAAATACCTATTTAACACAGAAGAAAGCAGTAATGATGGAGTTGAGGGACAAAAAAAAAGACATAACATATAGAAAATAAATAGCAGTATGGCAGAGGTAAGTTCTTCCTTACCAGTAATTATATTAAATGTAAATAGATAAAGCTCTCTAAGACAGAGACTAGCACAATGAATATTTAAAATATGGTGTAATTACATGCTATCTGCAGAGACTCACTTCAGATTCAAAGATTTTTAAAGTTTTAAAGTAAAAGGATGGATAAAGACATTTCATGCAAACAGTAATAAAAAAATAGTTGGAGTGGCTACACCTATCAGGTAAAATAGACTCTAAGACAAATATTGTTACTAGAGACAAAGAAGGACATGATAGACATGATATAATGATTAAAAAGGTAACTATATCAAAAAGATATAACAATTATAAACATATATGCACCCAATAGCAGAGCCTCATAAGATATGAAGCAAAAACTGACAGAATTGAAGGGAGAAGCAGATAGTTCTCAAATAATAGTTGTAGGCTCTAATATTCAACTTTCACTAATATTAGAACTAGACAGAAGTTCATTAAGAAAATAGAAGCCTTAGCCAATACTATATGCCAACTCAAGGTAACAGACATCAGTAGAACACTCAATGACAGCAAAATATATATTCATTTTATAAGCATATGGAACATTTTCCAAGATACATCATCTGTTAGGCCATAAAACAAGTCTCAATAAGTTTTAAAAAGATTTAAGTTAAACAAAGTGTATTCTCAGGCCACAACAAAATAAAATGATAAATTAATAACAAATGAAAATTTGGAAAATTTACAAATATGTGACAATTAAACAATACACTCTTAAATAATCAATAGATCAAAGAAGAAATCACAAGAGAAATTAGAAAATACTTCAAGGCGAACAAAATGAAAACACAATATACCAAAATTTATGGGATACAGTAAAAGCAGTATTCAGAAGGATATTTATAACTATAAAGACCCACATGTAAAAAGAAGAAAGATCTCAAAGACAGTAAGAACTGAAGTAATGATCAGACTGCTACCAAGGTCCCAGACTGACTACTGGGCTGCACGCACATAGGTCAGATCTCAATAGCACTACAAAGACTTTGAAAACTGAACTGGCATTGGAATCACAGTCCACAGAAAGCATGTCAGAACTTGCAGCCTGAAACTAACCAGGTTGATCACCTGCTAAAACAAAACAAATCAACATTCTCCATGAAAATTAAACAAGATTCAGAGTCATGTGGTATAATATTCAAAATGTCAGGCTACAATCCAAAATCATTTGGAGTATGCAGAATATAGAAAATCTCAACTCACCTGGGGAAAAAAGACAATCAGTAAATGTCAATGTCAAGATAACACAGATGTTGAAATTATCTGACAAAGGCTTTAAAGCAGCTATTAGGAAAATGCTTTAACAAAATTGCAAAGGCTCTGGAAACTAATAGAAAACTAGAAAGTCTCAGAGAAAGAATAGAAGATATTAAGAAAATTCAAAGAAAATTTTACCAAAAAATAAAGTAAGTGCAATGAAAAATTCATTGGATAGGCTCAATAGCAAAACAGGGATTACAGAGGAGAGAGTAAACTTGAAGATATTACAACAGAAAATTACTCAATTTGAACAAGAGAGTAAATGGGCTAAAGAAAAAGCCCAAAGCCTCAGAGAAGTGTGGGGCAATAACAAAAGGTATAACATTTGTATTATAAGAGTCCCAGAAGAGAAAGAGCATGATGCAGAGAAACTACTTGAAGAAATCACTGAAAACCTCCCAAGTTTGATCAAAGACGTAAACCCACAGATTAAATAAATGTAGAGAATGCTAAACAGGACTAACTCAAATGAATCCATATCAAATGAAGGGCCACAAACTAAAGACAGAGGGAAAAAAATTGACAGCAAAGAAAAAAATTGACCAGAGAAAAATGATACATTACTTACTGGAGAACAGTGATTTGAATGATGGCAGATTTCTCATCAGAAACCTTGGAGGTCAGAAGGAAGTAGCACTATGTTTTTAATTTTAAATTTTATTTATTTTTTGAGCCGAGGTCTCCTGTGTTGCCCAGACTGAACTCAAACACCTGGGCTCAAGCAACCCTCCCACCACAACCTCCCGAGTAGCTGGGATTACAGGCACAGGTCACCATGGCCTGCATTATGTTTTTAAAGTGCTGAAAGAAAAAAATGATCAACCCAGAATTACATACTCAACAAAAACATTCTTCAAAAATGAAAGTGAAAAAAAAAATCAGACAAAGAATTCATTGCTAGCAGACCAATTCTAAAAGAATAACTATAGGAAATTCTTCAGACAGAAGGAAATGATACCAGAATTGAACTTGGAACATCAAAAATGAAAGAAGAGCATCAGAAATAATAAATATGTTGATAAACATAAAGATGAGTCTTCTCTTTCTGAGTTCTTTAAAGTATATTTGACAGTCAAAAGCAAAAATTGCCATACTGTCTGATGGCATTTTCAATATATGTGGATACAATATATGACAACTGCAGCACAAAGGGCTATGGGAAAGGGACCTGTATGGTAGTAATGTTCCTACATTCAAATTGAAGTGGTAAAATACTGATGCTATGTATACTGTGAAATGTTGCTATCTATTTGTAATCCCTAAAACAACCACTGTAAAATGTATAGTAAATGCTGTGGTCACTTCCCACCTCATTTCCTGAGGCCATCATCACCATGATACCAAAACCAGACAAAGACAATTGAAAAAAGAAAACTACAGACCAATATTCCTCATGAACATAGACACAAAAATTCACAACAAAATACTAGCAAATTGAGTCTAGCCACGATCAGGTAGTTTATCCCAGGAATAAAAGGCTAGGTCAATATTTGAAAACAATCAATGTAATCCACCATATTAATGATTTAAAGGAAAAAACCCTATATGTTTCTAGCAATCGGTGCAGAAAAAGCATTTGATGAAATTCAACATCATGATGATAAAAATACATTTTATAAAAGTCTCTCAGCAAACTAAGAACAGAAGAGAACCTCCTTAATCTGACAAATGGCATTTACATAAAATCTATAGCTAACATGGTGAAAGACAGACTGCTTTCTCCCTAAAACTGGGAACAAGGAAGGATGGCCACTCTCACCACTTCAACAGTGTACTGGAAGTCTTAGGCCATGCAATAAGGCAAGGAAAAAAAGTCTTCTGTCTTGGAGAGAAATACATAAATACATAAAACCATTCCTATTTATAGATGATTATCTATGTAGAAAATCACATAAAATCTTTAAAAAACAAAATGAAACAAATGAAAACGTCCTAGAATTAATAAGTGAATTTAACAAGGCTACAGAGTACAAAGTCAACAAAAATTAATCTTATTTCTATATACCATCAGTGTGTAATTGAACATTGGAATTTTTAAAATAATACCATTCTCACAGAGCTCCAACAAAAATGAAATACTTAGGTATAAATCTCGTAAAATACGTATGGGATCTATATGCAGAAAACTACAAAGTGCTGATGAAAGAAATCAAAGATCACTTAAATAAATGGGAGGATATACCATATTCATGTATTGGAAGACTCAACGTGGCACAGATGTCAGTTCTCCCCAAGTTTATCTGTAGATTTAACACAATACCAATCAAAATCCCAGCAGGATATTTTGTAGATATAGGTCAACTGTTGTTGTTGTTGTTGTTGTTGTTGTTGTTGTTGTTGTTGCTGCTGCTGCTGTTGTTATAGACGAAGTCTCCCTATGTTTCCCAGGCTGGTCTCAAACTCCTGAGCTCAAGCAATCCTCCTACCTCAGTCTCCCGAAGCACTGGGATTGTAGGCATGAGCCACTGTGCCCAGCTATGTCAACTTATTTTGAAAATTAAATGGAAAGGCCAAGGAACTAGACTATGTAAAACAATTTTGAAAAAGAAGAATAACATTAGAGGAATCACACTATCCAGTTTTAAGGCTTACTGTGAAGCTACAGTAATGAAGACAGTGTGGTCTTGGTGAAGGGTCCAACACATACATAAATGGAACAGAATAAAGAGTCCGGGAGTAGATCTACCCAAATAGAGATAATTGATTTCTTTCCCCAAAGGTGCAAAACTAATTCAACGACGAATGGATCATCTTTTCAACTAATGGTGTTAGGACAGTTTGACATTCTTATGCAAAAAATGATCTCAACACATACAAAAATTAACTAAAAATGGATCATAGATCTAAACATAAAACACAAAACTATAAAATGTTTGGAAGAAAACATAAGAGAAAATCTTCACAACTTGGGAATAGACAAAGGATTCTTCAATGCAACACCAAAAGCATAATCATGTCAATCATATATCTGACAAAAGACTTTTATACAAAATATCTAAAGAACTCTAAAACCCATAATATGGAAAAAATGGCCCAATAAAAAAATGAGCTAAGGATTAGACTAGACACACCAGAGAGGACATAAGGTTGTTAAATATGTACATAAAAAGATGCTCAACATCATTAGCTATCAGTGAAATGAAAATTAAAACCAGAATGAGATATATCTACACACCGAATACAAGAGCTAAAAATAAAAAAAATTAAAAATAACAATAGCCAAGAAGGATGCTGAGCAACTGGAATTTGCATACACTGCTAGTAGGAATAAAAAATTGTACAGCCACTCTGAAAAATGGTTGGGCAGTTGCTTATAAAGTTAAACATACATTTACCCTATGAATCAGCAATCTCGGCTATTTAACTCCTAGGTATTTATCCTACAGAAATGAAAACATGTTCACACAAAACCTGTACATGAATGTTTATAGCAGCTCTTTTCATACTTGCCAAATAATGGAAACAACCCAAATGTCCTTCAACAGGTGCTGTGGCACATCCATATTAGAAATATATCTTTGCCAGGCTTGGTGGCTCATGCCTGTAATCCCAGCACTTTGGGAGGCTAAGGCAGGTGGATCACCTGAGGTCAGGAGTTCGAGGCCAGCCTGGCCAACATGGCAAAACCCCGTCTCTACTAAAAATACAAAAATTAGTCAGGCATGGTGGCGGGCGCCTGTGATCCCAGCTACTTGGGAGGCTGAGGCAGGAGAATCGCTTGAACCTGGGAGACAGAGGTTGCAGTGAGCGGAAATTGCGCCACTGTACTCTAGTCTGGGCAACAGAGCAAGACTCCGTCTCAAAAAAAAAAGAAAAGAAAAGAAAAGAAATCTTTAAGAGAGCATCAACCTTAATTAAAGGGAAAGCCAAGTGAATTACTTGGATCTGGAATGCTTCTGTATTCTGTAATGTGCTGAAAAATATTTTTCACTCTGTGCTGAAAGGAAAGCTGGATTAAGACTTAGAAAGCTACACAAATAACTTCTTTGCTGATTAATCATATCTCACTATGAGCTCTATCATGCATGATGGATTCTCTTGTGTTTTTATGCCATTCAATGTGTAAATAGATGTGGGGCTCTTGTCAAATTGATTCCTAGATAGCCTTTCTCTGTCTGAAATGGAAACCACTCTTTGTGTGGGTGTCAAGGTTTGTGAAACATGTTTTAAATAATTATGGGAAGTCACCAACCATGGTTAACAAAGGAGATAGATCCTCATTTATTTGTCCTTTATGTTAATCATTTCAGATGTAAGTGAACTTAAACTCATTTTTATCTTTCTTCTTTCATACGTACTATAAAACTCAATGCAACTTCCCATCGTTTGGCATAGCTGTTTAAAATTTGCTGTATCCACGTTGTAGCTGTTCACAAGCTCCAAACAAGCAACTGACAATTTCTCTGAACCCAGGGCACATCATTAAGCATTGTTTCTTCCACAGCTTCAATGAAGGGAGCAGCAGTAGGGATGGGAGATTTGAGACACCAAAAAAGGAGCTTGGTAACTGATTCAATGCAGAGGGGAGGGGAGAGGAGAGAAGTGAGGGGAGGGAGTTAGTATAAGGGAGACCAAAGAATCCAATGACTTTGAGGTTTGTTTTTCATATATGAGTGGCTGAGAGTGCTGTTATCTGAATTAGGTAATAAAGGGGAAAATAGGTAAAACTATAAAAGATTTGAAAGGAAAGATATTCATCTTCATTTCACCAGTGTATTTATTTAGAAAAGTTTGCACAGCGGCAATATCTCTTACTGTATGTTTGTAAAGGAACTCAAGTTTGACTAGGGCAATGTGGGGTTTTTTTTGATACAAAAGGAATAATCAGGGTAATAGAACTGAACGGAGTAGGGAGCCTTTATTTATTTATTTATTTATTTATTTATTTATTTATTTTTTGAGATGGAGTCTCGCTCTGTCATCCAGGCTGGAGTGCAGTGGTGCGATCTCGGCTCACTGCAACCTCCGCCTCCTGGGTGCAAGCAATTCTCGTGCCTCAGCCTCCCAAGTAGCTGGGATTACAGGCACACACCACTGTGCCCAGCTAAGTTTTGTGTTTTCAGTAGAGACAGGGTTTCACCATATTGGCCAGGCTGGTCTTGAACTCCTGGCCTCAGGTGATCCACCCGCCTTGGCCTCCCAAAGTGCTGGGATTACAGGTGTGAGCCACTGCGTGCGGCCAGGAGCCATTATTTTTAATGAAGAACACCAAGTCTTACTCAGAAGTAATGGAAAGTTAATAGTGAAAAATTCTTCTGTTGGTCTCTGAAATGCAAGAGGAGAGAGAACCCTTAGAACCTACAGTGCCTGTGATACAGAGGCTTTAAAAAAAGGAAGCCAGGACTTCTCATACATGGTGAATTTGGTCCTCCCTGGTGGCAAACGTCCAGGAAGCCAGACCCTTCCTGCTCAAATGATGTGGTTTCCTATAGTACATATAAATAGTTCTCACCCCAAGAAAAGAGTTAAGAATAGAAGCCAAGGAACCACACATACAAACACAGACACATCAGAGCACAGTTGTCAATGTGGTCAACAGAAGAGTGGCATTAGCAAAAAAAAAACTCTGGGAGGTGGGGCAAGGTAGCCACAGAAGCAGCAGGGTGGGGGTGGAGTTCAGGAGATGCAGTCAAGCACAGAGCTGACTTAGCGATGCAAACAGTGGCAGGCAATCTGCTCAGAAGACAAAAGAGCGGGGTGGCTGACCACCGTGAAATGGATGGATAAGAGGAGAGCCAGCAGTACGAGTGAGGACATGTATAAGGATGTGCAGAGAAGGTAGCAAAGACCTTCGTAGGTCATACAGACTGCAATGCAAGCCAAGTCTCCCTATGTTTTTAAGAAAGCTGGGAGAAAATAAAAGAATAATGGAATCAGACCTAAGTGTTTGCCATCACACAGGGATGAACCAGCCAGAACACAGTAGCCAGGACTCCTAGCTCCATCCTGGGGACAAATTCAACTTTTAGAAAGCAATCCTCAATCCTGGGCATACCTTGCCTCTTAGAGTTAAATTCCTATTGAAATAATTCATACTGTATGTAGTAAAATATAAAACAAAGTCTGTACCAGTGGATTTTAGGCCAGGCAACATTATGGTTTCATAGGCTGTTGCCCGATCTTCTAAGAACTGAAAAAAAAAAAACTAATAGCAGGCATTTATAATCTCCCATGCTCTTTTTTGTGTGTAACCTTAAGGAAATACTAATTATTAAATATAAAGAATAATTTAAAGTTTTTGGTATTCTTCAGACAATTAAATCACCTACTATCCTTTAAGCAAACTATCTGATAATCTGAACTTAATTATTAACAGTTTATTTTCTGAATCCCTTGAACCTCAATAAGGATTTTAATTTTATTTATTTTGTTATAACCATTCACTGCTGACAGCCATAGTCAAAGCTCTAAAAACTAAGCACTAGTAGCTTCTGTTATTACTACAGGCAGCATGATGTACCAGCTAAGAGACAGGCACCGGAGTGAGTGCTGGAGCTAGGCTGCGTGTGCTCAAATTCCTGCTCCACTGCTTCCTACCTTTGGGGAAATTACTTATACGCTCCATGACTTAATTTCCTCACCTGTAAAATGGAGATGATAATAATAGACCTACTTCCAAGGACTGTTCTGAAGATTAAATAAGCCTAGGATTGAACCTCAGTAAGTACCTGTTAGTGAGAACATTATGCTCTTAGAACAATGACTGAGCAGTAAGTACTATATGCATTAATTATTTATTTCCATTATTTTCTGGTGGCTCCTCATGGTAATTCGAGTAGTCATGTTAGGGGATTGTGAAGCTTGTAAATATACTCAAACAGTTCCATATGTATTAAAATTCTGAAAAATCACATAGCAATGACATTATCTTTTGATTTTTAATATCCACTTAATCTCAGTTTAATAAATCTATCCCTTTATATTCACCAGAGTTGAAAATATGTCAATGAGGTTGGAAGAAATCAATGAAAGAGAAACTTTTATGAAAACTTCCCTGCAGACTGTTGACCTTCGACTTGCTCAGCTAGAAGAATTATCTAACAGAATGGTGAATGCTCTTGAAAATCTTGCGGGAATCGACAGGTCTGACCTGATCCAGGCACGGTCCCGGGCTTCTTCTGAATGTGAGGCAACGTATCTTCTCCGGCAAAGCAGCATCAATAGCGCTGATGGCTACAGCTTGTATCGATATCATTTTAACGGAGAAGAGTTATTATTTGAGGATACATCTCTCTCCACGTCACCAGGGACAGGAGTCAGGAAAAAAACCTGTTCCTTCCGTATAAAGGAAGAGAAGGACGTGAAAACGCACCTAGTCCCAGAATGTCAGAACAGTCTTCACCTTTCACTGGGCACAAGCACATCAGCAACCCCAGATGGCAGTCACCTTGCAGTAGATGACTTAAAGAACGCTGAAGAGTCAAAATTAGGTCCAGATATTGGGATTTCAAAGGAAGATGATGAAAGACAGACAGACTCTAAAAAAGAAGAAACTATTTCCCCAAGTTTAAATAAAACAGATGTGATACATGGACAGGACAAATCAGATGTTCAAAACACTCAGCTAACAGTGGAAACGACAAATATAGAAGGCACTATTTCCTATCCCCTGGAAGAAACCAAAATTACACGCTATTTCCCCGATGAAACGATCAATGCTTGTAAAACAATGAAGTCCAGAAGCTTCGTCTATTCCCGGGGAAGAAAGCTGGTCGGTGGGGTTAACCAGGATGTAGAGTACAGTTCAATCACGGACCAGCAATTGACGACGGAATGGCAATGCCAAGTTCAAAAGATCACGCGCTCTCATAGCACAGATATTCCTTACATTGTGTCGGAAGCTGCAGTGCAAGCTGAGCATAAAGAGCAGTTTGCAGATATGCAAGATGAACACCATGTCGCTGAAGCAATTCCTCGAATCCCTCGCTTGTCCCTAACCATTACTGACAGAAATGGGATGGAAAACTTACTGTCTGTGAAGCCAGATCAAACTTTGGGATTCCCATCTCTCAGGTCAAAAAGTTTACATGGACATCCTAGGAATGTGAAATCCATTCAGGGAAAGTTAGACAGATCTGGACATGCCAGTAGTGTAAGCAGCTTAGTAATTGTGTCTGGAATGACAGCAGAAGAAAAAAAGGTTAAGAAAGAGAAAGCTTCCACAGAAACTGAATGCTAGTCTGTTTTGTTTCTTTAATTTTTTTTTTTAACAGTCAGAACCACTAATGGGTGTCATCTTGGCCATCTAAACATCATCAATTTCTAAAAACATTTTCCTTAAAAAATTTTGGAAATTCAGACTTGATTTACAATTTAATGCACTAAAAGTAGTATTTTGTTAGCATATGTTAGTAGGCTTAGTTTTTTCAGTTGCAGTAGTATCAAATGAAAGTGATGATACTGTAACGAAGATAAATTGGCTAATCAGTATACAAGATTATACAATCTCTTTATTACTGAGGGCCACCAAATAGCCTAGGAAGTGCCCTCGAGCACTGAAGTCACCATTAGGTCACTTAAGAAGTAAGCAACTAGCTGGGCACAGTGGCTCATGCCTGTAATCCTAGCACTTTGGGAGGCCAAGGCAGAAAGATAGCTTGAGTCCAGGAGTTTGAGACCAGCCTGGGCAACATAGTGATACCCCATCTCTTAAAAAAAAAAAAAAAAGTAAGCAACTGTGTAAGAAAGAGAAACTAAAGAGAAAGCAAACATGAAAAAAGGGAGGGGTGGAAAGAAGAAAAATAAAATTATGAGGCACAATAAGTGGGAAGGAGCCACAAATATGTTTTTATGGGGTCTTTGTTTTCTGTTTTAATGTTTTATTTTAAACTACACAATGGGAAAAAAAGTACACAATTATATCAAACATCATACTCTAATAATTTAGGGTGACCTAGAGTTTTGTTAATGTGCAAAAATAAAGTATCCAATATGCATTTTCTTCTTGTCATAGAGTCCTTAATAGCAAATACAAATTAGTTGTACCTGTCTATGCAATGCTTTGTACAAAGCTGTAGCTAAAACCTAAAGGATATATGTTCACAAGTCACAGAGACTGCTCTTAGCTGAGAATACCAGGTGTTGTGCTTCACCTCAAAGTTCAAACAAATACCCACAAGAGTAATAGGACCCCCATGCGAGGCTTCCAAGAGGGGCCTCTGTCTAGGAACCCTGAAGGCCACCCCACCATCACCACTCTTAACTATACAAAAAGAAACAGAGGTGGCAGAAAGGGGTCTTCTCCGGCTAGAGCAGAAGTTAGAGTTAGACTCTAGCCCCTCACCATCCCCCAAGAGAACCTCAGGGTACTCAGATCTCAGGAGGTCTCTGATGCACAGAGAGAGGGCCAGCCTCGAGTTACTGGCAGCTGATACATCATGAAGCAAAGTGCCTCATACCCAGAAAGGACCACTGGGTAGAGTAACCAGGAATTGGTGGTGGTAGGGTTGGGAGATGTGTCAGACAGAAATGGGTGATGATCACAAAAAATGAGACCGCCATCCCCATTCTCATCTGAGGTGTAGATTGTAGCACTGCCAGAAACTGGCAAAGGAGTACAGAAAGAGACAGAAAGACAGAAACACACAGAGGGAGACCCAGAAACAGATAGAGGAAGATTGTAGCCTGTTCTACAACAGAGGCTCATTGCAGTTATGCCAAAGGTAGTGATCAGAGGTGACAATACCAAAATGTGATTTTGCATCTTTTTCCTCAAAATACGACTGAGATTGTAATAGTCAGATTAGAACTCTTGAACTGGGCTGAATTTATCAAAAAAGACTGATATACCATTGCCTGGGTTGTGGGGTAGGGCTTTAATATTTCAAAAGTGATAACATTTATTTAACATAAACTATTACTTATTTGCATATTGCTATATTAAGACTATTTAATCTATCCTGCCACATGTGTTTATTTGACTCAATACTTAACCTATTACATTTTATCTCACTCCTAAGTCTTTCCTTTGAGTGTCAAAAAACTTTCGGCCTTTTACCATATCCTAGAAAAGAGATTTCTCAGAATAAGCTGGGGAATCTATAACACCTCAGCAGAGCTGGTCTGCAGAAGATAAAGCCTGTCTTTGGAATTCTCCCCATATCTTCATTACACAGTCTCCCTTTACCAAGGTCCATCCCACCGTGCCTCAGGTGTGGGACTCAAGTTCCATTTCCTTAAGTCTCACTAAGATCTGTGACTCCTGTCTTATGCCAAGGTGTCAGCTGATGTAGGATTTTCTAAGCATGTTTGTCTTACGGATCCAAATGGATGAATTCTAACAGTGTGATTTCAGAACCTGTGACTGGGCTGACTATTCTTGAGACCTTTCTTGTATACCTTAAATCATACCATATAGTTGATTAGTACTTTACCAACCCAGCACAACTCAAATATTGACAGTGTTCTATGTAGGACACAATGCCAGACCGCTTGGTATTACATTATTAATGATTACATTATTATTCCCAATGTCATTACAATTTTGTCTAAATATGGACAACCAAATATTGAGAACTAATACCCAATCTAATCAAATCTAGCAGTATTTAATACATTAAAATAAGAATACTGCATATGGTCAAATCATTTAATATAGAACTATCAGTAAATGAATAAGAATTACATTTCTGTGCTATGTAAAACATAGTAACATAAGAAGGCTTTTATTATTTTATCCCCAAAACTCTGGCATACTCATAAATGAGTTCTAATATATTATTTGGTATAAATTAAGCTTGTTTTGGACTTTGATCAATGGCAATCAAGACTTGAACTATCAAAGGACCTCATAATATGTGGCTCTCTCCTTTAAGGCTGTTTGACTGCTTACATTCTGAATACATATATATGCTTCATCATCATGAGGTTCCTATAGTCTTCCATAGTTTAGGTTTTAAAATCTAAAAATCAAACTGTCAATGTTGTCATATAGTTATTCAACACCAAAAATGCATTTTTGCTAAATATATATTAGAAATAAAGTGAAATGAAATCATCTTACTACCTCCTACACACAAAAAAAGACTTTTAAAGGTTTTATCTTAAGATAAAAATGCAGAAAATCACACAAAATAAATAACTGACTTAATTAATTATTGTAAGCTGAATATCCTTGTAACCACCACTCAGATTAATAGAGTTTTCCAGCTACTCCAAAAGTCTCAGAAGTCCCTATCTCAACCACCTCTGTTCCCTGAAAAGTAACTATATTTTTATAGTAATCCTTTCCTTGCTGTTCCAGTTACTATCACTGTATTATTAATACAAGTGACTCCAAAACTGGGTGGCTTAAAATACCCATTTGATTATGCTCATGGATTCCGTGGGTCAGAAATTCAGACAGGCGCAGCAGGAATGCCCCTGATTTGCAGTGTTTGCCGATTTCCATGGTGTAAGTACTCCTACCATGGCCAACTTCAAGCTACGGCATCACTGAATATGGAGTTAGGAAGACATACTGACAATTGGTTCTTGCAAGCCAGTACAGGCTGGCTATAGCACACTACTGTCTACTCCATGATATTTGGGGCCTCAGCTGGGAAGACTCACTGTCTAGAGGGAATTCAACAGCTGGAGGCTGGGATTATCTAGATATGTCTTTATTCACATGTCTGAAAATGGATAATGGCTCTCAACTGGGATCTCAATCTCAGTATAGAGCACATACACATGCCTCTCCAAGCAGCCTGGGCTTCCTCACAGCATGGCAGCCGCAGAGAAACTGGATTTCCTATATGATGGTTCAGGGCTCCAGAAGTGAGTGTCCCATTGAGCAAGGAGGAAATATCCCTTTTTATGGCCAATCCTCAGAAGTCTTGCAGAGTCACTAAGGCCAGCTCGGATTCGAGGGTAGGGGTCATATAGAGGGGAATGTTTAAAAAATTTGCAGATATGTTTTTTGTTTTTTTTTTTTTTTTTTGAGACGGAGTCTCGTTTTGTCGCCCAGGCTGGAGTGCTGTGGCGCGATCTCCGCTGGCTGCAAGCTCCGCCTTCCGGGTTCACACCATTCTCCTGCCTCAGCCTCCCGAGTAGCTGGGACTACAGGCGCCCGCCACTGCGCCTGGCTAATTTTTTGTATTTTTAGTGGAGACGGGGTTTCATTTCACCGTGGTCTCGATCTCCTGACCTCGTGATCCACCCGCCTCGGCCTCCCAAAGTGCTGGGATTAGAGGCGTGAACCACCGCACCCGGCCTGCAGATATGTTTTAAAATCACTATACTTGTATTTCATTATAGTTGTATCACTTGAATGTTCCTTAGCACTATAGTTTAGCCTTACTCTTTTTTATTTGAAGGTCTTTTAAATCTCTTTTAATCTGGTATTACCTTTCTCTCTTTCTCTTCCTTAACAATTTCTTTGTTGAAGAACATGGGCCACTTGTCTTGCAAAGTTTCCCACAGTCTAAACTTTACTTATTGAACGCTCATAGGCAGTTTGACATATTCTGCTGTTTCTGCAGGTTGGCAAGAGGAGTCAGAGGCTTATTCAGGCTTAGGTCTGATCCCTTTGGCAAGACTCCTTAGATGGTGTAGCTTCTTTCTAAGACACAAGGAGGCACATGTGTCTACTTGTCTCTCTTTTTGTGATGTCAGCAACTGTTGATACTCAATGCCTAGATCACTTAATTTATAGAGGGTTGAAAATTGTAATACTCAAATTCTATTATTTATAAAGAGATTATTCTTTTCACCTACTACTTGATTACACAGTGGTATAGTTCATACTACACAGCAGAAATAATGACTGATTGATTTTTCCCATTTGCCAGTTTTAAAAATAATGAATTGGTTCTCTACCATCCTCCAAAGGATGAAGGTGGTCTACAGGCCAGGCAGAGAGCCCTCACCAGAACCTTTACCTTGCTGGTATCTTGGTCTTACACTTCCCAGCCTCTGGAACTGTGAGAAAGAAATTTCTGTTCTTTAAGCCAGAGTCTGTGTACTTTGTTATAGCAGCATGAGCACACTAATACAACTAGACATCTGGAAAATGTGACATTTCAGTCAATAACAAATCTGGAAATCAGAGTTTTTCCAGGTGACTGATAGTTTAGTTTATTTAAACACCATTATGACTTCATGGATTTAAATATATGTGATGTATTTTAATCCATTGTAATTTTTTGGTTTTTGGGTTTTTCTTTTTTTTTTTTTTGAGCCACAGTCTCACTCTGTTGCCCAGGCTGGAGTGCAATGTCGTGATCTCAGCTCACTCCAACCTCTGCCTCCCAGGTTCGAGTGATTCTCTTGTCTCGGCCTCCAAAGTAGCTGGGATTACAGGCATGTGCCACCACGCCTGGCTAAATTTTTGTATTTTTAGTAGAGACGGGGTTTCTCCATTTTGGCCAGGCTGGTCTCGAACTCCTGACCTCAGATGATCCACCCACCTCGGCCTCCCAAAGTGCTGGGATTACAGGCTTGAGCGCTCGGCCATAATTATTATTCTCTCACATTTTCTTTCCATGAGTACCTTAAATATGTTACTCCATTTTCTTCTGGCATAATGCATTGCTGCCAAAACGTCTGGTAATATCTAATTTCCTTTCATCTGAAAGTCACTTGCTTTTTTTGTCTAAATATCCAAAGAAATTTTCATTGTTGTTTCTTCAAGGCCCAGTAGGTTTAGAAGAATGTGTCTTAGTGCTGGTAAGCCCAGATCAATGTTCTCAGGTGCAATGTGTTCTTTCAATATGCAGTTTCAAATATTTTCTTTTAATTTCAGGTAAGTTTTCTTAAACTACAGTTTGTAGTATTTGTTCTGTTTCCTTATCTCCTCCCTCTTTTTGTTTCCCCCAGGAACTCCTATTATCTATTTGTTAGTTCTCCTTTGCCTGTTTTCAATATCTAGACTTTCTTTCTAATCTGTTTAACTTCCTTCATTGATTTTTGATTTTTTAGAATTTTTCTCCTTTTCATCTTCTCTTAAAGAATAATCAATTGTGTTTATTCATCCTTGGGTTTCTTTTATTCTTAATTTCAGATTCTGATTTCTGATTCTATTTTGAATTTATTCATTTCATTTTGAATGTTTCTAGTTCTGATTTACATAGTTCTTTTCATGTTTCATATCATTTTCTTAGTATCTTTTGGCTCATTGTGAAATAGTGGATGTTAGTTTTTATCTGTTTTGTGGGCATCCTTTCTGGTATGCTTTTATTGTGGATATGAGTGCTATTCTGTTCTTATTGTCTTTCATTACAATAATTTTCTATGTGATTTGACTTCCATACTTTCATGTGATTATTTTTATGTGAAATTGGTTTTCTTGAACTTTTTGAAGGAGGCAGTTTTAAGGATAGTTTTTCTTTTTTCTTTTTTCTTTTTTCTTTTTTTTTTTTTTGTGGTGGAGTCTTGCTCTGTCGCCCAGGCTGGAGTGCAGTGGCACTATCTCGGCTCACTGTAAGCTCCGCCTCCCGGGTTCACGCCATTCTCCTGCCTCAGCCTCCCGAGTAGCTGGGACTACAGGCGCCCACCACCATGCCTGGCTAATTTTTTGTATTTTTAGTAGAGATGGGGATTCACCGTGTTAGCCAGGATGGTCTTGATCTCCTGACTTCGTGATCAGCCTGCCTCGGCCTCCCAAAGTGCTGGGATTACAGGCGTGAGCCACCGTGCCCAGCCTAGTTTTTCTAACTTCATAGAGAACTTCCGTTTTTACTGCTTAGTGTTGTGGGTTTCGTTCTTTTTTATTTGAAAAGTTGGCTTACTTTTGGAGATTTCCTAGTTTTCCATTTTTACCTAGAACTTCTTTTTCCTTTCTCTCTATTGTCTCTATTTAGCTCAATTTTGTTTCCATGCCCAACAGTTTGCCAGCAGTGTAGGTCTCTTTCCTGCAAGGAAGCCTAGTAGATTAGTTTCAAGAGTTCCTGCAGCTACATTACTCCAGCCCCTCCAGACTTTACCAGGAGGCTCGTGCCTTCTCACGTTTTTAGAGAAGGCAAATACCCTTTCCTGTTTCTGCTGCTGTTCTCAACTTGACTGGCTGGACCTTCCAGGGAACACTTTGCAGCTATTTTGGGGTTCTCCAGATGCCTCATTGATTCTCTATGCTGATACCACAAGGGTCTTATTACTTATTATTGCCATATTATTGCTATTGGTTTGTTCCCACGCATTTATATTTTTGAGATCAAGGGGATACCATTTCATTTGGATTTGTTATAGATGTTGTCCTTGGGTTTTGGTTTTGCCATATAGTTGCTTTGTCTGTTTTTATGCAGAGATTGAAAAAGTATGCTGCTGTTGTCATCTTTCCACAATTCTCCCTCAAGAAACAGATGTCTTAAATTACTTAGTAGTCATCTTAAAAGACCACATACTCAAGCCATGGCCTCGTTTTGCAAACATTATGTATAACCACTTCTAACTACTTCCCCTGCTACCACCATCACCTTCTCTTATCTGGACTGTTATAACAGGCCCCAACTGGTCTTCCAAAGGCCACCCTGCTGCACACTACAGCAGTCAAAATGATTATTTTAAAACACAAGTCAGATCATAGCACTCTTACCTCAAAACCTTATAAAATCTTCTCAATTTTTGGGGCCTCTGTGATCTGGCCTGTGTTTCCCTCTGCCCTCCTCCCTGACTGCATTAGGCTGCTTTAGCCACACTGGCCTCAAACACCCCTCGAAGGCGCTCACCTCAAGGCATTTGCACAGCTAATCTTCTCTGTCCCAAATGCTCTTCCTCCTCATGTGTACTTGGCCTTTTCCCTTACTCCTTTTGTCTCTGCTCAAATGTCCTATACTCAGAAAGTCCTTCCCTGACCATATCCAACTCCCCACTGAAAAATGGAACCACCTTTCTCTCACTATGTTTTATTTTTCTTCACAGCACTCATTACCACCTGACATGCTATATATTAATTTTTTATCTTTCTACCGAGAATGAAAATGCCATGAAAGTAGAAACTTTGTCTTAGTGTCCGGAATAGTGCTTGGCACAATGTTAGTACTCAATACAAATTCATGAGTTCACTGAATGAGTGCTGAATGAATATATAAAGTTCCTAGCACCTGATCAGTATTCAAGAAATGTTAGCTTTATTTTTTCTTGATAGGGAAAAGGAAGTGATCTTTAGAGAATGCTACCATTCCCAATGATAGAAGATCCAATAATGGAAACAGAGGTGTAGTCAGAAAAATGGGTGATGGGAGGCCGAGTCCAGCAGTTCACCTGAGGTAAGGAGTTTGAGACCAGCCTGGCCAACATGGTGAAACCCCGTCTCTACTAAAAAAACGCAAAAATTAGCCAGGCGTGGTGGTGGACACCTGTAATCGCAGCTACTTGGGAGGCTGAGGCAGGAGACTCACTTGAACCCGGGAGGCGGAGGTTGCAATGAGCCGTGATTGCGCCACTGCAGTCCAGCCTGGGTGACAGAGCAAGACTCCGCCTCAAAAAAACCAAAACAAAACAAACAACAAACAAAAACAGAAAAATGGGTGAAGCAGGACAAAACAGTGACATTAGAGCCAAAAGCAGGGGGTAGGCAATAACACCAAACATACAGCGTAGTCAAGGGCATCAGGGTCTGAGAAGAGGTTATAAAACTAGTTCTACGGACTGAATTGTGTTCCTCCAAAATGCTAATGTTGAAACCCTAACCCCTGGTATGGCTACATTTGGAGATTTTAGGAGGTAATTAAAGTTAAATAAGGTAGTAAGAGTGGGGCTCTAATCTGATAGGATTAGCGTCCTTACAAGAAGAGACATCAAGAGATCCCAGAGAGCATGTTATATACCCTCCCCGCACTGTGTGAGGACATGGTGAGATGGCAGCCATCTGTAAATCCGGCAGAGAGCCCTCACCTGTCTGCCTGCCACAAGTTAGGCAGATCCCTACCTTGCCAACACCTGGATCTTGGACTTCCTATACTCCAGAATTGTGAGAAATTAATGTCTGCTCTTTAAGCCATCAACCTGTGGTATTTTGTTATGGCAGCCTGAGCAGACTAATACAACCAGATATCTGGGAAATGCCATAAAATTTAGTGTTAAGACAATAATAAATCTGGAAATAGAGTTTTTCCACTTTTCAGTTGTATGGTCACATATTAGAATTGCAGATCCTAAGAAAACCTGTACAGAAAAACCCAAATCACAGAGTCATTTAAGTGTAAAGAAAAAGCCAATTATTGCTTAAAGAGTATTTGTAGAAAATATCCGTTGAATATAGAGGAATAACAGCATATTCATAAAAATTTTTTAAAAAGTGTGCACGACAGTGATTTTAACACTTCTAATCCAATGGAACTAACATTTTAAAGTACAATTATGGCCAGGCACGGTGCCTCATGCCCATAGTCCCGGCTACTTGAGAGGCTAAGGCACGTGGATCACTTGAGCCCAGGAGGTGGAGGCAGCAGTGAGCCCTGATCATGCCACTGCACTTCAGCCCAGGTGATGGTGTGAGACCCTGACTCTAAAAAATACAATTATGGTTACGGTTCTTGGGCAGAGTGGAATTCAAACAGGTTAACCTGAAAGATCAGTAGGGTTCTAAATCCAGGATAAATTATTTTCAGAAAAAGAATAACTTTTTGAATCTTTATTTAAATTGTTAAATGTTCCTGTGAGTAACACTCATCAGCGTGATTGTGACTGGTATGGCTGCATGGAAGCTTCCCTGTGGCATTAATCATAAAATGCTGGATTGGGGTTTGATTCTTCAAGGTATAAGAAGGACCTAGTCTCAAGTAATAGATTCACCAAAATGTAACACCACTAGCCCCCTCCCACCAAAATCTGCTCCAGTCAGAATTACCGTAAGAGCTCAGAAGTGACCTGTGCTTGGCGGCACCGGCCCACTTTCCCAGTGCCGGTTCCTCGCATCCTGGGCGCAGACGGGGTGACCGCCTGACCCCTGGACCCGAGTCACCTTTCCCTGCCCTGAGCTCCTCCTTGAGAGCTTCAAAACAATGCTCGCCCAGGCCGGAGGGCGAAGTCGGCCCATGTGTAAGTCAAGGGAACTGTCCCAGGACTGCAGCCCGGCCAGAAGACGCCCCGCGCCGCCGTCCCAGGCAGCCACCGCTGCCGCCATGGCCCCCGCAGGCCGCCGTAGGCCCCCGCGGGCCGCCTGACCCCTGCGGGCCGCCGTAGAAGGACCCTCCAGAGGCCGCGCTCTTGAGATGGCCGTCGGGCTCCGCTCCCCGCGGCGCCCCGGCTGAGGGCCCGCCAGCGGGCACCTGGCGCCACCGCTGCGTTCCGGCACTAGCACGGGACACGGTCAGGGAGCGGCGGGCCGCGGCCTTGCGCGCGCCGTCTCTCGGGGCGGGGCACCGGGCCCCTTCCGGGGATGGGCCCCGGCGCCCGCGTCGGCCTGGCTGTGCCCGGCCCCTCCCCGCTCGGGCGGGCGCTGCGCCGTGTCCCCGCCCGTCAGTCCGCCCGGCTCGGCTGGCCGCAGAAAGGGCCTGGGCGGCCGCACTGAGAGCTTTACGCCCGGAGGCGTCGGCGCTGCCACTGGCCCGCGACGGGAACGGGGCGAAAAGGCGGCGGCACCATGTTCTCCCTCAAGCCGCCCAAACCCACCTTCAGGTCCTACCTCCTGCCACCGCCCCAGGTAAACAACCCCTCCCCGCGAGCGCCCGACTCTCCTCTGCGCTTCCGTGGAGCCTCCAGGCCGACCCCCGGGAACTGGAGGACCCCAGGAGGCTGCGCGCGTCTCCCTGCCCACAGCAGCGCGGCTGCCTGATTCCCGGCGCCGCGAAATGCGCCTTCTCGGGAGCCCCCACTGGCTCGGCGAAAACTTGTAAAACTCTTCTGCAGCCATTCTCTGCCCGAAGTTCTGTCGTCCGTAGTTTTGCGGAGTGTTGAGGCCCAGGGGAGCCTTGGGAGCTGGGGTTTTCTTTAGTTTCCAACCCATCGACCCTCCCTCCTATGACCGCCAGCATGATTGCAGCGCTTGGGGTCACTGGTCGAGGCGGTTACCCGTCTGTCATAAATGTGAACACCTGGAAGCGACACTGGCAGTTTAAACATTTTTTATTATTAGGCTTCCAAGTCGATAATGAGCAGATCTTAAAAACAGCTCAGTTAATATGCGAAAGAATTTAAATGGGGGGCTGTGTGTCTTTCGCATGTGTCATCACTTAGAAAACAACATTTGCTGTAGCATTTTACGGAGGGTGGGGGGATTGAGATTTTGATTTATTTTGCTAATGTATTTCAGACTGACGATAAGATCAATTCGGAACCGAAGATTAAAAAACTGGAGCCAGTCCTTTTGCCAGGTAAACATTAGTTAGGATTCTAACAGATACTTTAGCAACGTATTTTGGTTTAAGATTATTCTGCCGACTAGTATCATGTGGTTAACTTCCCTTCTCTCATTAAACTTTCTCCAGTTAAAAGTCTAGTGACTGAGAGGAGAAAAAGGAACTGTCAAGAATGTCATTACCTCATTTCCTTTTTTGTCTCCCGAATTTCTTTTTGAAAAGATGTATATGTTTAATTGCTTGGGTAGTAAAAGTACTCTTTGCTGACGTGTTTGCCACTTATTGCATTAATGATTAATCATTTTAATGCATTTTGATAGTATAAAAAGACGCCTTTATTATGTGTGTGTCTCTATACCAATAACAGAGCTTAGTGAACTTTGAATTACTTGCTTGGCAATTGTTTTTTGAAGTTGTCAGCTGTATTTGCAAATTTGCTTGTTTCAGTTTAGAACCAGGCTTTTCCCAGCAGAGACACTTAATTGACATTTGGGGCCAGATAATTCATAGTTGGACGGGCAGGCTGTCCTGTGTATAGCAACAAAGATGGCCTCCACCCACTAGATGCCAGTAGTAGTACCCTTATCCCCCACCACCTAGTTGCGACCTAGTTGCCACACCAAAATGCCACCAGTCATTGCCAATTTTTTTTTGTCCCCTACCTCTGGGGGACAAAAATCTCACAGTTGAGAATCACTGCTTTAGAACAAAATTTGCTATAGGTGACCTTAGAGATGGAAGTAGGGATTGGTGGTAGAAAGGGGTTTGTTTTAGAGCATACAGAATATTGGTATGGTATTTTGAATTGTATAACAATTGTATAATAATTAGGAAAAGTCAGTTGTTTAATGCGATTATTAGGGGAAGTAGCCAGATACTTAGGAAAGCCTGTTTTAAACCTGAAATCGGCCGGGCACGGTGGCTCATGCCTGTAATCCCAGCACTTTGGGAGGCCGAGGCGGGTGGATCACGTGGTCAAGAGACCGAGACCATCCTGGCTAACACGGTGAAACCCCGTCTCTACTAAAAATACAAAAAAAATTAGCCAGGCATGGTGGCGGGCGCCTGTAGTCCCAGCTACTCGGGAGGCTGAGGCAGGAGAATGGCATGAACTCGGGAGGCGGAGCTTGCAGTGAGCCGAGATCCTGCCACTGCAGTCCAGCCTGGGCGGCAGAGTGAGACACCGTCTCAAAAAAAAAAAAAAACCTGAAATCAAATACTAGTTTGTGTGGCTACTATCAGCATTGTAAAATCTGACTCATTACTTAAAGCCAAATCGGTAAAATAATTAGAATTTTGTAGGTAAAAATTGAACAAATGTGGAAACTTTAAAATTTTAAATATTATATAGGGACAAAATATTAAAAACACCAAACTTTGGTTCCATATGAAAGTTTAAAAAGTGTTTTTTAAACTTTACTATGGGAGTCATAAATATTTTCCCTTGATTTTGTTAGTGCTTTTCACTCAACAGTGTGTACTAATTAATCATTTGTACTTTTCCTCAGAGTGAACAGTAGAATTACTAAGTAACCCTTGCTCCCTGTGTGCTCTGTTTTAGTCTTAGTCACTCTGAGCATTTAAAATGCAGGGACGAGGAAACAGTACTCATCTTGAATGAGTGCCTATGAGCTATTGAACTTTGACTTCGTTTACTCTGAACAGGCCTGGTTCTTAGGCTTTGATTCCTCCACTCTGCATACTATGATTTCACACTCAGAAACAACATGGTCTTAGCTGTAAATGTCAGTGCTTGCTTTTTAATTTTTTAAAATTTTTTTTAAATTTTTTTTTTTTTTTTTTTGAGACAGAGTCTCACTCTTACTTGGGCTGGAGTGCAGTGGCGTGATCTCGGCTCACTGCAACCTCTGCCTCCCAGGTTCAAGCGATTCTCCTGCCTCTGTCTCCCAAGTAGCTGGGATTACAGGAGCCCACCACCACACCTGGCTAATTTTTCGTATTTTTAGTAGAAATGGGGTTTCTCCATGTTGGCCAGGCTGGTCTTGAACTCCTGCCCTCAGGTGATCCGCCCGCCTTGGCCTCCCAAAGTGCTGGGATTACAGGCGTGAGCCACTGCGCCTGGCCACTTTTTTAAAATTAGCTTTTAAATTTAAGATATGTGCTAAGAAAAGGTGTTACTAAGTATGCATAAACTTGAAGAACTTTCTCACTGAGGGTTATCAATTCTATAAAATGGCTAAAAGTCAGAGTTTTCTGGGGAAGTTGTAAACCAAGTTTCTGACTGTGCTTTTCTTGTCCCAGAAATGGCAGCTAAATCCGTATTATTTTTAGAGAAATTCTAAAAGAGCTGTAACACTAAGTCTGAACCTTTTAGTTGCCCATTAAGGAATTCTCTGACCTGTGTTAATTTTTATTGCATTGGCGGCCAAATCATAGCTGAAATCTGTACATGCATACATGACGGCTCTATCACCCAGCATTCTGTTTGTACCTGACTTATCCTTACCCAACATTTAGCCGGTCCTGAATTAGGATGTCTTTTGCCCCCTTCCTCTCCCCTTCTGTTCTTACCCTCTCATTCTGGCCTTCCTGCACCCATCCTGGCTGTGTTCTGTCTGGCTGCCCTGTTGTGGTCTCTGTTTCCTGCTTTACCTCGCCTGTCACATCTCTCACTGCTACCATTTGCTCTTTGTTGGCCTGTAGCCTACTGCTCTACCCATGAAATCTGGAAGACAAGTGGAAAGTTACCGAACTATTGGTGATCTAAAGACCTAGACTAGGCTAGAGCTTTTACTAAGAGGGAGTGAATAATATAGTTCTTGCCTTTGTGACTATCAGAATCAATAGAAAACCTGGCCACATCACCTGTGGCTATATACAGGGATGCAGAAGTTATTGTTCAACATGGACACCGGGAGGGGAACATCACACACCGGGGCCTGTCGGGGGTGTTGGGGGTGGGGGATGAGGGAAGGGAGAGCATTAGGACAAATACCTAATGCGTGCGGGGCTTGAAATTCCCGGCGTCATCCCTAGATGACGGGGTTGATGGGTGCAGCAAACCAGCATGGCACGTATATACCTATGTAACAAACCTGCACATTCTGCACATGTATCCCAGAACTTAAAAAAAAAAATAAAAAAAAAAAGAATTAATTGTTAGAGATATGGTATTGCATGCTTTGCTTTGGCATAATGCCTTGGGTCCAAGGGTATCCTACTTCAGTTGCCCAAAGTTTGAACTTCTAATTCAATAAGCAGATGAAAATTAGAACACAAAATGAGTTGTTTATTTGTGTGCTGTCACCATGTGCACTGTTGGAACTTAAGCCTAATTTCAAAATGATCCTCATCTTTTATTAAGTAAAGAAAACAGAAGAAAATGACTAGTAATTTAATTTAGATTGTGGTTTATGTTAGTAATTTTCAGCTTTCCTGATACATGAAACTCTGAGATGGGTATTGTGCCTACTTCAACTTTGTGGTCTTGATGTCTCACAAAGTGCCAGGAATGTGGTAGACACTGAGATGTTTACTGAGGGACTGAACGAAAGGACCTCTCAGACCACCTGGCTTAAACTGTTACCTTACCCAGGCACACACACAGACTAACTTTCAGATTTAGGAGTAAAGGGAAGACTGTGTTATTTTATGCCAGACATTTCAAGAGATTTATGTCGGAGCCTGGAATTGAAATAGAGTACTCTGTCAAAGTAGTCAGCTTTTGTGTAGGCTTTCTCTTTATCTTCCTCTCATTATGTGAATTTCATTCTTTCAGTGATTATATTGTATATGTGTAAAATCACTCCAATACTTGAAAACTGAGTTTGACTTTTAAAGTGTGTGTGTGTATATATGTTTGTGTTCCAGTATATATTTGTTAAGAGCATGTAATGCCAGACTCTGTCCTGTTTAGCTGCTGGACTGGTGGATCGGTTCGGTGAGGATGTGAGTATCTCCTGGGTGCCAGGTCTGTCCTGGATAGCGAGAATGCTGGAGGTGTCATGTGCCTGTATCGCAGAAAGGCGTGGGGTGAGCCCTAAGCTGCCTGTTGACAAGGTAGAAGACTGTGACCTGGATCACTGGTACCCAGATTCCAGCCAGGGCCTGGTATCAGATTTGGATGAAGTTTTTACCAGCCCTTGGTCAAAGTGAGAAAATTAAGAAAAGTGCAGTTTTCTTTAATAAAGATAAATTTATTTGATTTAAAAGATTGTCTTTTATTCTGAGATTATGTTCTTCTAACTTACTTGGAATAGATACTTTTTTTGTTAAATGTTGGTGATAATAGCTGTAGCTTTAAAAAAGTTTTTAAGTTAACAAAATTAAAAAGTTAAAAACTCTTTATTGGTCCTTTAAATTAGTTTTGCACTATACCTGGTTTGGAATCTAAACTAGAACCTACTAGATGAGATTATTATAATACTATAGATACAATTTTGTGAGCACTCACACAGAGAACATTAATTATTTTGTCTGCCTAGGAGTACTGCCATTTTTTTGTTTGTGTTTTGAGACAGGGTCTCGCTCTGTCACCCAGTTTGGACTGTAGTGGTGTGATCACGGCTTACTGCAGCTTCAACCTCCTGGGCTCGAGTGATCCTCACAGCTCAGCCTCCCAAGTAGCTAGGACTACAGACGTGCGCCACCACACCTGGCTAATTTTTGTATTTTTTGTGGAGATGGGGTCCAACTATATTGCCCAGGCTGGTTTCGAACTCCTGGGCTCAAGCAATTGGCTCACCTTGGCCTCCCAAAGTGTTGGGATTATAGCCGTGAGCCACCACACCCAGCCCCCTTCCACCATCCTCTGAAAAATGCATCCTCCCTCTTTTGACAAATTATCCTTTCCTGACTAACTCCACCCAACCTTGGGTTCCAGTGTGGCCAGCAAGGTTAATAACCCACCCTGGACTGCAAGCATGAACACAGGTCTGCCTCTGGATGTTGTTAGGTTGGTACTAAGGGAAGAGGTCCTCTTTGGTAATGCTGCAAGTGGCCACAGTTCCAGAAGAATCTGTTGAAAAGAGTGAAGAACCCCAAGGAAGTGCACTAATGTGTGTTGAAGTCCCTGGGTTTCATTGTCCTTGCAGGCCAGGTGACACAAAAGCCTTGTATTCTTCTTTTTGCTAAGCTATTACCAGGCATGTTTCTGAACATACTTTGAACGAGGATCCTTAACTAATATAGCTTGCAGATTAATCATCATAACAGTCTTGTCAGCTAGGATACCAGTTTATCTCCATTTGACAGATGTGAAAACTATAGTTTGCTGAGGTTAAGTAACTTGCCCAGTGTCACACAGCTAGCAAGGCAGAGCCAGAGTTCTCTGTCCAGCTCCCAGGCTGTGCCACTAACTGCTAAGTAGCACGGCCCACCTGGCTGCACTGGTGACACTAGGGTACAGATTTATGCTTTGGAACTGTTGGGGAGTAGATTGGATGTCAGCCTAGAGGGAGTTCTCTAGTGAAGTAAAAAGAGCTCTGTCCTTGTCTTTGCCCTTTTCACAACAGTGACAGATTTTGACCCAGCGTGCAGAAGAACTTTCAGAGAATTTCAGCTGCCAGAAAATGGAATGTCTTAGGGAGGTAGTGGACTTCCTGTTGCTGGCTGTGCCGAAGCACAGTCTGGTGAAATGCCAGCAGCTTTGTATTGAGGATGTAAGATTTGCAGTGAGTGGGGCTTGATGGCCTTTGCTCTCTTCTCACCCCAGGGCATGCCCTTTTTTAAGGGAGAAGAGTTGAAATGCCAAGACTAACGATAATGAATTTGTTCTGCAGGTATTGAGTGTGTGCTTGATGCAGTTTGGCAGAAGGGTAAAATGCTGAGGAGATGGGATCCTGTTCTTAGACAGTTTCAGTTCACTGGAGAGATGCTTCAGTAGAGGAGAGAAAAAGTAGTAAGAGCTCAGAGGAAGGTCACCTAAGCCAGATTTGGAGTAGGGCAGGGGTGTCAAGAAAGATCTCTGGAAACAAATGCTTGTGCTCTGAATCTTGAGTGCCCGTTGAGCCTGGGCCCCTGTGCTGAGGCTGTGCGTCAGCTCAGTTCTTTCCCTGTTCGCATCTACAGTGCTCACAGCACTTTCATTCTTGAGATTAACTATTAGATAATGAATGCAGTGATTGTCAGAGTCTTTTGTAATCGGATCAGAAAAGCATACAACCATGGGCCATCTGGGAAATGAAAATAGCCATTGTTGTATAGATGTCTTGTTTATTTTTTACAAGCTCACTGGCCCGTACTGTTCTTGTTTTCTGTCTCACCATACGTCTTATTTCCTCAGTTGGGTTGTTAATTCCTTAAAGGCAAAGACTTTATCTTTCAAGTGTTTTATGTAATTCCTTTTTGTAGGTAGGCTTCATAAATGATTGTAGACTGATTTTTGTAGTATTTTAATTTGTGAATGCATTGTTTTTGAAAGACCAAAGGACTTGTAACACACCCTCAGAACAGTGAACAGTGTAACTGTACTATCTTAGCATTAGCTTTATACCTTACCCGTAGAGCCTTAGGAATGTTTGGAGCTGTCCATTCCTTAGGCTTTTGCTGCAGTACCTTAGGCCAGCATTTTCTTACCCCTCCAAACTCCTCACTATCGTTGTCAACACCGTTCATGAACCTCCATAAATAAAATCCTACTTAAGCAGGATAAAATCCAAATTCTTTAACCTTGTAATTTGCTAACACTGTACCTCACTGACTTCATTTCTCAGTATTTCCCAATATTGATATTTGCTTCAATCATGCCGCTTCCTTGGTCTCTTCCAGATGCCTTATTCCTTATTTAGGACCTTGTTACTGTTATTATCACACATTCTCTACTATCTCAATGCTCTTCTTCCTTCAAGATTTCATTCTACAATTTTTCCTGAGATCGGCACTATACCCTTCCTCCTGCCCCATCCTATCCTGAGTGCTACTCACTGGACTTGGTACTTGCTTTTTTACATTGTGTGTTAGTACCAGCATTAAAGATTTGTGTTTATCTTCCACATAGTTTCAATTTCCTGTGATAACTTTTGAGCCACTTTAATTCCTGAATTTACCTAAAGCTAGGGTGACCAGCTTGTCCCAGTTTGCTTGAGACTGTCCTGGTTTTAGTGCTAAAAATACCACATCCCAGGGAAACCCCTCTGTCCCAGACAAACTGGGGCAGTCACCCTACTGTTAAAAGCCCAAGTTAAGTTATGCTTTTGGCCTCTACACATCCCACAGGTTAATTAGCCACGTGTGCCGTGAGACTTTGCCTTAAACTGTGTTCCAACCTAAAATGTATGGGAAACATTATTTCTGTCCATCAAACGTGATGAATTTCTAAATGTATAAGGTGTTAGGAAAGATAATACAACATGGTTTTGAGGTCCTCAGGGAGTTAAAAACTTTCCTAGCCATATCATTTGGAGGTTTATTAACTGTAATTGCATTTCCCTTCTTATTTATATTTACAGATGAAAGGGTCTTGAGAAAATAAACTTGGATTTCTTGATTTCTTCCCAGGTGTTAGTAGAAACCTTTGGCTCATCATCCTCTAATTTAGAAGGTTTTTGCTTACCGCACACTGAAGCTAATTTCCTGCTTTTTCTGGCTTCATGAGGCTTCCTTGTGGCATCCTGGGAAGTGCTTGGTGCTGTAAATGGTCCCACCGTGGCTGATGGCATAGCACAGAGCTGGGAGAGAGGAGTCTGGTGGGTTCTCACAAGCAGGCCAGCCAGCCGTCTCTAGCACACCACCCTTTTACTGCATAAAAAGCACAGGCGTATAGTCTCCCTGAAAACTTCAGATCCTCTAGAGCTTTGAAGCTTTTATTCGGAGTTTTCTCTTCAAGGTCACTTAATTTAACATGTGAACAAGAGCAGTCTCAGTACCTTCTTTTTATATATCCTATCTGGGAAGAGGCCACTTTGTGTCTTCTTTTTCTTCCCTGTGTATAAGCTAGTTTTCTGGCCCACAGTGTTTCAGTGCATGGCAGGAGCTTATGACAGCTCCTCTTCAGCATTCCTTTTTTTTAAAATTATGAACAAATGACTTACGTGAGCAGACAGCTGTGCTACATGATCCAAATATTTTAAAGACTGGTTCTGCATGAACAAAATTTAGCATTATCAAATAAAACTCATGTCACTAACTCGACACTTAATTATTGTAATAGGAAGACCCAATTGTAGCATATCCTCAGAAGTGCCCTTCTTTTCTTTCTTCTTCCCCTGTATCCCTCTGTACTTCTGTTCTTTGCTCTCTTCCAAGGGCTCATTTCCATTCTGTAAGAAAAGGCTGTGTGGCGCTTAAAAGACCCTGGCCCAGAGAGTCCTTCTTTCACTTTTTTTTTCTTTTTTCTTTTTTTTGGCTGTTGTTAATGTTGTGTCTCTTGTTTATTTTCTTCTTTAGTAGTTTTATTTTGGAATGAATTTGAATTTGTAAGAGTTGTACAAAAGAGGATAGAGTTAATGTGAACTCTTCAGCCAGCTTCCGCTAATGTTAATAGCTTATGTAACCTTGGTGAATTTAGCTCAACTGAGAAACCAACAATACTATTAGCTAAACTGCAGGTTTTATTCGTATTTCCCTAGTTTTTCCACAAATGTTCTTTACCTGTTTCAGGTTCACATCCAGGATACTACATAGCATTTAGTTGTCGTGTCTCCTTATTCTCAATGTCTCAGTCTGTGACAGCTTTTTCATCTCATCTTTCAAGACCTTGACGTGTTTTTTTCTATTGAATTTGATTTTCTTTTTTTTCTTTTTCTTTTCTTTTTTTTTTTGAGATGGAGTCTTGTTCTGTCACCCAGGCTGGAGTGCAGTGGCGTGATCTCCGCTCACCGCAACCTCCAGCTCCCGAGTTTGAGCGATTCTCCTGCCTCAGCCTGTTGAGTAGCTGGGAGTACAGGTGCGCACCACCAGGCCCAGCTAATTTTTTGTGTTTTTAGTAGAGACGGGGTTTTACCATGTTGGCCAGGCTGGTTTCGAACTCCTGACCTCAAGTGATCTGCCTGCCTCAGCCTCCCAAAGTGCTAAGATTACAGGCATGAGAATGAGATTTTTATTTTGCCTCAAATAATACATATTAAAGCTCTTTAAACATAGAAATATACTACTACAAAAGGAAAAATTTTATAATTACTAGATTTCTGTTCTAACAAACCACCCCCTAGAAACGTCATCAAATTGACTTAAAAATGTAGACGTAATTTCAGACTTAGAGAAAAGTTGCAAATAACAGAAGAATCTGTGGATACCCTTTCCTTAGATTCCCCAATAAAACCTTGACGCTTTGGAAGATTATTATTCAGGTAGTGTCTTGTAGTATGCCTCTTGGTTTGGATTTGTCCGATGTTTTCTTTTGATTAAGCAGAGGTTATGGATTTTGGGAAAGACCCACAGAGGTGGTATCCTTTGCCCTTGTGTCATGTGAGCAGGCACAAGACATCAACATCATTGGTTATTGGTGAGGTTAACCTCGATCACTTCAGGTTAAAGTGATATCTGTCAGGTTTCTCCTCTAGAAAGTGACTGTTTTTCCTTTTCTGTACTGTTTGTTAGAAACAAATCACTAAGTGCAGCCCACATTCAAGGGATTGGGAATTAAGCTCCACTTCCTGGAGAGAGGAGAATCACGAATTTATGGGCATACCTTAAAACTACCACAGTAATTAGTCAATACTTTTGGGAAGATAGCTTTGTGCTTATACAAATAACCTGTTTCTCCTTAAAGTTTGGCTCTCTGAATTTAGCATTCATCAATGCATGTTGCACACAGCAGTCATTCAGTCTATGACATTGAGTCCATGATAGTTTCTTGATCTTTACTGTAATGTTCTAATCATGATTTTGTTTCCTTATTCCTCCTACATTTATTAATTGGAATTCTTCTGTGAGGAAGATTTGTCTCTTCTCCGCCATTTATTTATTTATTATTCAGTCATCTGTTGACAACAGTATGGATTCACAGATACTTTTTAATTTACTTTCTAATCCGGCATTTTTGTTATTTCTTTTGTTGCTCAGATTGTTCCAGCTTTGGCCATTGAGAGTTATTTCATGTTGGCTCTTGTATCCTTTGGAAATGCCGTCCCCCCGCTTTTCTTCACCCCCACTTCCATATTTTCTGGTATTCTGGCATTACCAGAGGCTACAGACTCATCTTCTGTTTCCCCTGCCCCAGCCTTGGAATCAGCCATTTCTCTAAAGAGCCCTAGTTCTTTTTATTGGAAAATGGTATTTTAAAAGCAAGAGCTGGGTACTGAGTGTGTATGTTGTTGCTGGAGCGTCACTGCTTTTAGCACTTTCAGAGGGCAGAGCTAGAAAACATACACACATGTACCAACCCAGGTGTACACACATCTGTTACTGCATGTCTATTTGTATATTTATTAAGGCAAGCATAAGTTCATTCTGCTATCTCAAACTCTTAATCTAGCCCCTCGGGGTTCATTTCCAAATTCTTGCTTTTGCTTTTTGTTGATGGAGTATGGGCAGTACAGCAGTTAAACCTGGTTTCCATATTTACTTTCTGCTGAGTGCTGTAGCTCATTGGTGAGAAAGGGATCTTTTGACTTGACTTGCATGGACACATTCTAGTAGGAAGGTTGTCTGTCCTCATCACTCCTGTGAGTGGTCCTCTAGAGCTCTTTGAAATGGCTACAACATTGCAGATCAAAAACACCTGCTTTTCAGGTGCTTCACTTCTCACCTTTCAGATGGGACATGCCCAGTTGTGTCTTCTAAACCTTGTTTCAGATAATTTTAAGAGTTGTCGCTTCAGTAACTATCTCTAACACAGGGATCAGCAAACCTTTTCTGTGAAGTGCAGTAAATATTTTAGGCTTTGCGGACCATAAGGTATTTGTTTCAAGTACTCAGCTCTGTCTTTGTCCTGTGAAAGCAGCCATAGATGGCACATGAACAAATGAGTATGGCTATGTCTTACTAAAATTTCATTTACAAAAACAAGGTTTTGTATTTGGCCCGTGGGCCATGGTTTACCATCCGTTGGACCCATTAAGTATATTCTCCTCCTCTTCTTTGTCTCATTCTCACTGCGTTCATAGGCTTGATACGTTAACATTCGTGCATCAGTAAAAGAATCTGGCTTCTAGAGAAGAAGGGCTGTCCATGGGCGTTTGACTCCTAAATACAGTTTGTTTATGGTACTAGTGTGGCCACAAGGCTCTGCCACACAAGCTCTGTCTCTTCCTTCCTGTTATTACTTCTGCTTCCCTTCTCAGGAACCTGAAATCATATGGTAGTTTGTTTGTTTAAGTGATTTTTTTTTTTGAGATGGAGTCTAGCTCTGTTGCCCAGTCTGGAGTGCACTGCAACCTCCACCTCCTGGGTTCAAGCAGTTCTCCTGCCTCAGCCTCCCAAGTAGCTGGGGCTACAGGTGCGCACCACCACGCCTGGCGCACCACCACGCCTGGCTAAATTTTTTTTTTTTTAATAGAGATGGGTTTCACCATGTTGGCTCAGGTGGTCTCAAACTGACTTCAGGTGATCCACCCGCCTCAGCCAAAGTGTTGGGATTATAGATGTGAGCCACCACGCCCAGCCTTTAAGTGAATTTTTATTTGAGTATAACATGCATAACAAGTTTGTGTGGATCATAAGTCTTAGAAGTGGATGAATTTTTGTAGCAAGGTTTGAAGAGTCTGTTTTTAGATGAGTTTGCTAAGGTGGCACAGTATGTGATGATTCCGTGTAAAGAAGTCATTGTTACAGGGCTGTGTCCTCTATCTGAACTGGCATGGTTAGTTTAGTTGTTTAAATTGAGGGCCTGCTTACAATTCATATCTAAGATTTACTGGAGAGGAGAAAGGGTTGAGTATTCAGTGGCCCAGAATCTGATATGGGAATTGGTAAGGTTTATGTTCAAGGAGCCAAAGAAGATTTAAATTTTATGTATTTGAATTACTCAGTGCGTCTATATATATATATATTTGGTCATCTTAAATTTTTTTTCTCGTTAGAATTCAGTTAAGGCCAATATTTGAACTTTAATAAGTTTTGGTACTTGCTACACTGCAGTACATTTAATTGTATGTAATTATAGGGAAAGACTATGGGAATTGAAGTCAGAACACTTGGTTATAAGTGCGAAGTCCACTACTTCTTTTTAAGATCTTAGGAAAGTGATTTAACCTCTTTGGGTGCAAATCCTTTATCTGTGTATTAAGGAAACCATCTGCCTTCCTCACCTTACAGGTTGTTGAAAGAATCAGACAGGACAGATGTCCTATTTATAGCTCTTTAATGCATATGTAGACAAGCAGTGGCAGTTCTGTGACTCTTCTCTAACTTACATATCATTTACCCAAACAGCCCTTATCTTCCAGCCAGCTTGGCTGCTTAGCCATATTGAATTACTAGTTTCTCTTATCTAGAACAACTTCTGCCCAACTCATGGTGGACAGAACCAAGTGTCATGAAGTGATTTTATTCATTCTTGCATTCAGCACTCTTTTCACAGGCACCTACCCTGTGCCAGACACTGTTCTAGGCACTAACATTTCAGCAGTGAATAAAGTCAGTCCATCTTCTACCCTCATGGAGCATATAATCCTGAGGGTAATGCAGGCATTAATTTAAAAATATATAAATATAATTGTAGCTATCATGAGTGCTGGAAATACAATGCTTCGATATGTGAATGTAAACTAGATAGGAAGATTTTTTTAAAGAGGCATTCCCTAGACAGTGGTTGGACTAAGGTAGAAGAAAAGAATATTCCATGAAATGGGAAGAAGCATGGTCCCATGAGGGATTAATAGGCCACCACTGTGGGCAGAGCAGTGAGGGTGAGGAAGGCTGGTAGCTGGCTGGGTATGCAGGGCTCCCAGCCATGAGAGGGAGGCTTGTCTTCAAAGTGGAAGTTAACTCAAGCTGTTGGCACTGTGAATTTGACATGAGCAGATTTTAGGTAAATGTTAAGGGGCAGTTACTAAAACTAGCCTTGTACATTTTTAAGAACTTCGAATAAAAGTTATTGCAGCTCAAATTTGTTATAACCTATTTGTTAAAGAGAGGATTGTTTTGAGACTATAGTTCCATTCTTCATGAATTGGTAGGAGTTTGGAGTTTGTCAGCAAACATTCTATCGGGCTAAAGGTTTTTATAATGAAAGAAATAGGCAAAGTGGATCAGTACACTCACTTTTCTACCATTGACCCTGGAGACAGATGGCTTAAAATGTTCTGCGTCTAGTTGACTTTTAGATCTTGAAATTAAGGTTTAATGATGACCAAGCTTTAAATAAATTGTAGAAAAGTATTCTTTCAAAAGTACATTATAACTTTTATATTGGTTTCTTATATTTATTTCTTTTAATCTTTTCTTTTAACTCAAACTACATTTTAAGGTTTTGTTGCCTACTAAGTTATAATCTGAGTGCAGAAGGAAACTTGATTTGGCTTTATGGAATACATTTTACATTCAGTGAAGCTGAGCTCTGTTTCTCATTCCTTACAAAAGGAATCAAAGGCATTGGTTTGAGAGATCAAGTCATGTGTTAATAAAACACAAATATTCCATCAAGTAATACTCTGAAGGAGCAGGTGTAGTTTATTTCTTCTCCAGAAAGTCTTCCAGCAGATAAATAATGAGAGGTAGTATGGCATAGGAAAAAAGTACACTGAAGTCAGCCTTTCTGGTTCAACCAGCTCAGACCCCTGAGCTATTTTTGCCTCAGTTTTACGCCTTGGAGAACAATGCCTTGTCATTACTATTCACTTTATGACCATACAGTGCCTGGCACCTGGTGGGCAATTGGTGAATGTTTTCACTATCCTCATCCTTGCCCTCATGAAGCACTCCTTCTAGGTCCCACAAAGACCGTTGGTATTTTATGACAAAGTACCTTACAAATATTTTTCTTTTTTTAAAGGAGAAATTGTCGTAAATGAAGTCAATTTTGTGAGAAAATGCATTGCAACAGACACAAGCCAGTACGATTTGTGGGGAAAGCTGATATGCAGTAACTTCAAAATCTCCTTTATTACAGATGACCCAATGCCATTACAGGTGTGTTTTATTAGTACACTGTTTCATTCTATCAGGCTTTCAACTCTAAGTGGTACATATTATTATATAAAACATAGGTATGGAAAAGTTATAGTAGAAGTATTAGGTAATGCAATGTTTGGGATAAATTATATTAAGATTTAAAGTAAAGTTTAAGAAGAATGTTGGAACTTGCTAGAGGAGTATTAGTGAGAGGATTGTAAGTCACCTTGCTTTATTTATCCTCTGTGATCGTTCATTGTATGTCCTTTTCATTAAGGAAGTTATTCCCTCTGTTGCAGATCTTTTAACCTGCTTATAAAAATGACATAAAGAGAAAAGGTTGTTTGCTAAATGATTTTATAAATGCCACACATTTTAGTGATTTCATAGGTTTTTTTGTTGTTGGGTTTTTGATTTTTTTGTTTTGAGCCTGGATCTCGCTCTGTCTTGTCTCCCAGGCTGGAGTGCAGTGGCATGATGTCGGCTCACTGCAACCTCTGTCTGCTTCCTGGGCTCAAGCTATCCTGCCACCTCAGCCTCCTGAGTAGCTGGGACTACAGGTGCATGCCACCACTCCCGGCTAACTGTTGTATTTTTTTGTAGAGATGGGGTTTTGTTATGATGCCCGGATTGGTCTTGAACTTCTGAGCCCAAGCAATCTGCCTGCCTCCCCCTCCCAAAGTGCCAGAGTACAGGCCACTGCACCCAGCTACCTTTTTTTTTTTTTTTAAACTAATTAGAGTTATTTTCCTAAAAAGTTAAATTCTAATTTCTAGGAAGAGTGAAGAATAGTATCGATTTAAAAATTTTCAGTAGCCCTCTTGCTATTTTATGTTCTTACTGGAAAGTAATAGTTCCATGTAATTTTGGTTTTTAGAAGTTCAGGCATTCATTTGATTAACTTAAAAACCCTGGACTTTTCTGTCAGCCATTTTGTATTTTGTTTTATAAAGTATTATACACACTTACCCCTAGATCTTTCTTTATAGTAATTGTTCTTTAATGAAATATTGGTATATGAACTGTAAACTTTTAAATTTAAGGATCTAATAGTTTAGTGTAAGTATATTTCATGTAGTCACTCACTAATTTACCATAATTATTATACTGTACAAATATTTATTGTACTGTATATTTGTGTGTTCATTACAGTCTTATGTAGGTATATTTAGACTAAATTTAAGGCACTTAAAGATACCCACTGTGTAGGGACAGTAGCTTATTTGGATATAGGCTTGTGTGTTTCTCTTTGTTTTTAGCTTCATAATGATCATTGGCCCCAGACTTCACTGTAAATGAGAAGCAGATACCTGGAACAGCTTAAATCCAGTACCACTATTAGGAAAAAGTAAACCAGTGCCCTACTGACAGCAGGATTGATAGTGTTAACTACGTCCTTAGTTTGAACATGCAAAACCTTTTCTAATGGTTTTTATTTCTAGTAGACTTTGTGCTTTAAAAAGATAGTTATTTTGCACTTTAAAATCTTCAGTGTGAAAATCAAACATGATTTTACCCACTTAAAATCTGATGACCTAAGAGCCCTTTTTTCTTTAATATGTTGTGGCCAGCTTATCCAGATCTAGACATGCAAATGCTTGCTGGTAAGGTGATTGATGATATTCCCTATCTTAGGTATTATAATAAGATTGTTGTGTACATTTTAACCTAATTTCTATCTGTCAACATTGGAATGGCCCTAGCTACCTAGACAAAAGCTTTTTGTGCTTTTTAGAGATAACTGTCACAGTTTATCATCACAGTTTAAGGCTTATACTACCATTGTGAGATTATTGGGAAAAGAATTAATATGAACATAATTTTTTATTCCAGAAATTCCATTACAGAAACCTTCTTCTTGGTGAACACGATGTCCCTTTAACATGTATTGAGCAAATTGTCACAGGTACGTAGTATTCCGTACATACTCTAAAAGTCAATTCCACTCTGGAAGTATTATTTGAAAAGTCATACCTCTCAAAATACTTGGATTGGCGTTTTATTTCTGTAAGTTTACTTTTGCCGTTTTTTTGAGTCCCGGGAACATAAAGAGGGATATGTTAATAAATTATTTTAAAAGGAAGATATAAAATGTATAACTTTTCATAGTTTCTAGGTTTTTTGTCCTCTTTTTAATTAAAATTAATCATTAAATGTATCTAGATGGTGGTTTTATGCAAATAATCATTTAAAATATCTTCCAAAGCAAAGTTAAAACCAACCCCCAAGTTCTAGGAATTACAAGTATGAAACATTCTAGACAAGCAGAGCTCAAATGTTGGGTGACCTTCCAATTATTTTCACTAAGAATTTGTATTAAAGGGTGAGTAACAAATAACTGTTACGCATTTTATTTTCTCTATTTTTTTTTCTTTTTTAGTAAACGACCACAAGAGGAAGCAGAAAGTCCTAGGCCCCAACCAGAAACTGAAATTTAATCCAACAGAGTTAATTATTTATTGTAAAGATTTCAGAATTGTCAGATTTCGCTTTGATGAATCAGGTCCCGAAAGTGCTAAAAAGGTAATACTGTTAAGGTTTATCAAGTTCTGGGTTCTGTACTGTGTTTACTGATTTCAATTCCGTATGGCAGTTTTCATTTCTCAATTGCTCAGATGTTTTTTAGGGGAAGTTATCAGACATCTTCTTAAGTAAAGTCAAAGCCAAGAATATTAATAGAACTATTTTCTTGGATTGGTTTATGGCTGTTTTAAAGTGTTCTATATAACTTTTTATCAGCTTCTCAAATATTAAAGACTCTTACGTGGAAATTAGCATTTTTTTACATAAAGATCATTACTTGTCAGTTTCTTGGTTAAAAGGTTGAAAAGTTGGTGATATACTGTAATTAAGGTTTGGTTAGGCTTTTAATTCAGTACTGCAGAACTTTACCAACAAACTGTAAGCTAGACTTATGTTACATAAGATTTAGGTAAATATATAATTACGGGAAAGGCCTAGTAATTATTAGTGGTTTAAAGAAATATTATGAATTGAGTGACACTCAACAGGGGCAACACAAAGCTAGTAACTTTTTAACTGCCTTATTTTTCCACGGCCTTCCAGATAATGACTTATTACCCTACTTGTAAGAGTCAAGGGCATGTTTTCCATGTTTTGCTTTGCCAGAGGAGTGAAGCTGGTAGACCTAATATGGCCCCCGTTCCAGTCTGTGCTGCAGCAAATGCAGAGTCACAGACTTTCCAGTAGGAAGCTTGCGCGTGTGTATGGGAATAGGGCAACAGTATCTTAGTATAATAGGACGTGGCTTTCTCTCAGAATGGAGGCAGTCTTTGCACCACCAAGCAATGAGTGCCTTTGTTTTCCATGGTTAGTCAACTGACTGCAGTAAATCTTCTGTTGATACCAAAACAAGGCTGGCAAAAATACTGTAAGGCAGCTGTCTTCATATACTTTGGTGAAGAGGTGGTAGATTTGTTTTTAGATTGAGAACCAACAGTTTCTTCACAGGAAGGCAAGCAGGAGATGAATATATGAAAATACATCTGAAAATATGTGACTGTCTAGCAGAGTAGAGTGGTTGTAGGCTCCTCTATGGGTAAAAGTTTTCAAATGGTCTGTATAACCATCTCTCAGCAAGCTGCATTATTGAAAATTCAACTAGATAACTCTTAAAGCCTCTTTCACCTGTTCGATTGTGCTGTTTGTGATTTTGGCATTTTACTAATTTAAAGTGCCTATTATATAGAAGGACTTTAGAATTCATGATGTATTAGACTGTACATAAAATATTTCAGACAGGTTAATTCCTCAAGCTTATTTATATTTGTAATTTAATTGATCAAAGCATCAAAGACCTGCTTATGAAAACCTTAAGATGTGTAGCATCTCAAGATTAGGGACATCACAGAACTTGCTAGATTGAGTTAGGACAGCATATTCCTAAGGAAGAAATTGATGCAATTGACCGGATCTCTTTCGGAAAGTTCAATTCTCCCTCTTTTACTGTATTTTTCAGTTTACACTATTTTAATGAGTGGAAATAATAATTATTTGGCCTAGTTCTTGAACCATCTGTAGTACTTGTTGGTCATTTTTCATGTTGAGGCAGTGTGCTAAATTTTGCAAGTAGAAAGAAGGGTAAGATGCAGTTTCTTGCCCTAGAGAACTTAAATCTAGTGAAGAAGATAAAGCATGAACAAATGAAAAGTAATGGTACAAAGTGGCAGCATAAAATCAACTACACAAATAGTTGATTTCCAGATGAACAGAGCATAATAAGTGCTGTGGAAATTCAGAATATCCCCTATGTGTTGTGCTGCTGGTTCATGAAGAGGGCCTTACTAAACCGTCTGCACAAAACAAGCCAGTCCCTCATATGCCCTTTCCTAAGACCAAGTTTCAGACAAAAATCTTTTCCCCAGTATCCTAAAATATAAAAAGCATGTGAGTCTCTGTCTTTTGTATAGCCACGGGGGTTGCAGGGCAGGGGAGGGTGCAGGAAAAAAAAATAGATGCAATGAGAATATAAATAGTTTTTTTGGGATTTACGCATTTCAAACAGGGTTAAGTTGTATATGGCTACCAAAGCTTGACGGCTTTGTGAGTTAAAAACAAAAATTATGGCATATTCTTTTATTTCAAGTGAAAAGTTTTCATCTAAAATTCGGTAGCAGTTAGGAAATTATGGCTCATTTTTACCTCCTGGAAGCTTGGAATACTGTTTTCTCTGGAAAATGCTTTGCTATTTTATCAGTTGCTTTAAAATGATGAAATGCATGTTTGGAGTTCTCTGGTGGGTAAACCGTTGATTCATTTTGAAATACCTAAGCCATTTATGTTTTTGTTTTGAAAAATGAAATTCAAGAATACTAAATTGGTTCACATTTTGTTAAATGTTCTGAACCCTTCTGGTTGTCTTGTTGGTGTTGTTTCAATTGTATTATGACAAAATTAGATTGCTTTGGGCACTTGTACTCATTAATATTCATCCTCATTATCCTCGAGCTGTCACAGGAAAATAGTGATATTTGGGAAAGGTCTGTATAAAGAAAGAAGGAATTTGATGGTGCAGAATTGGACATCTAACCTCATAGCAACTTAGAACCACCATTTTCTTTTGCAGAACCTTTGCTCAAAACTGAAGGGCAAAATAATAAAGGTTGTTTTTAATGATTTATCTATATATCTGTCTGTGTAGATAAAGATAAATATATAGATACACATGAGTGACAAGTGAAATACATGCCTTTTGTCTCCACTTTGTTCTCTGATTAGTGGGTTGTGAATCACTTCTTCAGGAATACTTTATAGAAGTGAATTCCATTCATCTGATTAAGGAACAAGTTGGCCTTTTCATGAACTGTCATTTTTGACTTGAATCTGGTACTGTTTTTTGGTGGCTTTCAGGCCACAGAAATAAACCACTTTTGTTTGCAAATGAGATAGAACTTAATGAGGTTTGAGTGTTTCCTGGATTTGAGTTTCTTCAGTACTGCACCCCAGGTGATCTTAGGAAAGAAACCATCCACTGTGGGTACTTCTGGCTTCTGTCCAGAGAAGATTATCAGCTTTGGTCCAAAAATTGATTTAAAAGTAGTTTACTTCTTTTTCTCCAATAAAATATTTGCCATAATTTAATGTCTTTAATACCAACATTTTCTTCATTTCCTATGGTAGCCAGGACAAATGAAGTATTTCAGATCTTTCAAAAACTCTTAGGATGAAAGGTAGGAATTTGGACTTAGGTTTTTAAAATAGTGTGTATGTAAAAGTGCAAAGAATGGGGCCCTGGCTTTCTCTTCTCGGAGTGTTCCACAGTAACAACATGAAGACAATCCAGGTACACAAGTTTGTATGTGCCTTAGTCTGTGTGTCCAAAGAGGCCTCTTACTTAGGTCATATGAACATAAGTTATACACTTGAAATTCACTACTGAAAAACAATGTATTTAGTTCGAGTTCTGCCACCCCAAAAAAATCAACGAGTAATTCAACTGACTTGCAGTTTTACAATATTTTTATAGACTTCTTTCAGCGTAGATGCTTTTGGACATACTCATTTGTTTCCTAACCTGATGTGATATTGTGCTATTTTTAAGGGGCTTTTAAAAAATACGCTGTGTTGGGTTTTGCCTTGAAAATAGGCTTTATTTCTTTTTTGCCTCATGGCCACAAAAAAAGGATGTCCATGATCAATGATCTGTGAATTTCTTTTCTGTAAACAGAAAGAGCATGTAACTGCTTTCTAATTGTTTTGGAGAATGTGATAGACATTAGTATTATTATTATTGGCTTGGAGCATTTTCCTTAATATGTTGGTAACTACTTTTGTCAGTGAATATTAGTGTAGCCACTGTTGGACACAGAGCACCGTCAGAAAGCTACTGAAGTGGTGCTGCAAAGTGCAGACATCTTCAGATCTTTACTCAAGTCTGTGCAGAGAGGTCTTTCTTGGTCTCCTTCTCTACTTTTTAGCCTATCTCCCTCTTCTCACTATAACACTTCATATTCCCCTTCCCTGCTCTATTATTTTTCTCTTTTAGCATTCATAGTTATCTAACTTTCTGTATTTTTTCTCTTTATCTTGTTTAGTGTCTGTCTTCCCACTAGAATGTAAGCTTCATGAGGACAGGGATTAGTGTCTGTTTTGTTCACTGCATCTCTAGGGCTTACAACATTGTAGGTACTCAGTAAATATTTGTTAAATCAATGTGAAATGTGTCATTTATCCTTAAGGAATTGACCTTCATGGTAGAAGTGTAACAGAACCACCTATATCCTACTTTTCATCCACATCATAACTATTATGTGAATACCTTGGAAGTAAAGCAAAATAAGCACTTAACTAAAGAGACGCTTTATATTGAAACTGTTGTTCTGGGTTTCTGGAATTAGTACTCTGAAATTGGCTCCCTCTAGGAAGGCTTGTGAAGAGAGTAGTGTTGAACAGACATGACAGTTTCCAAGAAAGCATAGTTGGCTAAGAGGAGTAGGATTTTCCAAGCAAAGAGTGTGACAGTGGAGATGGCTGGGGCTAAGTCAGGCAGAATGTGTTCAAACCTGTTTTTCTCTGACCTGAGATTGCGGAGGGAATATTGGGAAGGTATAGTTACCTGGTGAGGAGAGCCAGTTTTGTGAAGAATCAAGAATGAGGAGATTTAATTTGTTATGCAGATGTCTGGGAACCACAGCAGATTATCAGGAGAGCAAAATTGTTAGTCAGAATTACATCGTTAGAAGGTAATCCTTAAGTTTTGTAGATTTCTAGAATGTAAGGAAGCTCTCAGAGGTGCCATAAGGTGAGTATGGCCTAAGGATGTGGCTATGGCAGTGTAGCAAAATGGACAACTATGAAAAATGTCTAGAGAAAAGTGCAACATAGCTTATCAACGGTGCCCAAACAAATAGGAAGGATGAGAACTTTTTCAAGCTACAGATTTCAGTAGTTTTGCTGCTAGAAATGCTTTAAGGAAAACTGTTAAAAAGATTAGGAATGGGAATATAGATAACCGGCTCCTAAATTTTGCAAGTGGGACCGTCATAGAAAGCTCTCCTATAGGTATTGAGAAATCGAGATACCACGTAAGTTTCAAGAAGCAGTTTTTTTTTTTCTTTTTGGTCAAAACTAATGACAAATTCTGTCCCCTTGTTTGTATATTTTAACTTAGTGAGACAGGAAACATTTATTCTATAGAAGACTTTTAAAATGTAGTTTAAACAAGTTGACACATGCTTACTGGTTAATGAAATGTGCATCAACCCACTCCAAACACCACTAATTTGACATGAACTAACAATTAACTTTTCTTACTCACTGTCAAAAGTATATCATTCTGCCTTAACTTAACGCTTTACCTTCTAAATAAAATTTAATCTTTTAAATAAGTTTTTCTGCTATGTTTTCCTTGCATATGTCTTAAATTTCTTCTTTCGTCTTTGCTCACTGAAGAGCATTTTCTCCCACATTCTAGTGACTACCAGGGTTTGTAAGCCTAGAGCACCATCCTTCATTCTATCTAGCAGCAGTTGAGAATAATAACAGCCATATTTCTATATATGGAGCTCCTCCAAAGGCCTAGCCTGCATTAAGCTTGTTAATTCTTACCACAGCCTAGGTATTACTTTTGTTTTACAAGTGAGCAAACTGAGGCTAGAAAAGAGGAAATGACTTCACACATGTTATGTAGCAAGTACTTGACAGAGCTAGGATTCAAGCCCCCTGATCTGTTTGATTCTAAAGCCCGCACGTTTTCCACCACAGGGCACACAGTCCCAAACCATTTTACTTAAACACAGTTTGTGTGTGTGTGTGTGTGTGTGTGTGTGTGTGTGTGTGTGTGTGTGTGTTGTTTTTTTGATGTACCTCTTTGAGCCACCCATGCATTTTTGGAGTTTCTTGCTAATTTTAATTTTTTGTAATTATGTTTCTCTATTTAGATGTTTAAATCCATGAGGCGTAAACTTTAAAGTTTCATGCCTTATATTAATCCTTTATAGTCCACCAAAAATGAAACTTTTTTCTTCCTTTTTTGGAGTGGACATGTAGTCACTGCCTTTTTGGAGAATGCTTCTTTAGTTTGAAGCTTTCTTTATTGGACTAAAATTACTTTCCAATTAAAATTTAACTCAGCAAATACTTACTGAATACTTGCCATGTGCTAGCTAAAGATAAACAATGTCTTGAGGGCATGAAAGTGAATGAGATACCTGGCCTTAAGGAGCTCTTTTATATTCTAGGTCAACAGAAAAACATGTAAATAGTATCTATAATCACTGCCCCAAGATGATGCTCCCAGTGCCCAAGGCCTTATTGTACATTTCATTTAACTAAGTGTGTTAAAATCAAATTCTAAATGTAGAATTTTTCCTAGGTATGCCTTGCAATAGCTCATTATTCCCAGCCAACAGACCTCCAGCTACTCTTTGCATTTGAATATGTTGGGAAAAAATACCACAATTCAGGTAAATATGAAAATATTAAATATTGTGACTAATTTTACATGTGTAAATTTTACTCTTATGTTTACCGGAAGCCTCCAAGTACATGAGCTTTAATGATTGTAGAATTACTAGCTTCATACCTTAGAGAAGTAAGCACTACATGCTAAAAGAGCCAATAGTTTGTCAGATTATTTCTTGACAAGTTACCAGGAAGAACCTTTAATGCTATGAATATGGGCTTATAAGTTATGTCAGATATTTAATCTCCAGTCATTGGCTTGTATTTTATGATGAAGAATATATAACCCACCCTTTTTAATTGATAGCTTGAGTTAAAGTAATCTTATCTTTTAAGAAAACTGGCAGAAAACTAAAAGATATATTAAAAGCATAATCTTTTCTGGCAAGGTGTGATTTCATGCAAAAGCTAAAGTGATTAAAAACTTTTTGTGGACTTCATTAAGATTCTCAGAATACTGAGTTTCTATTTCTGAGTAATACTGATGAAAGGAAGATGAGCATTTTTCCAAGGACAAGTATATTCTAGACAGCTTTTGTGAAAGTAAATAGTTTTGTCTATATATCTGACAGTCATGACATGACCAGGGAAGATTCCAGATGATCATGCAATTCTGTACATTCTGTTTCGTACAAATGTAATTTTAATAAACAATTTTTAAAAATATCTTGATAGAGAAAAACAAAGAGCCGTGTCTCCTGTTAGCCCCATTGTCAGTTAGTGACTGCAAGTCAGTTAACTGAGCGAAGCCTGTGTTCTTTTATTTAAGCAAGAAAAATAAATCAGCTGTGTATTTATAATGAAAAATCCATTCACCCAGCATGCTCTGGGCCATACAAATTATTAATTGTACTGAAATTTTATATTTTGTTACCACGAAACATGGTAGTAATTTAAATAACTGGCATAATAAAAGTATATTCCAGCAACACTATATTGTAAATACATTAAAATGTATCAGTGTACGGTATCTGAAGATGCATGTGTATAAGTAAATTTTCCTTAGTTTAAAAGATAACTACCTTTCTGTTAAGCACTGAGAGGACCAAAAAAAAAAAAAAAAGAAAATACAGTAGAGATAATATATGAAAATAATGCTTTGCAGAGCAGCTTTTATCATACAGTATTATATTTATAGAAATTGTATAACAAAAGTATTTGTAACTTAATTTTTCTTATCGATATATACATAAATTGTAACTGAGGCTTAAGCAATACAGTTATTTTTTGAAGTTTATTAATATTAAGTAAATTCACTTACTGTCTAAAAATAAAGTATACAGATCCTGCACTATTAGGTAAACACTCCTTGGGATCATCGTCAAGCTACAGAACAGTGATCAAGGTTATCTTCAATAAGATCCTCACCCAGAGTTGCAAGGGTTGTAGGAGTGAGTCTTTGATTCCTGCTCAACTGTTTATGATACAGACCAGTTCTTCATGCTGCTGTTTTTCCAATAGAAATGATTCATTTCAGTTTACAGATCCATAACTTCTACAGTAATGTAGTGACTTGGGCTCAGCAAAGACAGTAAACTTCATTATACAGTTGGTAACCTGATGCCTGCTTCAGTTACTTTCCACATTTTTCTTCATTCATACCTTGTGGGCATCTCTGGTTTACAGTACTTTAGTTTATCCACCCATAGGTCTTCTACTACTGGAATTTTAAAATCTACATCATTCAGTTCCACTATTTCTTCTTATATAGCTTATTGATAAAATTTGATGATTAATACTGAAAATATTCAGGGATGCTTTTTTATATTACATCCTTCAGACTCCTCCTTTGACAAGTACCTCATAAACATAACACTGGCCATAGTTTTGTTAAGATTCCTCGTAGGGTAACATCCTTTAATATCCTTCCATGCTGTTACAGAAGCATAAATACTGCATCTTTAAGATCAAAAGGAGCCTGAAATTTCCACACACTGCAGTCAGAATTCATTAATTTGTGAGTGAAAGATGCCCACTCATCCACTCTTGAACTTCTGGATGACACCTTGATTCATTGGCTGGATTAAAGAAGTCCTTTTTGCAGGCAGGTAGGTGACAAAGCTGTTTCCACAAATAAGATCCAAAGTTGGAGGAGCTCCCCTGCAGTTATCTGAGAAAATGATATTTTAGCTGGCCTTAGTCACTCAGGTTTTCATTCATATTCAGTATCACATGAGGAAAAGCCATCTCTGAAAGGTCCTGCAGTCATCCCAACACTTCTGTGAATATCCTGGAGTAAAGTAAGATGTGTAGCACCCAGGCTTTGGAACATCGCTTTGCACAAACACCCCAGGAGATATTACTAGCACAAACAAGAACAATGATTCTGTTTTTTCTCTTTTAACTTTAAAGAAACCATGAGGACTCTGTTTTCATCAGTCAGATTATTATTGGGCAAATAACGTCAAAAAAGTACAGATTCATCTTTCTTATAGAATTGATAAGATGTCAGATTATGCTTCTGGACCAAAAATATTGAAAGTTTCATGAAGTTATCTGCAGCCTAGTGTCAGCAACTGCTTCATGACAGACATCCTGCTTACAGATGCTGTGATGTAATCTGAAGTTGTAATGAAATTTCACATCAGAAGTTGTACATTTTCAGTGACATTTAATTTTATCCTTTTTATTAACATAGATCTTGTTATTAGATTTTCCTTAAAATGCCTATTTGAAAAACACAAGGTACACAATCCATTTGAAACAGTATAGGAATTTTTAAACTTTGTTGCTTAAGATTCTCAGAATAGCTATAAATGATTGTTGAATATTGGTGGTTCCAGCCAGCTGTATACATCAGGATTACTGGAGGAACCTTTAGAAATGCAGCCATGTTGGCTCCAGCACAGGTCAGAATCTCCCAGTTAAGAACCACTTTGTTGACTCATGCTTTTGAACTGATTAATACTCACAGTCCTCTTTTTACCTTATTCCTTTGTGACTTCTAATTTCTGCAGTATCATCAGAGTGGTGGGCTTTCTTTTCATATATTGATGACTTGTATTTTCTGTTGCTTGAAGCCATTCTAGATATCAATTGGCCAATTCAGTGGAAATTATCTAAAATAACCCCAACAGTATAGGATTAGACTTTTGTACTGTCACAGAAGATAGCCAAGGTCAGGAGCATATAATATCTATTTCACTCTTAGTCTGCTGTGGAGGCATGTCATAAAACCTCAGTCAGGTAGCGGTCAGCGGAGCCAGGTCTCCCTGAGATGACCCACCTTTCACTGTGTTGGTCCAGCCCCTCATAGCGATCCACTCATAGAGCAGGCCACTGGTATCAGGTCTTTTGAACTTTGGAAAGCATTCAAATTTCTGGACTATAAAACCAGATTGAGTATACATTACACATTCTGTAATGAGCTCTAACTGAAGATGATATAGAACATATAAAAGACCTAGTCCCAGTTGTTTAGAAAAGTACAGGATTTGAACGAGAGAAATGGCAAAAATAACAAACGATAGAGGATCTCACTTTATGCTTAGAAAATATAGATGTTCTCATTTTATGTTTAGAAAAATTTGTGTAAGTTAGATCTTGAAACAAAATTTGGCCAGAGAAACAATCTCATAAACAATAGCACATTCTTAGCCTAGCTTATTAAAGTCTGCAACCCAAAACACTAAAAAGTATTCAGTGCTGCTAGACTCAGTCACCAAACTGTTTTACATAACTGTTAAAATTTTGAGTGTGTTTTTTATAATTCTTTTTTGGTGGTGGTGGTTTTATTGTTTGGCTAGGACTGCTGGTTCAGTGTTGAATAGCAGTAATATTAGCAGGCATAATTTCACTTCCCGCTTTTAATGAAGATGCTCTTAGCTATGTCTTTTTGATAAACACCCTCTATCCAGTTAAGGAAATTCCCTTTTATTCCAAACTTGCTAACGTTGTTGGGTTTTTTTTTTTAAGTCATAAACAGGTATCTATCATATGTTTTTCTGCACTTACAGAGCTAGTCATTCATATAGCCTTTTTCGTGTTTAATGTAGTCATATGATGAATTACTTAGATTTTCTAATATTGAATAGCTTTCTTTGTTTTGGTGCACTGGAACACTGTATAGATTGGGCTTTGCCAAAAATTCCATATGCAGGTTTTGTGTTCTGGAGAGATCATAACTCCTAAGTCTTCCTTCTCACAGACACGCTTTTTAGTTGTGTTACTCCAGAGAAGGCCCTGAGATGGAGTGGGACTCTAGGATGTGGGCTTAGAATGAGCATTTTATTATCTATCTATCTATCTATCTGTCTGTCTATCTATCTGTCTGTCTATCTATCTATCTGTCTATTTATTTTTGAGACAGAGTCTCGCTGTGTCGCTCAGGCTGGAGTGCACTGGTACGATCTCGGCTCACTGCAAGCTCTGCCTGCCAGGTTCACACCATCTCCTGCCTCAGCCTCCCAAGTAGCTGGGACTACAGGCACGTGCTGCCACACCCGGCTTATTTTTTTTTTTTTAGTATTTTTAATAGAGACAGGGTTTCACCGTGTTAGCCAAGATGGTCTCGATCTCCTGACCTTGTGATCCGCCCACCTCGGCCTCCCAAAGTGTTGGGATTACAGGCATGAGCCACCGCGCCCAGCAACATTTTACTTTTTAATGAGCTTTGTTAAAATCAGAATCACTGGATAATTCTGATACCACTTAAGAGGAGTCCAAATTCCTAACATAGCCCCTCCGTAATCTAGAGCAGCACCATCCAGTGATGGAAGTAGGGCAGCCACTAGAGCCACTAGCCACATGTGGCTGTTAAGTACTTGAAATGTGGCTAGTGCAACTGATGGACTGAATTTTTAATTTTATTTAATTTTCATTTCAGTTTAAATTTAAATGGGCTTGTGTGGCTAGAAGTTACGTTTTTGGGAAACATACTAGAGTCTAGGCCCTATTTGATTTCCCGCCTCTCTTCCACCACCTGTTGAATCCCTATGCTCTAGCTGTATTTAGTTACTTGATATTATACAGTTACACCATCTTTTTAAAGTTCTTCTCTGTCTAGCATGCCTACCTCCTCCTCACCAGCTACCTGGCAACTTTTGACTTGTTCCTTAGAACTCTCTTTAGTTGTGGTCAAGTCATGAAGCTTTTCCTGCCCCGGCCTCTCTCTGCAGCGAGAGTTAGGGGCCTTCTCTTTTGCATCTTCATTGCACTCAGACATCTGGTACTCTGTGATTATCACACTTATTAATGCTCTCAAGATAGAGATAAAATCTTATTCATCTTTTTGCTCTCAGGCATTAGCACATGGGGAGTTCTCAGAAAATACCTGTCTTATACCAGGAATTAATGAATAATCAGTAGGAATGAGCATGACATGTTCATGGGACGTTGGAGGGTAGTGCATGGCTGCAGAGGAGAATGGGAAATGAAGGTCAGATAAGTTACGTGAGGGATCTCTAAGGCCAAGAGAAGCCATTTAGGTTTGATTTGGTTGGAAAATGAGCTTATTGAAAGTTTAAGGCAAGGGACTAGCATCATGAACACATCTTTTTAGGGAAGTGTGTCTTGTGGTAAGCTGCTGGCTGGTTTAAATGCAGCAGAATATTCTATTGGGGATGCCAGCTGGGAGACTTGCCACAGTTGCAGCCTGCAGCAGAAAGACCCTGGGCCAGAATGGGTTGTGCCATCTGTCACCAGATATTGCCAAGGTAGATCTGGCTGACTTTGTGGGACAGCTTGTTTCTCAATAATCACTTTGCAGGCACTCTTGAGGCTGTGAGCATGCTCCCAGAAGATAGCATTACTTCTCTCTCAGAGCAGGCTCCTTTCTAAGGAAATGCAAGTCTAGGCCTGCCCTGCTGTAATCTTCATGTGGAAACAGCACTCTAGCAAAGAACAAGGAACCTGATGAGCTTTTCAAAGGAAAATCGAGTAGATACAGGAAACCAAGAATTTTCTAATGAGCAGATAGAAAAGAGCAGGTAGGTGAGAAGTTGGTATTAGAAAAATTAAAGATTTGAAGGGCTTGAGGACAGAGATGATTGTTGGATGTTTCATTTTTCCAGGCAAAATATGTGGAGCAAATAATCAAATGACATGGACTTACCCCACAATTAGGGACGGAGATGAGGAAGGGTTAGGAATAGTTTCTGTTAGAATGGTAGGGATGGAAGACAATTGAAAATTAAAGAGAAAATAAATGGAGAGGAAACCTAGGCAGCAGCCATTCTTCATTCTGGGGGAAGGTGGTCAGGAAAAGGAAGGAAGAAAAATGTATAGCATAGTAGCTAGAGTGGTCCGGCGTGATCAAAGTGTTTTCAATATCATGTTGACTGACCTGTTTACGTTTGAAGGCAGAGAAGATAGAGCCAGTAGAAGGAGAGAAAAATCAAAGCTGTTTTACGGAGTTGTGAAAGAGCTGGATAAGGACAAGACTAAATGAGTTATTTTTAGGCCAGGCGTGGTGGCTCATGCCTGTAATCCCAGCACTTTGGGAGGCCAAGGCAGGTGGGGCACCTGAGGTCAGGAGTTCAAGAGCAGCCTGGCCAACATGGTGAAACCCTGTCTCTATTAAAAATACAAAAATTAGCTGGACATGGTGCATGGTGGCAGGTGCCTGTAATCCCAGCTACTCAAGAGGCTGAGGCAGGAGAATAGCTTGAACCCGGGGGGCGGAGGTTGCAGTCAGCCGAGATCATGCCAGTGCATTCCAGCCTGGGCGACAGAACGAGACTCCGTCAAAAAAAAAAAAAGGAGTTATTTTTAAATGGAAAGGGCAAGACAGTTCTCGGAGAGACTTGGAAGGTGAAGCAGGTTAGAGACAGCACATCAGAGTATGCATGTGACAGGAGGCTCAGAGAAGAGGGAATGCTGGGGAAAATGTGACTGTTAAAATTCATAATGTTGCTTTTTCCTACAGCAAACAAAATTAATGGAATTCCCTCAGGAGATGGAGGAGGAGGAGGAGGAGGAGGTAATGGAGCTGGTGGTGGCAGCAGCCAGAAAACTCCACTCTTTGAAACTTACTCGGATTGGGACAGAGAAATCAAGAGGACAGGTGCTTCCGGGTGGAGAGTTTGTTCTATTAACGAGGGTTACATGATATCCACTTGGTAAGTACAATTTTAGCAATGTTATATATGGCTGGAAGTCACTTCCCTATGAATAATCATCAAACTCTGTTGTCATTGATGACTTTCAAGTTGTGGTTAATGGAATATTTGTTTTTAATAATGTTTTAATAAATATTTTATTTTAAAGATCAAGGCTTATTAATATAAATTACGGTATCCCTTAAAAGAAGTTGATAGTAATTCCTTACTGTCATCAGTAGTCAGTGTTTATTGCATTATATCTTGTAACTGGTGTTTTACAGTTGGTTTGTTCATATCAGGATCTAAAGTCTTCACATTGAATTTGCTTAATATGTCTCTTAGGCCTTTTAATCTACAACAGTCTCCTCCCACCTCTTTTTTACCTACTATTTGTTGACAAACCAGGTCATTTGTTCCCTAGAATTTTCCACATTGTAGATATTGCTTGTTTTATCCCCAGGGTGTCCCGTAATGTGTTCCTCTGTCTCTAATATTTCCTTTAAAATGTTAGCAACAGAGGCTTAATCGGATTCAGGTTCAGTACTTTTGGCAAGAATGTTTCATTAGGTGGTTCTGTGTTCTCCTGTGGAGTCACATCCCATCTCAGGCTGGCTGGCTGTGTCTCTCTCATTGTAATCCTGACGACCAGTGGGCTTAGAGGGTGTCAACCTGATCCACCCAGTAAAAGTTCCCCTCTTATATCATGGTTTGAGCTCCCAAAAATAGTTTTGCACTGGGAGGGAGGATCATTGCTCAGATCGTTATTTCACTAAGGATTGCTATTGTTCACCTTCTAATTCTATCATCTTTCTGCTTTTATCGAACTTTTCTCTCACCAGCTCTTTAGTGCCCTGTAACACAGTTCGTACAAGAAAAGCAATATAAATATCTACATTTTCTCCTTTACTTAACATTTTTCCAAATAGTGAGCTGGTTCCCTAGGGGATCTTCTAGAAGTGACTAGGAATTTGTTTTTTTAATTTGTTTAATGTCATTTAGTTATTATGAATTTTTTGGAATGCCTTATTTTAAGGTCATTGAAGTCCTCATTAGTTCACGCACATAAGCAGCTTTTTAGAAAAAGGAAGAAAAGCACTACTGTGTTATTACTGGTTAATCCAGTACCAGGAACTTCTAGTACAGTTCTAGAAAGGTGCTTTGCAGCATGTAGCTTGTATCTTTTGCTTCCCCTGGAATTTAAGCTTCAAGGCCAGCACACTCTGGTATATGTGCTGAGAAACATGTGATGGGGCTGCCCAGCCACGTCG